>NC_000004.12:143921381-144546381 GCF_000001405.40 Homo sapiens
GGCACTTACCCTCTTTTGCATCAGCAGTGGTCAGTGAGTAAAATGAAATGAACCCCAAACTTCCGCTTAATGTTACCTTATCAACCAAATTGTTCTACCACGATACACTTAATTTCCTATTTTTCCTTTAAGAAAGGTGAAAAAAAAACAAAGTCGATATATTGCTACATACATGAGCTTTGCTTTAAATTAAAACCCACTTCCTTCCCAGAGCCATGAGAGATGAAATCTGAGTTTATGTTCCCCCAACAAATTGGAGGACACATTTATTTCAGAATTCAACAGAAGATAGGGAAAGACTAATAGGAAGAAAAAAAAGAAAGACTATTATAAATAATTTTACAGCAGAACAAGAGATTTATGTCTTTTTCGATTGTACACAAGGTTGTTTCATAATCTCTTGTGAAAGATTAAAAACTGCTGAGCATACTAAGACACTTCTCTGTATTTATAACCCATTCTGAAATTGTGATTTAGAACCCTGGGCCCTAATTAGTTAAGTGATATTGACAGCAGATGTGATACTTATTGAAAAATGTAACCTTGGGTGAAAGGCTCTCTCTCTCTCTCTTTCTGTGTGGGGTGTGTGTGTGTGTGCGTGCATGCGCATGTATGTTGACCAAATAATTATAATATTTTACTACCTAGACTCTTATTCAATTATGCAAGGTGTCATGCTTTCACATACATGGCTTACTGAAGGCAAGCCTCACAATAAGCCTATGAGGACGCGGGTGTTATTGTTTCTCTTTTGAAGAGAAGAGAGCTGAGTTTCTGAGAGGCTGAGAGTCACACAATTAGTAGGATAGGACAAGGTCACCTGAATGCAATGACCTTTTCACTGCCCCATAAGATTTCACCTACCCATCCATCCACTCAGCATTAAATCAGAACTTCCTACATGTTATGAGTTTTTAAAAATGGTGACAAAATATACATAACAAAATTAACCATCTTAACCATTTTTATATGTATAGTTCAGTACTGTTAAGTATACTTACATCATTATGCAAGCAATCTCCAGAACTTTTTCATCTTCCTAAAATAAAACTCTATAGCCATTAAACAACTTCCCATTTCTCCCTCCCCAAGCCCCTGACAACCACCGTTTTACTTTCCGTTTCTGTGAATTTGACTCTTGTAGATACCTCATAGAGTGGAATCATACAGAATTTGTCTTTCTGTGACTATTTCATTTAGCCTAATGACCTCAAGATTCATCCATGTTGTAGTGTATGTTAGAATTTCTTTCCTTTATAAAGAAGAATTTACAACATTTTGTTTATTCATTCTTCCATTAACGGACAGGTG
The DNA here is from genome assembly GCF_000001405.40 of Homo sapiens. Taxonomy (NCBI): domain Eukaryota; kingdom Metazoa; phylum Chordata; class Mammalia; order Primates; family Hominidae; genus Homo; species Homo sapiens. The sequence continues at coordinate 143,922,693 of NC_000004.12, forward strand.
GGTTGCTTCCACTTTTTGGTTATTGGGAATAATGCTATAATGAACATGGATGTGCAATACCTTCTTGAAACCCTGCTTTTAATTCTTTTGGATATATACCAGAAGTGGAAAAGCTGGATTGCATGGTAATTCTATACTTAATGTTTATGAAACTGCCATACTGTTCCACAGTGGCTGCATCATTTTATGTTCCCACTAGCAGGACACAAGGGTTTGAATTTCCTTACATCTTTGCCAATATTTATTTTCTGGTTTGTGTGTAGTTTTTATTTTTATATATATATTTTTTCTGATAGTATCTGCTCTTATTTGAATGTGTCCCTTCCAAAATTAAGATTAAAACTTAATCCCCAGTGTGATGATATTAAGAGGTGGGGCCTTTTTGAAAGTGATTAAGTCATGAGGGCTTCACCTTCATGGATGGATTAGTGCCTTATAAAGGGTAGGAGAAAACTACTTAGGCCCTGTTGCCCTTCCTTCTTCTGCCATGTGAGGACACAATGTTCATCCCCTCTGGAAGATGCAGCACCAAGGGGTCATCTTAGCAGCATAGAGAATGAGCACTCACCAGACACTGAATATCGGTGCCTTGATGTTGGAATTTCCAGCCTCCAGAACTGTAAGAAATAAATATGTTCTTCATAAATTATCCTATTTGTGGTATTTTGTTATAGCAGCACTAATGGATTAATATAGTAGACATCCCCCCCGCCTTGGTTTTTTTTTTTTTTTTTTTTTTTTTTTGTGCAGTGGCACTATCTCTAGCTCACTGTAACCTCTGCCTCCCAGGTTCCAGCAATTCTCCTGCCTCAGCCTCCTGAGTAGCTGGGATTACACACAGATGCCACCACACCCCGCCAATTTTTGTATTATTAGTAGAGACGGGGGTTCCACCATTTTGGCCAGGCTGGTCTTGAACTCCTGACCTCAAGTGATCCACCCGCCTCAGCCTCCCAAAGTGCTGGGATTACAGGCGTGAGCCACCATACCTGGCCCAGTAGCCACCCTAATGTGGTTTGGATTTGCATTTCCTAATGACTAGTGATGTTGAGCATCTTTTCTTGTTTCTTGGCTACCTGTATTTCATTTTTGGAGAAGGTTTATGCAAGTTCTTTGACCATCTTTTGACTGGATGTGTTGCTGAGTTGTAGGAATTCTTTATATATTCTGATATTAACCCCTTAGCAGACATGATTAGTAAATATCTTCTCCAGTTGCACATGGGTATTTATATATTTCATATAGTTTTTAGGATAACCCTGCAAAGTGCCCACTTTTGGGGGAAATAATTGAGGTAGAAATCATTTCATGAACTTGTCTAGGGTTTCTCGGTCAGTGCCAGGTGTCATATTGTCACTGTGGATTTCTGGTTCCAAAGCAAGTGTTCTTTCTACTACATCCTGCTGTCTGAACACATTTCTTAAAATATTTCTATCCTTTAAAAATAAAAGCAAAAAGAAAAAACGGAAAAACAATACAAGAAAAAAAAACCAAAAATCGTGATGAAGTTTTAGACAAACACAATTATAAGTAAAGGTACATTAAGCCATGTTTATAGTAGGACATCATAAAAATACAGCTTATGCGAAATTTTGACTGTTACATGATGAGTATAAGGTAGTTTTCACCTTTATTGTGCTACATTTAATGGTTCGTAAGATCCTCTTTCAGTGAGCTTCCCAATAATGTAGTCATTACTGCAAGTTAACATTTTCCTTGACTAAGAGGCAGAGGACTCCTTATGCACTGGAGTACCTGTGAGGTGTTTGGTGGAGAGGAGGTTATCTCATATTTCCAGGTCATACAGTAAAAAAAAAAGCGGGATGATTGAAATTCTATGGAGCATACTTTATCTGATTCTTTAAAGTAAAATAAATGTTTTTGAATGATACAAAATCAGTTTTATATTCATTTAAAAGATGCTAAAGAACAAAAGACCAAGTCTAATTACTTAGATACCTAAAGTTCCATATTTTTAACTTCATTTACTTCTGTAAAGACAAGTATTTGCATAGAAAAATTTCTCTACAGAAAATGCCAGTTTCCTGAAGGAGGAAATTGATTCCTGAAAGCATTAAAAAGGTGAATAGAGATGAGAAGGATTTTTAAGGACAGTAGGCCATAGAACTACATGGCATCTCCAAGAGACCTCAAATTTCTTTTTGGGCTCCACAGCCTTTTCTTAGAGATCAGATCCTGCTCTCAAAGTTTTTTCTGAAACCCAAAGGAACCCCATCTCCTTGGGTCCAGAGTAGATAGGGTGAGTATACTTAACAATAATTTATTTTGTATATTTCAAAATAAATAACTATAAAAGTAGATTTGGAATGTTCTCAACACAAAGAAATGATCATAAATGTTTGAGGTGATGAAAATCCTAATTACCAAGATTTGATCCTTACACATGGCATGCTTGATCAAAATATCGCATGTATCCCATAAATATGTACAACTGTCATGTACCTATGAAGATTAAAAACAAAAACAATGAATTGACTGTATTAGTTTTTTTTGGTTGTTGCTATAACAAATTACCATGAACTTAGTGGAATAAAACAAGAATTTATCTTAAATTTCTGGAGGTCAGAAGTCCAAAATGGGTCTCACTGGGCAAAAATAATTGTTGGTATGGCTGGGTTCTTTCTGGAGACTCCAGGGGAGGTTCTGTTTCTTGCCTTTTCCAAATTCTATAGGTCACTCACATTTCTTGGTTTATGGCCTCTTTCTCCATCTTCACAGTCACAACATCAGACTGAGTCTTTTCATGATGTCATCTCTATGATTCTCTCCTTTGGCCTCCCTCTTCCACATTAGGGACCCTGTGGTTACATTGGGCCCACCTAGATAATCCAGGATAATCCCCCCTTCTCAAGGTCAGCTGATTAGCAACCTCAATTTCATCTTCAGCCTTACTTCCCCTCTGCCACGTAACAACATATTCACAGGTTCTGGGGGTTGGGATGCAGACCTCTTGGGGTGGGGCATTACTCTGCCTATCATATTGACTGAATGAACAAAATGGGAAAAATAAGCTTTGCCTAATCATCTATGTTTTTTTGATTCAAACAATGATTTTGAATTTGATAATGTACAAAGACCTAAAACTTCAAAGTAAACCAATGTACTGGAAGATTGTATCCATCACTTTAAAAAGTTGATTAAATATCTCATGACTTTAAAAATAATAAATTACAATGATAATGGAAGATCAAAAACAATTGATTTCATAGACTATTTAGATCTTTATTCTGTAGAAATAGAACCAAGTACTTTTACCAGAAGAAAGAAACCCAGCTATGCAAAGGCTTGAAACCATTGTTTTTATTTTATAACTGGCCTGCTGATCATCATAAAATAATTAATATGGACTGAGGGAATGCCCCAAATCTCAAACATGTTATTTCCTATCAACTTTGGATAGAGATCCTCTGCCGGAGCAAGCCAAATGAACTACAGTGTTTCATCATTATTCTGCTGGGAATCATGCTTAAAGATCTATGCTAAAAGTTCATTTAAAAAAATTTCTGTGACATACAACAATGAACTCTGTTCTTTCTACCAATAACCTCGTTGACTGACACTTTCATAATCAATATAAGCACTTAATTGATTATCCACCCCCATCCACCTAGAATCCATTTCACCTGGCAAAGTAATCCAGTTTTTATACCTTTTTCCCATCAAAGCAATAAAACTCTACAGAAACACAAACTGTTTGACTCCAATCTGAAGGGCATGTACAGTTACATACTGAGATTTCAAAAGAGTTACTAATAGCATCTAGAATATGACATTCTCTCATGTCAAAATGCACTTTGGACCAGTTTTCCCAAATCACACCCACAAGACAGTTTTGCATCCTGATGCCTGCTACATCTACATGACAAAAATGACCAAATCAGGAAAAGTAATAATCTCATTTGGAATTTATAATCTCACATTTCTTCTTCATTATAATCTCAGTCATGAGAGTTCTTATTTGTCAAGTTTTCTTTTGAGATAGCACTATTGTGGATGGCTTCCAAGTTTTAAGGCACAGTTGAAAGCCACGCCCCTGAAAATAGATTTCTAATTCACATCATACTACTGTATTTGTGGACACTTGTCATCTCATGTTCATGCAAGTATACATCAGAAAGCTGTCAATTCTGGCCAGTAATTTCTTATTTTCCACATTACTCTTTTTAGTCTAGTCTAAATTAGAGCTTCCCATGCCTCATCTTACTTCAATATTGAGAACCTATCCCCATTTTACAGGTAATGAAAATGAGGCTAAGCAAAGTGAATATACCTAAAGTCATACTGCTAGAAATGGCAGAGTGGGGATTCTCACAGGCTCTGAGGCATGCGTCCAAGCTACACCCACCACATGTGCTGCATCCTAGTGCATCTCTCAGGGAGGCTGGGACCAGGGGAAGCGAGGAAATAAGGTGATAGTTTTCCCAGGACCCCTGGCCTCTACTTGCTCTTTAAATCCTTCTTTAGAGGGTCACAATCCACACTTGGGAAAATGGTCTGAAGAATAAGTATTCATCTAGTAAGATTTATGCCCTGAAGTCTTCTCTGTATTTTATTAGTAGGAGAGCAAATAGGAGGCCTCTGATTAAGAGTTGGTCACACACAGTGCTCACTCTGTCACAATATAGTGGAGTCCCACTCTCTGAAACATCTAAGCACTAATCTTGACTAAACGCAAACAATTGTTCAACATTCTATTATTTATATGTTTTTAAAACTTTTAATTGTGGTAAAGAACATATAAAATTTGCCTCATTAACCATTCTTAAGTGTACAGTAATCCCCATTTCTTCCTTCTCCCACCCCCCCGCAACAACCATTCTACTTTCTATTTCTATGAAGGGGACTATTTTAGATCCCTCATATAAGTGGAATCATACAAATTCATTTCTTTTGTGATGGACTTACTTCACTTAGCACAAGATCCTCAAGTTCATTCATGTTGTAACCTGAATGGTATCTCATATATACCAGCTTTTATCCATTTATCTATTGATGGGCACTTGGGTTGTTTCCGCCTCTTGGTTTTTGTGAATAATGCTGTTATGAACATGGGTGTACAATATCTTCTTGACACTCATATATCTAATAAGTAGTTAATACCCAGATTAGATGAAAAACTCCAGTAACTCACAACAGCAAAAAAAAAAAAGCAATTAAATAATGGGAAAAGAACTTGAATAGAGATTTCTCCAAAGATGATATACCTATGGCCAAAAGTATATAAGAAGATGCTCAATATTGTTAATCATTAAGAAAATGCTGAGCAAAACCACAATGAGATATCACCTCACACCCATTAGAATTTCTATTAACATAAAAAAATCAGAAAATAACATGTGTGCTTATATATTTTAACATTCATTAGTTTTTCATTGGTTTGATACACTAAAATAAAGCATTCTATGAATTTATAATGCCATGCAAATAAAAATGTGCTCCAGTTATTGTTTGATGACCTCTGGTCATGGCTTCTCATTCACTGGGCAAGAGGAAGCCCAGAACCAATAACGGAAGCTCAACATAGTTCTGCAGCACCTTCACAAATTCTGTACTCAGCATGCTTGTCTTATTACTTTTCTGGTCTTTAGGTTGGAACCAGAAAGTAGTCTCACTCCTGGATTCTTTATGTCCTTGAAAGAGTTATTGACATATATGGTTTCCCTTTTTGGATTAGCATCATACTTCATAGAATCTTCTAGGCTTGTAGGATCTGTTTCTTAGTTTATAGTAAACAAAGGTCTACCTAGTTCATATTGTTCTTTTGTGAAAAGTAGAAAAAGGTGGCCTATTTGGAAAAACTCACCCTCATGGGCCATGTCTTAGTAAGTAGAATGTGGGACTGAACTCAGCATCCACATACCCATTCACTCAGATGCTCTTTTGCAATGGTCAAGGAGAGTAATTTTAGACATTAATTCCTCTTAGAAGATTTAAACAATGTAGTAGTTTGTAACATCACATAATTAGATCTCAAAACAAGCCTTCTGTATTAGTCCGTTCTCACATTGCTATAAAGATCTACCTGAGACTGGGTAATTTATGAAGAAAAGAGGTTTAATTGACTCACAGTTCCACAGGCTGTACAGGAAGCATGGCTGAGAGGCCTCAGGAAACTTATGATCATGGCAGAAGGTGAAGGGGAAGCAAATACATCTTACCATAGTGGAGCAGGAGAGAGAGAGAGTGAAGGGGAAAGTGCTACACACTTTTCAGCAATCAGATCTCATGGGAACTCACTCACCATCATGAGAACCGCATGTGGAAAATCCACTCCCGTGATCCAATCACATCCCACCATGTCCCTCCCCCAAAACTTGGAACTACAAATTGGCTTGAGATTTGGGTAAGGACATAGAACCAAACTGTGTAATTCTGTCCCTGGCCCCACCTAAATCTCATGTTCTTCTCACATTTCAAAACAAAAGCAGCAAGACTTCTCAACAGTCCCCCAAGTCTTAGCTCATTTGAGTGTTAACTCAAAAGACCAAGTCCAAAGGGTTATCTTAGACAAGGCAAATCCCTTCTGCCTATGAGCTTGTAAAATAAAAACAAGTTAGTTACTTCCAAAATACAATGGGAGTACAGGCATTGGGTAAATGCTCCCATTCCAAAAGGGAGAAATTGGACAAAACAAAGGGGTTACAGGCCCCACGCAAGTCCCAAACCCAGCAGGGCAGTCATAAATCTTAAAGCTCCAAAATAATCTCCTTTAACTCCATGTCTCACATCAAGGGCACACTCATGCAAGGGGTAGACTCCCAAAGCCTTGTGAAGCTCTGCCTTTATGGCTCTGCAGGGTACAGCCCCTGTGGCTGCTTTCACAGGCTGATGTTGACTGCCTGTAGCTTTTCCAGGAGCATGGTGTAAGCTGTCATTGGACCTACTATTCTGGGGTCTGGAGGACGGTGGCCTTCTTCTTACAGCTGCACTAGGGAGTGCCCCACTGGGGACTCTGTGTGGTGGCTCCAACCCCACATTTCTCCTCTGCACTGCCCCAGTAGAGTTTCTCCATGAGGAGAAGTCTGCCTGCAATAGGCGTTTTAATACATCCTCTGAAATCTAGGCCGAGGCTCCCAAACCTCAACTCTTCCCTTCTGTGTACCTGCAGGTTCAATACCATGTGGAATCTGCCAAGGCTTGAGGCTTGCACCCTCTGAAGCAATGGCCCAAACTGTACCTTGGCCCCTTTTAGCCACAGCTGGAGCTGGAGTGGCTGGGATGCAGGGTTCCATAACCTGAGGCTGCACAGAGCAGCAGGACCCTAAGCCCTGCCCACAAAAGCATTTTTCCCTCCTAGGTCTCCAGGCCTGTGATGGGAGGGCTGCTGTGAAAGTCTCTGAACTGTCCTGGAGTGATTTTCCCCATTGTCTTGGCAATTAACATTCAGCTCCTCTTTATTTATGCAAATTTCTAAAGCCAGCTTGAATTTCTCCCCAGGATGGGTTTTTCTTTTCTACTACATATTCAGGCTACACATTTTTCAAACTTTTCCCATTTGCTTCCCTTTTAAACATTTGCTTATGCAAATGAGTGTAAGTTTTTAAAAGCAGCCAGGCTACATGTTGAATGCTCTTCTGCTTAGAAATTTCTTCCCCCAGATACACTAAATCATCTTTCTCAAATTCAAAGTTCCACAGATTGCTAGAGCAGGAACACAATACCACAAGTCTTTTTGCTAAAGCATAGCAAGACTGACCTTTACTCCAGTTCCCAATCAGTTCCTCATCTCCATCTGAAACTACCTCAGCCTGGACTTCACTGTCCATTTCACTATCAGCATTTTGGTCACAACCATTCAACAAGTCTCTAGGAAGTTCCAAACTTTTTTTCACCTTCCTGTGTACTTCTGATCCTTCCAATCTGTTCCAGCCTCTGCCCATTACCCAGTTCCAAAGTCATTTCCACAGTTTCAGGTATCTTTATAGCAATGCCTCACTTCTTTGGTAACAATTATCTTTATTAGTATATTCTCACACTGCTATAAAGAACTACCTGAGACTGAGTAATTCCACAGGCTGTATAGGAAGCACAGCTGGGAGGCCTCAGGAAACTTAAAATCATGGTAGAAGACAAAGGGGAAGCAAGCACATCTTACCATGGCAGAGCAGGAGAGAGAGAGTGATGGGGAAAGTGCCACATATTTTTAAAAAAACAGATCTTGTGAGAGCTCATTCACTATCACAAGAACAGCAAGGAGAAAATCCACCCCCATGCTCCGATCACCTTCCACCTGGTCCCTCCACCATCATGGGGAATTACAATTTGACATGAGATTTGGGTGGGAGACATAGAGCCAAAGCATATTACCTTCTTTTATGACTTGATTTTTATAAGTTTTTAACCCCTCATTTTCTTTTATGACTAGACTCCCTATGTGACTAATCTGAGCTACTTTTGTGCTGTGATGCCAGGAGGTGAATTTCTCAAAAGAAGCTGGCATCTCTGATTCAAAGAGCAACACAAGTGAGGAGGATTCCCAAAGGTCTAATTACATAGCATAGCATTTTAACTAATGGGGGCAACTGTTCATTTGCTATGGCCAGATTGCAATCTTTAGAAATCCTCTACTTGTTCAGAAAGCTTTTTCTTTCTCTGTATTTAAGTTTTGTGTGTATCCAAGATCTTTCTATTATTTATTCCTGTGTCCTTGGAGGACATGATATAGACTCCTTCCCTGCTGAGAGAATTAAATATTTGAAAGAACAAGTTAATGAACACATTCTTACATTGTGTTCAAGATATTACATGAAATGTAGGCCAAATAGATCTTGTTGACCATCTGACTCAATTTTATAAATGAAAAAAATGTAGCCCTTGATATGAATGGATGGAATTGAATCTTTATGCTTTGGTTATTTTTAATCAACATTTTATCCTAAAAGGCCATTTCAGAACATATGTAAATGGATTAAAGAAATTAAAGTTCAAAACCTTGACTTCTTTAGAATAAATTGTCAAATATACTATAATACTCAAGTATTGGGTGTATTTGAAATTAATTTGAAGATTCTAGGTCACTCACTAAGAAAAAATAAAATGGTAACTTAAAATAGAAACTTTGAATCGGCAAAATTTATTTTTCTCTTCATATTTGCTATTTTAATCATTATTAAGATTTTACTTATATCTAAAGATTTCTTTGTTTACAGTAATAATATCACATTAAGGAATATAGACCAAATAATAAAGCACATTCTTTAAATAACTCTATTGATTGCTACAACATACACTTTCAGTCTTTAAAGTATTGTTTCGTGCAATGAAATCACTTAATAGCTTCAGAGAATGAGATAAAGAAGTGCAGTTGTTTCTCTAAGGTAATTCAAGGTTGACTGTATAAAACAAGCAACGGTAGGTATAACAAATCTGTTTCTTTGAAGCAAGAGATGGTGTTAATGTTAAGACAGTCTAGGAAACAGACAGACTCCTAGTTAGCATTGTAATTATGAGTTCTTAATATCACCTAAGATGCATAAGATCTCACCATCCCAAACAAAAAATAGGTATCGTTTCTAATGTGTATTTTCTTCTCTTTATGCTACTTATCTTTTTACCCAATCAACAGTCTTATTTCATCATATATCAAATATAATTTTCCCATATTGTTGATTGCAGACTATAAGTCAGATATTACTTTGAGGCTTTGGTTTTTACATCTTTGATAGAAGATATAATTTAACCTCAGTTTTACCTACTGGCTGGTGCCTGTCAACGTATTGCTTAAAGAACATCCAACTTACAAGGGCTGTGAAGGACCTCTTCAAGGAGACCTACAAACCACTGCTCAATGAAGTAAAAGAGGACACAAACAAATGGAAGAACTTTCCATGCTCATGGATAGGAAGAATCAATATTGTGAAAATGGCCATACTGCCCAAGGCAATTTATAGATTCAATGCCATCCCCATCAAGCTACCAATGACTTTCTTCATAGAATTCGAAAAAAACAACTTTAAAGTTCATATAGAACCAAAAAAGAGCCCGCATTGCCAAGTCAATCCTAAGCCAAAAGAACAAAGCTGGAGGCATCATGCTACCTGACTTCAAATTATACTACAAGTCTACAGTAACTGAAACAGCATGGTACTGGTACCAAAACAGAGATATAGACCAATAGAACAGAACAGGGCCCTCAGAAATAATACCACACATCTACAACCATCTGATCTTTGACAAACCTGACAAGACAAGAAACCTGGAAAGGATTCCCTATTTAACAAAAGGTGCTGGGAAAACTGGCTTTCCATATGTAGAAAGCTGAAACTGGATCCCTTCCTTATACAAAAATTAATTCAAGATGGATTAAAGACTTAAATGTTAGACCTGAAACCATAAAAACCCTAGAAGAAAACCTAGGCATTACCATTCAGGACACAGGCATGGGCAAGGACTTCATGTCTAAAACACCAAAAGCAATGGCAACAAATGCCAAAATTGACAAATGGGATCTAATCAAACTAAAGAGCTTCTGCACAGCAAAAGAAACTACCATCAGAGTGAACAGGCAACCTAAAGAATGGGAGAAAATTTTTGCAACCTACTCATCTGACAAAGGGCTAATATCCAGAATCTACGATGAACTCAAACGAATTTACAAGAAGAAAACAAACAACCCCATCAAAAAGTGGGCAAAGGATATGAACAGACACTTCTCAAAAGAAGACATTTATGCAGCCAACAGACACATGAAAAAATGCTCATCATCACTGGCCATCAGAGAAATGCAAATCAAAACCACAATGAGATACCATCTCACACCAGTTAGAATGGCGATCATTAAAAAGTCAGGAAACAACAGGTGCTGGAGAGGATGTGGAGAAATAGGAACACTTTTCCACTGTTGGTGGGACGGTAAACTAGTTCAACCATTGTGGAAGACAGTGTGGCAATTCCTTGGGGGTCTAGAACTAGAAATACCATATGACCCAGCCATCCCATTACTGGGTATATACCCAAAGGAATATAAATCATGCTGCTATAAAGACACATGCACACGTATGTTTATTGCAGCACTGCTCAGAATAGCAAAGACTTGGAACCAACCCAAATGTCCATCAATGATAGACTGGATTAAGTAAATGTGGCACATATACACCATGGAATACTATGCAGCCATAAAAATGATGAGTTCATGTCCTTTGTAGGTACATGGATGAAGCTGGAAACCATCATTCTCAGCAAACTATCACAAGGACAAAAAACCAAACACCGCATGTTCTCACTCATAGGTGGGAATTGAACAATGAGAACACATGGACACAGGAAGGTGAACATTACACACCGAGGTCTTTTGTGGTGTGGGGGGAGCGGGGAGGGATAGCATTAGGAGATATGCCTAATGTAAATGATGAGTTAATGAGTGCAGCACACCAACATGGCACATGTATGTATACGTAACAAACCTGCACGTTGTGTACATGTACCCTATAACTTTAAGTATAATAAAAAACTTAAAAAAAGAATAACTCAAAAAGAAAAGAACATTTAGAAGTATAGGCTGGGTGATTATTGATCATAGTCAGCAAACCACTGGCCTGAGGTACACCTAAATCAATCTTCACACTTTGTTGCTTAAATTGACTAACAACTCCACAAAAAATAGACTTATTTACAAAGGAAATGAGATCTCTTGCTCTAAAGTTTTAGATTAACCTTGAGATAGCTGTGCCTTTTTGTGTTAGAGCACAATTATTTTATAAAGATCATGAAATGGCTACAATATGTGCTCTGAGAACTCAGCATTCAGAGATGGTACTGTGTGCTGTTTTGTGTAGGAGATATATGCTTCTAAAAACTCATAATGAAATAATGTATTCAGTGTAGGCATGACTTTTTCATAATTGATGTGGGTAGAGATGAGATTAATAAAAGAATAAAGCTTCCTAGAAATTTAACAGAGCTTGAATAATATTTAAAACATTAAATTATTTTGATTTACAGCAGATCCATAAATTCTAACCTTTTGGAATGGTATTTTAAAGCTGAAAGAAACCATATAGTCTATTTTCCTTAGTTTACAAATGAGAAAAGTAAACGTCAGAAAAATAAAATAATCAACAACCAAGTAAGCATTGGAACTTGGGTCTCTGGCAGTGGAAATACTTATATTTCAACCACAAAATTCAAAAATAGCAACTTGATACTGATATTGCTGTGAGGTCCTTTCTGAAATCCCTCAAATATTACATGCTTTAGTCACTCCGCCAGAACAATCTGATCATAAATGCTTCAGTCTCTGAGTTCTGTTGTCCAGTGATCTATACAAAACATTCATGATGAGGCAGGGGATACTAGTTCATTTGGACTTTTGAAGGATATTCAAATGCAAGAGAAATGGAAGCCAAAGGGAGCGGGCAGCAGATGACAAAATGAGAGAGGGACTAGGAAAGTAGGTGTTGGAGAAATTATGTGGAGAAAACCCAAGGCCATGGGGTTGAATAGGGGATTGAGGTTAATTTGAGGGCCTGAATCAATTATGGGATTCAATGTGAGTTACCTTGTTAATTGGGTAAATGGGGGACCAATCAAATGACACTGGAGAGAAGAGTAAAATGAGCGCACTTATCTAGAACCTCTTTAAAATCATCAATGTCAGTTAATGCAATATTTGTGGTTTGAAGCTGAGCTGAGTCAACTCTTGTATAGTTTGGCTATTGATATGGCTTTTCTTTAAAAGCACAAGTTCAGGAACATAAACATCATTTATTCCCAATTAAAACTGAGTAGTTATTGTAAACTGTTGTAATTATTGTTTGTGTTGAGTTAGAGTATTTTGTAGCATCAATAATGGCAAAAATGTGAATATAATAATTGTCAATTAATATGTAAATTAAGCAGCAAAGAGGTTTAATTGCCATTTTATTAAATGTTACTCTTATAGAATGAGGTAAGCTGTTTGATTGTCTAAAAGTTCACTTTATTAACAGAATGAAAATTTGAAGAAAATGTTTAAAGTTGAAAAATTCAGATTGAAAGGAAAAGGGAAAGAAAAATTCTAGCTATTTATCTTGAACTTTTCATTAGTCACCCTGTAGCCCTTTTTCCACAATCACTCTGACCATTGCAACACTTACTTTCCTAAAGTTTTCAAAGTATTTTGTGTGGACAACCTCTAGAGAATTCAAAAGAGAATGGTAATGTAATAAAGGGCATACTAATTGGCAGTGTCATGAGGAGTCATTGAGAATAAATTCCAAAGTGTGAGAATTGTGGTCTCTCAGGGAAATTGTTTTTAATTCTTCAAACATTTACTTTATTGAACTACAGGAGACAAATAGGTGCAACAACCAATATAGCTGTGTCCTTAAAATATAAAATAGTGGCCGGGCGCGGTGGCTCACGCCTGTAATCCCAGCACTTTGGGAGGCCGAGGCGGGCGGATCACGAGGTCAGGAGATCGAGACCATCCCGGCTAAAACGGTGAAACCCCGTCTCTACTAAAAATACAAAAAATTAGCCGGGCGTAGTGGCGGGCGCCTGTAGTCCCAGCTACTTGGGAGGCTGAGGCAGGAGAATGGCGTGAACCCGGGAGGCGGAGCTTGCAGTGAGCCGAGATCCCGCCACTGCACTCCAGCCTGGGCGACAGAGCGAGACTCCGTCTCAAAAAAAAAAAAAAAAAAAAAAAAATATATATAAAATAGTGTGGATATTACATACAGAAGAGAGAAAAATCTTCCTAAGTAGATCCCTATTAATTATAATAAGAGCTAATATATAAATTGAATACTTACTATACTTTATGCTCAGTATTTTTTATGCATTATCACCTTCAATCTTCCAGCTCGATGAAATATGTATCATTTTCCTTATTTTACAGAAGGAAACTTAAGCTTAGGGATGTTAAGCAACTCTTCCAAGGCCACATGAGCTGGGTTTCATGTGTAAACATAGTAATAAACTCTTATTACCAAGATAATATCTGTGGTTATCATGAACTTCAATAGATGTGACACCTAGGCAACTTGAAATAATTGGAGGAGAATTATGTGACAGGTGCTGTCACAGAGAAGCCTTAGATTCAAGGGCAAATTTGGGGGCACAATCTTCAAAGGATAAAGAGATGAATATGGGCCATTGTATAAATGTTACCCTCTTTACTAATAGAGCTTCTCTGAAGTTCTTGGGGGAAAAAAAGACCCCAGAAAGGATTACTGTCCCTAGAGTACTGCTTCTTGCAAGATTTATGTAAAGTTGAAGGCTCTTTTGAGGGAAGACGACAGGGAGAAGTCAAAGAGAGCTTTCTCTCATTCATGTCAGGGAGACATCCATGTTGCTACTCTCTCAGCTTTACTCTGTTATAATTATAATAGTGGAAGGAATGAAATTTGTTATACACTTCTGACACAGAATTGACTTACCTTGCCAGAAAATTCTGGTTGACTATGGTAATCATGTTCAATGGATCAACTGAAAAGACCATACATCATTATGTGTTTTAGCTCTAGAGGACTCCTGTGAGTGAGGGTACATTTAAATAATATGCCAAAAAAACCTAGTAAAGTAGAAACCTAACAGATTTTTGTGTACAAGCATAAGGGAAATACATTTACTATGCTGTTAGTTGATTTTGTCATATCTGATTTTGCAATTGCTAAACAAATAATAGAAAATGAATATTACAATCTGTTTAATTTAAAAATGAATGAAAAGAAAAGTAGATATAAAATAAAGCTGTGAGAAGACATGGTTATTTTTGTCTTTGTGTTTTTTCTTTTCCACCAAGAATTCATCCATCTTTGCTCTAGGAAATAATTTAGAATTTATGTAGATTTTTCACTCAAACTTAAAAAGAATCCTTCAAGGCTTAGAAAATTTACGCATAGCGTCTTTCCAAAATTTTTTTTGAAAAAATTTACTTTTGCTATTATTTAATATGCTTCATCCACACCAAGATTCATATTGAGGCTTGATCCCCAATGTAATAGTGTTGAGAGGTGGTGGGATCCTTAAGAGGTGTTTGGGTCATAAGAGATCTGCCATTATGAAGAGATTAATCCCATCTCTTTTGAGTGAGCGTAGGTCTGGAATAGCAACCCGAGAGTGAGTTGTTATAAATCAAGGTCATCCTTCATGTTTTGTCTTCATTGCATGTGCCTGCTTGCTGTTCTTGCATGTGTTCCTGTCGTGTGATGCCATCACTATGTTGTGATGCAGCATGAGGCCCTCACCAGATACAGCCACCTGATCTTGGACTTCACAGCCTCCAGAAATGTGAGCTAAATAAATCTCTATTCTTTATAAATTACTCAGTCTCAGGTATTCTCTTGTAGCCACAGAAAATGGACTAACATAACTTCCTTAATATTGGCTCGTTTTTTCAAAAAAGTATATATTTCTGTAGCACATTTTTTAAAAAGAATATAATTGAATGCAAAATGTAAATGAATGTAATTACCATTACTGACCATTATCACAATGGGCAGCATCTTCTTATCATCACTAGAGCAGCGGTCCCCAAGCTTTTTGGCATCAGAGACTGGTTTCGTGGAAGACAATTTTTCTGTGGACCGGGGCAGGAGGAAGATGATTTGGGGATGAGACTGTTCTACCTCAGATCATCATCAGATCATCAATTTTTTTTTCTTTCTTTTTTTTTTTTTTAGACAGAGTCTCGCTCTGTCGCGCAGGCTAGAGTGCACTGACGCAATCTCGGCTCACTGCAAGTTCTGCCTCCTTGGTTCATGCCATTCTCCTGCCTCAGCCTCCCGAGTAGCTGGGACTACAGGCACCCGCCACCATGCCCGGCTAATTCTTTGTATTTTTAGTAGAGATGGGGTTTCACCGTGTTGGCCAGGATAGTCTTGATCTCCTGATGTCGTGATCTGCCCTCCTCGGCCTCCCAAAGTGCTGGGATTACAGGCGTGAGCCACCGCGCCTGGCCCAGATCATCATTCTCCTAAGGAGCATGAAAGCTCGCATGGACGTTTCACAATAGGGTTCACACTCCTATGAGAATCTGATGCCACCGCTGATCTGACAGGAGATGGAGCTCGGGCGGTAATGCTCACTCGCCTGCCACTCACTTCCTGCTGTGCAGCCCAGTTTCTAAGAGGGCACAGATAACACCTTGAGGTTTAAGCCCTGTAGATTAGCTTTGACTCTGCTTGTACATTATATAAATATATAAACGGAATCTTACAGTACATATTCGTTTGTGTCTGGCTTCTTTCACTCAATAGTGTTGAGAGATTCATCCATGTGGTGTGTTGCTACACATGTTTATTTCATGGCTACATAGTGTTACATTGAATAAATATACTAGAATATATTTGTTCTACTGTTGATAGACACTTGAATTTTCTCCAATTTGAGGCTATTAAGAATAACGGTGCCATAAGCACTTTGTAAATGTCTTTCAGTTCACATTTGTACATACTGCTGTCAGGCGCAGATCTACAGATGGAATTGCTGGGTGATATGATATGCATACATACGGCTTAATAGATACTGGCAAACAGTTTTCCAAAGGGATTATGCCAATTTACACTCCCATTAGCAGTGACTTCGAGTTCCAGTTGCTCTGTCCATATCATTTACAATACTTGACATATGAGTCCTTTTGTACTTTGACCATTTTGTTTGATATGCAGTGGTATGTCATTTTAGCTTTAATTTCTGTCTCCCTGAAAGTTAGCAAGACTAAATTTGCCTATCTTAAAATCAAGTTTTCTTTTTGAAAAAAATTGATTTTTCTAAGTTCTTGATATACTCTCAATATGAATTCTTTCTTTGTTATATTTATTGCAAATAATAGCTCTGAGACTTGCCTTTCACTTTCTTGTGTCTTGTGATAAACAGGAGTTCTTAATTTTAATGTGGTCTAATTTCTCAATTTCTCAGTCTTTTCTTTTACGGCTAGTGCTTTTTGTGCTCTGCTTAAGAAACTTTTGCCTACCCAAAAGTCTTAAAAATACTTTCTAACATTATTTTTTTAGAAACTCTATTTTTTCTTTCATACCAATCTTCAATTCACCTAAAATGGTATGTAGTATGAAGGAAGGGTTAATATTTTTCACTATGGATAGTCTGCTGACTCAGCATAATTTCTTTTTTCTTTTCTTTTTCTTTTTCTTTTTTTTTTTAGAGATAGAATCTCACTCTGTCACTCAGGCTGGAGTGCATTGGCATGATCTTGGCTCATTGCAACCTCTGCCTCCTGGGTTCAAGTAATTCTCATGCTTCCGCCACCCAACATAGTGGGATTACAGGTGTGTGCCACCGAGCCAGTCTAATGTTTGTAATTTTAGTAGAGATAGGGGTTTTGCCATGTTTGCCAGGCTGGTCTTGAACTCCTGGCCTCAAGTGATCAGCTTTGCCTCCGAAAGTGCTGGGATTACAGGCGCGAGCCACTGTGCCTGGCCTGACTCAGCATAATTTATTTTAAGAAACAGATTTCCCTTTTTTATAGCAGCAACATGGTAATAAATCAAGCATCTATATATGTGTGGGTCTTTTTCAGAATTGTTTTTTACTACATTGGTCTACTTGTCCATGTTTACTCCAGTTCCACAGTTTTAATTATGGTAACTTTATAATTTATACTGATATCTTGTAGTATAGGTCCTCTGACTGTCTTTTCTTCGTCAATATTGTCTGGGTTTTTTTTGTGGCTCTTTGCAATTTCAAGTACGTTTTATAATGAGCTTGATAAATTACATGAAACATTCTACTGGTATTATAATTGGTATTGTGAGAAACAAACCTACCTGTCCAAACCCAAAGAATGGACTCAGAGACCTGGAGAACAGCGAAAGGGAAACTTGTAATGATGCTCTTGCAAGAATTGGGTGTCTGATGTGCAGGCACACACAGCACAGTTTTAACAAGCAATTTAACCCCTAGTGTGCAGGTCCCTCTCCTGGTTTTTCATAGGCTTAATACTAGGGGGTCACAATCTTCCTGGAGGTCACCTATTGATTGTTGGGCAGGGGCTTTAGGTGTTTGTTAGTTTGTTTGTTTTTTTTTAGGGTTGTTTTGCTGCATTTTGTTGCAGCCCACAATGCATTGCAATCCTAGTTAGCTTAGGGGCTCTTCAAGTATTTACTTATGAGCTAAGTAGCTGGGCAGGCTAATAAAAACAGACAAAACGAACTATTTTGCAGGCTAGTAAACTTTTATCTTAGACTAAACTTCTTTGGTTCTGGTGAAGGCAAGGAAACAGGGTTGTGGGGGTGGAGTGGGGGAGGGGGAGGCCAACAAGCAGGCATTGGCTATCTAAGCAGGAAGCCTAGTATGTTCTGTTTCTTCTGTAGTTTGCTAACGTAAGTCTATTTAAGGCACTTTGTCTTGGAAATGGACCATGGGCCATTGTATACATTATTTCCTTCAGTATTGGAGATACTCTTTATAGAATAATTTAAAAATAATATACATGTTTATGGTATTGAATATCTTCCTTTTATTTAGGTCTTTTGAAATTTTTTTAAATAACGTTTCATATTTTTTGTGTAGAGCTTTGCACATTTGTTAATTTATTTCTAGATATTTGGTCTTTTGATATAATTGTTAATGATATAATTTTTAAAATATCATTTTTAATCACTTATTGGTATATAAACAGAGATTTTTCATATTGACCTTGAACTCTGTGATTTTTCTAAATTCATTTAATCAATAATTTTCCTATGGATTATCTTGCAGCTTGGATATAATACAGTCTATAAGTAATGACAGTTTTTCTTTCTAATCTTTATATGTATTATTTTTATTGCATTATTATGCATGCTAGGATCTTTTTCCTACCAATGTTAAATAAAACTGTTGTTAATAAGGGGAACCTGTCTCCTTTGCAATGTCAGATAAAAAGTTTTCAATATTTCTCCATTAAATATGATATTTATCATAGGTTTTTGAAAATGCTTTTTAAAGGTATGTGATCTCATTTGGATTTGTGTCCTTACCTAAATCTCATGTCAAAGGGGAGGAGGGGCCTGGTGGGAGATGACTGGAGCATGGGGATGGATTTCCTCCTTGCTGTTCTCATGATAGTGAGTGAGTTCTCACAAGATCTGATGGCTTAAAAGAGTGTGGCCCTTCCCTCTTCTCTCTCACTACTGGTCTGCCATGACAAGACATGCTTACTTTCCCTTTGCCTTCTGCCATGATTGTAAGTATCCTGAGGCTTCCCACCCATGCTTCCTGTTAAGCCTGCAGAACTGTGAGCCAATTAAGCCTCCTTTCTTCATATATTACCCCTTCTCAGATAGTTCTTTGTAGCAGTGTGAGAATGCACTAATATACAGTATGAAAATGAATATTTATTTAGATTAAGAAATATGCACCACAAATTATTGGAAACTTAGAGATTTGAGTTCATTTCTTCTGAGACAACTTTACACAATTTTCCAGACATGTTAACATATAAATGTTTCTTGGTTGCAACCCACTTTGCTCTCTCTCCAGAATTCTCTACAATCCCCAGCAATTCCTAACACTTATAGGGGCCTGTGAAAATGAAGGCTCTGAAAACTGGGCCTCAAAAACGTGATAATTTCATCTGAGAAATTTTTTCAGTTTGGCTGTAGTTTTCTTTCTCTTGATGTTAATTCTGAAAACTTTCTTAAGATTATCTTGTAAATACTCTATCATATTAAAGAAATTTCTTTCTATTGCTAGTTAGGAAGTTTTTATCATAAATGGGCATTGGATTTTATCAAAAAATTCAACATCTGTTTGTTGCTGCATCTATTGAGATAGTGACAGGATAATTTCTCCTTTATTATTGTACTGAGCTATCATGATTGAAATTCAAGGGTCTGTTCCTAAATAAAACCTACTTGGTTGTGATATGTTATTCTTTTTAGAAATCACCAGATTAGATTGCTGATATTGCTTCAGAATGTTTGAGTTAGACGTTTCCTTTTTTATAATATACTCATCAGGGTGTCTTGGATTCACAACATGAGATGAAAAGTGTTCTCTCTTCTATTCTACACAATAGATTGTGTAAGTGGTGTTATTTATTTCTTAAATGTTTAGAGAAATTCATTAATAAACACATATGGGTCTGAATTTTCTTTGTGGCAAGGTTTTAATTTCAGATTCAAAATTATTGTTAGTATAGAATTATTCCAATTATTTTCTGTTGTATCAATTTTGATAAAATGTGTTTTAATGTAAGTTTTCAAATTTGTTAGCACAAAATTGTTCTTAAAATTCTCTTTATCTGTCTAATAAATGTTGACTTTATGGTGACATTCCTTTTTAGTCTTTCTGTTGGTAATCCGTACCTTTACTGTTTTTATTCTTTGTTAGTTTTTTCAAAGGTTATACATTTATTTGCCTTTTCGAGGAACAATTTTGGGTTTTATTTACCTTCATTGCATTTTTTGTCCTGACTCAATTTCTGTTTGAATCTTTGTTACTCTTTCTTTCTAACTTATTGGGGTCTAATCTACTATTATTTTTCTATCTTCTTTAGGTGACTACTTCAATCATTGATTTTTAGCCCTTCTGTTTTCTAGAATAGATGTATTAAAGATGATCATTTTTTCTTAAAGCACATCCATAGCTGCATTTTATAAGATTTGATATGTAATATTTTTATTATCATCCAGCTCAGTGTATATTCTAACTTCATTGGGATTTCTCCCTTTAGCTATGGGACTTTTTAGGAGAGTATTGCTTAGTTTTTCAATATTTGATACATTTTTTGGTTACATTCTATTATTGATTTCTACCTCATTTCCAGTGACTACACACTGTATAACTTCAATCCTTCAAAATTTGTCAATGTGTGTTTTTTTCTTTGTTCTTACCTTTTATTGTCCTCTCCTTTCTTAAAAATGAGTTTTTCTCTTTTGCTTCTTAACCATTCTTTTACTGTTAATTTTTTTAAGGTGTTACCCTAGAGATTATACATGAATTCCTGGCTTATTTAATTCTAATAAAAATTAGTAATTTTTCCCCTTTTTGGACAATCTAAGGATTTAAAATGATTTCACTTACTTTTCTACTTCTCCCATTTTCTTCTATTGTCATTTATTTTAGTGCTATTTGTATATTATTCTATAAACTCCTCAATATATGATTGTTATTTTACATGTTTAATATTCATTTAGTTTTTTTATTGCTATTTATGTATTTATTTATTCTTTTTTATTTCTGTGCTTTCACTTGAAATTATTTTTTTTGACTTGAAGGGCTCCCTTTAGAATTTGTTTTGCTGCAGCCCTACTGGTAACATTTTCTTTTTGTTTTGTGCTTGTATAAAAATGTTTTTATTTAACATTCATTTGGGGGAATATTTTTGTTAGATACAAAATTCTAGGCTGCAGTTATTTTCTTTTAGCGTTTTGAAAGTGCTTGTTGTCATCTGGCTTCCAATATTTCAATTGTGAAATTAACTGTCAGACTGATGATTATTCCTTTTAAAAGTATTATGTGGTTTTTTTTTCTATCTGCAAAGATTTTCCTCTTTGTCTTTTTAGATATCTTTCTTTTTATGTGGTTAGGCAGTTGTTTTGAATTTTTCCCAGTTGGGCACGGTAGTATTTTGTGAACTGTGACTTTTATCACTTGGAAATTCTTCAGCTACTTCTTCTTCAGATATTACCTCTGTTCTAGTCTCTGTTACCTCTTCTCTGGAATTCCAGTTACATATATTTTAGACCTTTCAGACCATATTCCATACATGGCATTAGTCCCATCTTTTGATGTCTCATTGCAGTTTTTCTAATTTTCAGTTCTAGAATTTCCACTTGATTCTGTTCTAAAATTTCCAGTCCTTTTTTGAAATTATTCATATTACCAGCAAATTTCTTGAGCATATTAACCGCAGTAATTTAAAAATCCATATCTAAAACTTTCAACATCTGGATCTCCTGTTGGCTTCTTTCTTTTTCTTTTTCTTTTTCTTTCTTTCTTTTTTTTTTTGACAGAGTCTCGCTCTGTCAGCCAGTCTGGAGTGCAGAGGCACAACCTCAGCTCACTGGAACCTCCGCCCCCCGGGTTGAAGCATTTCTCATGCCTCAGCTTCCCAGGTAGCTGGGATTACAGGCACCCACCACCATGCCCGGATAATTTTTGTATTTTTAGTAGAGATGGGGTTTCACCATTTTGGCCAGGCAGGTCAGGGAGAGACCTGCCAGGCAGGCTCTGGGAGAGACGTTTTGTCAGAAAACTTCCACATCTCAGGACAAACTGCATTCCTGAAGGACAATGGAAATCCACTGAAAATGAACTCATAATAAAACATTATAAACCAGACAGGGAAAAGAGCGTCATGAAGAATCAGAAAACATAACATTTTCTCTTAAAAAAGCCCTCTAAAGACTGCAGACAATAAAGCAATCTGAAAGCAGCTATAAGTATGTTGAAAAAAAAGAAAATAATAGGAAAAGGAACATTAGGAAAAAAATGTTTATGTGGTAGCTTTCTATGCTTCATTCTTCAGAAATTTCCCTCACCCACCCCCAGATTTCTAAGTCCTATGCATTAACAGATATCGTTGTCCCTTTGAAGACACCTGTATTAATTTGCCAGGATTGCCATAATAAAGCACCATGGATTGGGGTGCCAGAAGTCCCAGATCAAAGGGTTTGTGGAGTTGGTTTCTTTGAGAGCTGTGAGGGAGAATCTGTTTCATGTCTGTGCCCTAACTTCTGGTAGTTTGCTAGAAATCTTTGGTGTTCCTTGGCTTCTATGGTATCATCCTGATGCCTGCCTTCATCTTCCTAAGGTATTCTCCCTGAGTGTGTCAAAATTTCTTTTTTTTATGAAGATATCAGTCCTGTTGGATTTGAGGTGCACCCTACTCCTGTATAATCTCATTTTAGCTTGTTACATCTGCAGTGATCCTGTTTGCAATTAAGGTCACATTCTGAGATACTTGGGAGTTAGGATTTCAACACATGAATTTTTGGGAGACAAGGCATAATTCAATCCATCGCAACACCCAAATATAAATTGACTATTTTTAGAATTTTTCAGTCTTATTAGAATGGTAGAAACACAGAAGTCTTCCAATGTCCTCATTCTATGCCAAAATAGAAAACTTGAAGTAAATAAGAAAGAGAGGCATTTCAGATAACCTTTAGGCTTTCAGGCTATGTACCAAAAAGACACCATTAAGAGGCAAGACATGACCCACGGTAAGATAAGAAGATAGGAAGCTTCTCTACTGCAAACTCCTAGGACTTATAACATTGCTTTCAAAAAACTTCTTAAAGTATCTAAGTATTTTCTTGTGTAATGTTATACATCTGAGCACATAATATTTAGAATAAGTAATATATCTGATGTCTTCAAAATAATGAAAATAAATATTTTAACTGTTCCAAAGTTTGCTTTGGGGTCTTGAGATTTAGCCAATGACCGAATAAAAATATTAATAATGATTTTGTATATTTCGTATAATGCTATCAACCTGCCATCAGCACTTTATAGTACTTTTCCCCAGGGGTTGTTGTGATTGTTTGTCACTATTTCATCGTTAGTAATAGAACTAATAGAATTTTTCTGAAAGAGTTAATGTGGGGGTCAAATAAGGTAACAAATGTAAAGCACTTACTAGCGTGCCTGGGACAGAGTAATTGCTCAATAAATGTTACTGTTATTATTAGAGTATAGAAGGTGCTGCATTTTTAAAAAACTTCGTGAAGTGTTTTCCCTTTTTGGTGATACAATTCAGGGGTGCTCCTATGCCATTTTTTCTTCAAGAAAGAGAAGGGTTGGTGCCACCCAGAAAAAGAGCTCATGGTGTAGTAAAGAAGTTAGAAATGTAAACATAATCCAGTCACTTAGATAATTAGTCTAGGAAGTATGGGGCCACTTCATTTTTAAGAGAAAAGGTTAGACTATAATAATGTATCTGGATACATCGGCTCTAAAGGAGAAGGAAAACGAAGTTAGAGAAGGTTCCTCTGATGGTCTGCCTTTTCTGTATGAAGTATGGAGCAAGATCATTGGTGGGAAATTAAAGATGGGAGTGGAGTAGAGTATTTGAGAGGGGTAAAGTGTTGGAAGTACTCCCCCGAAGAATACAAATGTGAGCTGAATGGAGTCAGTACTGAGTCCAATTGAACACAAGGTCTAGTTGAAGCCATCATTTTGTAGCTGAAGCCAGTAAAAACTGTTGTTTTATTTTACTCTCCTTTATCATTTCTATTCTATTTAAATGTTATCCTATTTTATTTTATTTTATTTGATGTAATTGGTTGAGGCAAAGCTGAACATCGTATGGGCACAAGCTAAGAAGTGACTGATGGCATCCACCCAGGCCTGGATTGAGGCAGAGAGAGGAGAAGAGGGTGAGGGAGCTGATGATGTGGGTGAAGTCACCAACTAACCAGGCAGGAGGGAAGGAATTGACAGCAGGATGTGCTGATACAGGAAAAACAGGTATCTCTATGGTGGAAGAACAGATATGGCAGCAGAAAGGGGATGAGAGAAATAGGAGGAAACCTGTTGCTAAGAATGTGGTATTTGAGGATCTGAGAAGTTGGACCTGGTGCAGTTCCAGGTGGTTGATCTGGGGTTTGGGGTGCAGGGAATGGAATGCTTCCATACAGCCAGGGGACAGGATAAGGAGATAAAGAGATGAAGGTGAAGGCAAACTGTCAATTTCTCAGTCTCATAGTCCTTGGCTGTGCTCCTGTGTTAGCTGCGATTTCAAAATAGGTCACTTCCTGTCCTTACTTTACTCTGTCTCCTCTCCATCGCCTACTTGGCATCTTGTGTCTTTTCAATGTCATGTTAAGAGTTCACTTTCCCAATCAGGAGAAGCACAGGACATAAATCAATGTAATTAATGCATGTTTCTTTCTTTCTCAAAGACTTGCCTAAATAAAACCTTACAATTTATTTTAGTGAACAAATTAAATGTTGACTTTTAAAAACACAGTACTTGTACTTTTTAACCTTCAAAGAACTTTACACATATTAAGGTCATTACTCTTTTTAACACTCCTAGAGTCTTTGAGTTGAACATACGTGTTCAAAAGATTAACACAGAGGGTGAGGATGTTTGGCTGTCAGATGTAGTTTTTAGCTGTAATATCTGGCCTTTGAGATAATATTGCTCTGGCCATGTCTGAAAGCCAGGAAATAATGATTTCTGTTCCACTTTCTGTCAATGGGGAGCTATTATTACCCCCTTCAGTGTGAACTCATTTAGGACTACAAAAATAAAAATTGTTAATAATGGTTAATTATCAGATTAGAATTTCAAAGGGGAAAAATAATAGATATTAGTTTCCTCTGAAATTCACAAGCCAACTAAAGCCATTCCAAGCTTCCTGAGGCCCCTTCTCTCCTCTGTTTCTTATTTCATTTCATGCCTCCCTCTCCTTCTCTTTGGATTTCTCTCTTCTTATTTATTTCTCTGTATACAGGGGATTTTTACTCCCCTCAAGTTCTCTTCATTGGTGCCACTCTTCTTATATACCTGGCTCTTTTTTCTTCACCTTCTGATTTTCCACGTTTTCTTTTTCCTGCTTTCCCTTTTCTTACTTTACCATTTCCTTTTTGTTAAATTTCTGAAGCAGTCGGGAACAAGATATTTTTTCTAACTAATTTCCCTCTTCCTTCCTTCCTTCCCTTCCCCTTCCTTCCTTCCTTCCTTCTTCTTCTTCTCTCTTTCTTTCTTTCTTTCTTTCTTTCTTTCTTTCTTTCTTTCTTTCTTTCTTTCTTTCTTTCTCTTTCTTTCTTTCTCTCTGTCTCTCTTTTCTTTCTTTTACTTTCTTTCTTCTTTTCCAGGGGCTCACTCTGTTGCCCAGGTTGGAGAGCAGTGGCATGATCATGGCTTACTGCAGCCTCAACCATCCAGGCTGAAGCAATCCTTCTACGTCTAGCTCCTGAGTAGCTGGGACTACAGATGTGCTCCACCACGGCTGGCTAATTTTGTTTGTTTATTTATTTATTTGTTTGTTTGTTTACTTCTTTATTTATTGAGACAAGGTCTCACTATGTTGCCCAGGCTTGTCTCCAACTCCTGGACTCAAGTGACCCTCCTGCCTTCAGCTCCCAAAGTGCTAGGGTTACAGGTGTGAGTCACCGCACCCAGTCTATCATTTCCTTCTACAACATCTACACCTCCTTGTCCTGTCCTCTGGTCGCATGGATGCACTGCATTCCTGACCCAGCCCTGGGATCAACCCCTCTATGCTCACTTTTACTTTTTATTACTATAGCAACAACAAGGGCTATTATTATTAATTAAAATTTATTGAACACATACCATGTGTCAGGCAAGTAGATTACTTTCTGTTTAGAAAATGCCATCACAAAGGGGACAACACATACAAAAGACAATGATCTGAATCTGCAAGTGGGAAAAAAACTAAAATGGATTTTCAGTTGTTTGAAATAAAATTCCTTGCCATCAGCATTTGCTCAATATTGATAAAGGGAAGATTCAGGTCCCTTTGTAAGAGAGAGAGGGAAAAAACAGAGACATTGATTGAATCCATACTGTGAAACTGTGCAGTAGGTATTGACCCATCATTGCTCTCAAACAATGGAAAAAGAGTGAGATGAATTTGCTTTGTGTAGTAGCCAATCACTCAGGTGGCTGAGTCACAAACAAGATTTAATCTCTGATTGCTGCACAAAAATGTCTACAAAGAAGCTCCTGTGGAAGACATTTTTCCTCACCTATTCAAGGTTGCAGAGGTAGTTGTCTTTGTGACTTGTGAGTGGTGTAGGAGTGTGAAGAGTATAAATTAGAGAAGAATATAAGGAAGTTTGCTGTGTGTTTAGCAGGAACTGCATCCTAAGAAAGAATCAAGATCCTGCAGCCAAGAAGAGAACTGGGATCCAAAAGGTCTCATTAAAACAGGTTAAGTGTTTGCAAATCCCAATTACAATAGGTGCCATTAGCTATTAAATCTTAATGATCGGCCAGGCGCAGTGGCTCACACCTATAATCCCATCATTTTGGGAGACTGAGGCAGGCAGATCGCCTGAGGTTAGGAGTTTGAGACCAGTCTGACCAACGTGGTGAAACCCTGTCTCTACTAAAAATACAAAAAATTAGGCGTAGTGGCGTGCACCTGTAATAGCTACTCAGGAGGCTGAAGCAGGGGAATTGCTTGAACCAGGGAGACAAAGGTTGCAGTGAGCCAAGATTGCTCCAATGTACTCCAGCCTGGGTGACAGAGCGAGACACTGTCTCGAAACAAAAACAAAAACAAAACAAAAAAACTTAATGATCAAATAGCTAATAAAGAATTGCCTCCATTCTTTGCTGAGGTGGGAAGAAACATTAGCTGCTGGAATGAGTTTGCAGATGGAGAGAAAAGTGGCTCTTAAAAACTCAGGAACTATGGTGTACCCTTACGTGTACCAATTGAAATGATAACGTGAATCCCGGTCTTCCCTGGTCAACAGGAACACTACAGGTGGGGAGGAAGAACCTCCTCTCTTTATGTTTCTGTAAATCATCCTGCCTTACTTTGAACCCCTGTGCCTTCAAAAAGGGAGGACTTTGAGCCCCTGCGCCTTCAGAAAGGGAGGAAACTGTCTTTAAAAGAGCTCTGCTATCTCCCTGGAATTTATGTCATGACTATGACATAAAAATTTGCCCAGTGCTAAAAATTCAGGACATGGCATCTGGTGATTGAGTCACTTACCCACACAGGTTAGCAGT
Organism: Homo sapiens; assembly: GCF_000001405.40. Classification (NCBI taxonomy): domain Eukaryota; kingdom Metazoa; phylum Chordata; class Mammalia; order Primates; family Hominidae; genus Homo; species Homo sapiens. The sequence goes on from NC_000004.12 coordinate 143,950,300, forward strand.
AAGACACTCATTCTGTATTTTAGCACAGCCCTGGAGGTCCGGTGGCTTTGTGACACCATGGTGTGGTCTCAATTTCTGAGCTGCACACAGAGCCACTTCTCCTCCCTGGATCTTGCCACTTCCTTGTTTGCACTGCACAGAAAGCACACAGCAGCTACTCACCTTCTCATTTCCTGCAGGTTTGGAGAATCCTTGTGGTGGGGCTTTTAGTTGTCTCCTTGCTTCTTACAAATATTTTGTTGACACCATATTCTCTTCCTTCTCTGGAACTGGTGTATTCAGGATTCCCAGGCCCAGGAAACTTAGTTCTGCTTTTTCTTTTTTCCTTATGGTTACTACTCAGAAGCAAGAGGCAAGAGGCAAGAAATGCATGATTGAGTACCTGCTTGATTTAGGAGGGGAGAGGAAAAGAAACAGGTTGAATTTTTAAAATGTTATTGAGTTGGCTGGGCATGGTGGCTCACATCTGTAATCCAAGCACTTTGGGAGGCTGAGGAGGGTGGGTCACCTGAAAGTCAGGAGTTCGAGACCAGCCTGGCCAACATGGTGAAACCCTGTCTCTACTTAAAATATAAAAAATTAGCTCAGCATGGTGGTGGGCACCTATAATCCCAGCTACTTCGGAGGCTGAGGCAGGAGAATCACTTGAACCCAGGAGGCAGAGGTTGCAGTGAGCCGAGATCGCACCATTGCACACCAGCCTGTGCAACAAGAGTGAAACTTCGTCTCAAAGAAAAATGTTATTGAGTCACAGTTGTGTCAGAGTTCTCAAAATTCAGAAGCCAGCTTTCCAATGCTGTAGACTCTGTCCAGAACAGATACGTACCTCAAAGAAAAATGTTATTGAGTCACAGTTGTGTCAGAGTTCTCAAAATTCAGAAGCCAGCTTTCTAATGCTGTAGACTCTGTCCAGGACAGATACATACCATGCAGATGAGAGAGGACCCAGTGTAGTTCTTAAAAATTTCAGTGCATGAGACCAAACAGGCAACCACCACTTCTCACTATTTCACTCACTGGCCAATTTCTTGCTTTTGTTGCTCTTGTGACTTCTTGTTAGTGATACAGGCAGTTGTGCATACACACCATTTTAAGAATTCCTGTCACAAAGAGATGCTTAAGAAATATTACTTGATGTTTGATATAGTTTGGCTATGTCCCCACCCAAATCTCATCTTGAATTATAGTTCTCATAATCCCCATGTGTCATGGGAGGGACCCAGAGGGAGGTAATTGAATCATGGGGGTGGTTTTCCCTGTGTTGTTCTTGTGATGGTGAGTGAGTTATCATGAGAGTTGATGGTTTTATAAGCATCTGGCATTACCCCTGCTGGCTCTCATTCTGTCTCTTGCTGCCCTGTGAAGAGGTGCCTTCTGCCATGACTGTAAGTTTCCTGAGGCCTCCCCAGCCACAGTTGTGACTCACAGTTGTGAGTCAATTAAACCTCTTTTTAAATATATTGCTCAGTCTTGGATATTTCTTCATAGCAGCATGAGAACAGACTAATGCAGTAAATTGGTACCAGGAGTGGGGTGCTACTATAAGGATACCACAAAATGTGGATGCAAATTTGGAACTGGGTAACAGGCAGAGGTTGGAACAGTTTGGAGGACTCAGGAGAAGACAAGAAAATGTCAGAAAGTTTGGAAATTTCTAGAGATTGGAGGGCCCAGAAGACAGGAAGGTGTGGGAAAGTTTGGAACTTCCTAGAGACTTGTTGAATGGCTTTGACTAAAATGCTGATAGTGATTTGGACAATGAAGTCCAGGCTGAGATGGTCCCAGAAAGAGATGAGGAACTCGTTGGGAACTGGAGCGAAGGTGTGTCTTGTTATGCTTTAGCAAAGAGACTTGCAGCACTGTGCCTCTGCTTGAGATCTCTGTATCTTTGAACTTGAGAGAGATGATTTAGAACATCTGGCAGCAAAAATTTCTAAGTGGCAAAGCATTCAAGAGGAAGCAGAGCATAAAAGTTTGAAAAATTTGCAGCCTGACAATGCGATAGAAAAGAAAAACCCATTTTCTGGAGAGAAATTCAAGCTGGCTACAGAAATTGGCATAAGTAATGAGAAGCCAAATGTTAATCACCAAGACAATGGGGAAAATGTCTCCAGGGCATGTCAGAGACTTTCACAGCAGCCCCTCCTATCACAGGCCCAGAGACCTAGAAGAGAAAAATGGTTTCATGGTCTGGGTCCAGGGCTCCCCTGCTCTGTGCAGCCTCAGGTCATGGTACCCTGCATCCCAGCTACTCCAGCTCCAGCTGTGGCTAAAAGGGGCCAAGGTAGAGTTCGGGTTATTGCTTCAGAGGGTGCAAGCCATAAGTCTTGGCAACTTCCACATGGTGTTGAGCCTGTGGGTGCACAGAAGTCAAGAATTGATTGGGGTTTGGGAACCTCTGCCTAAATTTCAGAGGATGTGTGGAAATGCCTGATTGTCCAGGCAGAAGTTTGCTGCAGGGGCAGAGGCCTCATGGAGAACCTCTGGTAGGGCAGTGTAGAAGGGAAATATGTGGTGGGTGCCCCCACACAGAGTTCCCACTGGGGCACTGCCTAGTGGAGCTGTAAGAAGTGGGCCACCGTCCTCCAGACCCCAGTATAGTAGATCCACACTGACAGCTTGCACTGTGTACCTGGAAAAGTTGCAGACACTCAATGCCAGCCTGTGAAAGAAGCCAGGTTGGGGGATGTTCCCTGCAAAGCCACAGGTGTGGAGCTTCCCAAGGTCATGGGAGCCCACCTCTTGCAACAGCATGACCTGGATGTAGGACATGGAGTCAAAATAGATCATTTTGGAACTTCAATATTTAATGACTGCCCTGCTGGATTTCAGACTTGCATGAGCCTGTAGCCCCTTTGTTTTAGCCACATTTTTCCCATTTGGAACAGGTGTATTCACCCAATGCTTATAATTGTATCTAGGAAGTAACTAACTTACTTTTGATTTTACAGGCTCATAGGTGGAAGAAACTTGTCTTGTCTCAGATGAGCCTTTGGACTTAGACTTTTGGGTTAATGCTAGAATGAGTTAAGACTTTGGGGGACAGTTGGAAGGGCATGATTTTGTTTTGAAATGTGAGGACATGAAATTTGGGAAGGGCCAGGAATGTAATGATGTGGTTTGCCTTTGTCCTCACCCAAATTTCATCTTGAATTGTAGTTCCCATAATCCCTACATGTCATGGGAGGGACTAGGTGGGAGGTAATTGAATCATGGGGGCGGTCTCCCCCATGCTGTCCTCATGATGGTGAGTGAGTTCTCATGATATCTGATGGTTTTATGTGTCTGGCATTTCCCCTGCTGACTCTCATTCTCTCTCTTGCCACCCTGTGAAGAGATGCCTTCTGCCATGATTGTAAGTTTCCTGAGGCGTCCCCAGCCATGCAGAACTGTGTGTTAATTAAACCTCTTTTCTTTTTAAATTACCTAGACTCGGGTATTTCTTCATGGCAGTGTGAGAACGAACTCATACAATGTTAATTGTTAATACTTTGTTTTTCTGACTTTTAATTTAAAATTTTTAAATGCTATTTTATTATTATTTTTTGGCCACTGGATTCCCATTCCACTTGAATAGAATAACAAATAGTAGAAATTAAAGTTAAAAAGTATGTTGAATATTGAATAGAAATTTAATTTTGGAAATATTCATGTCTACATTTAAATAAGAAGTGGAAGACAGTAAAAAATGAAACAAATGCAGTCCCTGTCCTTGGTGGGACTGAAGGAGTTTCTGAAAGAAAACTTTTAGTGGTGCCTTTAAGCACAGAACTACAGCTTATAAAAGTCCATGGACATCAAAATTATGCAAAGCTTGGTGGAATTTTTGTGTGCAGGTTTTCCTAGAGAGAACAGAAACTATGGAACACAGTCATGAGGCAGAAAATGAGAGCAAGAGTGATTATGTCAGGCAGCTTGCTCTGGCAGAGAGTTAAAGCCGGATGCTCTTTCTACCATGGCTTGTTTGGCTCCCAAGAACTGTGGCTTCTACTTCTGCTTTCTCCCTCTTCCTTCTCCTGCATCTATTCAGGATACCTAATGCGGTCAAGAGGAACAAGGCAGAAATGAAAATTGTCAAATCCTGTGTGGGTATAAACTCTATTCAAAACTTATTAAATTTTAAATACCATTCAGTTGTAAATAATCATAAGAGCCCACCTACAGTGAAACAATAGATGACTTGAAAGCACTGCAGCAGCCAGCTCTGAGCTGCAAGGAGAATAGTTGTGTAAAATGATTCATTAGCAAAAAGAAATCCCTGCAGGACACTAGATATAATCCAACACAGGGAAAGATGTGGTTTGGAGACTGATATTTTACAACTTCTTCAGGTTCTCAATATTGAAAACAAATGATACAATCAAAAGATATTCTTTCAGATTGCTATGTGCAGTCTCTTCCAGAGGCCCTGCGAGAGATACTTAACTTACCTTCTGCTCTGAGAGGGAAAGCTGTCTTGTGTGGGTGGTCAAGAAAGGTTATTTGGTGGTATTATATTTCAGGACTTCTACCAGAGTGATTCACTTATAACTGGCTGGCATAATTATTATAGAGTTTCAGTGATCATTATGCTGTGTTAACTACAGAATATTGTAATTGCTGTTAGAATGACCACAAAATGAACCATACAATTTCAAAACATACTTAGCCATTTTCAGAAGAGGTGCAAATGAGAGTTATGCTTTGAAGATTCCAGGGAGACTGATTAAGAGAACTAACAGAGTGGAGAACAGATTAATGGCTGCATTTCTTCATGCTATGTGACCATTAGTGAACTTTCCTTTCTGATATTACCTAATGTCAACATTCCATTGGAGTTCACACATTGCTAGGTGTTTTAGAAAAGACATTGAAGGTGATTTATTGATATTTCACCCCCAGAAATACTGGGAAGAGGCTTTCTTCTTTAGAGATGTGAATTTCTGAAGTGAAGTCCCTAGAAGGAATTTCTGAAGTGAAGCCCCTAGAAGGCTCACCATTCTACTACAGTGGCTCTTTTGCTGCATGCTTCCCAGATCCCTCCATCCTCCTGCACTTCTGCTTCTGAAATTTTTCCTCTGATGGAGTTGCCATATCAGTACAGAAGCTGGCATGGTATAGCATGTGTACCACAGAGAGCACCAGAGTGGTTTATCTTCGGCATGCTGGCTGGTTATCATCTTGTAATCCTCCCATGGGCTTCAGAAACCTCAACTCGACAGAGACTTGGCCACAGACCTTCCTCCTTTAGATGCTTGGAGGATCCTGAAGAGAAGAATCAGACTCCCAACCTCACACTTATGAATTTCAAGATAGTGCTCGGTAACATCTTTTCTATGTGGTGGCCAGAATGTTGAAAAGTTTGATAAATCTTTATATACATTCAGTCCCTCTGCACTTGTAAAGAGGAAGAGGCTTGAGTAGCAGCAGAAAAATGATATGGCCATCCACCATTGCCATGTTTATGTTGTGTTTATTTTCCCTTTCCCACTTTTCCCTCTGGGGAGAAATATGTGTGACTTATTACCTAATTCATTCCTGGAAGAGAGTTCTAGTCCTGGAAACTTGTTTCATACTATAAAAATAACAAAACTGATCATTCAAAATAATGGAATTAATACCACATAAATTACTTTGCAGTATTCTTTTTGAATTTATTTTTTCCACATGTCGTTTTCCTCCTTTCTCCTGGCTCTTGGTGTCATAAAGTCTGGGTGGTAGAGGTAAGCGAATCTGCATAGGTATTCTTTATTTCATCAGAGGCTTTAGACTTGAGTTTAAAATTAGAACCTACTAAAAAATATTATTGCATAGTTAGGGTGAAAGGGTATCTTTGAAGGACTTTGAGTGATAAATGCCTTGATACTGGCTTTTTCTGAGTGTCAGGGTTGCCCACTGACTCATATGAGAAAATGATGTGGGCAGTGGTTGTTTTATTGAGGTTTTTTTTTTTTTTTTTTTTTTTTGTAACCAGGGGGTTCTTGTTTGCTCTAGTTAAGATAGTAAGAACTGGCCGGGCGCGGTGGCTTACGCCTGTAATCCCAACACTTTGGGAGGCCAAGGTGGGCGGATCAGGAAGTCAGGAGATGGAGACCATCCTGGCTAACAAGGCGAAACCCCGTCTCTATTAAAAATACAAAAAATTAGCCTGGCGTGGTGGGGGGACCTGTAGTTCCAGCTACTCGGGAGGCTGAGGCAGGAGAATGGCGTGAACCTGGGAGGCGGAGCTTGCAGTGAGCCGAGATCGCACCACTGCACTCCAGCCTTGGCGACAGAGCCAGACTCCGTCTCAAAAAAAAAAAAAAAAAAAAAAAGGTAGTCAGAACTGATGGCTTGGGTAATTGGGAGGTGGATGTGGTTGGATAAAAGGTGTGAAACAGAAATTATGTTATTATAAATAAGTCACCAGTTACCAGTATTTTGATGTATTAAATCTTATAAAAAGAAAATTAGTGGTATTGAGTATTTTTAATTTTAGAAAATTAATCATAATCATAGTGTATGAGGATTGGAAGGACTTTAGATTTCACATAATTGAATTATTAGAGACTTGAACAGTTTCTGTAGTACTCTGATCAGACAAATTGTCCAGTTTATGGCGTTTGTTTGTCTGTTTTGAGATAGAGTCTCGCTCTGTCTCCCAGGCTGGAGTGCAGTGGTGCGATCTCAGCTCACTGCAACCTCCGCCTCCCAGGTTCTGGTGATTCTTCTGCCTCAGCCTCCTGAGTAGCTGGTATTACAGGTGCATGCCACGACGCCCAGTTTTTTTTTTTTTTTTTTTTTAATTTTTAGTAGAGACGGAATTTCACTATGTTGGCCAGGCTAGTCTTGAATTCCTGACCTCAAGTGATCCACTCAATTCAGCCTCTCAAAATTTTGGGACTACAGGCATGAGCCACCATGCCCAGCCATCCAGTCTATTTTGAATATCTTTAGTGACGGGAAATTCATCTCTGCATAGTCTTATTTAATTCTGAGTATTAAATTTTTTTAATTATAATAGTCAAAAGTTGATTCTCTAGCATATATGTATTCTAGCTCCATTTCTTGGGTCCTTGCAGAGCAAATCTAACTACAGTCCTACCATTAATTCCAGATTGCTCTATGCATCTGAGACTTTTAACTTTCACACAGAATGTCTCCAGATTTATATGAAAGGGTTATATGGTTCTTTGTGATTCTGGTTTATTTGTCGTTTGCCCAGATGTTGGTGTGGAACAAAGTGGCACCTCCAGTGCCTACATGCTAGATCTTGAATTTTATGATGACAACCTAAGATCAAGAAGGACTGTGGATGAGGAACCATTGATGGGTTTTTTGCAGAGTAGTGCCATTGAGAGACTTTTATTTTAAATAATCTTTGTGGACTTATGGGGATGGAGTAAAAGAGGATATTTTGGAGGCCAAAAACAAGTCAAAAGCTGTTTCAGTAGGAGGACTTGGATCAGAGCAGGAACAATGGGCATGGAGAAAAGGGATTGGATTTTAGAAATAGTAGAGGATTGAATGTGGCTGGTGATGGAGGAAGAAGAATCAGAATGACACCAAAGTTTCTAGCTTAGATATTGGGCTATGAAAGACGGTGCCATGAACTAAGAAAGAAAATCCTGAAGAAAGAGCCAGTTTTAAGATAAAGATAAAATCTTTCAAACCGTGATTTCATTTAGCCTGTATTCCTCCATCTGCTCTACAAGAATATGATAAGAAAGCTTATGCCAGGATCTATTATTCATAGATACACTATGTGGCCATGTTCCCCTGATCTACTGATCTAGTGATTCTATTGGAAAAAGAAAATGAATTTTATTTGACATGACTAGGTATTGGCCGGGCTTTGCATCCCTCTTCTGTACTTCTTTGATCAATATTAATCAACTTAATAAGCACTTGCAATGGCAATGCTTTATATGCTCATTGTCTAGTGACAATGAATTATAGTATGAAGATTTTACAAATGTTTTTCTTTTGTTCCGGTTTGTTTATCTTCTGGTATGAATCCCTTTATTATTATTATTTTTAATTTTTTTAAACTGACACATTATAATTGTAGATATTTATGGAGTACATAGCGATGTTGCCATACATATAATGCATAGTGATCAGGTCAGGGTAGTTAGCCTGTCCATCATCTCAAACGTTTATCATTTCTTTGTTTTGAGAACATTCAATATCCTTCTGGCTATTTGAAACTATATATTATGTTATTGTTAACTCTGGTCATCATACTGTGGTATAGAATACTAGAACTTATTTCTCCTATTGAGTTGTAACATTGTATCCTTTAACAAATCTCTCCCAATGTCATTTTTCCCCCAACCCTTCATAGCCTCAAGTATTTTCTGTTTTACTTGTATGAGATCAACTTTTTGTTACCTTCTACATATGAGTGGGAGCATTTGGTATTTAACTTTCTGCTCCTGGTTTATTTCATGTAACAGGATGTCCTCTGATTTCATCCACATTGGCATGAATGACAGGATTTCATTGTTTTTTGTGTGTGTTGTTTTTTGAGACAGAGTCTCACTTTGTGACCCAGATTGGAGTGCAGTAGCACAATCTTGGCTCACTGTAACCCCCACCTCCCCGGTTCAAGCAATTCTCCTGCCTCAGCCTCCTGAATAGCTGGGATTATAGGTGCGCACCACAAAACCTGGCTAATTTTTGTATTTTTAGTGGAGACAGGGTTTCACCATGTTAGCCAGGCTGGTCTTGAACTCCTGACCTCAGGTGATCCACCCACCTTGGCCTCCCAAAGTGCTGGGATTACAGGTGTGAGCCACCGTACCCAGCCTAGGATTTCATTTTTTTTTATGGCTGAACGGTATTCCATTGTGTATCTATACTACATTTCTTTATCGATTCTTCTCCTGATGGACACTTAGACTGATTCCATATCTTGGCTATCGTAAATAGTGCTCCAATAAACTTGAGGTTGTAGATATCTTTTCAACATACTGATCTCTTTTCCTTTGGGTCAATACCTGGTAGTGGGATTACTGGATCACGTGTAGTCCTAGTTGTAGTTTTTTAAGGAACCTCCTTAATGTTCTCCATAGTGGCTGTACTAGTTTACATTCCCACCAAGTGTATAACAGTTCCCTTTTCTCTGCATCCTCACCAGCATTTGCTATTTTTTGTCTTTTTGATGATAGCCATTCTAACAGGGGCAAGATGATACTTCCTTGTGGTTTTGATTTGCATTTCTTTGATGATTAGTAATGTTGAGCATTTTTTCATATATTTGTTGTCCATTTGTATGCCTTCTTTTGAGGAAGGTCTGTTCAGATCATTTACCCATTTTAAAACCAGTTTGTTTTTATGTTGCTAAGATGCATGAATTCCTTGTATATTGTGCATATAAATCCCCTGTCAGATGAATGGTTTGCAAATATTTTCTACCATTCTGTAGGTTGTCTTTTCACTGTTGTTTTGTTTGCTGTGCAGAAGCATTTTAGTTTGATATGATGTTATTTATTTATTTTTGCTTTTCTTGACTCCTTTTGAAGTCTTATTCATAAAATGTTTTCTAAGACCAATGTCTGGAAGTTTTTCCCTTATGTTTTCTTCTAGTTCCATATCTGAGTTTTAGGTCTTTAAACCATTATAATTAGATTTTTATAAAGGGTAAGAGGTGAGAGTCTAGTTCCATTCTTCTGCATATAGATATTCAGTTTTTACAGCCCCATTTATTGAAAAGATTGTCCTTTCCTCAGTAGATGTTCTTGAGGCCTTTGTCAAAAGTCAGTTGGCTATTGATATGTGAATTAATTTATAGGTTCTCTATTCTGTTCCACTGGCCTTTGTGTCTGTTTTTATGCCAGTATCATGCTGTTTGGGTTACTACTGCATTGTAGTATATTTTGAAGTCTGGTAGTGTGATGTCTTCAGCTTTGTTCTCTTTGTTTAGGATTACTTTGGCTATTCAAGGCCTTCTGTGGTTCCATACAAATTTTAGGATTTTTTTCCCTATTTTTGTGAAGAATGTCCTTGGTATTTCGATGGGGATTGCATTGAACGTGTATGGCCATTTTACCAATATTGATTCTTCTAATCCATGTGCATGAGATATTTTCTCACTTGTTTGTATCCTCCTCAATTTCTTTCATAAGTGTTTTGTAGTTTTCATTGTAGAGGTCTTTTGCTTCCTTTGGGAAGTATCTGCCACCAGATACTGCTTGGAGGGGTGCTTCTCAGCCTGGGATATGGGCACAGGGATAATTGGCTGACTCGAGGGCTTTCCCACCAGGGGTGGCCTGCAGACTATTTCTCAGTCCTGGCATGTGAGCGCAGAGCTGTTCAGACAGCCAAGGAGCATGTCTGTCAGGGGCAGCACACAGGTCTGTTTCTCAGGCTCTGATTGTGGATACAAAGCTGTTGGGTGGGACTGGGGCTTGTCTGTAGTGGCGGGAGGCACTGTGCGGCTGTTTCTCAGGACCTGGGTGTGGGCACATAGCTGCTCCTTCAACCCAGAAGCATGTTGGCTGCTTGGAGATATGAGGGCTTCTCCCGCTTGGGGAAGGGCATTCACCAGTTTGGCTGGCTCGAGGGTGAGTTCACCCTGGGCAGGACTGTTCCTCTGGTTCTAAGTGAGGACAGTAGGAGTTGCCTTCCTTGCTGTGCAAGACCAAAGTTACGGCTATCCCTGGGCCTAGAATTCACACTGCTGGGGTTGTGGCATTCAGTCACCAATGTGAGCTTAGTGGAATGAAGATGGAGTCCCAGTGCAGTGGCTGCTGACCCCAGAGCAAGGCATACTACAGAGTCATCTCTAGTCTTGAGATAGTGCCACGCTGCAGCAGCTTGGCTCACAGGGCATGGGTGGGGAATAAGGAGTGCACACTTTGTACTCCTAATCCAGCGCAATGCAGCTGTGAGAATTCTGGGTATCTCTCCAAACTGGGCTCTGGGCTTGCAAGGACTGTGAAATTGTCTTACAAGGACTGTAAGTGTTTGTGGTCGCAATGGTGGCTGGTGCGGTTCTTCTCCTTATCTTTCTCCTGCAACAGGAAGTCCCTCCTGATTCTGGCTGGATATGATCCGGGTAGGGAAGATGGGACCACAGAGGCTGAGTGTCTCCATGCTGTCCTCCTGGACTTTCAATCACCACAGGTGCATCTCCACTCCCTCTCTGCACTCCAGTGTTCTTCCTTTGACACACCATCCAAATCTTATCTGTTTATTTGTTGCCTTGCTTCTTTCTTGTGGGGAGGATGAGCACCAGGTGCCTCTAATCAGTCTTCTTTCTAATGTCCCCCAAAAGTGTGTTTCTGAGGCAAAAAAAGATTTACAGCAAACTGATAACTGAGTTTCCAATTCTTCGGTCAACTACAGCCGAGCTAAAGTCTTAGTTAGCAAAATTTAAAAGTCTGAATTGTTAGGAGATAAGAAATTGTTAATCTGAAATCCAATTTCTACTGTAATTCAAGGGCACATTGTTTAGACTCTGTGTGTAGGAGCATTGTGATAAATTGTAAGGAAATGACACAGCAAACACTATTCTACTAGCATAATAAAATATTCTCTACCCTGGTTTTTATAGACAGCCTGTACATAGTATTTATATTCCTTTCCAAGTCGCTTATTTACCTGTGATGCTGTTTCCTACTTTTGCTGACAGTTCAATCAGTCGGTTAAAAAACATATGGGGTAAAGTAGTTTTGCAAAAGGTGACTTAAATTAATGGTAAGCTTGATGCTATTTTCCCTTGTTTGGCTAGTTGAACATTACATGCGTTCCAAACTTAGTGTCTACCAGTGTGTGGCAGGTTACATCCATGTGTAGAACAAAGCCCAGGAGGGGGGCAACTGCATCAACACAGGGAGCATGCCCTTTCTGAAATAACAAAAACAAAAATGAGAAAAAATGCTGCTAACTATTTTGTTGTCATGAGGAGTTGTGGGCCATTATTCGTGGACCTTCTGATATTTCAAGAGAAGTAAAAATATTTTGTATGAAGTCTACTGTTTACAAAATATTGTCAATTAATTGACATTAAACAAATGCCGTGCAGGACAAACAAAACTAGCCCTTGGACCAGAAATGTTCTATGGGTTTATAGCTTCAACACTGGAACATCTCTCAATATGATCAGTTGTGGATTATATACTTTTACTCTTTTAAGCACTTATTTTAAGGGTTTAGTGGGGTTCAGGTAGAATATGGTTATTGCTTAACTCAGTTTACTACTGCTACCTAAAACCATGGTTGATATTTAACTGGCTTGTGTTAAATACATTGCGTTACCAAGTATTCATTCTGATTGAGTGGTACCATGTGGTCAAAGGGGTTAAAGTTTTTGAACATTATTTCTGCCCCAAGTTAATAAACAACACTTCTTACCAGCATGATTTAGATATGGGTTTACCTGTACATTGGGAGTTTTTTCCAAGTGTGTTTATTCCAAGCATTGTAGAATTTCTCAGTTCCTTATAAGGCTATCTTAGAGACTTAGATTATAATATTTTCAATAATAATTTGTCAGACTGTATTCTCAGTCATTCAATTTTGGGATATTATTTGATGACTCCCCCTCAGAAGCCTCTTTTAATGACTAGTCTGACTGACATTTGGTGAAAAAGCAGTAGTTTTTCTTCATCTGTATTCTTCAGAGAATCATCGAATACTAGCTGTCCCTTCCATTTAGGTATTGCTTTTGATAAATTAATTGATGAATTGTCTTCAGCTTAATATGAATATAATTAGTTCAATTGTCAATTATGTTAGACTTTTAAAAGAGTGTTCTGAATATGTGATCATATGACATACTATTTGTAACATGCTTTTTTTTCACCCCCAAATAACAATTTACAGGATCTCAATATTGAGGCCAGAAGAGATTACATAGAGATTATAGGCTCTGCCTGTAATCCCAGTGCTTTGGGAGCCAAGATGGGAGTATTGCTCGAGGCCAGAAGTTTGAGACAAAGCTGGGCAACATGGCAAGACCCCATCTCTACAAAAAATTAAAAAATTAGCTGAGTGTGGTGGTACATGTCTGTACTCCTAGCTACTTGGGAGCCTGAGGGGGAGGATCACTTGAACCCAGGAGTACAAGGTTACAGTGAATTATGATCATACCACTGCACTCCAGGCTGGGTGACAGAATGAGACTCCATTTCTAAAGTTAAAAAGTGTATATATTGAAAAAACTTACTTGAAAACTTTTAGAGTAGAAATTATCTTTATAGTATCTAATCTATCCAGTCAAATGAGCTGGCAGTGGAAGGAGCACTGGACTTAGAGTCGGAAGGCATGGCCTTTTCTCTTTTGCCAATCAATGTGACATTTAGATTTTCATTATTATCATTATCATTATTATTATTAAGATTTAAAAAAATTGTGGGCTAGAAATGTAACTTTCTTCGTGGCAGAATTTTATACTTATTTTTATTTCATATGTGCTCTTCCAACTAAGAAAGAAAAAAACTACAGCTCTCTGGAGCCTGTAGTGTTTGAAACTTATTAGCTCTGTTGCCTCTGGCTACAGAAATCAAAAAGGAGTTTTTCAAGTTGCATTCAGAAAAGCAGTCTGTTTTTCTGACCTGCAGTGTTGCTAGTAATTGTAAGCCAGGTGTTACTCTTGGAAAATGATAGTACTCATTATTTTAAAATAGTGTGGTGTGGAGGGCCAACTGTAAGACCTGGAGCTGTTTGCTGTTTACACACATGCGGACAACTTCTCTGGTCAAAAGTGATAAACAAATGAATCTTTCAGCCTCCATTCTTCAGCCTCTCAAATATATTTCTGAAAAGGGCATCGTTCCAGGGTTCTCTCTGAACAACTCCCACCCCTGAAGTTGAAAGTCTTGACTATTTCAATGTCCTTCCCTTGCATCATATCGCCTGGGCAGCACGCCCTTACTGTTGTTGCTTTGTTAACTGTTAGATACTGAGTTATATTAACATCAAAGGGCATAGGGAATCAGAAATGAAGCCTCCAACTAACAATATGACAAAGCTGATCTACCAATACATCTTTGATTTGGTTTTAAGAGGTTGCAGTGGAAGTGGATAGGAGGTATGAAATTTCTGATTCCAACTTGAGTCTCATTCTAGCCCGTGCCTTGGGGATGTCTATAAAGCTGAGAGGGAGGAAAATTGAGGGGGAAAGGAAGAGGGAGGAAAAGGTAGAGGAAGAGAAAGAAAGAGGAAGACAGAAGAAGAGAAACAGGGAGAGAAGGAGATTGCCTGATCCTGATCCATAGTATAATAGCCTCCCTAGCCTGATTACAGTTCTGCTTTTACACTTAACCACTGCTCTTTTGGGTACTGGCTATTGAGGAACAATACCCTAAATTTTCCTGAAAGTTCTTTCCAGCTGAGAGCATCTCTAGGCACTGGCTTAATTCTTTCAAAGTCTCATGGCCACACCCTTGATTTTTATCTTTACCTTGAGGCCAATCTTAATGTGAAAATATTTTTCTGGCCTGAGACAGCAAAGATGAAAAACAACTTTAGTTTCTATTCTAATAAATTCTAGCATCTCTTAATTCCTCATATTCTCCTTGTAAACTGTGTGTGTGTTTTTGTCGACATTTGTTTCTTTCTTGTAGTACTTTACATACAACTAGTAAGAGTCAGCTGACATTTTCAACATTCTGCCTGGAGATCAAGTCCAAAAATTCGTAAGGTACATTTTGCATCTTCAAGTTATTTTAAGTGACCAGTTCTAACAGATGTTTCATGCCGACGTAGCATGGGTGATCATTTTTTCACTTTGTTCTAAGAGTTGCCTCATCATTTTTCCAGGCTTTGTTAGTGGTATCATTGACACTTTTCCAGCTTCTGTTTGCTACCTACTTCATCCAAAGCTAATTCCACATATGTCTGTTTTATGCTACAGTAGCACGTTCCTTATAGGTACTAATTACCTATTGCCATAATAATGCTGCATAATAAACAACACAAAATGCCTCTTGAAACAATAAAAATTTATTTAGTGCATGAGTCTGTGGGCCAGCAACTTGGTTCTTCTGGTCTCACATGCATGGAAATGGGTTGCATATTAGCTGATCTAGTATAACTCATCTGGGATGATTGAGATAACCTGGTTCTGTTTTACCTTCAGTAGGTTAGTAGGTTAGTCCAGGTATGTGTCACAGCAAAGTCAGAGGATTAAGAGACTGTTAGTGTGAAAGATTTTTTCAAGCCTCTGCATGCATCTGCTCTTGTCCTGTTGGCCAAAGCGTGTAAGATGGCCAAACTCAGAATCAAAGCGCAAAGAAGTACACTCCTCTATAGTGAGAGGAAATGCAAAGTCACATGGCAAAGGGCATAGATACAGGAAGAAGTTAAGTGTTGGGCCATTACTGCCATCAGCCTGCCAAATGATCTCGCCCGTATTTAATATGGGACAGTACCTCACCCATATTCTTTGGACTTCATTATTTCAGCATGCTCCAAGGAGACAGTGACTTCCAACTGTCAGTATTTGTATCCTCTTCCCAAGGTTTTCCTTCTACTAAATAAAGGACCAGTCTGCCCATGCAAACTCCAGGCTGGAGGTTCTAGGGAATTAGCCCTGTCTCCACTTGACATATTCAATTCAATCCTCAAACAATAAATGATAGGAGTTGGTTTATGAAAATGCCAGCTTTCTTATCCCTCTAGTTGGATAATTTGTAGGCGTATATTTTATACAATTTTCCAGAGCTCTAACGTATTAGGCACTGGTAGTGCACAATGGTAGCTGGCTTCGTAATACAACTTTTATCCTTGGCCAGTTTCACTTATGTACTCTCCTAATGCTTAATTCTCTAAAAATAAATTGCTTACACTTGAAATCTTTTCTGTTTTCTTTTTTCTTTTTCTTTTTCTTTTTTGTATTTTGAGATGGAGTTTCGCTCTTGTTGCCCAGGCTGGAGTGCAATGGCACCATCTTGGCTCACCTCAACCTCCACCTCCCCAGTTCAAGCAATTCTTCTGTCTCAGCCTCCCAAGTAGCTGGGATTAAAGGCGTGTGCCACCATGCCCAGCTAATTTTGTATTTTTAGTAGAGACGGGGTTTCTCCTGTTGGTCAGGCTGGACTTGAACTCCCGACCTCAGGTGATCTCGCTCACCTCGGCCTCCCAAAGTGCTGGGATTACAGGCGTGAGCCACCACACCCGGCCATTGAAATCTTTTCGTATGGCTTGCTCAGAATCTAAATTAATAGACTACATAATTGAACTCTCATTTTTCTTCTGATTCTGAGTTCATGTTGCGTATTTACACCATGCACAAAAACCAGTTCTCAGTATGTATCCCCTTCCTAATTTTCAGGAGTTTTAACACTAAGGTCTTTTCAGTGCTTATACTCTTTAGATTCATTAGTAAGAGTCTGTCTTTTTCTGTTTTCTGTAGCTTATAACAGAATACCTGAAACTGGGTAATTTATAAAGGAGAGGAATTTATTTCCTACAGTTATGAAGGCTGAGAAACCCAAGGTCGAGGGGCCATATCTGGTGAGGGCCTTCTTGCTGGTGGGGACTCTGCAGAGTCCTGAGGTGGTACAGGGCATCACATGGTGAGGTGGCTGAGTGTGGTAACTTAAGTCTCTCTTTCTCTTCTTATAAAGCCACCAGTCTCACTCCCATGAGAACCCAGTAATCCATTAATAGAGTCTTACGTTCATAAGGGTAGAGCTGTTAGGACCCAATCACTTCTTAAAGGCCCTATTTCTCAATACTGCCACATTGGAGATTAAGTTTCAACATGAGTTTTGGAGGGGACAACCATTCAAAGCATAACAGTGTCCTTTAATTGTCATAAGCTTTCCTAATTATTAGCTTTAGTATGATCTAAGTATCAATTTTACTTTTGTTTTCCAGCTTATAGAAGAGTACAGCATACAGAAAAATACATCTTCTGCAAAGAAAACACAGTCATGTAGAGAACCTTTCCATCCCCAGTCTGGACCCAGGTAATGGGTCCTTGCTTAGAGGAATATTTCTTCCACTCATATCATCTTTCTTTTTTGTCCCATTTTGTTTTTGTTTGAATAAAACTCATTTGTACTTTTCCTTTCTTCCAACAATAAAGAACATTATTGACTTTTAATTATAATTTTAAAAACCCCATTTTTTTGTGTTTTAGAAACAGGGTCTTACTCTGTTGCCTAGTCTGGAGTGCAGTGGCACAACCACGGCTCCCTGCAATCTAGAACTCCTGAGCACAAGCGATCTTCCCGCCTCAGCCCTCTGAGTAGCTGGGACTACAGGCAGATCCCATCACACCCAGCTAATTGTTTAGTTAAGAAATGGGTCTTGCTTTGTCGCCTGGGCTTGTCTTGAGCTCCCGGGCTCAAGCAATCCGCCTACCTTAGCCTCCCAAAGTGTTGGGATTGCAGACGTGAGTCCCTGTGCCTGGCCACAAAACATATTTTAAAATCTGTCTACGTCTGCCTACATTTCCAGTTGATGTTAGTCCATTAACTCTTTATTCTGCTATATCCAAACTGCTATTAAATCCATATATCAAATTCTTAATTTTTGTTACTTTATTTTGCAGTTCTCAAATTTCTATATGATTATTAAGTCTATTCCTTTGATGAAACTCCCCATCTTACCCTCTATTTCCTAAACATTTTAAGCACTTATTTTAATTTTGTGTTGCTAAGGACAATATCTGCATCATCTGTGAGTCTTTTCCCACTGTTGATTTTTTTGTGTTCTTCCTATTTGTTGAGTTATTGCTATATTTTGTATACCTGGTAGATTTTTGTTGAATGCCAGATACTGAATATAAAAAACCAGGGATGATGTGGATTGTGTTATAGCTTTCCTGAGAGAGTTTGCCCTGTCCTTTGGTTGGAAGCTATAGTGGAGGCAAATCACCTTAATCAAGTAAACGAGAAGATGAAATGCTGGGTTTCAGTCTTCTTAAGATTGGTTTCCTGGAGTGCTATAGCCCCTAAAGGTCTCGAATGAGAGTATGAAGTGTTCTCTGTTGCCCCTCTCCCTTAGTGAGTCATGGCCTCCAGTTTTGTCTTCTCAGCACTAAAAGATGTTTAAAAACTCTAATTTGATTTTCAACGGCTGTATGCTTGGCTTCCTAGCCTCTCACTCTAATCAGCTTACTTCAGAAAATGCCTTTATAGGAAAACGACCTTAGTATTATGCTTACATTTTCGCACCTCTCTTCTTTCCAGGCTTGTACTCAGAAATCCTGGCTGCCTTCACAGCATCAAACTATAATTTTTTGTCTACCTCGATTTATGAATGATCAAGAGCTCTCTTAGATTATCTGCCTTTTAGCAGGGGCTGAGGATTATTAATATTCCAGCCCATATTTAGAATTGGCAAATGCCGTTAAGGGTAAGTGACATTCAGAATTTGTCTCACCTTTCTACTTTTCTCTTCTCTCCAGGATCTTGACACCTCAGATTCTTATCACTTTGGAAGCTCTCCCATGCCTTCAAACAAATGATTTTTTTTTCTTTTTAAATTTTACTTTGTTTTTCTTATTGTTCATTGGTTAAATAGCCCCCTCTTGTATACCTCTTACACGTACATGTGGTTTCTTCTACTTACTCTTAGATCAATTTTATTAAATCTGGAGGGAGATAGTAGATTATGAGGACCTAGGCAAGGAGGGTATAATGGACAGATGCCTTGCTTGACCAGCCTCTATTTCTCCTTCTTCCTAATATTATTTATTATTATTATTTGGAAAGCCACTTCTGAGAAGTGGAATGCCACTGTCAGTCCTTGTGTTTTTCGGTGGGATAAACCCAGTTTCTGGGGTCTAAGAATGGGAGGTGGGTGGGTAGGTGTGGCAGGCATGCTACTCAGGCTGGCCCATGACTATGTTCCATCTCTCCTATCAGAGGGCTTGAGTCCGAGAAAGATATGGGACCCTAGTCAGCCCAAAGAGTGTCAGCACCGGACTTCTATGAAAGTTAGTGGGAAAGTGATATTGTTTCCACTGAGGTTTCTCAGCTGGTAGATTTAAGGCCAGAGCTGCTAATGGCCTTTTTTGCCTTTGTACGTGCAGGACCTGTGAGAGAAAGCCGGGGAAGCAGAACCCTTTGATGGAGACAACAGAGTCAGGACAATATTGTTTAAAACTCCTAAATCCAAACATGCCTGAAGCTATAAGTTACTTCTGAAATTTAAAAATTTATAAGTAAATTATTTTTTTTCTCCCTAAGCCACTTTTAGCTAAAATAGGCCTATGTGGAGAGTACCAGTAGGTGTGAGGGAGGGGAGACAGATGAAGTGACATCTCAGGAGAACTCGCTGATTTGATTGGCTGGATATGGAGCGTGTGGGAGAAAGAGGAGATAAAGATAAATGTGAAGTTATTTAAATGGTTTGTGATGCTTTTTAACCCAAAGAAAGATATGATTGATGTAGAAACAACTTTTCCTTTTACATATCCAATCCACATATAAAAACATATTTAAATCATAAACTGTAAGGATGGTAAACTAGAAATTTATGGCTGCTTCTCAGTAGCAACGTTTTTTCTTTAATTATTTTTGGCTTAAAATTTTTGATAAGTTATATCTCTAAGGGTATACAAAATAACTTGTTGAATTTGCAAAGTGCTTTGTAGATTTCAAATTACTTTGGAGTCTGTCATTTGACCCTCACAAGAACCATATAGTAGGTGGGAGAGTTAACATCGTCCCTTATTTACCAATGAGTGTACTGAGGTTCAGAGAGGTTAACATAATTAACTAAGGAAACCGAGCAAATATCTTGGAGGGATGGTATGAGAACCCAAATTTGCCAGTCCAGTGCTTTACCATATATCATTCAGTTCTCCGATTCCTAGTAATTATAGTTACTTATAATCAATGATAAAATTATAGCCAGTGACCAAGTTACCCAGTAACATTCCAAAAATGGCATCACATTTTCATTAAAGCATTATAAAATATATTTAATCAAGTCAGAGCTATTCTAAAAGAATAATAATAACTAGAACGATCTTGGATGACTGGCTTAGCCAGAGTCCCCATGTAGATCTGAGTGCTCATTGTGGGTCATGGCCACTTTCTTGTATCTCAAATATCCTCTGCAATTCTGGAAGGGGGAGAAGGTAAAAATAGGAGAGGACTCTGGCTCAAAGGGGGAGGGTTCTGTAAATTGGAAGTATCACTTTAGATGGTGAAACATTTTCTTGCTAGTTATGTAATTCTGATATGCTTTTAACTTCCAGTTCCTAGGAAAGAAGTTGTTTCAACTCTCATTGGAGGAAGTATAAGGTGATCTCAGGGAAGGGGAGAAGGGCTGGTTGCCTGCCAAATCTATGATCAAGTCGGCTCCACAGTCAGTTGAGTAAACCGGAGCTATATATGTGAGAAGTTTTGGCCAGGAAAAAGGTGTAAATAGGTTAAGTAAATTGACAAGGAACAACATATTGGGTCATTAGTCAAAACTCATCATGTGGTCTACATAACATAAACATCAACATAAATGCAACTCATCTTCCCAAATAGCTACACACTTAATTTTCAAGTGCTAACAAAATGGGGCTTGATTTCAATTAATACTAAATAATTTTATGCCATTTCCAAATTTTCATTTCTTTGTGGGAATGTCGGAAATGTTGAGGCTAATGCAAAGACTTTCTGAACACAAGAAAAGGCCTTACTTTGTATAATTATCTGGTTTGATGTTCTGTTGCTACGTGAAATACTGTTTACATCATGTGGTTTTAGAACCAAAACTGTGTATTGAATTTCATCCAAATCATTTAGTTAAGTCTAAGTTTACAAAGGAAACTAATGATCTGGCTTTATTTCAATGTATTGATTCTGGATTCATGAGCGTGTGTCAAAACGTGATTACATACTCTCTAATTTCTGTACAAGCTCCCTACCCTAAGCTTACCCCTGCTAAGAAATCCTTGGTGTATTGATTCTTCATTTCATCTTAAACTAGTACTTAGGTAAAAATATGATTAGGGCCCTTTTTCTTCACTTGAGAAAAGTGGGGACAATAATTCATGTGATAAATCAATATTATTCCAAATAAAAACAAAAAGCATTATTCTAGAAAGGGCAAAACAATGTTGGATTTGGACAAGACTTTGTGGAACTTAGGATGATTGAAATCTGTCTAGCATCTCAGGTGTCCTCTTCAATTTTGGCAGAGGCAGAGTTGGAAATGGGGAGAGGACTCTGGCTCAAGGTGGAGAGGGGCTTCCACAAATTGGCAAATGTCACTCTACATAGTTTTGAAAACAGAAAATGACCTTGCTTTATAAAATTCTGTGGTTTGATGTTCTGTTGCTTTGTGAAATGCTTTTTAGAATATATATTAGATACCTATATATCATTATATATTATATGGTAGGAAGAGGGGCAGAAAAAGAATTGCTTTCTTATCACTAACTCTCTAACAAAATATTTCCTTTCTTACTTCACCTGAAATTGGGTGCTTAAGGGAGGGGATGGGAAGATGAGGCAGCTGGGAAAGTTCAGGCTGGGTGACAAGAAGAGTAGGAAGAAGACAGATGGTGTTTTTCAGAATAGATGGCCTCTGATCAGAAGTAGAGGCATCATATTGACATTGCCAAAAAGATGGGCTCTCAAGCTCTCTCCTACTGTAGTTTTAAAAATTAAATATTCTTGTCTTATACAAATTAGAACATGTCCTAAAAATATGTTGGGTGCTCAGGTGCTGTACTCATAATGCTCACTACTTAGCAACCTATCTGACACTTTATACCTTACTTGAAGGCCCCAATTACATGCTGATAGAAGTTGCCTTTGATTTTGCTGCAATTTTGTGTATTTCTTATTTTAATGGAATACTTCATATGTATGTTTTACTTCAAGAAGGAGGTAGGATGGTTGTCTCCAGAGGGTAGGGTGTGGGGGAGGGAGGGAATGGGGAGCTGTTGATCAAAGGGTACAAAGTTTCACATAAAAGGAAGAATAGGTTTTTGAGATCTATTGCACAGCAGGGTGACTATAGCCAATAATAATGTATTTATGTCTCAAAATAACTAAGAACAAATTTGAAATATCTTACCATAAAAAATAATGGGTAATCAAGGGGATGAATATATTAATTAGTTTGGTTTAATCATTCCACATTGTATTCATGTAGCAAAACATCACATTGTATCCCATAAATGTATATAATTGCAATTTGTCAATCAAAAATAATATTAATAATTTAAAATTTTTATTTCTTTGTCTTGACTTTATCCTTCTAAGTAGGAATTGTACATATGTCATAGCTAATATTATTTTTTCTTAGTCTTAAAAATACATCTACAGTTTCTCTGTTAAGTGTGATGTTTGTTATAAAGTTTTGGTAGTTAGCCTTTAACAATTTCTTTTTTCATAATTAGCCTTTTCATTTTTGTCCACTTTTTCTCAGGCCAATTCTGGTAATTTATATTGACAATTTATTATTATATGTATAATCATGTAACATATGTTATATATGACAACTTAGAACTTCATATAAAACCAGTTATGTAACTTGTTTCAAATTCATGGTGTTCTTTTATGGATGAGGATATTTTGACTCTCACACACCCAAATACTGCTATATATCCTAGTTGCCTGTTTCTTTTAGGACACCGCTGCTAGTGGTATACAGAACTTTCGCTCTTTTGTGTTAGAGAATTATTCACTTATTAATACATTTTGTATATTTTTTGTTTTTATATTTTTCTTATTTCGATAGCTTTTTGGGTACAAGTGGTTTTTGGTTACGTGGATGAAATACATAGTGGTGAATTGTGAAATTTTAGTGCACTCCTCACCCGAGTTGTGTACATTGTACCCAATGTGTAGTTTTTTGTCCCTCACCCCTCTTCCACCCTCCCGCTTCTGAGTCTCCAAAGTCCATTATATAACTCTATTTGCCTTTGTGTACTTCATAGCTTTGCTTCCACTTCTAAGTGAGAACATACAGTGTTTGGTTTTTCATTCCTGAGTTACTTCACCTAGAACAATGGCCTCCAGCTCCATCCAAGTTGCTGCAGAAGACATTTCATTCCTTTTATGGCTGAGTAGTATTCCATGGTGCGTATATACCACATTTTCTTTATCCACTCATTGGTTGATGGACACTTACATTGGTTCTATATCTTTGCAATTGTGAATTGGGTTGCAATAGACATATGTGTTCATGTGTCTTTTTCATATCATGATTTCTTTTCCTTTGGGTAGATACCCTGTAGTGAGATTTCTGGATCAAACGGTTAGATCTACTTTTAGTTTCTTAAGGAATCTCCATACCGTTTTCCATAGATGTTGTGCTAATTTACATTCCCACCAGCAGTGTATAAACATTCCACTTTCACCAGATCCAGGTCAACATCTATTGTTTTCTGACTTTTTAATTATGGCCATTCTTGCAAGGAGTAAGGTGGTATCTTTTCCTTTGGGTAGATGCCCAGTAGTAGAACTGCTGCATTGAAGGATAGATCTACTTTTAGTTTCTTAAGAAATCTCCATACTGTTTTCCATAGAGGTTGTAATTCTTCTTTTCTGATTTGGATGCCCTTTATTTCTCTGGACTGATGGCTCTGACCAGGAATTCCAGTCCTATGTTGAATAGAAGGGGTGAAAGTGGGCATCCTGGGCTTGTTTCAGTTCTCAGGGGAAACACTTTCAACTTTTCCCCATTTAGTATGATGTTGCCTGTGGGTTTGTCATATATGGCTTTTATTAACTTGAGGTAAGTACCTTCTATGCCTAGTTTGTTGAGAGTTTTTAATCATAAAGCGATGCTAAATTTTATCAAGTGCTTTTTCTGCATCTATTGAGATGATCATATGGTTTTGTTTTTAATTCTGGTTATGTAGTGTATCACATTTATTGATTTGCATACATTAGACCATCCCTGCATCCCTGAGGTGAAACCCGCTTGATCGTGGTGTATTATCTTTTTGATGTGCTGCTGTATTTGGTTAGCAAATACTTTGTTGAGGATTTTTGCATCTATGTTCACTGGGGATATTGGTCTGTAGTTTTCTTTTTTTGTTATGTCCTTTCCTGGTTTGGCGATTAGGGTGATACTGGCTTCATTCTCTTATTTCTATGTGACTGGTATGCAGAGATAAGGGTTTCACCATTTGTACGAATATGCAGTTTTAATGTGAAATATGTTTTTTAGCTATTTGATACTTTTTCTTTCTTAATAAATTGAATGAGTATACACACACCTATTCTGATGCTGTGTGCATTTAAAACCTCATGTACTTTGTCACTCTAGCTTTATATTGCAGACTCCCTTACTGTATTGTCTGGACTTACTTCTGCCCACCACATTGCTTACTCTGTAGGCTCCAGGGGTGAATGCCAGGGATGAGGTAAAATTTTGGTTATATATATGACTGACTTTTTACAAAGATGAAATTAAAATTATTTCTTTAGGGCCATGTAATGTCACCCAAATCATGTTGGTCAAAGAGTACAAACTTTCACTTACAAGATGAGTAAGTTCTGGGAATCTAATATGCAGCATGATGACAATAGTTAATAATACTGTACAGATGTTCCTTGACTTACAATGGAGTTATGTTCCAACAGACTCAACGTAAGCTGAAAATATTGTAACTCAGGGGTGTCCCATCTTTTGGCTTCCCTGGGCCACGCTGGAAGGATTGTCTTGGGTCACACATAAAATACACTAGCACTAACGAAAGCTGATGAGCTAAGAAAAATCACACAAAAGAATCTCATAATGTTTTAAGAAAATTTACAAATTTGTGTTGGGCCTCATTCAAAGCCATACTGGGCTGCATGTTGCCCATGGGCCATGGTTTTGACAAGCTTGTTGTAACTTACAAATGTATTTAATACGCCTAGGCTACAGAATATCATAGGTTAGCCTAGCCTACTTTAAATAAGCTCAGAACGCTTATATTGGCGTACTTGGGCAAAATCACCTAACACAAAGCCTATTTAGTAATAAAGTGCTGAATATCTCATGTAATTTATTGAATACTGTACTGAAAGTGAAAAACAGAATGGTTATATGAGTACTTAAAATGCAGTTTCTACTGACTGACTTTTACACAATCTTAAAATTGAAAAATTTTAAGTAGAGAACTCTCTGTATTGTATCCTTGAAATCTGCTAAAAGAGCAGGCCTTAAAAGTTCTCACTACACGCCCAGGTAACTATGTGAAGTGATGGAGGTGTTGACTAACTTGATATCACTTCACAATATTTACGTATATCAAAGCATTGTAACTCAATTGCAGATTCAGTCACTCGATGCTTGCCGAGTCCAGTTTACAAGAGTGAGGTCTGATATAAAGAAAGTGACTTTTTAATCCAAAGCTTAGCTTGTGGAAAGAAGTCCAGGCTCTTGCCTTTAAAGGCACTGCTTCACTTTTGGGGCAGAAAGCCAGAGCTTTTAAAGGGGAACTTGGCATGAATGACAGGCAGGGAAGGAGCAGTTGGGGGTCTAGGTGACTTGGTTTGTTGCCTTATCTACCCAGTGGTTGAGCTAGTGCTAGACTGTAAGGTGGCTGTGGTCTGGAGATACTCTCCAGATGGGATAGAGTTTCCTGTGGGCAAACTTTAGGTTGTAAATTGACTCTTGTCTCTAGAGGCAATCTTCTGGTGGGAGAGATTTCTGGCTCTGGGGCTTCTAGGTATGCACACAGTTAGATGAGCTTGTCCTGTAGGGAGTGTCTGGTGAAGGGAAGGTAGAGGTTCTAATTGCATTTCTAAAGAGTTAAGTAGGAAGTGGGGAACGGGGCAGAGGAAGAAAGAGAAAAAAACAAAAAAAAAATTTAAAAAATAACTCGTTCTCTTTCTCTTAGGGAAATGGCAGTTCTGGGTTACAGCATCCCATTGTACACAAAACTTGTCTAACCCACGGCCCATGAGCTGCATGAAGCCCAGGAAGGCTTTGACTGTGGCTCAACACATTCAAAGAAAGTTTGTAAACTTTCTTTAAACATTATGAGATTATTTTGCAGTTTTTGTTTTAAGCTCATCAGCTGTCATTAGTGTTAGTGTATTTTATGTGTGGTCCAAAACAGTTCTTCCTGTGTGGCCCAGGGAAGCCAGAAGATTGGACACCCTTGTTGTACACCTTAAATACAGAGTTTTGTGTTTCAATTTTCCCTCAGTTAAGCTGGGAAAAAAATGGCCATACCCAAAAATTACACATAAAATAGTTGGGTCAAATTTCTATTTTAATCTTGAATATCTTTCTTTTACAATAAACTTCTCTCACATGATTTTTTAATAGTTTCAGAGTGTTTCATTTTATGGATATTTCAGAACTCAATAAGTTTCTATTTATTTATTTGGACACTGTGGTAGCGTCTAATTTTTGCTAAATCTTGGTGCACATTCTTAAATTTCAAAGCTGGACTTACTGAGTCTAGTGGGTCTTAAGACATATTGTTATCTGCCTCTCAAGAAGGTTTTGACTCACTTCAAATGAAGTCAAACATCTTCACCATGTATTTAACATTCAAATATTTTGTATGTGTGATTGTTCTCTTAGCTTATTTTTTGAGTTTTCACTGAGTTAGAACAATTCCTTGGTTTACTATAAAAAGAGAAAAAATTCATTATGAGCCAAATGGATTTTGAGAAATACATTCTGAGTTTTCTCTTTACAGAGGTTTTTGTTTTGTTTTTGCCTAGAGCATAGGGTTAACTGGACTAATTTACACTTTTCCATTAGCTTTATCTTATTCAGGATAATATGAGCCAGTTTTCTTAACCCTAACAGGGCATATTTCTGTTTTTTCTTAACTCGTTCTTTTTCTAGTGTATTGCTAAGTTTTCCAATTTAGTTCTTGCCTTAAAAATGACGTTGTCTAACATTATACTTGTAAAATACTGGAAAAAGTTTTTGTCATTCTTGCTGCAGGCAGTCAACAACTCAAGGTAACCCCTAGGTTAGCTGGAAATACATCTTGATTGGTACAGACTCCGGTTTCTAAGTGAATAAGCCGAGAACACACTGAGTGCCTGACGATGTGACATGCTATCATGTCACATGAAACTATCAGAACTTGCTGGGGTTCCAGATTCTGCACTAGAAATTCCTCCCAGTCGAGGGCTTTTTTTCCCTCCTGTGAAAAATAAACCAGAAGAAAGGAGAAGATGTATTTTTGTAATTTAGTTTCATGATTTTAAGGACCAAATCTCAGCTTTATTTCTCTAGAATAGGAAATAGAGATATCGTTGTCATCTTATGTTTTTTCTCACTTGATCTGATCTATGATCTGTTGAAACTTGATCATCTGTTCTTGCAAGTGAGGTTTTGTTGCTACATTTCTGAACTTCAAAATTAGAAAAATAATATCCTGAAGCTTCTAATACTTACAGTTGAGCTGACTTTATATTCTGTTTACACCTACCATTTTACATAAATCTTTATGCCTTTTATTTAGAAGACAACATAAAAATTAAAAGAGAAAAAATATCCCCCATATTCATAATACCTCTCTATGGACTATTCTTTTGTGGGATAAGGTAGGTGGGAGAATGGAAGAGTAGCAGACCCATTAGAATACAAAACATGTAAGTAACTATTATTTTTAAATTGGGGCCACTTGGACACCAAGATATTATTGCCTTTTTAAGAGATGTGTGTTCTAGAGAACTGATTTCCTTAAATCATTTCTGTTTCCAAGTTTCTACTCACAAATGTACTAGTGTCCTAAAGGGCATGAAGGAGATATATATATATATGTATGTAGAACAGTGATACACTAAATATGAATAGTAATATAGTAAATCACTGTTCTTCAAAATATGTATAAACAGAGATATAGTAAATCACTGTTCTTTTATAAACTGGGTCCCTATTCTATTTTTTATCCCCATAATAATATATTTTATAACTTCTGTTTAGAATATTGGCAGATAATAGAACTTGATTTTCTGATTTTCAATTTAAACACTTATCAATCAAATACATAAGTACTTGTACAGGGTAGAGAAAAGTTAATCCTTTATATTATCTACGTATCTCTGAAAGACAAGAAAGTTTCTGTACATTTACAGACTACAAATACAGAAGTTAAAGCAAATGCCTTCTAGCTGGCATAATATTAGGAAAAAAGCAGACTAAAGTATTATAAATTGGTAACAGAAGATATGTAAAGTAAAGACATGATCACCTAGATAGTATAAATCAATTTTCTATTCTTGTGCTGAAGCCTAGACCCCACATGGCAGCCTGATGTAATTCCATTACCATGCTTAATTACTTGGCACTTGTATAGCCTTTTTATTTTTGTGTTACTGTTATTCCTGGTAAATCATTCAGAAGAAATAAATTTTCTTGCCACTCAAAATTAACTAGTATGGTGCATTGCTGCCCCACCCCCCAAAAGATGAGTTGACAGCTACTGGGCATTAATCTAGCCATTTTTTGATAACAGAGTATCTCTTTGCACATAGTTATGAGAGTTATAAACATTCCAAATGTAATTATCTCAGTCCTTTACAACTTGGAAGTCTAATTAAAGAAAGTTTAAGATACTATAAATCTTAAGGAATTAGGTTTATAATGTGGAACCCAGTCAGAGTTTGGGATTACATTGGAAAGTGAGTATATTGAAAAGGATTGCAGAAACATTTCTCTCAGCCAGAATTTAATTGCTCAGAAAACTGAATTTCAGTAAAATAGATGAAAAGTGGTAGGCAGAGAGACTCAGACCTATGACTGCTGAAGAAAGAGCTAATTCCATATCCCTTTTTCTAGATGCCCTGGAATACACTTGTGTCAGTGACAAATGCTGCTTTGCTGTGCTACATCGAGTACAAGGTAGTGATAAGACATGACTGGGAAGCAGTTACCAGAGACAAGCGAGGATAGGGCTTTGACTGCATCCTCTGCTGGTGGCTTCTGTAGTTATGCATAAAATTTATTCTGACCTGTTTACTTTTATAGCCTGTCTTTACTTTGTTTCTTTTAATATTATGCATGTTTAGGCTATGCTTTTTCTTTAAATATGTGAGCAAATCTATTGGTGTAATGTACTCATTACCCTAAAACCTATATTATAATGGACCTGAAGACCATAAGGTAGAAGATCAGAAGAAAAAGAAAATGCATACATTTTTATCTTTAAAACAATTCACTTTTAAGAGTATTTTCTTGAAAGGTATACCTTTGATGGAGCTGAATCTAGTTGCTTCAGGCAGATACAATAGGATACAATAGGATAGGACTTCTTGGGTAAAAAAGGTGTAGTAATCTGTGAGACTCACCGGAAGGAGAAAGGCAATTATGCATTAATTTGGCTGAGGCCAGGGTAGTAAGCAGATTCATTATAAATTCTGACAGCAGAGGAATACTTGAGAAATGCTTATAGTTAGATCATCTATTTTTCCAAGCAATATTCTTCATGTCATTCCACCTTGCAAAAACTTTGTGGAATAGAATAGGCATATGAAGAGCAATGAATAGACTTTGCATTAGATTGGTAATCTTGCTACTAGTACATTAATTTACTTGTATTACTGATATTTTAAGATAGGATTTTTACAGATGTTTATATATTTTTTAAAAGCCTATTTTTTTCTTTACCCACTTTCTCAATTTTTTTAACCTCGAAAACTTTTTCCTCCCTAAGAGAAATACATGGGCTATCTTCAGCACAGAACACAAACTCTGCCTTCTTTTCTCAAGTCCAGTGATTCAAGTTTGACACACCACACCACGGTGGATGTGCCTTGTCATGACACATCTTCTCAGCAGCACTAGAAGATACATCCAAAGTCCTGTGAGCAAGGTAAGCCTTGTAGCAACCCTTTGATGTCTTTGAAAAATGCAAAAATGCTCACCGATCAGGAGCAAAGGGGCCAAAGGAGAGGTATTTCCCCCTCACATGTAGTTTTTATTTTTTTAGCGTATTTTTTGTTTTTCTCTAAATCAAACTCAGACTTACTCTGTTTACACTGAAATATACTGCACAGTGCCATAGGTGTAATCAGACCCAGATCTCAACAATGTGTATGATTCCATACCCAGTATAAATAAGGGTTTAATATCAACTCCATCTCTGAGTGAGAATGAATAGCTCTGAAAAGTCAATTCTTCGTATTTTTCTTTTACATTTGGCCTTGTAATAGCTGTTTTATGTCATTTCCTTTGAGAGCTCTGATACCAAGTTGGAATAGTCCATTATATCCTAGCTCTCAGTCTTTACTGAAAGTTACATGAAAGAAGAGGCCTTTGCCTGCAATTCAGAATTCTAAATTACCAGCCTTTCTTAATTTCAGGTTGCCCCTCCTGGACATGTTGTAAACTCATGCATGGGCTTTTGAGTTAGAAAAATTTGTGTTTGGAACTTTTCTCAGCTCTTGGCTTTTGACCTGGCCAGGTTACTTTTAAAGCCACATCTTCTTTTATTTTATTTTAATTATTTGTCATCTTAAGAATGGGGATAATGAAAGTACCAGCCTCACTGAGTTATGTTATTTGAATGATATAGCCTAAGTGATGAACCTAGCTTAGGGTCTGTTACCTGGGATGATGGTCAGTGGAAAGCCAAGATTTTTTGTGATTTTGTTTATATGCTGCTAGCATATAAAGGAGTGTCTCAAGTCCCATCACAGCTTTCAAAGCTCGTCTTCCTTTTGTCTGAGCAAACACTGAGAAAAGTCTGACAGTCAATGAACTTTAGTACTGAGATGTGCTTAGGAGGTATGGTCGTTGTTAGGTTTGATAATTATCAAAGAGAGTGATTCACTTCTTAGAACCCTGACCTGCAGCTCTAAGGTCCTAAAAGACTGACCATTACCAACAGACACTGCCCTCTAGTGTGCTTGTCTAATTATATGTTAACTATAATTAGCACTTTAAATCTGATAATTACTACCTAAGAAAGTATATTACCTGGTGCAGAGCCTGGCAGAGAGGAAGTGTGCGTTGAATATATGCTCATGGTTTATTGAGTAAATCCAGATCTTTCCTTGGTACTGGGTTAGAACTCTGGGAGCATACCTTTACGGACTTAGCAATCTGGAAACAGCTGGATATCCTTTGGGGTGATCTGGAACAGTTTGTCATTCTTCATTTCTACTAACATTTATTAGGCTTATGTGTAAGCTCTAGAGTTGGCACTCGTAACTTCATTTAATCCTCACACTAGTCCTTTGAGGAACATATTATTCCTATTTTTCAGATAAGAAATTTGAGACTTAAGCAATAAAGTGACTCACTAATAGCAATAATACTAGTAGCAGCTAAGTTGACTATACTGTGTGAACCTGTGTCACACCTTAGCTGCTATCTGGATAGTAGCATGCCTTGCCTAGCATGGATTTGGGGTACTAAACTCTGTACATTCGGTTGTCCCCAAGATCCTTCCTTGAGAGCATATTATTTAGACCTATTCTTATTTTTAGGCTTGGGCCTTGTTGTGGACTAAGTGTCTGTGGCTCCCCACAAAATGTATATATTGAAGCCCTACCCCATGATGTGGCTGTATTTGGAGATGTAGCCTCTAAGGAAGTAACTGAAGTTAAAAGAGGTGATAAGGGTAGAGACCTGATCCAACAGGATAATGTCATTATAAGAAGAGACACCAGAGAGCTTACCCCCTCTCTTTCTACCATGCAAGGACACAGCGAGAAGATGGCTGTCTACAAGCCAGGAAGAGAGTCCTCACCAGAACCAAACCCTGCTGGACTTTGATCTTGGACTTCCCAGCCTCTAAAACTGTGAAGACATAAATTTCTGTTGTTAAACCCACACAGGTCTGTGGTATCTGTTTATTATGGCAGCCCAGTAAGACTAAGACAGGCCATCACAAGACATGAATGTTTTGGACCTTCTCTTGGGCCCTAGTAAACAGAAATCAGGTACGCAAAAGGGGTAAGCATATAATTTCCTTTATTTTTATTTTTAATGTGTAAGCCTTAGGTTTTTATTTATTTATTTGGTGAAGACAATCACATTGTGTACGTACAATGTAATTATATTGTTGACGAGAAGTTACTTAAAATTTTTTAAAAATTCTAATCGATTTCTAGATGTCCAAATGAGAAGATAGCATTTATATACCATCAGAACATAAAATAATTCAAAAAAATAAATTTATAAAACAATATGTATTATATTGAGAGAAAGAGAGGGAGAGAGTATTGGAAGAATATATGCAAATACAATGTGATAATGTGATGTCTTTGTGAGAATGCTATATGTCATTTTCTTTGTTTATATGAATTTTTACAATTTTTACCTTTGAAATATAAAAAAGAGAGAATAAAAGTCATTGAAAAAATCAAAAGTAACTATTTTCATAGGTGAGTAAGTATACATCTTTAACAGAACAGCAAAGAGTCGATGAATGTTCAGAGATATTATATAAGTAACAGATAAGAAGTGTCCTGATCTATGGTATTCATTCTCAGTTGCAAATATATATGCAAAAAACCCCACAAATGAAACCAAAACAACTCAGAATTCTCATGAATGTTGCATAAGTAAATATATTATTTGGAATAAATTTAAATAAGCTACATACAGGATGTCTTTTAGTTGGGTTGCTGAGGTGCCCCATTTTGCTTTTCTGATCGGTATTGTAGAAGAGCTTTAGTTTTGTGGAGTCACTCTCCAGGGAATTATTAGGGTGATGTACTGAGAGATAGAACAGTGGATTTGGAGTCAGTAGACCTGGATGGAACTCATTTATCAGGTGTGTCATTGAAAAAGTCATTGAAGCTCTCAGAGCTTTAGTCTCCTCATTAGTGAAACTAGCATAACAATTCTATGTCCTTTACATGGTTTCATCAGCATCAAACTAAATGAAATAATATGTGCAAAGCTTTGTGACCCAGAGCACTTTATGCTAATGCTAGCCATCATTATTCTGAAGATGACTATTATAATCGAAGTTATATAAATTAAAGAAATGTGACAAAAGTTGTTCCGCTGAAAATGTTAACTCTTGCTGCTATAGTCCTAATTGTGCTGGTGCAAATCCCTTTAAATATTCTTAATTTCTGGTCTGATCTTAATTAATGGATACCAATGTAGGGTACTCTGGATTTTTGGCAGACAGTAAAACCTGGGGTTCAGGAACAGCAATGTAAACAGGCTATATGTTTGCAAGTCCCAACTTTCATTTATTTGATATTTGTCATGAAAATCTATATAGTGCTTTCAGTGTTCCAAGTCCTGTGGTTACAGCAGCAAGTAAAACAAAATTCCTGCCCCACCGGAGCTTACAATCTAATGGGAGGAGGGAGAGGGCCAATAATACAGTAGAAAATGAATATATAATAGGTCAGTAATGAATATGTGATATATGAGTATGTGATAGAGCAATAAATGTAGTAAGTGCTATGGAGAAAAAATAAAGCAGAATAAAGGAAAAGTTCTGTAGGTCAGATGTGCAGGCAGCAGAATCTGAGATGGAGATTGAAGTCAGGAAGTTCATTCAAAGTCTTCTGAGGAAGGAAGTAGGGTTGGGTAGAGAGAGAAGATGGGTTCCAAAGCAGGCACAGTTGGGCCTCTGCCGACTCCATGGGGAACTGGAAAGCAGGGATGGGCCTTCCGATTGCCTTGACTTGGGGTATGGAGGCCAGGCCTTTATATTCCTGCAATGACCAGAAATTGGATGCAAGTTGTCCTTTGGGAAGGGGACTGTGACCTTGGTGACATGACTTTCCTCTGCTGAGGGCAATTCCCAGAGAGGGCTGACAGTAGTGAGCTTCCAGCCAGTAGCACTGTGTTCATTACAGGTGTGTGTGTGTGTGTGTGTGTGTGTGTGTGTGTGTGTCTGGGAGACAGGAGGTGAGATTGCTTTTTTTAAAGGATAATGAAGGGAGCCTCTCTGAAAACAATTTGGGAGTAAATGTGAAGGACATGAGGGAGGAACCTCATGAAATCTGGGGGATAGCAAGTAGATAGATATCTGGGGGAGAATATTTCTGAGGAAGATACTTTTGAACTTCTTTGGATTTTTTCATATGGATTATCTATATGAGTAATGTCTATGCTCATCTACTGCTTTTCCAGTTGTGCTTATCATGGTAGTAGTGATAATAGTAATAACAACAATAATGTCATTTTTACCATGTAATTGCAAGCTTTGCTTTAGGAACTGATGTAAATCTTTCATCAGATCTTACTAGAGAATTAATTAGCTAATTAGTTAATTTACTTATTCATTCAGTCACACAGTGAGTGTTTATAAATGCCCACTGTATGTCAGTTACTATGTGAAGTGCAATGAACACCATGGTGAGCAGGACGAGTTAGTCCCTGAGTTTGAAACCATTAAGGTGGGGAGACTGACAAATGAAATAGGCAATTAAAAATACAGTGTAAACAGTGGTCCAGTGTAGTTAAACAAGGTAAGGAAGGTGCAGCAGGGAAACACTAAGCCAAAGAAGAAACCAGGTGTATGAATAAATAGGGAATGGCAGATTAGTAAAGCAAAGTGAAAATGAAGCTTTCTTTGAATTGGGGTGGGATGGGGTGTGTGGAACAGAGGTGGGCAAAATAGGTGAGACAAGTGGCTCTGGAAATGAAACCAAGTTTTGTTTAGTGACCTCTTACGTTGTCAGATGGGGTTAAATCCATAAGGGTGTATAAACATTGGCCTGCTATGTAGAAAACACATGTTTCAATGGCAACTAAGTTGTGAGAGAGGTTTTCATTGCTAACGATGGGCTCCTAGCATGAAGAGATTCAGGTAAATCCTGCCTCGAGGAGTGGGCTGATATCTCTGATCAGAGCTGGCTGCAAGCTTGAGTAGTGACAATGGTGAGATCTCCAAAAGTGCCAACTCCTACCACCCAACACCCAGGAGAGAATAACTTCTGACTCCCCCGTCACAGATCCTGAGCTGAGCTAAACAACCTCTTCAGTTCTCGCAGTCCACCTCTCTCCCCCGCTACTGCCCCATTCATGCTGCAAAGATGTCACAGGACTGTCTACTTAAAGATTACCTTTCTAAAGCAGAGTTGACTCTATGTATTCTGTAAAGGCAATTCTGCTTTTTTGTTTTTTTTCAACACTGACCCAAGAACACTTGGATATAAACAGTAATATCAACATGGTCAGGAAGGGGGAAATTCCACTGGCTTTCTTGTTTCATTTAACATTCTTTGACTTGGGGGTGATATTAAAAATATAAAAATATTATAGAACATTTTCAAAGTCAACTTGCTTTATAAGTCCCTTCAAAATTTTATTTGTCCTCTATGTTCATAGCAATTTTAAAGTGTTAGTCTGTAAAATATTGTATCTACATGTACAGCTTTGTTTTTGATAGTCACTTCTAGAACAGATTGAAAATCAGTCAGGAAAATTCAGTAAGACCGATTTGTGGTTTATGTATATTCTTATGTAAACCTGAGATTCTCACATTTGTCACTAATAACAGTAATAAAATAATTAAAGACAAATGAGTTAGTATTTTATCATCTAAAATTTCCCCCTTTTTCCTGAACTTTCTTACATTTCTAGAAAATAGTTAGAAGGAAGTCTGACTGAGACCTCAGGGCTTATTGCCCCAAGTAAAAAGTAGGCTGAAAGAAAAGTTAAGTCATTGAAATTGATATCTACATTTACTTTCCCTTTTCTTTGTACTCTTTCCTCTTGACTTTAAATTCTTTTGATTCCAGAAGGGAGAAAACTTTGCTAATGCTCTGCCAAGCCTCACTTTTCTGTCATGATTGGAAGGTTTGATGTTAATTAGACTTACTCATGGAAAATGGAAGAGCTGCTGCATTACAATGAAAGCCATCTTTTAACAGCCTGAGTTCCTTTTTCTTTTACCTGAGTCAGGAACAAAAAATATTCATGTATATTCCCCAAAAGGACAAAAAAGTATCCAATGAAAGGGCTACCTTGTAGAAAGGTCAGAGCATTTTAGTGCTAAATGACACCTAAAATCACTCTCTCTGCACACCTTATATTGTAAAAGAGAAAGTTAAGACCCAGAATAAGATCAAGAGTTTTTCATTGGTCGTTACAATATTAAAGAAGTTTTGAAATATATGTCTAGCTTTCTCACATCTATGTGCTGATTAGACCTCAGCCAAAGACTTCAGGGGAGCCCTCTGCAAATTTCTAGAGTTCTTTGTGCAACTTTTCCTCTTGGGTTCTCTGACTTGCAAACTCAAACCGCCAGGCTTTTCCTAGAATCAGCTCTGCCTCCTCATCTCAGAGAGACCCTGCAGTGGGGCTTGGGAACCCTCCAGGCTGTGAGCTGGACAATGGAGCTCATCTCCATTTTGTTTGTTTCCTCTCTCTTGGCAATCACTCTTCTGTGCTACTGATGTCCAATGTCTGAAATTCATTGTTTTCATATCTTTTGTTTGTTTGCTTGGTGTCATTTCCTGCAGCAGGGTAAATCTGGCTCCTGTTGTTCCATCTGTCCTCCAGCAGCTTCCCATACAGGCAGCTCACTTCACTTCATTTTCAATTTTAATGACTTCTGTTCTTTATTACGCCTTTTGTCTACTTTTATTTTGTTTTGGTTATTCTTCTTGTTCTTTTTCTAACTTCTTGAGTTCATATTAAGTTAATTAGCTTTTAGTCTTTCTAAGTCAATTACTGAATGTTTTGAACTTTTCACTTTATGTTACTTTATATATGTTAGGCTATTAAACTAATCCACGTTCTAAACTGTTATTGCTACTGGAAAATGGTCCCGATCCAGACCCCAAAAGAGGATTCTTGGATCTTGCACAAGAAAGAAAGGGTGAGTCCATCAACTGAAAGCATGTTTATTAAGAAAGTAAAGGACAAAGAATGGCTACTTCATAGGCAGGGAAGTCCCGAGGGCTACTGATTGCCCATTTTTATGGTTATTTCTTGATTATATTGGTATGAACAGGAGGCAAGGAAATATTGGGGAGAAGGGGGCGGTTCCCTGGCAAAGACACCACCCTCAAGCTTGGAAATCCATGGCCCTAAATTTGAACAGGCATTCCTGTTTTCACACCTTAATGTTGCTTTTTGGCCTGCCACGCCCCCCATCCTATACCCATGTAAACCCTAAACCTCAGGCTCCATGAGCAGAAGATCAGAGGAGCAGAAGAGTGGTGCAGCAGAGAAGGAGAGAAGAGAAGGAATGTCTAAATGTCAAGAGGAGTTCAGCTGGGGACAGTTGGAGAGGAGATAGGCCATGGAAGAGCCAAACTCTAGGGGAAGATCATCTTTCCACTCCATCCCCTTTCCAGCTCTCCATCCATCCCACTGACAGCCACCTCCACCACTCAATAAAAGTCCCATATTCACCATCCTTCAAGTCTGTGTGTGACCTGATTCTTCCTGGACACCGGACAAGGATCTGGATACCAAGAGGTCACTGAGCTGATTAACACTTAAGCCATCTGTGGACAGCAGAGCTAAGAGGCACTGTAACATGCGCACTGGGGCTTTGGGAGTTGCAGACACCCACCCTTAGATCCTACCATGGGGCTGGAGCCCAAAAGCACTTTCTCCAGCTCTTGCACCTGCCTATCTGCATGCTCTCCCTCCCATAAGGGGTTTGAGCTCATGGTGCCCAAACAGAAAAACCACACCCGTGTTGCATGTCCTGTGAGTTGGGGGTCAGGGAACTCTCCTGTTTCAACATGTTAAACGAGGGGTGGATTATTCATGCCTCCCCTTTTTAGACCATATAGGGTAACTTCTGGACGTTGCCATGGCATTTGTAAACTGTCATGGTGCTGTTGGGAGTATAGCAGTTAGGACAACCAGAGGTCAGATTACCATCTTGGTTTTGGTGGGTTTTGGCCAGCTTCTTGACTGCAACTTGTTTTATCAGCAAGGTCTTTATAACCTGTATCTTGTGCCAACCTCCCATCTCATCTTGTGACTTAGAATGCCTAACTGCCTGGGAATGCAGCCCAGCAGGTCTCAGCCTTATTTTACCAGGCCCCTATCCAAGATGGAGGCACTCTGGTTCAAATGCCTCTGACATTATTTCCAAGATGATTCCTTTTTGTCATTACGTAGCAGCCTCTTTATCTTTGAAAATGCTTTATCTATCATCTATTGTATTTGTTATTAATATAGCTACATGAAATTTCTGTATTTTTACAGCCTCTTTACCTATTTATTGACATATAATACCCATACAATAAAGAGCATGTAAGGCACTGATCTTAAGAATAGAGTTTGATAATTTTTTTCTAATGTATACAGCCATGTACCCACCACCCAGATCAAGATCGAGAATATTGCCAACATCAAAGGAAGTCACTAGCATTATTTCAGTTGTTATTTTCCTCAGACATCTTTTTTTTCCATCCCTTACTTTCAGCTTATCTATTTATGTTTTAAAAATTTTACTTTCAAACAGTAGGTGACTTTTAGTAAAGTTACAGTACATTGATTGATTGATTGATTGTTACCTTAAAACCCAAGCCACTAAGTATCAACAACATCCTCTGTTCCTATTTTCCCCTCAAATAAAAGTAGACTTACCATGTGTTTAGAGTTTCTGTGTCTGCCAAGGGAGTCTTTAATTGCTAAAACTAAAAGACTTTATCCATATTTTCTTTTAGTGCTTTCCTGTTTTTATTTTAGTATCTTAACCTTAATTATGTGAAATATTTTATGTTGTAAAGAATGAGTAGTAGAGATCCATTTTTTTCTTCTTGAGTATCTGACAAGTTTTCTGAATATGGTAAACAATCTATCTTTTTATATTGATTTGAAAGCTGCTTTCTTCATGACACTAAATTATTACATGTATTTGAATTTACAAATGAATTGTTATATTTCACTTATCTGAATATATATTTCTTTACCCAGAATGTTCCTTCAATTAATGCTTAATATAACTCTATATTATAATTCCTGGCTGAAGAAGTTCCCACTCATTGTTCTTCATTTTCATAATTTTTCTGACTATTAACACACATTTATTCTTCTAGATGGAGGCTGTTCAACCTTGGCACTATTGATATTTTGGACTGGATAAATAGAAATCTGTAGTGGGATCCTTCTAATTTCCTCTACTTTCTTTTTGTAGCTCTGTTTGGTGCCCTCAGGTGGGAATGCTATGCCAACTCTCCAGTACCTTCTTTCTTTTTGGCCCAAAGCAGATATTCTGCAGAGTTTCTTGTATGAGGTTGTGTTGTTTCTTAAATTTCAGAGTAGATTGTTGTTTATTTTATACTTTTCTTCATTCTCTTTCTTCATTTAAGCAGATTTCAAATAGATGGAATTTGTAAATATTTTCTCAAGCCTCCATCTTCTCATTTTAAATTTCTTTAAGAAACATTTAAATTACCATTTTCACTTATCTGTTTTTAATTGCTCTGCTATTGTTTGATATTTACAAGTGATTTATTATTTTATCCTTTTTATTAGGTAAGAGGTGTTAATGGTGAGTTTGAGATTGATAGGAGCTATTTTGTTAGAAATAAATGAGGAACTGTTGCAAGAATGGACTGTAATTTTTACATTTTATTCAATTGTTTTGGTTTCTTACATCCTTATGACACTTTCCTTAGTGTTTAACACAAACAACTAAAGTAAAATAACTGCCATATCTCTCCTTGCAGTTTTGCAAACAGCTCTTTTTATAAGAACTGTGATTGCCTCTAGCAAGCAGTCTCAAGTACTTGATATATAAACACATTATTGCCCCTTTTCTTCACACTTGAAGTTTGTAGAATAAACCACTAAAAATATCACAGTATCTGAGGAGAAAGGACCTCTCCAGATGATGTTTTCTTACCTGGGGCCAATATGTGCACCATAGAGTCCCCTCTATCTGCCATAAAACTTTGTTTATTGCTTTAATCAATCTTCACATGGTAGGACGATACAGGCAAAAGCTGAGGTCTTCCTATACATCTCTTTCAAAGTTTTCCTTCAAGACCATTTTGCTTTTGGTCACTTTTTCTTTATATTTTCAGCAGCAGTTATTTATTTCATTTCATTCTATTTGACCCATCCAAATGTTTAACATGGTTTTATAAAAGTAACTTTATTTTTAGCTTGTCTGTAGATTCAATTTTCTTGTAGTTGCTGGTATAAGTAATAGGGAAAAATGTATCAGTCTTATACAATAAAGAAGTTCAGATGAGTGTGTGATATAGGAAGAAGCAATCGGTATGTAACAACATATGTCTGCCTGCTACGCTTTTAATACTTGTTAGAGTTTTAGTTTCTATGAGTATCTTGGAGGTGCTGGAATATATATGCAAATTTCCTTCTAAAAGATTGCACCAAGTTACATTACCATAACAACAATAAGAATTTACTGCAGCCTTAGCACATTGGATATTATCTTAGAAATACCACTTTGTAGGTTTCATAGATAATGGATAAATTTTCTGTTGTTTTAATTTACATTTTAAAAGGAGTGAGGTTGAAAATGATGCAATTTGAAATGCATGTGCATAAGAAGTTGAATAGAAGTTTATTGGTCAGAATGTGAAATGAGTTTTGAACAAGTTAAATGTTTTGAAAAACAGTATGAATGTACTGAATACTTTTGAGGTGTGATCTTCTAATTGCTCTAGCAAATTGAATTGGTCATGAGAAAACGTTTGAATTTTTCCAGTCAGTCAGTCATTGTATTAGTTCATTCCCATGCTGCTATAAAGAAGTGCCTGAGACTGGGTAATTTATAAAGGAAAGAAGTTTAATTGACTCACAATTCTGCGTGGCTGAGAAGGTTTCAGGAAACTTACAATCGTGGCAGAAGGGGAAGCAAACACATCCTTTTTCACATGATGGCAAAAGTAAATGGGGAAGCCCCTTATAAAACCATCAGATTTCATGAGAATTTGCTCACTATCATGAAAATAGCATGGGGGAAACTGCCACAATGATTCAATTACCTCCCACTACATTCCTCCCACAACACGTGGGGATTGTGGGAACTACAATTCAAGAGGAGATTTGGGTGGGGACACAGCCAAACCACATCACTATGCCCCTGACCCCTCCCAAATCTCATGTCCTCACATTTCAAAACACAATCATGCCTTCCAAACAGTCCCCCAAAGTCTAAACTCATTCCAGCATTAACTCAAAAGTCCAAGTCCAAAGTCTCATCTGAGACAAGGCAAGTCCCTTCCACCTATGAGCCTGTAAAATCAAAAGCAAGTTAGTTACTTCCTAGATACAATGAGGGTATAGGCAATGGGTAAATGCACCCACTCTAAATAGGAGCAATTGGCCAAAAACAGGGGCTACAGGCCCATGCAAGTCTGAAATCCAGTGGGGCAGTAATTAAATCTTAAAGCACCTTAATAATCTCTTTGGACTCCATGTCTCACATCCAGTTAATGCTGATGCAAGAGGTGGGCTCCCACAGTCTTGGGAAGCTCCGCTCCTGTGGCTTTGCATAGTACAACCCCGCTCTCGGCTGCTTTCACAGGCTGTCTGTTATCCAGTTCCAAAGTCACTTCTGCATTTTTAGGTATCCTTATAGCAGCACCCCACCTCTAGTACCAACTTACTGTATTAGTCTGTTCTCATGCTGCTATAAAAAACTGCCCAAGACTGTGTAATTTATAAAGGAAAGAGGTTTAGTTGATCTACAGTTTTGCATGGCTTGGAAGGTCTTAGGATACTTACAATCATGACCAAAGGGGAAACAAACACATCTTTCTTACATAGTGGCAGGAAGGAGAAGAATGAGAGCTGAGTGAAGGGGGAAGCTCCTTTATAAAACTATCAGATTATGTG
This sequence comes from Homo sapiens, assembly GCF_000001405.40. Lineage (NCBI taxonomy): Eukaryota > Metazoa > Chordata > Mammalia > Primates > Hominidae > Homo > Homo sapiens. The sequence continues at coordinate 143,991,841 of NC_000004.12, forward strand.
AGAATTTACTCACTATCATGAGAATAGCACAGGGGAAACCACCGCAATGATTCAAGTACCTCCCACTGGGTTCCTCCCATGACATGTGGGGATTATTGGAACTACAATTCAAGATGAGATTTGAGTGGGAACACAGTCAAACCATATTAGTCATTCCACATATTGAGTGATTTCTCTCTTCTATTCACTATTCTTCCACAGAGAGGGACCCATAGTCATTACCTTCAAGGAACCTAAATCCTGGCATCTTTATTGTTATGGGTGGTGTATAATATACAGGTAAGCCAATGTTACAGGATGTTGTGAGACTATTCCTATCCTTCCATAATTAGCCACTAGGACCACAGCTGAAACCAAGAGGCACTGATTACCCCCTCACTCTAAAGAGAATTACTGAGCTTGTGCTCACTGCGGGGGCCAGATCTTTTTGCAGGGCTATGTTAGGCTTTACACAATGTGACCCTCTAGTCTGTACAAGGAGAGGAATGCAGAGGGGAAGAGATTCACTGGAGTCTCTCGTCAGTGACCTGGTGGTGAATATATGGTAATGGGTAAATCCCACTTCACCTGATGAAGAAAAGGAGAAGGATGCACTTCATTCTTAGAATCTAAGCAGGAACGGGAAAGGGAAAATTAGGAGAAAAGCTTACAAAGACTGTAAATGCCTTCAAGAAGGTGAGAGAAACTAATATTTGGTTTACTGTCAGCAGGCTGTTCGGGCGGCATTTTGCCAATATAGCCCTATCCCTACGTGAGTAGGGGAAGGGAATTGTGGTTGGACAACAGAGTTCTGAGAAAGGCAGTGATTGAGCAGCTGAACTCCATCCATTTGGTGGGTAAGGACCCCAGAGTATTCAAAGTATCAAATGGAATGTGACTGAAGTGTTATCTTGCTGATGTTACCCAGGAAAACTGTCCCCTAGGCAAGGGGACACCAAACACAAAGAGGCACGGGATAAGGATTTCGTGACGAGAATTGGGCAGAACTGGAGTTTAATCCCCATGTCATGGTAAGGCCCTCTGAAATTCTCTCTACACCTTTGAGACACTCAGCATTTAGATTCTGACTCCTAGAGTCCCTTAGTGGTCAGTCAATGTAAGCCAAGTTAGTAGCTACAGCCGTTAGGCACACGATTACACTGTGAACAGTGAAGTAAAAAATGTCCTTTCTTTGCTTTCTTTCTCTAATCCCAATCCCAGAGGCATGAAAACCTAGAAAAAAGAAAGTAGCTGTATAGCTTTCATTTACATATAAGATTGGTGTTTTGAAATTTTAATAACAAAAAAGACCAGAAAGTTTCGTATCTCCCCAAGATGTTTCTAGGGAATAGAAATAAGAAATAGGAAAAGTACATTCCATGCAGTATGAGCAAATTTAAAGAATTAATTTTTTTTACCCTACTGAATTGAGACTTGCCAATAACCAGTTATACACATAAAGAGGGTAGTCTTGGGAGCTGAGTGCTATGAAAAAAATACAGGAAGAAAATGAAAGAGAAATTAATGGGAAGGAAGGAAGAAGACTACAAGCTGCTTTGCGTTGGGTAGGCAGGGAAGACCTATTTCATTCAATGAAATCTTACTGAGTTTTCCTGTGTTCTAGCCATTATTCTGGGCTCTGAGGATGCATAGTAAACAAAGCAGATGAAAAATACTGTCATCAGAATTTTCTTTGAAGGTGTGAGACAGGAATAATATGGAGGCAGTCAAGCAAAGATATGAAGCAAAAAAAGGAGAAAAAATTAGAACAAAGTTCCTAAGAAAGGAGCAAGCTTAGTATGTTGGAGTTTTGGGGAAAAGTTCAGTGGTTGCAACCTAAAGACAGGAGAGAGTGGGAGCAGGTTGAGAGGGGCAGGCCAGGTGACCTGAGCATGTGGACAGGTCAGAACTTCAGAGAGCATGCTAACAAGTGGTGATTTTATTCTGGTGCAGTGAAAAACCTACTGGAGATTTTAAGTAGGAGAAATACATGATCTAATTGATAGTTTGAAAAAATTGCTCTGTGAAGGAGGGAATATAAAAAACAAGAGTAGAGACAGCGAGACAAGCTGTGGGGGTGTTACTATATTCCATGCCATCTCATCCATTCTTTTTAGTAAGAATAAATGCTGCTGGTCACCTTTTAGTGATTTCTTTTTAAAATTTCAAAATATTCAGAGATGGGGATACTTTAATCTGAGGACATTAAAATATTCACCATTTTTATGCTTTGGTAGGCCTAGAAAATGTTTAATAGACTTAGGTAAGACTTATATTAAACTGATTACTTTTGATTTAAAGGTAATAGCGTTCAGCTGAGAATGGAAATAATTTTCACCTGGTTGGCAATATTTGCAATCACTTCTGAACCTTCAGTTTTATCCAGTTGAATAATACAGGTCTAAAATTTCCTTTATTTGCTTTTGTCAGAGCAAATTATGTTACCAATAATACCACCTACAAGAGAGAAGAGCCATGAGAAGGGTCAAGGACAATCTATGAGTAACTTAAGTGGAGGCTGATATAACATATTCTCTAATATATGATGCTCTGATTGCATTTGACAAGACCATTTGGAAGAGACCCAGATGGAGACAACAATTCTAGTTAATATGCTCCATTGAGTGATGTTCATCAGCTGATTCTGGAACTCAGGCTGAACTCTAGTCATAAAATTTGGAAAGAAGGCAGTTTGAGAAATGGTATATTCTTCACTGCGAAATGATTGACCTGAGCATGAAATCAATTCTAAAAATAACTAAGGGGCAGATAAGTTCATGACCAAGCTTATAAAAATGAGAACCACTCAAAAGATCTCCAGTTTTATTCCTAAACCTATCTGTGCTGAAGAACTTTTTGGATGCTTCCCACAGGACTGAAATTCCTGCCTCTAATTTGGACAATGACAGTTCTCTGTAATCCACAATTGAATGGTCACTGGAACATGTTAGACATGCAACATAGTCAAAGAATGCATAGATTAGGGTAACTATGTCAATTATAAGTAAAACCCCATGTAGACTAATGTAACTCTATCTGTTAGGGAGATGTGTGCTAGCAACTGTCTTGTTGCAATATGTATATATGTATATATATATTTAGTTTTGAAAAAGTTAATGGCTTTTGTTATTGTCTCTTCAAAAATGTAATATAGTTTTGTTACAGAAAATTAAGAAGCTAGAAAAAAAGTATAAAGAAAAAGACAAAAATTAGCTATAATCCCACCAAGTGAAATTAAGCTCTATACATATACTGGCATCTCCCCCATCCCACAGCCCCCTCACCCACAGAAAGAACCTTTAATGTAGAACTGTCTGCAATCTTTTAAATATGCAACAAACACCATTCCTCGTCATCAGACCTACCAGATTTTATCATGGTGTGACTGTAATGTCTGAGGTTTCTGAAATACTTTAGAATTTATACATTCAAAGCAGTCACCTGGAGAGGTAATAACATTCATTTATTCAAATGCGGATGTTGAACATAGCAGATTTGTGACAATCTCTTACTGCTCACTTAGGGGAGGCATACAGCATATGACCATGGCCTGCTCTACGTCCTGTTTTTAGGATGGGAGAAAAGAGACCTCAGACACTCCTTCTGACTCCAAGGGTAAGGCAGTCAGAATGTATCTGGTGTGTACTAGAAGAGGAAACGTGCTGCACATTGGGACCCCAGGTCCTTTGGTTTAACCTGTCCTTTCTGAGGCGTGGGCATCCTGGAGTCCCTCAGAGATTTCTGACCCAGCCATCTCAGTAAGATCTGCTGTGTTCTGGAGGTGATGAGTGCTCTCCAGAGTTCATTTGAAAGTCAGGCCCTTCTCTACGTGCTCCTACCCCTGTGCCTGTCATTCTCTTTACTGTTGAGGAGGGACCTTAACTCCTGGCAGGTGAACTATAATTAAGATCAATGGATACTAAAGTAAGCCTATCAAAAATCTGGTTTTTGACAAAGATTTGAATAGAATTTGGTCCTTGCCCTCAAGGATCTCACAGTATGATAAACTTGTCTTTGCTTTTTAAATTACAGTGCCGTTTCAGCAGTCAGGCACCTTGGGTACTTGACTGAATCTTGTTCTTTTCCAATATATTTCACATGAGACTTCATGTTATCTTGGACAACCACCTAATGAGAGTCCAGGCTGAAGTCTTCATTCCCCTTCTGCATGTTCTCCGCTGTTGGCTTTGTTCAGACCCTTCTTTCTTCTCATCTATCCTACTGTAATGGGCTTTACATTTTAAACATAGCTTGAAATAACAAATCATGACTATAATACATGAAAACGGTTTGTATTTTGTTTTATTTTTATTTAGAAGTAGAGAATACAGTAATAGTGAGGCAGGAGAACAGGGAATTAGGATAGCCAGGGGTAGGGGCATAAGCAAAGGAATAGCAGGTGCAGCCAGTTTGCATAAACAAGAGAACAGCAGGTGCAGCCGGTTCTAGGCAAGATCAGGCAGCATGCAGGCCACATCCTCATGCCTGTGATAAAAAGACAAGAAGTTTCCACTTCAGCCTCTGCTTGACCATGAGCTAAGACTCCACTTCAGCCTCTGATTGGTCACAGGCCAATCCTTCACAGGCTGTAGCCAATTGGAGGCTTCTAAAGGGTACCTAGGGGTGTTGCCAAGTTCTTTTGGTTTTATAAAAACCCTAATTAGGGCCGGGCGCAGTGGCTCACACCTGTAATCCCAGCACTTTGGAGGCCAAGGCAGGTGGATCACTTGAGGTCAGGAGTTTGAAACCAGCCTGGCCAACACAGCGAAACCCCATCTCTGCTATTAAAAAAATACAAAAATTAGTCAGGCATGGTAGCCCGCACCTGTAGTCCCAATTACTGTGGAGGCTGAAGCACGAGAATCACTTGAACCAGGGAGGCAGAGGCTGCAGTGAGCAGAGATTGCGCCACTTTGCACTCGAGCCTGGGTGACAGAGGGAAACTCTGTCTCAAAAAAAAATTTAAAAAACTTTAATGATTCAAAAAAAATCACTGATGTTAAGAATTCATGGGTGGAAATTTGTAAAATCTGTTTCAGAACATGTGAGAATTAAGAAAGGCAAAAGTTTTATTTTATTTTTATTTATTTATTTATATATTTATTGAGACATGGTCTCACTCTGTTGCCCAGGCTGGAGTGCAGTAGCATGATCACAGCTCACTGCAGCCTTGATTTCCGAGGCTCAAGCAATCCTCCCACTTCAGCCCCCTGAATAGCTGATACTACACATGTGCACCACCAAGCCTTTCTAATTTTCATATTTTTTGTATAGACTAGGTTTCACCTTTTTGCTCAGGCTGGTCTCAAACTGCTGAGCTCAAGCAATCCTCCTGCCTTGGCCTCCTCCAAAGTTTTAAACATATGTAAATATATTATTTTAAATATTTTTTACACTAATAGGTTAAATACTATAAGAAGAATCTTAATATTTCCTCAATATCCATCAAAATATGTGAAAGCAAGTTAGACAAAAACTTAGGGAGATCTTTCATTGGGAAAATGGGGGACAGACTTATATTTAGAGGTTCCCTTTAATTGGGCAAATGCAAAAAAAAAATTCTGCTAGAGAAACACAGTGACTTCTATGTGTCCAGTTGAAAAAGATGGAATTTTATGCAGTTCTGTTTCTCTTCTGAGTTTAACTGAACTCAGAGGAATAAACCCTCCTAGAGCTGTTCACACTGGTATTTAGAGCAAAATTAAAAACTGAATTCTCACCTTTATCAGTCGGCGAATACTGTAAGAAATTAAGAGGATCGTTCCAATAATACCAGCCATCACACACAAAATAATGAGTATTATCACTACAGGAGCTAAAGAGAGCAGCAAAATTATGAAAGTCTGAAATAAATGACCACATAGCAATAGAAAAATAAGACAGATAACATCAGCATAACATCACCTTGCCTTTTAATACAAAGTACAGTTAACATACTATTATGTGTATTTTGTCTTTTTTTAAATTGTGTGCTTTACAGTAACCTTGTGGGAAACTGGGACTGTGAGTGATCAAGTCTTTTGTCCAAGGTCGCAAAATAGTTGATGACAGAACTAAGACCTGAGGCTTCTGATTCCAGACCCAGCGTTCTTCACTAGTGTAACTGTAGATAAGAACTCAGTGGACGTTCTCCTCAGATATGGGGAAAAAAACCCACAAATTCTCCCATAGTTTGGAAGTTATGAGAGAAAACAATGTCTTAACATATAAAAGAGCATTGAACAGATCATAGAATCATAATTTTGGAAAGAAACTGGTATAAACAGTTTACAAATGAAGAAAAGAAGCTGAATAAGGTTAACTTAGCCTTGGTCAGACAACTAGTTAAAAGTAGAATTATAACTATAATGCAGGTCATCTATATTCTAAGCTTTATTCCTTCCACAGTATTCTTATGCATAGTCTCCAATATAGTCACTAACAATGCTTGTTAAGTCATTTATATGTTGGGAATGAAACAATTGAAATCAATTAAGTAAGAGATATTTCCATATTTATAGCATATTTGTAGTACTTCCAGATGAAGTAAATAGAATGGAAGGCTAGACATACAGGTAAAATGGCTCATTTATTTGCCTAATTAATATTTAAATTATTCACAAAAAGTAAAAGTAGCATTTCCTCTTGCTGGTGTTGCCCAGCCTTCTTGACCACTTAGCTTGAATGTATGCGATAGTGATGAAGTTCTATGATGTGCTTTTTACCCTGTGAGCCATGGACACGGCCAAGTGTGAAGGGAGGGTTAGAATGCAGAATAGCAAATGAGCACACACAGTGATACTCAAGTGAGGGGAAGGGATGTCCCTTCAGCAGAGGTTGTCAAGATGGTCCCTAAGTGGTTGCATTGGGCCAAAAATGAATCAAGGCTGAGATTTACCCTTGAAATACAGTACCAGTTAATTAGATGATTTTAAATGCCTTGCTTTTTACATGAGGGCAGAGGGAACTTCACTTGTTTTATAAGCTCTTATGAGGCTTCTTTCAAGTACTCAGGGTTGGTTAGAAAGGTAAAACATCTAACTTAAGAGAAAAACTATTACCAAATTATGTATTTCTATTTCCAAATGTTTTTATTTATTTTTATTTACTTATGTATTTGTTTTTGAGACAGGGTCTTACCAAGGCTAGAGTACAGTGGCACAGTCATAGCTCACTGCAGCCTCAAACTCCCAGGCTCAGGCAATGGATCCGATCCTCCCACCTCAGCCAGCCTCCCAAGCAGTTGAGACTACAGGTGCATGCCCCATCCCAGCTAATTTTTGTATTTTTTGTAGAGATAGATTTTGCCATATTGCCCAGGCTGTTCTCAAATTCCTGGGCTCAAGTGATTAGCCAGGCTTGGCCTCCCAAAATTATAGGGATTATAGGCATGAGCCACGGCCCCTGGCCCCCAAAATGTTTTTAAAAATAAGAAATGCCTATTTTAATTTTAAAAAGAGAATATTTTCTTTGTCTTTACAATTTCGTGTGAATAAAGTTAACAACATATGCTCTTCTGTTTTAAGATAGACACATTTTCTTAGGCATTTGAAACAAGCAATGGATAGTTTAAAATGGAATGACTTTTATTCTTTGTCAAATATTAACATACCTGGTACAGTGAAACGATGGACAAGTTGTCCCGTTTCTCCTATAAAGCAAAATTTCAATGTAAGTCCAAATAAGAAAGACATGTGCAAAGAAAAAAATCATTTTGGAATCAAACTGTTCTGCGGGTTTCCTTTTCTTAATCATATTTTGAGAGTTGTTGGTCAACTTTCAACATCTAGCTAGTAACATTTATGAGGTAATGTGTCAGTCTTACCATTAGTAATTTCAGTATCTACTTTTAATGACCCAACACGTATTCATGGATGAGAAATAAGCAAATTGTCTCATAACTGAGGGGAAAGGAATGAGAAAGTATTGGAAGAATCACTTATTGACTTACACAAGAAGCAATGCATTTTTAAAACATGTAAAAAATAATGAGAAGAAAGGAGGCATATGGAGCCATTACTCCACAGAGATGCCAGTCCCATGCAAAGAAGGGTCATGCGGCTATCAATTTTCTGATTTATGCCATAGCCACTGTATGAATCTAAACTGTTACTGTGTCTCATTTGAGCTTTTGCCAATAGTCTCTCTGGATTCTATGTCAGTAGCAATTGATAGTATGGTTGCCTTACTGTTCCACCTGTGCTAACCTTCCCTCTCAGTCCACATCCTACTTTTGTCTCTGTCTCCACTTGCCATTTTATGTCATGAAGCTCTCTTATACCAAAGCCACACAATTTTCTAGAGTTTAATTATTACAAATTACTTAGTATATGCTATGTTGTTTGATGATTGAGGATTCAGGTATATTTTTTCATTCTTTAGGCTTTACGTACAAAGGTTAATTGGGGCTTGCCTTCTCTTTCTTGGTCACAGTTAATAGTTGTGGGTGCTATATGGGCTTTGGAGTAAAAGAGTTGGGTTTTCTGTCACGAAAGTTTGAGAACTGTCATGAGTTACAGCTCGTGTAAATAGAGTTCAATCACAACAATGACTCCAGAGAAACTATTTAAAACTAAGAACATAACGTTTTTCTTTTCTGGAGGGGAAACAGTTGTAACAGAAATTTCTGAAACTTCATTAGCAGTATGAGCTGGACATGTGTCCCGTTTGTGCTTATCTGCATATAAGAGAAGTTGAGAAAGGGAACAAGAATGAGGTGACTGCGTGGACATACAGCGTATCATGAAAGACAAATTCTCCCACATCCCTCCCAGCAGCAGCTCCAGAATTTCTTCTTCTCCCCTGAAAACTAACAAGAGAGACTGCCACCAGATTACTCTTATCTCAGCACCCAGCTTTGCTTATTGTTTATCAGTCACTGAGAATGTGTGAGGCTCTGAGCTAATAACTTTTAGACACTTCTTCTTATTTAGCCTTTAGAGAAATGCTGTGAGATAAGTACTGTGTTATTGGCCCCATTTTAAAATTAATGGGATAGAAACCCTGCAGGGCAACTCACCCTGGGTCAGCAGCTGGGATAGAGCTGAGCCCAGGTCTGAGCTGAACTCATTTTGCCCACAGACCCTCCGCACCACCGCACTATTAGGTCCCCTTTATCTGGCCCACTATTTCATGGTCACATGTATCATTTCTGTGCTTTGCCACATTGTTTTAATTTCTTTAACTCACAGTATTATTTCTGTGAGATATTTCAGAGGCTAGAATTCCTCTGTAGTAAGAATTGTGTCTACTTAGTAGGCTGTGTCTACTTAGCTCGCATTTCTCAGTGTTTGTCAGTTTCTCTGCAGTGACAGGTCCCCTAAAATAGGGTTGCATCACAAAAATCATTTCGGAGCCACAATTTAAAAATAAAAATGAAAACAAACCATTTGTCTGTGATGAGATGTAACTCTTTGTGACTGAAGAAGAGGTTGAAGTGTGCATTGCCACCTCAGTGGTACTTAATGCTGATATGCTCACAATTTCTGTATAAAATAGAAGTTGAGAAAGGGATTAAGAACGAGGTGACTGAGCAGACCATAAAGCATATCACAAAAGACAAATTCCTCTCACATCCCTCCAGTCCCTGAGCTAAGCGCTTTAGTATATATCTTACATAATCTTTAGAGAATTGCTGCGTGGTAAGTATTGTATTATTGGCCTTATTTTAAAATTAAGGGGCCAGAAGCCCCTCCAGAATTTTTGTACAGCAGAGGTTTACAGATAAAGTGTGCCTTGGTTTTCTCATCTGTACAATAGTAATACTTGCCTCAAAATGTCATTGTGAGAACGAATTAGTTTAAATATGTGTGTGTATGTGGTATGTGTGTGTATGTGATGTGTATGTGTTAGTATAGTACTTGACACATAAAGAGCATTACATATATGTTGGGTATTATTGTTATTATGCTTATAAAGGGGTAACTTGAAGTTGCATTTTGGAAACTGTCTATGCTAAGAAAGGTGGAAGCTCATAATAATTATACAGAACAAAAGTTCTGTCCCATATCTCAGTGTCTCCATCTGCTAGGGACAATCTTACTTCTTCAATAAAAGTGGAAACAATAAGAAAACACTATTACATTGCATGAACCCAGGAGGCCGAGCTTGCAGTGAGCCGAGATCACGCCACTGCACTCCAGCCTGGGCGACAGAACGAGATTCCGTTTCAAAAAAAAAAAAAAAAAAAAACCACACACGCAAACAGGAAATCAGAATGTAGATTCACAAATATCCTTTTAAAATCTCATTAAATAAATTGTGAATTATTTTTGTAATTAAACACTTTTTATTCTTAAATGCAATACATTTCAAATTTATAAGTTATTTTATAAAATTTTATAAATTCTTTAAATTGCAAAAGTAATATAGATTCAATAAAGAATATTTGGGAACTACAAGAAAGCACAAAGTATAATATAAAATTCATCTACAGTCAGCTGATGCAATGTTGAACATTTGACACATTTTGATATATAGCCATCTGAACTTTTAGTTGTTATATGTAAATATGGGATCATGGTGTTTAAATATGTGTGAATATGTATATAATGTTTACAAGTCTGACTTTCTACTTAATATGCCACAGATATCCCTATGCTGTCAAATATTCTTCTATGAGAAGATTTTTATGACTGCAGAGTATTCCATTGTATGAATGTTCTGTGGTTTATATTTCAGTCTCCTATTCTGTGCATTCATGTGTTTTTCACTCTTCTGAGAGTTATAAATCATTATGATAAACATCAGTACCCTGAACTCTGTAGATGTACCTTTGCTCATCTCTTGGAGACATTCAAATGAGGGGAATGGCACCCAAGTGCAGTGGAGTGGAGGTGGAAGGGCTTCTTCTCAGAGGCAGCCAACTTGGCCCCTCAGCTGAATGCTCAAAGTTTCCTGGAGAGCACACAAATAACAGAAAACATCTTCTCTGACACCTCTCATTAGTCTACTCAAGGGAAGAGTTCTAAAACCTTTCTCTATTTATCAGCTGATAGGTAATCAGTTTACCTCCAAATCATGGAGAAGACATGATCTATTGTTCCTAAACTGTCTATGTTTTCTCTTCTCTTTTAAGTTCTTTTCTGGCCTTGCTCTTTAACTTGGCCTGCCACCTGATTCCATCATGTGTTTATAAACGATTGCCATATGAATTCTCCAAATAGCATGCAAAACAATTACTGAATGTTTCTAAGTTGTTCAGCACTCAGGTATAATGGCTTTTAAGATAATATAAAAATGAATGCTTTTAAACAATAATCTGGTGATAGGGATTTTGAAGTTTAACAAATTTTAGGATTAAAATTACAGAAAGACATTTTTATGAGTCAATTAAAGTATGTAAAAATTATTTACAAAGATAACTAATGAACAAAAATAATCCATCTCTCTTAATAAATGTTAGATATGAGCTTTGGCTTATTTCTAGATAGATGAAGGGTTTGAAGCAGTTTTTTATTTAGGGAAAATCACTGTCAGTAGTATGGAGGATAACTTAGGGGAAAAAAAACATGCGGGAGCTTTGCAGTAGAGGGTCCCATCTTGTGTTCAAGAGTGGCCAAGATAAGCAGTCCCTTTGCAAACAAGCCACTTCTGCTCACAGAAGGTCCTTATCACTTCTTAACATTCCTTTGGTGGAGAAGCCCTATAGCCTGAGGCTTTAAAGGGGGCAGAAAATTACAGCAGGTTGTCAAAAGAATATGGCAAAGAACCAACAATGGGAGCTAACATCTCTTAAAATTGGCACTTTCATTATTTTAATTTTAAATGAAGTCAGAGAAGGTGAAAAGTATTTTAAATTTTTAAGCAAAGTATATGTAACTTAAGAAAATGAAAACATGCTTAGGGAGAGAGAGCTTATTTAGATAAGTTTTGAGCTTTATCAAAACAATTGTTAACACTCTAGCAAATAGGTAGACTTCTTTGTTCTTCAACAGCTACTCCTCACAGTAAAAGAGCACTTGGTGGAAATTTTGTACCGAAATGAAGGCTGAAACCCCAGAGATCAAACACTGTACTCAAGTTTACAAAGCTGGACTCAGACCCTAACACTGGCTTTAAAATGTGTCCTAAGTTAGACCATAATGCCTCTCTTTCCAGCTGGATCTACATGCCTCCACTCTGGCTTTTAACAAGGCTCTGAACTATTGTCAGAACTTGGGAATTTCTAACATTGAAGGTAACACATTGACACAATTTCCTCAATGTAAAATTGTATACACTTTATCCAAGTCCCATCTGGGCATGTTATGTCCTATTTGTACCCTTACAAAAACTGGTTGGTGGCCAAATTGATTTGAGACTGAAAGTTGCCACTTATGTTCTTAGAAATACTTGCTTTAATTCACCAGAATCAGTTGCTCTGATACAACTTCTTATAGTCACCTAAATCAACACAGTAAGAAAATAAACATATAAATGCCCTAAAGATAATTTGATAAAAATTGTTTTTTATATCATTTCCTCAACAATCTCATAATGGTAGCTGACCTATAAAATGATCTTTTTCATAGTTCATTTTTCTTCCATTTCTGGAAAAAAGATAGCATAAGCCTTTCAGTAGGAATTAATACCCATGCTTGCTTAGTGGTAAGAGGAAGGCACAGAGGCTTGCTATTGGAAGTCTATAGTTTACAAAACAGTGTCATCTTGAAGGAACAATAGTTCCCATAAAAATGAGTTTTCGTATTTTCTAGTATTAATTAACTTTTAAATAATTTGGTAGTTATTCCAGAATAGAATCACATGGGGGCAATTTAAAGAATTTCATCAATACCTTCAAATTAAATAAACCAGCATCTGGTTGAAAAAAAAAAAACACTTATCTGGAAGGAGAAACCAAAGAAACATCCTTAAATGCTAAAGCTTCATTCAAAATTCAAGGTAAGGAAACCAAATTTCCACAATATGATCCCTTAAAATCACCAAGAATGTTCAAAACTACATTTGATAACAACAGCTCACACAACTACTTGGCTCTCCTAGATTCCTAAGACCCTAACCAGCTAATAGACATCTGTGGACATATTCAATTCTGCAAAGCTGCAAAATATCTGTGAGAAGCTGGTTTTTGAATAGGACTTTTTACTATAGCTATATACTATTTAGTTCAGTAAACTGGGTAGAAAGCATTTAAGCAAACTCGTAACCATTGAACAACAAACTTTAGTTTGCCAAAACTGCTTAGGGACTGGATTAAGGGAAGGCTCTCCTGTTATTTTTATCTCTTTGCCTTTGGAGCTCTCAGCTTTCTGTAGCTAAATTAGCTTTCAAAAATCTACTTGTGTCATTCCTAGATTAAAGGTCAGTTTAAGTATTGCCCTGTTGAATTCAGAAGGTACATTTAAGCTAGAAAACCACTTGCAGCACATCTAATCCAAATTGCCGACTTTACAGATAGACATTTGGTCTCATAAAAATTAAATGACTAGCTCAGATTAGCATATCTGGTAAGCAGCAGAACTGAGACTTAATTCTGCTGACCCCCAATATTAGTCTCACCTTCCAGATCTCGCTGCCTGGTTGAGATGTTGTCAGCAAGATTTCTCTAATGTTTTAGTATATTAGTCAGCAAGCATTGGGGCATATTGTACATACAAAAAAGGACAACTAAATTCCTGAGCTCCCTGGACATCCTAAAAGCTAGAATTTTAATAAAAACCATGTGGTCTTCATTTTGATGATTTTTTTCCACACTAATTTATTGTATTACTTAGATTATATCTCTTACCCCTCAGTGTCCTTATACCATAGCCGCTATGAGAAATTATATTTTGCTCTAGCAATGCTGAGATGAGAGTCAGTTTCTTAACCCCTTCACATCTTCTGGCAGGAACACATCCAGTCTCTACCTGAAAAATTTCACTTCTCTCTCCAAGTGAAGTATATTTACCTTGTGGTGTTATGAAAGATGTGTCCAGCATCTGGCTACCCAGGAATAGACAGACCTTGTGCCAACACTGCACATTTTCTTAGCTGCATGGGCCTCTGAGAAACATACTCTCAAGACCTTACCCCATGCCTACTTGCAAATGTATCACTGGATGAACCCTGAAGGATGGGCAGAGTTTTAGGTGAAGATGCAGAGGAGGAGGGATAAAGAAATAGCATGGGCTAACATATGGAGAAAGGGGAGTATAACATGCATTGATGTGGAGGCTTAGGTCACCTAGCAGGCAAGTGTTGGCAAATCTCTCAGATTGATAAGAGTTTAATGATTAAGTGGCAAATTAGTGCAAAATAAAATACAAAGGTATGTTTTGTCATATTAGTGAGGCCTCAAACTCCTACTTTAAATTTATGTTTTTCAGTTTTCAGGCACTGAAATGGCATTTGCTATGGTACTTAGTACAAAGTAAATCTGTGTGACCTGAATTGAATTGTATAATTTAGGTTTGAGAAGGGTGGAATGAATTGGTATACTTTCTAGAAAATGAAATATTCAAAATTTGTGTTTGGCTCATCTCACAGCTTATACTTGTATAACATCGGATATGTTCCAGAACATTTCACCTCTCTTGTCTCTTATCCCCATGTGTTGGGGGAGAGAGCATGGACTTCTGCCACTGTTCCCATTGTACCAAGGAGGTGGGGTGACTTGGGGGCCCAAGACATGTTAGGATAACAACTGGAAATAGCCAGCCTCCTAGCTCTCTGCTATATGCTTTATCTACCAGACCACTCAGCTTTCCCAAATAATTGACATTTCTAACCTGGAATGCTATTAGAAACAATAAAAATAAAATGTGATATTGTATAAGTACCCTTCAGTTTTGCTGTATGCCAAAACTTCCAGTGGCTGAGCTCTCATCAAGATGTGATAAGCTGCTGGTTTGAGTTTTGGTTCGCTCCTGACTTGCAGCTGAAAGAAGCCTTATCTTGCATAAGCAAACTCTTACAAGGACACACCCTTCATATGAAATGCCTTAAATAGTTTCCAAGTCTGAAAACTAAATTTTCTAAATGCTACAGTTTTTTGACATTGCAATGACCATGAAAACTACTTGATAAATGCATCTGTGGAAGTTATGCTCAGCTAATTTGTGGTAAAACTGGGACAAAAACTCATATCCATTGACTTCCAACTCAATGCCTTTTCTGCTCAATCTCATTGTCTTGGACAGAATTAACGTATAAATGGGAATCTTGCCTGTGCTAAAAGATGTTTGAAGAAGACTGTTCCCATGAAGCAATATTTTAAGGGAACGATTTTGTTTGGCTCTTGAACCAAAGGATTGGCACGTTCAATCTTGGTCAAGTTGTGATAATATAGTTAGATACCCATACTGTCTGTGGCCATTCATTTTTCTTTTTTGGAAGGTTTTTATTAAGCCAAAGCAGCCAACTACAATTTAGAAAAATTGAACTTAAGGATAAAGTGCTTTGTGTGATAGCATCTGAGCCTACTGTTTTGGATAGCCTATTCTCAATACTTTTTATTTGAACTCTTCAGCCAATGGCTCTGGAGAAAAGCGTGGCCTATTAACTGGTGCAGTTAGTGTGCTAGGTGCCAAATGGAATGAGCCAGTTTCTGCTCATCTTCAGACTGGCGTGCTTTGGCAGTCCCCATACAACTAATTGGTAACACTTCTTCCTTTCCTAACTTGGTAGAGAAGGGTGCTGTATTTATTCTATCTCGAAGGTGTTGTGGCCTAGGAGGACTGCAGCTTCCCTTCAGGAAGCCTGAACTTTTTATCCTGGCTCTGTACTATCCAGCTTCTGGTCATCCACACTGTCCCAAACCATTGCTGAGACAGCAGAGGTGGAGAAAAAAATCGGTCAGTCTGTCATTCCAGCCAGTGCACATTCTTCAGCCTGGACAGATGGAAATCAAGATGAATTTCTGTCCACTGTCCCAGTGGGAAAGGAGAGCAGAGTTCTATTCCTGGCTTTGCCATCAAATGGTTGGGGGATCTGTGAAAGTCTCTGAAATTATCTGAGCCTCAGTTTTCTGGCCTCTAAGATGAGAGTAGTGGAACAGATGTCTCTCTTTTTAAGCTTTAAAAAAAGTTTTGCTTTTTTCTTGAGATAGGGTCTCACCATATTGCCCATACTAGCCTCAAACTCCTAGGCTCAAGCAATTCTCCTGCCTCATTCTACTGAGCAACTGGTACTATAGGTGCACACCACCATGCCTGGCTTAGAATGGATGTCTTCTAAGATGCTTCACCATTCATGAATCATGGAAATCTGTATGTCTAAGATAATAATATTTGTAGTTAACACTTACTGCACACTTACTTCATTCCACACATCTCTCTAACCATTTTTAAAACAACTAGCTGAGACCCTATTGTTAGATGTTAATTATTCTTTGTGGAGGAGGAAAAGAAAACATCAGAAACATTGCCTGACTTGCTTAAGTTCACACAGCCGCCAAGTGGCAGAACTGGATTTTGAATTCAGACCTATGTAACTACAGAACTGTCTGCCAAGGTCTACTGTGATCTATGTAGCAGAAAGAGAATGAGGGAATCAAGTAAGTTGTCATTGAGAGATTAAATTCTCACCAAATTATAATGCAACCAACTCTCAAGCAAGCCTTCACTTCAGCAAATCAGGGCTAAATGAAGAGATATAAAGATAATAATTCACCTTGTTTATAGCCTGAGGGTAGGAGTGTTGTACCTCTAACATAGCATTGTAGGGTGACCTGCAGTGGCAAATCCACATTACGGAAGAGAAGATGGTTCTGGTTATTAACAGTCTGTTAAGTTGAATCTTAATTTTTCCAGCCAAGCATATTCCAATCTGGTCACTCCTGCCTACTAAAGAATCCTCAGAACAAAAGGGGATTTCACATATTTTACCTGTGTCCACTTTAGTCTAAGATATTGGTATTTCTGTAGCTGAACTTCACACACATTAAATTTGGGCTTAAGGAAGTTGGGCTGGATGAAAATAATTTCAATTGAAAAGAAAAACTTTATCCCAAAGTTCTCACACCACTGGTACTTCCTTTCACTGGTTGAACAATACAAAATTGCAGAAATGAAACTAGTTTGTTCTCATCCTTGACTGCATGGTAGAATCATCTGTGATATCCAGGCATTGGATTCTGATGTGCGGCCAGCAGTGAGAACAACTGCTCCAGTTGGTAATATAGATTAATATATGTAAACTTCATCTTCCTGAGTTTCGAGGTCAATTCTTACATTTTCTATGGTTCTAGCGTCACCTTTATCTATAAAGTGAACAGCTACAGTATGGGATATTAGCCTGAACAACTTTAGAAATAACATCATTTGCCATCTTAAATGTTGGTGTTTCTTAGGGTTTTGTTTCCCTCACTTCCAGTCTCCCTCACTTCCTCCCTCAATTCACATTTAATTTTACTTTAATCACTTTCCAAGGATAAGCTCATCAGTGTGTGAAACAGACAGAGTTGAACTGCTTGGTGGAAGCTGGCCTGAGTGTTTGGCCTGCAGCCTCACAACCTGTTCCCATCTCCACCTGGCAGCTTCAGAAAGCTCCACAGGAATTTAGATTGCAAATCTTTAGTCTAAAACTTAAGTTTTTCAAATTGTCTGTTGAGATCCCTTAGCACAAGTATTAGTAAACTTCCTATGTAAAGGGAGAGAGAGTAACTACTTTAGGATTTGTGGGCCACAACTACTTTAGGCTTTGTGGACCATCTATTACAAATATTCAACTCTGTCACTGTGCAAAAGCAGCTACAGACAATATGTAAACCAAAGCATAAATAAATGAGTATGACTATGTTCCAATAATGATTTGTGGGCAGTAGAATTTGAATTTCATATAATATTCACATTATTATTATTATTTTGATTTTTTTTCTTTCTTTTTTTTTTTTTTTTTTTTTTTTTTTTTTGAGATGGAGGCTTGTTCTGTCACCCAGGCTGGAGTGCAGTGGCCCGATCTCCGCTCACTGCAAACTCCGCCTCCCGGGTTCACTCCATTCTCCTGCCTCAGCCTCCCAAGTAGCTGGGACTACAGGCACCCGCCACCAAGCCCGGCTAATTTTTTGTATTTTTAGTAGAGATGGGGTTTCACTGTGTTAGCCAGGACGATCTCGATCTCCTGACCTCGTGATCCGCCCACCTCAGCCTCCCAAAGTGATGGGATTACAGGCTTGGACCACTGTACCCGGCCTATTTTGATTTTTTTAAGCACTTAAAAAAGTAAAAATCATTTGTAACTTGTAAGGTATACAAAACTAGGGGGCCAGCCGTTCACAGGCTATAGTTTGCTTGGCCCCTGTATTAGCATAACTAGAATGTCTGGATGTGAAACCCAATCATCAGTGCTACATAGATTCTCTGAGAAAATTCTAACCTGCAGTCAGGATGGCGCATTCCTCTACTAATGGGCTATGAAATCAGTCCAGTGGGTTGTCACTGGCACTAAAAAATTAAGTTGTAGTCTAGGTGTGGTGGCTCATGCCTGTAAACCCAGTGCTTTGGGAGGCCAAGGCAAGAGGATCCCTTGAGGCCAGGAGCTTGAGACCAGCCTGGGCAATATAGCAAGACCCCATATTTACAAATTAAATAACAAAAAAATTAGTCAGGTGTGGTTGAGCACACCTGAAGTCTCAGCTACTTGAGAGGCAGAAGCTGGAGAATCACTTGAATCCAGCAGTTCAAGACTGAAGTAAGCTATGACTGTGCCGTTGCAGTCCAGCTTAGGCCACAGAGCAAAATCTTGTCTCTAAAAAAAATTAAGTTGTATAAAATGGAGAGAATATATCAAAGTACATCACACAGAATTAGGGAAGGTATTATTTTGTGGAATTTTATTTCAGACAAGTGTGTGTGTGAGTCTGTGTGCTGTGATTTGTAGTGCACATTAACTATGTCTCAATAATACTTGATTATGTTTTGAGCCTGATGAACCTGGTTATACCCTATCTGAATACCTGGCTGCCAGATCAATAGCGTATGACATACCTGAAATGCACTCACGGCCCGCACAAGCCATTGACCAGTGGCTCATGCACACCTTTATCCAGCTTATCTAGCTCCAGAAAGTCTAAGACTTTCTATGTGTGCTGCACCACTAAAATGGGAATTCTGAGAGAGAATGCTTTCAAAAACATAAAGTTAGCTAATGGGACAATTACAAGTAGGCTGTATACTTTAGAAACACATGAAAGGATAAGGGCAAATAAAACATAGTATATATATCAAAAGAGCAGAAACAAGGAATCATATAATAAAATATGAAATAGGATAACAGAAATAAGATACTAAATGTCAGTTGTGAATTAATGAATGCATATGGATTATGGTTTTGTGTTAAAAGACAGAAACTTTTAGATTGAGTCAAAAGAGATAGGTTAGGACTGGTGCAATGGCTCATGCCTGTAATCCCAACATTTTGGGAGGCTGAGGCAGGTGGATTGCCTGAGCTCAGAGTTGGAGACCAGCCTGGGCAACACGGTGAAACCCCGTGTCTACTGAAATACAAAAAATTAACTGGGCGTGGTGGTGTGCGCCTGTATTGTCAGCTACTTGGGAGGCTGAGGCAGGAGAATTGCTTGAACCCGGGAGGCAGAGGTTGCAGTGAGCCGAGATCGTGCCACTGCACTCCAGCCTGGGCGACAGAACGAGACTCCATCTTCAAAATAAAGCAATAAATACATATAAAACCAAACAGGAATAACCATATTAATCTTAGGCAAAGTAGAATTAAGAGAAAAGACATTACAAACAGTGAAAAAGATTTACTTGTGTCATTAAGCAATATATTTCACAATGATTCTTAAGTAATTATGGACCATTATAGCCCAATAATATAGCAACGAGAAACATAAAGCAGAATAAGAAATTGGCAAAAATACAATACCATTGAGAAATTTTAAGTTTTCTCCAATTGTGATAGATCAAGAAAGCAAAAAACAAACACAGAAAGGATCTGAAATATATCTGCTTGCAATCACAAGCTATTGATTTATATGATTTTTTGCTAACGAATCAATAAGGACAGATTTTATTAGGCATTCCCACATTCCCATACACTCATTTTGAAAGAACATTTCTGTATTTCCTGATACAATGTTTTTGAAGTCTGAATCTAGCAGAATAGTTCAGGAAAGGTAGCAAGGGGAGAACTTTTGTGGTCTTTTTCCTAGCAAAATGCAATTTCAGTGCCATGATCTCTATTCTCAGTTGCCTCAAATAGCTGTACTATTCATGTTTTATGTTTTGTATTTATTTCCTTCTATTTTGGTTTTTAAAAATATAATGATGACTGGGAAATAAGTGATAACATCAAAAGGAGGCCTCCAGAATTTAAAAACATTTTCTATAGCCCATATAAAAAGGAGCAAAAGGCTAACATAACAGCCACACAGTTAGAGTTCCTTAGCTGCACCACGTGAGGAAGACAGACCGTCAACCTTCATTAAAGTCTTCAGCTTGGTGAAAGCACAAGCAGAACACTGAGTGACAATGTTGTAAGAGTAACGGAGCCAATCCTGGAACATCACTAGGTATGGTACAGGCAACATAACATATTCTCCAAGTGCACAGATTCTGCAGTGGAACTGCCTAGGCTCAAACTAATTCCTCTAGCAACTACCTGAGACCTTGCAAAATTTACTTAATCTCTATATTTTTGTTCCATCATTATACATGGATTAGTCTCTACCTTATAGAATTATTGAACAGATTAAGTTAAAATGCGCATAATTTTTTTGCAAGAATGGAAAACCTAATCCTAAAATTTCTGTGAAATTATTAGGGATCTAAATAGCCAAAACAATCTTGAAGAAGAACACAGTTTGGTGAATCATACTTCATGAATGCAAAACTTATAACCAAGTAACAGCAATAAAATCTGTGTGATTTTGCCCCAAGAACAGACATATTCTTCGGATAGAATTGAGACTCCAGAAATAAACTCATATATCCATGGCCAATTAACTTTCAAGAAGGGTGTCAAGACCATTCAATGGGCAAAGGATAGTCTCTTCAACAAATGGTGCTGGGACAACTGCAAAATAATAAAGGTGGACTCTTGTCATACATCATATAGAAAAATTAACTGATAATAAACCAAAGATCTAAATATAAGAGAAGAAATACAAAACTCTTAGAAGAAAACATAGGGAGAAATTTTTATGACTTTAAATTTGGCAATTATTTTTAGATATGATATCAAAAGCGTAAGCAACAAAAGAAAAAAATAAATTGGACTTGAAAATGAAAAACATTTGTGCATCAAAGGACACTATCAAAAGTAAAAACAAAAATCTACAGAATGAAGGAAAAGATTTGCAAATAGTATATCTGATAAGACTCTTTATCCAGAACATAGAAAGAACTCTTACAACTTAGCAACAGAAAGACAAAAATAAATTTAAAAATGGGTGAAGGACATTTATGCAGCCAAAAAACACATGAAAAAATGCTCATCATCACTGGCCATCAGAGAAATGCAAATCAAAACCACAATGAGATACCATCTCACACCAGTTAGAATGGCAATCATTAAAAAGTCAGGAAACAACAGGTGCTGGAGAGGATGTGGAGAAATAGGAACACTTTTACACTGTTGGTGGGACTGTAAACTAGTTCAACCATTGTGGAAGTCAGTGTGGCGATTCCTTAGGGATCTAGAACTGGAAATACCATTTGACCCAGCCATCCAATTACTGGGTATATACCCAAAGGACCATAAATCATGCTGCTATAAAAACACATGCACACGTATGTTTATTGTGGCATTATTCACAATAGCAGAGACTTGGAACCAACCCAAATGTCCATCAATGATAGACTGGATTAAGAAAATGTGGCACATTTACACCATGGAATACTATGCAGCCATAAAAAATGATGAGTTCATGTCCTTTGTAGGGACATGGATGAAATTGGAAATCATCATTCTCAGTAAACTATCGCAAGAACAAAAAACCAGACACCGCATATTCTCACTCATAGGTGGGAATTGAACAATGAGATCACATGGACACAGGAAGGGGAATATTACACTCTGGGGACTGCTGTGGGGTTGGGGGGGAGGGGGAAGGGATAGCATCGGGAGATATACCTAATGCTAGATGATGAGTTAGTGGGTGCAGTGCACCAGCATGGCACATGTATACATATGTAACCTGCACATTGTGCACATGTACCCTAAAACTTAAAGTATAGTAAAAAAAAAATAATGGGTGAAGGACTAGAACCAACATTTCTCCAAAGATATGCAAAATGCAGTTACCAACAATTACATGAGAAGATTCTCAGCATCATTAGTTATTAGGAAAATGCAAGAAACCACAGTGAAAAACCACTTCATACCCTCTGAAATGGCTATAATTAAAAAAATGAAAAAGTACAATTTCTGGCAAGACTGTGGAGAAATTGGCACCTCATACACTCTGGTGAAAAGGTAAAAAGGTGCAGCTCCTGTGGAAAAGAGTTGAGCAGTTCCTTAGTAAGTTAAACATAAAATTACTATGACCCAGCAATTCTACCCCTATACATCTTTGAGTATTAAAAGTGGGTTCAAACAAAACTAGTACAGGAATATTTATAGCAGCACTATTCACATTAGCCAAAAGGTGGAAACAACACAAATTTTAATCAAATGATGGATCGATAAGCAAAATGTGATATACCAACCCAAATTTTCATCAAATGATGGATGGATAAACAAAATGTGATATACCAACACAATGGAATAACATTTATTATAAAAGGAATGAAATACTGATACACGCTACAATATGGATGAACTTTATTTTAGGTGAAAGAAGCCATACACAAAAGGCTACCTATTATATGATTCCATTTATATGAAATATCTAAAATGGGTAAATCTGTAGAGGTAGAAAACAAATTAGTGGTTTCCAGGGGCTGGAGGAATTGGAAGTGGCTGCTACTGGGTAAGAGGGTTCCTTCTGGAGTGATGAAAATGTTCTGGAACTAGATAATGGTGATGGGTGTGCATCATTTTGAATGCATTAAATGCTACCAATTGTACACTTTAAAATGGTTCAAATGGTAAATTTATATTACGTGTATTTTACTACAATTTTAAAAATTAAGTGTATGTAAATTGCTTAGAAAAGTGCATGGCACAAAGTAAGTGCTATATCAGTGTTGGTTATTATTATTCAGAACCTGCCTATATATGGAACCTAACCTGCTGTATATAAATCTAGGGATGGAAATACCAAAGTTGATTAAATAGCTGTTTATAGAACTTTGTACACTACAAAGAAAGATGACATCATTTTTCCAGTGCTTACATATAATAATTTCGGTTAGACAGAAATTCTTAATAAATGTCACAAATAGATTGTATAGTCATAGTCTATGACCAACGTACAAAAATTAAAGACTTCTTAGAAAGCAGAGATTGTGTTTGTTTGGTTTACTTTTTAAAATATATTAAAACTTGTCCTGATTATATTATATGGTTCTCTTTGCAGAAAATTTAGAAAGTATTCAAAATGAGAAAAAATAAATAAAACCTTACAATCCCAACACTCAGAGATAAGCCCGGAATTTTTTTTCAAGATTTTTGCTTTAGTTTTAGTTTAGTTCATTTATCACAGAAAACTACACAGATAGGTACTTACTAAAGATGTGGATATGATAATAATGGCTGGAAATCTATGATGTAAAAATGTAGGTCCAGCCTGATTTTGTCAGCACCATATAAGTATGATTGGGGTTTTTTTGAGCAAAAGATATTACATTTGCAGTTGGTGTCAAAATATAATCTATAAAGATAACTTGGGGGAAATTCCCCAAAAGTATACTTCTCAAATAGTCTCATAGATGTTTTGAATAATCTTCTAGAAACCAAGGTGAAAAGAAATTTATCACAAGAATGTGAAGCTAAATTTCCTAATTTAAAATCACTACGAAGTAAGTTTGAGATACCATCCCTACTTTCCCCTCTATTCAGACCTTTTCTGCAAAGGAGTTCACAGTGGGTGTCTGTTTCTTTCTAAAAACCCTATTTCACACCATGCTAAATATATTTACAGGTTTGGCAGCTAGTCCAGCTCATCTCAGGCTGAATTTTGGGGATTTATTGGGGTTTACAGATGAAAAATGATTGTAGATACCATCTACTCGGTGCTTGATTGAATAGACACAGGAAAACTGAGGCCCACAGGTGTTAAATGATTTTTCATGGCTAAACTAGTCTGCCACAAAATTCTGGTCATTTGTCATTTGTCATTTTGAGTAGTTGATATTGACTGCCTACTATGTGGCTGACAATGTGTGGGACACATAAGCGAAGACACAGGTTTGGCTTTTCAAGAATTTATAGTCATGTATTCCCTGGCATACAGTTCCTGTAACTCTTTCCTGTACCAATTAAATAGACAGCTAGCAAGGCTCTCTTCTTGGATCCCTGAAAAAAAAAAAAAAAAAAAAAAAAAAAAAAGAGATGCCTTGTTTCTTCACTTAACATGTGCTTCTCAGACTGATGTACCTGCAGGGGTATGAGTCAGATGCACAGGGTAATAATGATCTGTCTATGCGGAGCACTCACTGTGTCTAACCAGATGAAAACAAATATTTCCTCTTTCCTCCTCCCCTTCCTCCTGTCTCTTCCCTTCCCTTCTCTCTTCTCCCTTCTTGCCTCCCTCTCTCTCTCCCTCCTCTCTTCTTTCCTTCCTTCTTTTTTCCTTCTTTTCTTTCTTCCTTCCTCTCCCTCTCTGCTTCTCTCTCCTTCTCCCTCCCTTCACCTCCTTCCTTGCTTATTCAACCAATATGCTACTATAAATACCAATCGGGAACTGTGCTAGATTCTGGGAATACATGGATGAATAAAGTAGGCATGATGATATCATACCAGTCCCTTTGTTTCCTCCCATTAAATTAGTATGTTATGACCTAGAATGCAAATTTTATATGAATTTTTAAGTAAACACAAAAAGCTTTTGGAGACTCCTGGTTTATGCCATAATTTCCTAGTTGAAGTGATATAGTACTGTATTTTCAAATTGGTTCTTAGCTTCAGAATCTGATTTTCAGATAAAAGCTCCAGCTTTTCCTTGAAAACACTAACTTACCTCCTGTTTCAGAATTTTTGCTCTTGCTCTTCCCTCTGCCTTCTGTCCTCTTCTCCCAGAATTTTCAGGGTTGGCTCCATCTCCTTGTTCCACGTTTAGCATAAATGTCATCTACTCAGAAAATAACTCCCTGCTACCCTTTTCTTAAGCAGTTTTCGGCATTCATGTTTATCATCTTACCTGGTTTTATATGCTTTGTATTAGTTTTGACTGTTTTTATCTTATTTTAATAAGATAGTTGTTGTTCCATTTATTATCTGCATTCCCTCCCACCATCCACTGCTCCCACCCTCCGTGTATCCTCCATGGGAGCCCATTTTTCTTCCTGCCCTGGGCTCAGTGTCTGGTTCACAATCTGACATGTAATGACTGAATCATCAAATGAGTGCAGGAATTCAGGGACTGGGAATCAAGTCATATTAGAAAAAATGGGTTCTCCATTTGGAAGAAGATCTCTGGTAAGTTTAGAATTAGAAATATCGGCTTTATTCTTAAGATTCCTGGAGAAAGCAAGGCAATCGTCTTTTTTTCATAGCAAAAAAAAAAAAGAAAAAGAAAAAAAAAGAAAAAGACTTCACCATGTTTAGTCTTCGGCTAATCAGTATGGGGGAAAAACTTGATCTTCCACCTTTCTGTTATACTATAAAGTGGCCACATCCAGAGAGTTTCCTTGGAGGGTTTCTGCTACGAAGATGATAACAGCTTGGGTACTGGAGACCATTGTAGCTTTCAGGGTCATCTTGCCCCAGTGACCTCTTTATCAAGTGCCATTTAAGGCTTTAATTCACTATCTGCTTGTGTAGTTGTAGAAATTTAAAAAAAAAATCATTTCTTTGCCAGGAACCCTTTCCAAATTTGGGGCACTTGTAAGTCACACAGAGTTTTCCCAAATGCTGGGCACACCCCCAGTAGAGTACGCAGTGTCTAATTTTGTTTGAGCTACATCCAGTTTGGTTTGCCCCATGGAGCAACACAAAGAATACATCTTTTTTTCTGTGTAATAGCACTTCAAATATATGAATACATATACAAATATTACACTACATCCCTTTCATTTGTTTTCTTCAAACTAAATGTTTTCATACTTTTCTGCTTAAAAAATTAGAGTAGCTATGTTTGTTTTCTGTTTTCTTTCTGTAATTTTCTTGTCTCTCTGACTCTCAGAAATCACCAATCACATACGTAGGTTTGTTCCCTAGTCTATAATTATTGATAGCTACTAATTATTTTAATATTACTTATATTATTAATACTTATTAATCATGATAGTTAATTCTAATCATAGAAAATGCGTAGTACGCTTAACATTTTACTTTGTTTCTGGCATCGCTAAGTGTATTCCATTAAATATTTTGTTTAATCTTTATGCAATTATTATGAGGTAAGTACCAACATTGCCTGCATTTTAAAGACGAGGACACATAAAAATGTGGGCCCTTAATTTGCCTTAATGTTCCCCAGCCTTGAGAAGTAAAACTAGATTTGAACCCAGTTCTGTCTGTTCCTCATGCCTGTGCTCTTAACTATTGCACTATTTTATCCTCCCCTAGGGTATCTTAGAAAATGCTGATCTCTCTTCCCTGTATGCTACAGAGTGCTCAGTAGATCCTTGATACTTGCGCTCACTTGGGTTACAGCAATGTCTAATAGACTCAGAATGTTTCAAGCAACTGCCTGCCCCCTGTGTGCTGGGCACTAGTATTGCTAACACATAAGCACTGCACTTGAGAGGATGTTTAACTATAATATTCTCAGAAAGAGGCCAAAATCATGTTAATTTAAGACACTAAATTAATAATTAAATTTAAACTAAGTTAAATTCAAATTATTGAATTAATACAATTTAATAATGACCCTATGATATTTATTTTAATGGATTTAAATTTCTCCTAAAATTCACACGACACCTAAGCCAGTAAGAGTTGTTTTTGTTTTTTTTCTTCCTATGTGACACTTTAGTAATGGACCCACAGAGAAGCAAACAACTCCCCACGGTTTCAGTGTTCATCCTTTTGGCTTCTCACCATTTGGCAGAAATAGGAAATTACACCTTTTGAAAACTAAAAGCCATATAGCTACCAACACCTTTGTTAATAACTCTTTAGTTTGGAAATGAATCTCCTTATAACTCAAACAAAGCAATACATTTATTCACAGAGAGCTATTTCTCATAGCATTTGATAAAATTATTTTAATTCTAGCTAGACTTAGAATTGAAGTAAGCTTCTCATACTAGAAAACTGGATTCGGCCATAAATACTGGGCTCCCTTGTGTCATTTCCCCCACATTGGTAGCTGAGTTCCAGTAAAATCCATCCACCAGACTGGAAGAGGAAATACTACTCATTTATTGATTTAAATAAGATAGAACTGAAATAGGGTAGTTCATATTTTATTCTATGATCTCATACCCAATATAACAGAACCAAGATGAAATAAAATCACTTACCTGACAATAGTAATACAAAGATTATTTTTCCATACATCCTGAGATCATGAGCTGGTTCCTGAAGTTAGTGCAAAAAAACTACCAAAGACAACTGCAAGTGTCAGTGTCTGGCCTTAGCCTACTAGCTGTTATCTTCCAGGCCCACCTTCCTGCGGCCATCATCAGCTGATAGGCAGGGGAGGCATTTTAAATGATGCAAGTTGTTAAGCGCCTGTTAATAAAGATACATGGATATCTTGGGGCTGTGAAAGTGGTAAGTACAATTTTCACTGCAAGGAACAGGTGGCTACTTGTGATATTAACTTTGCATAAGTTAAATGGGCATGGTAAGGTGGTAGACAGGAGCCACCCAACTGGACAAAGAACTGGACTGTGAATCTCTGAGGCCAGGGCACGTGCCAGGCTGAGGTAGCTGTTGTGGAGCCATAGACCTTCTCATTTCTAATGTCAAGACCCGGTGGTCCAAATGAAAGTGACTTCCTATATGTGAAATGAACATATTTGAGAAATTTAAATCATTTGAGTGTTCTGAGGTTCTGCAAGACTCCCAAACTCATGGTGAGTCACACAGCAATGTAAGAGACATGAGATGCAACAAATCTTTCAGTGAAAATAGAGTTTGAACTGAAGAGCTAGTGCTGTGCAGCTATGAAACCAGTGAGCTGTTTCTGTCTGAAATATACCTTGCTAAGTAAGCATAAATGAATACCAAGACAATAAATGCAAACAGTCAGAAACAAAACCCAACAAACCAAAAACCTTATCATTAAAGTAGGTTAAAATGAAAGGTATGGAAATGTGAGGACATTAAAGGGAGACAGAACAAAAAATATAAATTAGATCTGAAATGGTTCAACAGAAGGTGACTGGATACTCCATCTAAATCATCTTACTTCCTGTAAGATTTTTGTGAAAGTCTTTCCTGCCTGACCCAGAAAATCAATTTGCTATGTAAGCAATTTGCCACATATATCATACTTACATATTTACCCAAAGTGTGGTTTAAAAAAATCATTTATGAAGTTAATGTTTGCAGCTTCAGGAAACTGGACCACAGAGAAAAAAAAGTATTTACTGGATAAAAGATGGAGATAAGTATCAGCAGAGCATCCCAGAGAGGGAGGAGCCTGAGATTGAGGCTCCTCTAATGGATGGAGGGAGTGGAGATGCAGACTTGGGAGAGACGGAAGAATGAATGACACAGACGGGGTAATCTGAGCAGCAAGAAAAGAATCCAGAGTGCCTCTTAAGGCCCTGCCAATTCATGTAAAACAACTGCAGCAAATTTTACTAAAAAGTTAAAATTAAACAATACATAATAATTTAACACCTTCCATAAAGTCAGTGTTTGTTATGGCTGGATATCAGGTTGAGTTGCAGGAATTGTGCTCAAGAGTCAACCAAGTAAAGGAAATGTTGTTGATATTCATATAAGCAGTAAGAATTAATTCACATGATTTTATATTGACAAAGGGAGAGCGATTAGCATGAGTCTTAAAAATGCTATTTCTGAAAATGGATAAATAACTGTCACTATTCTTACAATGGACTATTAGAGCAACTATTAAAATCATGTTTTCAAAAATAAAGATATAGAGACTCAGGATAAAATGGATACGTGGAAAACAGCAAGATCTCAAAATTGTATATACACAAATAAAATCCTATTTGATTCTTTTTTCCTCTGGGTTGTGCTGTCTTCACCTGGAATACACCTACTCCTTTTTAGGTGGCCTCCAATTCTGCTTAGGCTCTTAATTGAATAGTACTTCCTCCACAAAGCCTTCCCTGACTTCCTGTCTTTCTCAGGTGCCCCTGCTCTATACTTGTGTGGTTCCATCTTCTTCCCTTATCATAGGACTTATTACACTACATTGCAATCATTGTGTCTCCACTGGACTACAATTTTTAAGTGGACACACCCTGACTATGTCTATCTTATTTACCAATGAGTGCTTAGGGCACACTTGACAATAAATATTTCTCAAATCAATAAATGACAAATGAATATTGCAGTGCAAAGGAAAGCAACTTCTCACGGGCAGTCCTGGGTGTATAGGCTGATCATTTTTTATATATCCTACGGGTAACCTATGTCATATCCTAGCTTCAGGTTCCCTCCAGTATGGAGGTCCATTGCTAAGGCAGGAAGGGGAAAACGAAAAGGAAACTCAGCCTAAAATTCAGCTTTCATACCTCCTTCAGCCTGGACTGGTCAGAGTCTGAGAGTGCTTTCTTTTCCATGACCTCCCACTCTCCTTTCCTGCAGAATCACATCCTTAGCAATTTTCTAAACTCCTGTAGTGCTCACACATGCCTGTTTATTAACACCTGTCTCAGGTTGTTGTGAACAATCTGTTGCTTTGTATTTGTGGGTCCTGTCTCTGTTGTTCTGTTTCCAGCATCTGGCACAATGCCCTGTAGAGTACCTGGCCCTATTAAAGTAAGTCAAAACCTGGAGGGTTCTCAATGAGGAAATCAGAGGTCAGATTCAGCACCTCATACAGGGTGTGAGGAAGCAGAGCCATATAGTTCCCTCTAGTGGCGTATCTGCACAATGGAAGGAAAAAATGTGAGCCCCGTAAATGCAACAGAAAAAAATATACGTCAGATTACATTTTTCTCTTTCAGGCATTCCCTAATCTTCTTTAAATTTTTCAAAAATATTTTTACTGAAATACACATTCAGAATTATCATAAAATTCTGCCTAAGAGCTATATCATGCAAATTATTAGACAAATCCACATCTTTTAAGAATTTTGACTCTGCATAAAATAAAAGAAGTACTTTTGAGGCATTTGATCAAACATAAAAAACTTATCCAATTTTCCTGATACTACATGTCTTTAGGCTATTTTTTGAATTGCCTGAGTCATTTCTATGACGTAGTTAAGAAGGATGAAGTTCAATGTTATAATCTAGGAAAGGCAACTTGGATCGATCAACACAAACTTATACCTTGCTTGTTTCATGACAGAGAACCATTCATTTTTGTCAATTACTTACCTCTCAACTATTTCAGGCTTAGATTATTCCTGAAGATGGTTGCATGCTAGTCTGATCTGCCAGTGGAGAAGTGTGCTTTTCATGTTTTGCATGGAGGAGTGGAGAACAGGGGAGGGGCAGGAAAGTGGAGGCACAGTGGTTTATACTACTATCCTCCTTGGCACCTCATCGCCTTAGAATTTTCCAGCCTCCTTTGCCAGAGTAGTCTAAGAACTTTCCCTGACCTTTGTTTGTTTATCATTTGAAATTTTTTTTAAATAAAAAAACAACTACAAGGTAAGATAAATGTAACGCTCAAAATAACCCTGTTAGAGAGGCAGAACAGATATTAGCATTCTTATTTTAAATATGAGCAAACTATGGAATGGAAAAGAGACTATGAGTGTATTACTTGATTTGATTTGCCCTAAGTGTTTTTTAAACGTATGGATTTAGCTGCTAACATTTAAAAAGAAGGTATATTTTAATTAAAAATCAGGAATTGATTTAATTAAAAATTTGGCTCCTGTTACCGGAAGATCTGGCAAGAGTTAGCATGCAGTTCTACATTGTGACAATCCATGAGAGCTAAGGACTGGCTGTCTCTTGGGACAAATAGGCTTTCTTGAGTCTGGTAAGTGCTCCACCTGATGCTTGCTTCCATTTCTTAGATTAGGTTCTACTGTGGTAAGGCCTCAAAATCTCAGTGTCTTGCAGCAACACTGGTTCATTTCCTGCTCACATTACATTTGGTCTATGACGGTGACAAGTTCCAGGATCCAGACTGAAGGAGCCACCCCCATTTGGAATATGCTGTTCTTGTTGCAAACTGGGGGAAAAAGGCCAAATAAGGAATGGCTTTTAATGCTTCCTCTCAGACATGGTATGTGTTATTTTTTTTTCTCATATTCTATTAGCCAAAGTAAATCAGTGGCCAAGCTGACCTCAACGGGACAAGTAAATATAATTCTTCCAAATGGAAGTCCTCCAAGTCATAGGTCAATGGTGAGGATATATAAAACACTTACAGGAAGGGCCCTAATAATTGGGAGCGAAAACACAATCCATCACATTCATTTATACTCTTTCTAAGCTTTTGGCATTTGGGTTTGGAAATCTAATTTATTTAGGAGTCTCCTTCAACACCTTCTAGTGATGAGATTTCTTTAACCCAGTTTTCAGTTTCCTTTCTTTAAGATTATAATGAGATGTGATGTGCGTTGAAGAAACCCCAGAAGTGAGAAACTCTCATTACTACAATGGTGATGTAGACAGTGAAAAACTGTTCCCAGTTGCCTCTAAGTCCATTGTGCTATACTGCTGGAATCAGGAATCATACATGATCTTTCTGCTGAGAATTGATAGGTCCAGCTTGTTCTACATCCAAATAATAATTCAACAAATGATTTGTGAGCACCTACCGGGCACTGTGCCAAGTGTGGAAGACACAACCTTCAGTAACTCAAGTTTCCCTTCAGGAACTGACAGCTTAATTGGGAAACAAATAAAGTAAGAAGGCAATTGCATTATGGAGTGTCAAGTGGATGATAGTAGTAAGCAAAGGGTGTTATAAGAGTACATAAGAGGGGTACCTAACTCAGACTTGGGGTTCTGGAAAGGTTTTCCAGAGCAAGCAAGACCTAAAGGATGAGTAGACAAGTCACGGGAGAAGTAAGAACATTTTAAGCAGAGAAAACAGCATGAGCAATGGTCTGATACCAAGAAAGAGAGAGATAGTGCAAGAATACACAATGTAGTAGTTTTCAAAACTGTTTGAAATTTTAATCTCACATTGGTTCTTTTCAATGTCTAGTATATCAATTCATTCTGCCGTTTACCTTTGTAAAGATGAATTTAGCCCTGGTTCTCTATATGAATACTAGAGGAAGTATACTGATAAAAGAAAAGGAACAAATATGTAGTCATTTCTAAGATTTATTTTTATTAAAATGTAACACTCACAAACTAAGTGTATAACTCATATGTATATATACACACATACACACACACACACACATACATGAGTATATGTGTGAAACTGTCACTCAAATCAAGACATAGAACATTTCAGATGTATTCCAGAGATCATGGTGGATGGGAGGCAGGACTGGATTGCAGCTCCCACTTGAACAGACAAAGCAGCGTGTGGAGGCTTGTATCATGAACTTTGACTGCAGGAATAAATCAGGAAAGCTGAGAGAACCCACAGACCCTCTGAAGGAAGTGGATTGTTCCTGCAGGTCTCAGGAGACACCCCAAATGCTGTGGGAGCCCAAACTGCAAACTGTGGAAGTGGGAAAGGGGAATAGTCAGCTCCTGAACACACATCCTCACTGGGGAACCTAAAGGTCTAGATCACAGGAGAAGATTTTGACCTTACTTGGAGCTGAGTCAATTTAGAGAGCCAAGTGACATACACTGCTAGAGAAAGCAGCGCGAAAAGCCCTGTGGGCTCACTGGGTTCCCTAGCCATCCATTTCTGCCTTGCCTCACAGGGGTCCTTGAGGAGGGCTACCAGAGGCACTGGGAAATGGTCACAAAGAGAAGGAAACTTCCAGCTGAACTTTGTAACAATTTGAACAGATTGAGAAATCTCCTGGCCAGAACCTGGGGGAGGGCATGAATCCAGTGTGCAGACTCCACAGGTGGGGAAGTACCAAAGCCCTACTTGCTTTTGCAGCTGGGAGGCAGGTAGCCTGGGGCAGAATCTCAGCCCTGCTCACCCACTGCCTTGAAACAGACTCGGTGCTGTTGTAGGGGCTATGGTGGGAGTGAGACCAGCCCTTCGGGTTATGTGGGAGCTGGGTGAGGCCTATGACTTCAACTTCCCTGACAACCTGCATGGGATAAAAATCAGGGATAAAAATCACTACAGCTCTGTCCTCAGGAAGCCACATCCCTAGGAAAAGTGGGAGAGTACTATATCAAGGGAACACCCTGTGGGACAAAAGAATCTGAACAACAGCCTTGAGCCCTAGACTTTCCCTCTGACAGAGCCTACCCAAAGGAGAAGGAACCAGAAAGCCCACTGTGGTAATATGACAAAACAAGGTTTTTTAACACCCCCCCAAAATCTCACTAGCTCACCAGCAATGGATCCAAATGAAGAAGGAATCCCTGATTTACCTGGAAAAGAATTCAGAAGATTAGTTATTAAGCTAATCAAGGAGGTACCAGAAAAGGCAAAGCCCAATTTAAGGAAGTGAAAAAAAAATGATAGAAGAAATGAGGGGAGAAATTTTCAATTAAATAGATAGGATAAATAACAAACAATCAAAACTTCAGGAAAAAATGGATGCACTTATAGAAATGCAAAATGCTCTGGAAAGTCTCAGCAATAGATTCCAACAAGTAAAAGAAAGAACTTCAGAGCTCGAAGACGAGGTTTTCAAATTAACCCAAACCAACAAAGACAAAGAAAAAAGAATAAGAAAATACAAGCAAAGCCTGCAAGAAATCTGGGATTATGTTAAACAACCAAACTAAGAATTATCAGCCTTCTTGAGGAAGAAGAGAAATCTAAGTTTGGAAAACATATTTTGGGGAATAATCAAGGAAAACTTCCCAGCCTTGCTGGAGACCTAGACATCCAAATACAAGTTCAAAGAACACCTGGGAAATACATTGCAAAAAATCATTGCCTAGGCACGTTGTCATCAGGTTATCTAAAGTTAAGATGAGGGAAAGAATCTTAAGAGCTTTGAGGTAAAAGGACGAGTTAACCTATAAAGGAAAACCTATCAGATTAACAGCAGATTTCTCAGCAGAAACTCTATAGACTAGAAGGGATTTCGGCCCTGTCTTCAGCCTCTTTAAACAAAATAATTATCAGGCAAGAATTTGTATCCACCGAAACTAAGCTTCATAAATGGAGGAAAGATACAGTCTTTTTCAGACAAACAAATGCTGAGAGAATTTGGCACTACGAAGCCAGCACTACAGGAACTGCTAAAAGGAGCTATAAATGTTGAAAGAAATTCTGGAACAACATTAAAACAGAGCCTCTTTAAAGAGTAAATATTACAGGACCTATACAACAACAACAACAAACAAACAACAACAACTAAAAAACAAGGTATACAGGCAAGAAATAGCACAATGAATGGAATGGTACCTCATATCTCGATACTAACATTGAATATAAATGGCCTAAATGCTCCACTTAAAAGATACAGAATTAAAGAATGGATAAGAATTCATAAAGCAACTATCTGCTCCCTCCATGAGACTCAACTGACACATAAGGACTCACATAAACTTAAGGTAAAGGGGTAGAAAAAGACATTCCATGCAAATGCAACCAGAAGCAAGCAGGAGTAGCTTTTCTTTTTTTTTTTTAATTTTATTATTATTATACTTTAAGTTTGAGGGTACATGTGCACAACGTGCAGGTTTGTTACATATGTATACATGTGCCATGTTGGTGTGCTGCACCCATTTACTCATCATTTAGCATTAGGCATATCTCCTAATGCTATCCCTCCCCACTCCCCCCACACCACAACAGTCCCTGGTGTGCGATGTTCCCCTTCCTGTGTCCATGTGTTCTCATTGTTCAATTCCTGCCTATGAGTGAGAACATGTGGTGTTTGGTTTTTTGTCCTTGCGGTAGTTTGCTGAGAATGATGGTTTCCAGTTTTATCCATGTCCCTACAAACGACATGAACTCATCATTTTTTATGGCTGCATAGTATTCCATGGTGTATATATGCCACATTTTCTTAATCCAGTCTATCATTGTTGGACATTTAGGTTGGTTCCAAGTCTTTGCTATTGTGAATAGTGCTGCTATAAACATACGTGTGCATATGTCTTTATAGCAGCATGATTTATAATCCTTTGGGTATATGCCCAGTAATGAGATGGCTGGGTCAAATGGTATTTCTAGTTCTAGATCCCTGAGGAATCGCCACGCTGACTTCCACAATGGTTGAACTAGTTTACAGTCCCACCAACAGTGAAAAAGTGTTCCTATTTCTCCACATCCTCTCCAGCACCTGTTGTTTCCTGACTTTTTAATGATCGCCATTCTAATTGGTGTGAGATGATATCTCATTGTGGTTTTGATTTGCATTTCTCTGATGGTCAGTGATGATGAGCATTTTTTCATGTGTTTTTTGGCTGCATAAATGTCTTCTTTTGAGAAGTGTCTGTTCATATCCTTTGCCCGCTTTTTGATGGGGTTGTTTGTTTTTTTCTTGTAAATTTGTTTGAGTTCATTGTAGATTCTGGATATTAGCCATTTGTCAGATGAGTAGGTTGCAAAAATGTTCTCCCATTCTGTAGGTTGCCTGTTCACTCTGATGGTAGTGTCTTTTGCTGTGCCAAAGTTCTTTAGTATAATTAGATCCCATTTGTCCATTTTGGCTTTTGTTGCCATTGCTTTTGGTGTTTTAGACATGAAGTCCTTGCCCATGCCTATGTCCTGAATGCTATTGCCTAGGTTTTCTTCTAGGCTTTTTATGGTTTCAGGTCTAACATTTAAGTCTTTAATCCATCTTGAATTAATTTTTGTATAAGGTGTAAGGAAGGGATCCAGTTTCAGCTTTCTACATATGGCTAGCCAATTTTCCCAGCACCATTTATTAAATAGGGAATCCTTTCCCCGTGTGTTTAAAAGAATGTGATGCCTCCTCCCCACCCACTTGCTCCCTCTTGCTATGTGATACACCAGCTCTCCCTTTGCCTTCTACCATGATTGGGAAGCTTTGTGAGGCTTTCAACAGAAGCAGATGTCAGCACCATGTTCCCTGTACAGCCTGTAGAAACATAAGTCAAACTAAACCTCTTTTCTTTATAAATTTCCCAGCCTCAGGTATTCCTTTGTAGTAATGCAAAATGGACTAACATACTGGGGGAGTCACATTATCTTCTTCCAAAAGCTGTTTCAAGACCTCTCCTCAATCACCTCTTTTATCAGAGCCCTGGTCCAGGGTGTGCACTGCCCACCACTTTGCCCTACATGGAATTCATGGACAGAGCCTCTTCTCATTCCTTCCCAGGGACAGCTAACACAAGACTATCATATATGAAATAATTTTACTAAGGGTTTAGAGACAATAGAGAGGAATTCCAGCAGAGAGGAGAAAACAACACTGTGTCTGAAGCCTGCAAGCCATCTTCATAGGGAATCCCCTCTCGGTCAGCTGTCTTCTTGGTCCTGGCCTGTCACTGTATTGCTATGATTCATTCCTCAGAATTGAATTCCTTCTCCTTTTTTTCTTTACTTCCTCAGGATTCCATACTCCTGGCTTTTCCTGTATTCTTCCTCAGTTGTTGAGGAAAAGCAGAATATTCCTTAGTTTTTCTTTTTAATCCCAAATTTCTGATTCAGAAAGGTACTCTCCTACTTTATTAAGCAGGGTAATACATCTCTTTATTGACTATGTTTTATAACAAAAGTCTTTTTTAATGAAAAATCAGTTGTCTCTGTACTCCTGATAAATTCTACAGCCCCATCAAATAGTTTTTAAAATATAATATTTTTTCACCTACTCAGATAATTGCCTCTCAGTGTAACAAATACTATGGTGGAGGTAAGTGCAAAGTGAAAGCTGTTAGAGCTGGAATATAGGATCCGAGACCAGGCTGTAAACAGCTGGAGATGAGCCCCCAGCAAAGATTTTCTGCATAATGTAATATGAATTATGAAGGATAAGTAAGAGTCAACAAATAAAAAGAGAAGGGAATAGTGGAAGGAGTAAATATGGTGACTAAATGTGGAATGTGCTGGCTTTGAAAGACTGTGGAATATTCAAGTGGAGTAAATGTCCAAATATCTATGATAATTGAAATCACTGGAAAGAGTAAGTTTAGCAAAAGTGAGAGGAAATAGGGCTAAAATGTACACTGGAGAACTGAACAAAGCATAGGAAGAAGAGTGGCCATAACAGGTCCAGAGAAGGAGTGGTGTTGGAGAAAGGAGAAATACCAGAGAAGGGAGGTGTTCCTAAAGTCACAGAAGGACAAGGAAAGAGGATTTTAAGAATGGAAAAACAGTCTTCAATACTGCAGAGGGATCAAGTAAGAATGATTAAGATCATCCACAGGGTTTAACACCGGCAATGTCATCCAGGCTCTTACATGATGAAGTTCTCCTAAGATGGGTCAGAGCTTGGCAGCCAGGTGCTCAAACTGAGATTTTTCTTCTCTTGAGACTCAGATTTCTGCTTACAATGTTGTACACTCAGACATTCATTCTGAAGTTCCAAACCTGGTCATGGAAGAGCAATACATTTCTCTTTGAAGTTTCTTTCTTGAGCAATAGGACATTTATAGCACTGACTCCTGTTGCCTTTGTTATCTCACAACAATACGAGTGTCTCTCCACCTAGTAACTCCTTCCTACTAGTCTAGTCCTCAGTTGTTTTCCCCTTTACCTTTATTAGGAACTTAAGGGGAATAGGCAAGTCATAAATGAAATGAGTGTCCATTCCAGATCTATTAAAAATATAAGTCAAGTCACAATAGTTATTTGCTCAGAATCCTCTAATAGTTCCCCACTGTACTAAGAAAATCAGCCAAGGGCCTTACAGGGTCAGTCCTTCCTACCTCTTTGACCTCGTCTCCTTCAACTCTCCCCTTTAGTAATTCTGTCTTTTGGGCTGCTACTTCCACAAGTCAGACCTCAGGACCTTTTCGCTTTGATGTATCCTTCTGGAATACTCCTTTGCTATATAATTTCTTGGCTCATGTCTCTTTTAAGATCTTTACTCAAATGTCACCCTTTAAAGATAGCTCCCTTGACTAACCTAAATTGCAACCAGTCCATAACAATCTTTTTCTTACTTCCCAGCTTTAATTTTTTCTGTAGTACTCATGACCATTTAACATACTATATACTCTTTATCTCACTAGATGTAAGCTCCAGGAGAGAAGGATTTTTGATTATGTTTTTATTTCTGTATCTTCAGAATCTATAATAATTCCTGGCAGAAAATAGACTCTAAATAAATATTTGTTGAATAAATGAACGAATGAATAATAAGCTGGTCACTCCTCTCCACCTGCTCGGTCATCCCTGCAGGTATCCCCACCTGCTAATAACTCCTCTCCACCTAACTAGGGGCTTCTGTGGCCCTGGGGACCTACAGTCATCCTAAGACCATCTGACTAGTAGGGGATGGGAGAGTGGTAGTGGGGCATGAAAGGTGGGATGTAGGAGAGAACACAGAGGAAGATTTCAAAGTGGGAAGAGTTGGGGAGAGCTCAGTCAGGTTCTATTGGCTGCAAAATTGGAGATTAAAGCAAGTAAACAAATATTTATTCATAGGTGTAAGGATTTGTTTCAAGAAGGGCAATTTGAAGGGTACCGAGGGCTCCGGTCCAGTAGAGTTGATACTGCAACTTTTCCCTCAGTTCCTTTGGCTCTGCTTTTACCCTTCACTTATCCTATCTTTCTTTCAAATTTCAAACTTTTCTTTAAAAAATGCTACTGCCCTGTGTTGCCACTTTCTGCTGTCAGCTTGGTTGTTGAAGTAGAACATGCAGACAAACCACAGGAAGCTTATCTTTTGTGCAAGTCAGTAGCTGAGATGAGTTTCTTTTTTTTATTATTATACTTTACATTCTGGGATACATGAGCAGAACATGCAGGTTTGTTACCTAGGTATACACATGCTATGGTGGTTTGCTGCACCCATCATCCCATCATCTGCATTAGATATTTCTCCTAATGCTATCCCTCCCCTAGCTCCCCACCCTCGACAGGCCCGGGGTGTATGATGTTCCCCTCCATGTGTCCACGTGTTCTCATTGTTCAACTCCCACTTATGAGTGAGAACATGCGGTGTTTGATTTTCAGTTCCTGTGTTAGTTTGCTAAGAATGATGGTTTCCAGATTCATTTATGTCCCTGCAAAGGAGATGAACTGAGATGAGTTCATCTATCTATACTTTACATATGAGAGATCAGCAGGACATGCTTCCTTTTTGGGATTGAATGCAGTGGTTTGAGTAAGAGTTTTTTGAATTTTGTTATAAGGACAACTGTTTCTAAAACAACATTTTGACCCAATTGAGCTGTGTTTTTTAAATCCGTTCAGTGGAGTCTCTCTCTCTCTCTCTTTTTTCTCTGAAAGCAGATATTGACTTTAGACACAGACTCAGTCTTCCCAATACACACCAAAAAGTTGATCTGGCTGTTAAAACAACACTGACAATTCTTCAGGCAGATATTTCAAGGCTAAGTGTTTTTCCCAAGGCTGAGTATTTGATTTAAAACAACAAAACAAGCTGGCAGTTACAGGCTGGACTTGAAACATTCTCAATCAGTGATGAAGTGCATCGCGCGCCCTTGGGTTTTCTTCCCAAGGCATCTAAGAAGCAGCCAGATTTCCAGCTTGTGTGAACCAAATGGCAGCCTAAGGAAGTGACAGCACTTACCCTCTTTTGCATCAGCAGTGGTCAGTGAGTAAAATGAAGTGAGCCCCAAACTTCCTCTTAATGAGAAAAAGTGTTACTTTATCAACCAAGTTGCTCTACCAGGATACACTTAATTTCCTATATTTCCTTTAATAAAGGTGAAAAAAAACAAAGTCGATATATTGCTAGATACATGAGCTTTGCTTTAAATTAAAACCCACTTCCTTCCCAGAACCATCAGAGATGAAATCTGAGTTTATGCTCCCCCAACAAATTGGAGGACACATTTATTTCAGAATTCAACAGAAGATAGGGAAAGACTAATAGGAAGAAAAAAAAACAAGAAAGAATATTATAAATAATTTTACAGCAGAACAGGAGATTTATGTCTTTTTCCATTGTACACAAGGTTGTTTCATAATCTCTTGTGAGAGATTAAAAACTACTGAGCATACTAAGACACTTCTCTGTATTTATAACCCATTCTGAAATTGTGATTTATAACCTTGGGCCCTAATTAGTTAAGTGATATTGATAGCAGATGTGATACTTATGGAAAAATGTAACCTTGGGTGAAAGGCTCTCTCTCTCTCTCTCTCTGTGTCGGGGGTGTGTGTGTGTGTGTGCGTGCGTGCACGTGTATGTTGACCAAATAATTATAATATTTTACTACCTAGACTCTTATTCAATTATGCAAGGTGTCATGCTTTCACATACATGGCTTACTGAAGGCAAGCCTCACAATAAGCCTATGGGGACGAGGGTGTTATTATTTCTCTTTTGAAGAGAAGAGAGCTGAGTTCTGAGAGGCTGAGAGTCACACAACTAGTAGGATAGCACAAGGTCACCTGAATGCAATGACCTTTTCACTGCCCCATAAGATTTCACCCACCCATCCATCCACTCAGCATTAAATCAGAACTTCCTACATGTTATGAGTTTTTAAAAATGGTGACAAAATATACATAACAAAATTAAATATCTTAACCATTTTTATATGTATAGTTCAGTACTGTTAAGTATACTTACATCATTATGCAAGCAATCTCCAGAACTTTTTCATCTTCCTAAAATAAAACTCTATAGCCATTAAACAACTTCCCATTTCTCCCTCCCCAAGCCCCTGGCAACCACCGTTTTACTTTCTGTTTCTGTGAATCTGACTCTTGTAGATACCTCATAGAGTGGAATCATACAGAATTTGTCTGTGACTGACTTATTTCATTTCACATAATGACCTCAAGATTCATCCATGTTGCAGTGTATGTTAGAATTTCTTTCCTTTATAAAGAAGAATTTACAACATTTTGTTTATTCATTCTTCCATTAATGGACAGGTGGGTTGCTTCCACTTTTTGGCTATTGTGAATAATGCTATAATGAACATGGATGTGCAATACCTTCTTGAAACTCTGCTTTTAATTCTTTTGGATATATACCAGAAGTGGAATTGCTGGATTGCATGGTAATTCTATACTTAATCTTAAAGAAACTGCCATACTGTTCCATAGTGGCTGCATCATTTTGTGTTCCCACTAGCAAGACACAAGGATTTGAATTTCCTTACATCTTTGCCAATATTTATTTTCTGGTTTGTGTATAGTTTTTATTTGTATATATATATTTTTTTTCTGCTAGTATCTGCTCTTATTTGAATGTGTCCCTTCCAAAATTAAGGTTAAAACTTAATCC
This sequence comes from Homo sapiens, assembly GCF_000001405.40. Classification (NCBI taxonomy): domain Eukaryota; kingdom Metazoa; phylum Chordata; class Mammalia; order Primates; family Hominidae; genus Homo; species Homo sapiens. The sequence continues at coordinate 144,033,291 of NC_000004.12, forward strand.
CCAGTGTGATGATATTAAGAGGTGGGGCCTTTTTGAAAGTGATTAAGTCATGAGGGCTTCACCTTCATGAATGGATTAGTGCCTTATAAAGGGTAGGAGAAAACTACTTAGGCCCTGTTGCCCTTCCTCCTTCTGCCATGTGAGGACACAGTATTCATCCCCTCTGGAAGATGCAGCAATGAGGGGTCATCTTAGCAGCATAGAGAATGAGCACTCACCAGACACTGAGTATCAGTGCCTTGATGTTGGAATTTCCAGCCTCCAGAACTGTAAGAAATAAATATGTTTCATATTTATATATATATATATATATATATAATTCTTCATAAATTATCCTATTTGTGGTATTTTGTTATAGCAGCACTAATGGATTAATACAGTAGACATCCCCCCCGGCCTTGTTTTTTTTTTTTTTTTTTTTTGAGACGGAGTCTCGCTCTGTCTCCCTGGCCAGAGTACAGTGGCACTATCTCCAGCTCACTGTAACCTCTGCCTCCCAGGTTCCAGCAATTCTCCTGCCTTAGCCTCCTGAGTAGCTGGGATTACACACAGATGTCACCACACCCCGCCAATTTTTGTATTATTAGTAGAGACGGGGGTTCCACCATTTTGGCCAGGCTGGTCTTGAACTCCTGACCTCAAGTGATCCGCCCGCCTCAGCCTCCCAAAGTGCTGGGATTACAGGCGTGAGCCACCGTGCCTGGCCCAGTAGCCACCCTAATGTGGTTTGGATTTGCATTTCCTAATGACTAGTGATGTTGAGCATCTTTTCTTGTTTCTTGGCTACCTGTATTTCATTTTTGGAGAAGGTTTATGCAAGTTCTTTGACCATCTTTTGACTGAATGTGTTGCTGAGTTGTAGGAATTCTTTATATATTCTGATATTAACCCCTTAGCAGACATGATTAGTAAATATCTTCTCCAATTGGACATGGGTATTTATATATTTCATATAGTTTTTATGATAACCCTGCAAAGTGCCCACTTTATAGGGGAAATAATTGAGGTAGAAATCATTTCATGAACTTGTCTAGGGTTTCTCAGTCAGTGCCAGGTGTCATACTGTCACTGTGGATTTCTGTTTCCAAAGCAAGTGTTCTTTCTACTACATCCTGCTGTCTGAACACATTTCTTAAAATATTTCTATCCTTTAAAAATAAAAGCAAAAAGAAAAAAGGGAAAAACAATACAAGAAAAATAAACCAAAAAACTTGATGAAGTTTTAGGCAAACACAATTATAAGTAAAGGTACATTAAGCCATGTTTATGGTAGGACTGTTACATGATGAGTATAAGGTAGTTTTCACCTTTATTGTGCTACATTTAATGGTTCGTAAGATCCTCTTTCAGTGAGCTTCCCAATAATGTAGTCATTACTGCAAGTTAACATTTTCCTTGACTAAGAGGCAGAGGACTCCTTATGCACTGGAGTACCTGTGAGGTGTTTGGTGGAGAGGAGGTTATCTCATATTTCCAGGTCACACAGTAAAAAAAAAGCGGGATGATTGAAATTCTATGGAGCATACTTTATCTGATTCTTCAAAGTAAAATAAATGCTATTGAATGACACAGAATCAGTTTTATATTCATTTAAAAGATGCTAAAGAACAAAAGACCAAGTCTAATTACTTAGATACCTAAAGTTCCATATTTTTAACTTCATTTACTTCTGTAAAGACAAGTATTTGCATAGAAAAATTTCTCTACAGAAAATGCCAGTTTCCTGAAGGAGGAAATTGATTCCTGAAAGCATTAAAAAGGTGAATAGAGATGAGAAGGATTTTTAAGGACAGTAGGCCATAGAACTACATGGCATCTCCAAGAGACCTCAAATTTCTTTTTGGGCTCCACAGCCTTTTCTTAGCGATCAGATCCCGCTCTTAAAGTTTTTTCTGAGACCCCAAGGAACCCCATCTCCTTGGGCCCAGAGTAGATAGGGTGAGTATACTTAACAATAATTTATTTTGTATATTTCAAAATAAATAACTATAAAAGTAGATTTGGAATGTTCTCAACACAAAGAAATGATCATAAATGTTTGAGGTAATGAAAATCCTAATTACCAAGATTTGATCCTTACACATGGCATGCTTGGTCAAAATATCGCATGTATCCCATAAATATGTACAACTGTCAAGTACCTATGAAGATTAAAAACCAAAACAATGAATTGACTGTATTAGTTTTTTTTTGTTGTTGCTGTAACAAATTACCATGAACTTAGTGGAATAAAACAAGAATTTATCTTAAATTTCTGGAGGTCAGAAGTCCAAAATGGGTCTCACTGGGCAAAAATAAAAGTGTTGGTATGGCTGGGTTCTTTCTAGAGACTCCAGGGGAGGTTCTGTTTCTTGCCTTTTCCAAATTCTATAGGTCACTCACATTTCTTGGCTTATGGCCTCTTTCTCCATCTTCACAGTCAGCAACATCAGACTGAGTCTTTTCATGCTGTCATCTCTATGATTCTCTCCTTTGGCCTCCCTCTTCCACATTAGGGACCCTGTGTTTACATTGGGCCCACCTAGATAATCCAGGATAATCCACCCTTCTCAAGGTCAGCTGATTAGCAACCTCAATTTCATCTTCAGCCTTACTTCCCCTCTGCCATGTAACAACATATTCACAGGTTCTGGGGGTTGGGATGCAGACCTCTTGGGGTAGGACATTACTCTGCCTATCATATTGACTGAATGAACAAAATGGAAAAAATAAGCTTTGCCTAATCATCTATGTTTTTTTGATTCAAACAATGATTTTGAATTTGATAATGTACAAAGACCTAAAACTTCAAAATAAACCAATATACTGGAAGATTGTATCCATCACCTTAAAAAGTTGATTAAATATCTCATGACTTTAAAAATAATAAATTTCAATGATAATGGAAGATCAAAAACAATTGATTTCATAGACTATTTAGATCTATATTCTGTAGATATAGAACCAAGCACTTTTACCAGAAGAAAGAAACCCAGCTATGCAAAGGCTTGAAACCATTGTTTTTATTTTATAACTGGCCTGCTGATCATCATAAAATAATTAATATGGACTGAGGGAATGCCCCAAATCTCAGACATGTTATTTCCTATCAACTTTGGATACAGATCCTCTGCTGGAGCAAGCCAAATGAACTACAGTGTTTCATCATTATTCTGCTGGGAATCATGCTTAAAGATCTATGCTAAAATTTCATTTAAAAAATTTCTGTGACATACAACAATGAACTCTGTTCTTTCTACCAATAACCTCGTTGACTGACACTTTCATAATCAATATAAGCACTTAACTGATTATCCACCCCCATCAACCTAGAATCCATTTCACCCCACAAAGTAATCCAGTTTTTATACCTTTTTCCCATCAAAGAAATAAAACTCTACAGAAACACAAACTGTTTGACTCCAATCTGAAGGGCATGTACAGTTACCTACTGAGATTTCAAAAGAGTTACTAATAGCATCTAGAATATGACATTCTCTCATGTCAAAATGCACCTTGGACCAGTTTTCCCAAATCAAACCCACAAGACAGTTTTGCATCCTGATGCCTGCTACATCTACATGACAAAAATGACCAAATCAGGAATAGTAATAATCTCATTTGGAATTTATAATCTCACATTTCTTCTTCATTATAATCTCAGTCATGAGAGTTCTTATTTGTCAAGTTTTCTTTTGAGATAGCACTATTGTGGATGGCTTCCAAGTTTTAAGGCACAGTTGAAAGCCATGCCCCTGAAAATAGATTTCTAATTCACATCATACTGCTGTATTTGTGGACACTTGTCATCTCATGTTCATGCAAGTATACATCAGAAATCTGTCAATTCTGGCAGCAATTTCTTATTTTCCACATTAATCTTTTTAGTCTAAATTAGAGCTTCCCATGCCTCATCTTACTTCAATATTGAGAACCTATCCCCATTTTACAGGTAATGAAAATGAGGCTAAGCAAAGTGAATACACCTAAAGTCATACTGCTAGAAATGGCAGAGTGGGGATTCTCACAGGCTCTGAGGCATGCGTCCAAGCTACACCCACCACATGTGCTGTGTCCTAGTGCATCTCTCAGGGAGGCTGGGACCAGGGGAAGTGAGGAGAGAAGGTGATAGTTTTCCCAGGACACCTGGCCTCTACTTGCTCTTTAAATCCTTCTTTGGAGGGTCACAATCCACACTTGGGAAAATGGTCTGAGGAATAAGTATTCATTTAGTAAGATTTATGCCCTGAAGTCTTCTCTGTATTTTATTAGTAGGAGAGCAAATAGGAGGCCTCTGATTGAGAGTTGGTCACACACAGTGCTCACTCTGTCACAATATGGTGAAGTCCCCCTCTCTGAAACATCTAAGCACTGATCTTGACTAAATGCAAACAATTGTTCAGCATTCTATTATTTATATGTTTTTAAAACTTTTAATTGTAGTAAAAAGCACATATGAAATTTGCCTCATTAACCATTCTTAAGTCTATAGTAATGCCCATTTCTTCCTTCTCCTACCCCCCCGGCAACAACCATTCTACTTTCTATTTCTATTAAGGGGACTGTTTTAGATCCCTCATATCAGTGGAATCATACAAATTCATTTCTTTTGTGATGGACTTACTTCACTTAGCACAAGATCCTCAAGGTTCATTCATGTTGTAGCCTGAATGGTATCTCATATATACCAGCTTTTATCCATTTATCTATTGATGGGCACTTGGGTTGTTTCTGCCTCTTGGTTTTTGTGAATAATGCTGTTATGAACATGGGTGTACAATATCTTCTTGACACTCATATATCTAATAAGTAGTTAATACCCAGATTAGATGAAAAACTCCAGTAACTCACAACAGCCAAAAAAAAAGCAATTAAATAATGGAAAGGAACTTGAATAGAGATTTCGCCAAAGATGACATACATATGGCCAAAAGTATATAAGAAGATGCTCAATATTGTTAATCATTAAGAAAATGCTAAGCAAAACCACAATGAGATATCACCTCACACCGATTAGAATTTCTATTAACATAAGAAAATCAGAAAATAACATGTGTGCTTATATATTTTAACATTCATCAGTTTTTCATTGGTTTGATACACTAAAATAAAGCATTCTATGAATTTATAATGTCATGCAAATAAAAATGTGCTCCAGTTATTGTTTGATGACCTCTGGTCATGGCCTCTCATTCACTGGGCAAGAGGAAGCCCAGAACCAATAACAGAAGCTCAACATAGTTCTGCAGCACCTTCACAAATTCTGTACTCAGCATGGTTGTCTTATTACTTTTCTGGTCTTTAGGTTGGAACAAGAAAGTAGTCTCAGCCCTGGATTCTTTATGTCCTTGAAAGAGTTATTGACATATATTGTTTTCCTTTTTTGATTAGCATCATAGTTCATAGAATCTTCTAGGCTTGTAGGATCTGTTGCTTAGTTTATAATAAACAAAGGTCTACCTAGCTCATATTGTTCTTTTGTGAAAAGTAGAAAAAGATGGCCTATTTGGAAAAACTCACCCTCATGGGCCATGTCTTAGTAAGCAGAATGTGGGACTGAACTCAGCATCCCCATACCCATTCACTCAGATGCCCTTTTGCAATGGCCCAGGAGAGTAATTTTAGACATTAATTCCTCTTAGAAGATTTAAACAATGTAGTAGTTTGTAACATCACATAATTAGATCTCAAAACAAGCCTTCTGTATTAGTCCGTTCTCACATTGCTATAAAGATCTACCTGAGACTGGGTAATTTATGAAGAAAAGAGGTTTAATTGACTCAGTTCCACAGGCTGTAAAGATAGCATGGCTGAGAGGCCTCAGGAAACTTACGATCATGGCAGAAGGTGAAGGGGAAGCAAATACATCTTACCATAGTGGAGCAGGAGAGAGAGAGAGTGAAGGGGAAAGTGCTACACACTTGTAAGCCACCAGATCTCATGAGAACTCACTCACCATCATAAGAACAGCATGGGGAAAATCCACTCCAGAAAATCCACTCCCATGATCCAATCACATCCCACCAGGTCCCTCCCCCAAAACTGGGAACTATAAATTGGCTTGAGATTTGGGTAAGGATACAGAACCAAACTGTATAATTCTGTTCCTGGCCCCACCTAAATCTCATGTTCTTCTCACATTTCAAAACAAAAGCAACATGACTTCTCAACAGTCCCCCAAGTCTTAGCTCATTTGAGTTTTAACTCAAAAGACCAAGTCCAAAGGGTTATCTTAGACAAGGCAAATCCCTTCTGCCTATGAGCTTGTAAAATAAAAACAAGTTAGTTACTTCCAAGTTACAATGGGGATACAGGCATTGGGTAAATGCTCCCATTCCAAAAGGGAGAAATTGGACAAAACAAAGGGGCTACAGGCCCCACGCAAGTCCCAAACCCAGCAGGGCAGTCATAAATCTTAAAGCTCCAAAATAATCTCCTTTAACTCCATGTCTCACATCAAGGGCACACTCATGCAAGGGGTAGACTCCCAAAGCCTTGTGAAGCTCTGCCTTTATGGCTCTGCAGGGTACAGCCCCTGTGGCTGCTTTCACAGGCTGATGTTGACTGCCTGCAGCTTTTCCAGGAGCATGGTGTAAGCTGTCAGTGGACCTACTATTCTGGGGTCTGGAGGATGGTGGCCTTCTTCTTACAGCTGCACTAGGGAGTGCCCCACTGGGGACTCTGTGTGGTGGCTCCAACCCCACATTTCTCCTCTGCACTGCCCTAGTAGAGTTTCTCCATGAGGAGAAGTCTGCCTGCAACAGGCATTTTAATACATCCTCTGAAATCTAGGCCGAGGCCCCCAAACCTCAACTCTTCCCTTCTGTGCACCTGCAGGTTCAACACCATGTGGAATCTGCCAAGGCTTGAGGCTTGCACCCTCTGAAGCAATGGCCCAAACTGTACCTTGGCCCCTTTTAGCCACAGCTGGAGCTGGAGTGACTGGGATGCAGGGTTCCATAACCTGAGGCTGCACAGAGCAGCAGGACCCTGAGCCCTGCCCACAGAAGCATTTTTCCCTCCTAGGCCTCCAGGCCTGTGATGGGAGTGGCTGCTGTGAAAGTCTCTGAACTGTCCTGGAGTAATTTTCCCCATTGTCTTGGCAATTAACATTCAGCGCCTCTTTATTTATGCAAATTTCTGAAGCCAGCTTGAATTTCTCCCCAGAATGGGTTTTTCTTTTCTACCACATATTCAGGCTATACATTTTTCAAGCTTTTACCCTTTGCTTCCCTTTTAAACATTTGCTTACGCAAATAAGTGTAAGTTTTTAAAAGCAGCCAGGCCACGTCTTGAATGCTCTGCTGCTTAGAAATTTCTTCCACCAGATACACTAAATCATCTTTCACAAATTCAAAGTTCCACAGATTGCTGGAGCAGGAACACAATACCACAAGTCTTTTTGCTAAAGCATAGCAAGATTGACCTTTACTCCAGTTCCCAATAAGTTCCTCATCTCCATCTGAAACTACCTCAGCCTGGACTTCACTGTCCATATCACTATCAGCATTTTGGTCACAACAATTCAACAAGTCTCTAGGAAGTTCCAAACTTTTTTTTCACCTTCCTGTCTTCTTCTGATCCTTCCAATCTGTTCCAGCCTCTACCCATTACCCAGTTCCAAAGTCATTTCCACAGTTTCAGGTATCTTTATAGCACTGCCTCACTTCTCTGGTAACAATTATCTTTATTAGTTTATTCTCACACTGCTGTAAAGAACTACCTGAGACTGAGTAATTCCACAGGCTGTATAGGAAGCACAGCTGGGAGGCCTCAGGAAACTTAAAATCATGGTAGAAGACAAGGGGGAAGCAAGCACATCTTACCATGGCAGAGCAGGAGAGAGAGAGTGATGGGGAAAGTGCCACGTATTTTTAAAAAAACAGATCTTGTGAGAGCTCATTCACTATCACAAGAACAGCAAGGAGAAAATCCACCCCCATGCTCCCATCACCTTCCACCAGGTCCCTCCACCATCATGGGGAATTACAATTTGACATGAGATTTGGGTGGGAGACATAGAGCCAAAGCATATTACCTTCTTTTATGACTTGATTTTTATAAGTTTTTAATCCCTCATTTTCTTTTATGACTAGACTCCCTATGTGACTAATCTGAGCTACTTTTGTGCTGTGATGCCAGGAGGTGAATTTCTCAAAAGAAGCTGGCATCTCTGATTCAAAGAGCAACACAAGTGAGGAGGATTCCCAAAGGGCTAATACCATAGCATTTTAACTAATGGGGGCTACTCTTCATTTGCTATGGCCAGATTACAATCTTTAGCAATCCTCTACTTGTTCAGAAAGCTTTTTCTTTCTCTGTATTTAATTTTTGTGTGTATCCGAGATCTTTCTATTATTTAATCCTGTGTCCCTGGAGGACATGACACAGACTCCTTCCCTGCTCAGAGAATTAAATATTTGAAAGAACAAGTTAATGAACACATTCTTACATTGTTCTCAAGATGTTACATGAAATGTAGGCCAAATAGATCTTGTTGACCATCTGACTCAATTTTATAAATGAAAAAAGTGTAGCCCTTGATATGAATGGATGGAATTGAATCTTTATGCTTTGGTTATTTTTAATCAACATTTTATTCTAAAAGGCCATTTCAGACCATATGTAAATGGACTAAAGAAATTAAAGTTCAAGACCTTGACTTCTTTCGAATAAATTGTCAAATATATTATAATACTCAAGTATTGGGTGTATTTGAAATTAATTTGAATATTTTAGGTCACTCACTAAGAAAAAATAAAATAGTAACTTAAAATAGAAACTTTGAATCGGCAAAATTTATTTTATTTTTCTCTTCATATTTGCTATTTTAATCATTATTAAGATTTTACTTATATCTAAAGATTTCTTTGTTTACAGTAATAATATCACATTAAGGAATATAGACCAATTAAGAAAGCACATTCTTTAAATAACTCTATTGATGGCTACAACATACACTTTCAGTCTTTAAAGTATTGTTTCATGCTATGAAATCACTTAATAGCTTCAGAGAATGAGATAAAGAAGTGCAGTTGTTTCTCTAAGGTAATTCAAGGTTGACTCTGCAAAACAAGCAATAGTAGGTATAACAAATCTGTTTCTTTGAAGCAAGAGATGGTGTTAATGTTAGGACAGTCTAGGAAACAGACAGACTCCTAGTTAGCATGGTAATTATGAATTTTTAATATCACCTAAGACCCATAAGGTCTCACCATCCCAAACAAAAAATAAGTATCATTTCTAATGTGTATTTTCTTCTCTTTATGCTAATTATCTTTTTACCCAGTCAACAGTCTTATTTCATCGTATAGCAAATATAATTTTCCCATATTGTTGATTGCAGACTACAAGTCAGATATTACTGTGAGGCTTTGGTTTTTACATCTTTGATAGAAGATATTATTTAACCTCAGTTTTACCTACTGGCTCTTGCCTGTCAACTTACTGCTTAAAGAACATCCAACTTATAAGGGCTGTGAAGGACCTCTTCAAGGAGACCTACAAACCACTGCTCAATGAAGTAAAAGAGGACACAAACAAATGGAAGAACATTCCATGCTCATGGATAGGAAGAATCAATATTGTGAAAATGGCCATACTGCCCAAGGTAATTAATAGATTTGATGCCATCCCCATCAAGCTACCAATGACTTTCTTCACAGCATTCTAAAAAACTAAAGTTCATATAGAATGAAAAAAGAGCCCGCATTGCCAAGTCAATCCTAAGCCAAAAGTACAAAGCTGGAGGCATCATGCTACCTGACTTCAAACTATACAAGTCTACAAAACAGCATGGTACTGGGACCAAAACATAGATATAGACCAATAGAACAGAACAGGGCCCTCAGAAATAATACCACACATCTACAACCATCTGATCTTTGACAAACCTGACAAAAACAAGAAATCGGGAAAGGATTCCCTATTTAATAAATGGTGCTGGGAAAACTGGCTTGCCACATGTAGAAAGCTGAAACTGGATCCCTTCCTTACACCTTATACAAAAACTAATTCAAGATGGATTAAAGACTTAAATGTTAGACCTGAAACCATAAAAACCCTAGAAGAAAACCTAGGCAATACCATTCAGGACATAGGCATGGGCAAGGACTTCATGTCTAAAACACCAAAAGCAATGGCAACAAAAGACAAAATTGACAAATGGGATCTAATTATACTAAAGAGCTTCTGCACAGCAAAAGACACTACCATCAGAGTGAACAGGCAACCTACAGAATGGGAGAAAATTTTTGCAACCTACTCATCTGACAAAGGGCTAATATCCAGAATCTACAATGAACTCAAACAAATTTACAAGAAAAAAACAACCCCATCAAAAAGTGGGCAAAGGATATGAACAGACACTTCTCAAAAGAAGACATTTATGCAGCCAAAAGACACATGAAAAAATGCTCATCATCACTGGCCATCAGAGAAATGCAAATCAAAACCACAATGATACCATCTCACACCAGTTAGAATGGCGATCATTAAAAAGTCAGGAAACAACAGGTGCTGGAGAGGATGTGGAGAAATAGGAACACTTTTACAATGTTGGTGGGACTGTAAACTAGTTCAACCATTGTGGAAGACAGTGTGGCGATTCCTCAGGGATCTAGAACTAGAAATATCATTTGACCCAGCCATCCAATTACTGGGTATATACCCAAAGGAATATAAATCATGCTGCCATAAAGACACATGCACACATATGTTTATTGCAGCACTACTCACAATAGCGAAGACTTGGAACCAACCCAAATGTCCATCAATGATAGACTGGATTAAGAAAATTTGGCACATATACACCATGGAATACTATGCAGCCATAAAAATTGATGAGTTCATGTCCTTTGTAGGGACATGGATGAAACTGGAAACCATCATTCTCAGGAAACTATAGCAAAGACAAAAAACCACACCACATGTTCTCATTCATAGGTGGGAATTGAACAATGAGAACACTTGGACACAGGAAGGTGAACATTACACACCGGGGTCTGTTGTGGGGTGGGGGAGGGCGGAGGTATAGCATTAGTAGATATACCTAATGTAAATGATGAGTTAATGAGTGCAGCACACCAACATGGCACATGTATATATACGTAACAAACCTGCACGTTGTGCACATGTACCCTAGAACTTCAATAAAAAAAAAAACTCAAAAAGAAAAGAACATTTAGAAGTATAGGCTCCATGATTATTGATCATACTCAGCAAAGCACTGGCCTGAGGTACACCTAAATCAATCTTCACACTTTCCTGCTTAAATTGACTAACAACTCCACGAAAAATAGACTTATTTACAAAGGAAATGAGATCTCTTGCTCTAAAGTTTTAGATTAACCTTGAGATAGCTGTGCCTTTTTGTGTTAGAGCACAATTATTTTATAAAGATCATGAAATGGCTACAAGATGTGCTCTGAGAACTAAGCGTTCGGACAGTGAAGTGTGTGCTGATTTGCATAGGAGATATATGCTTCTAAAAACTCATAATGAAATAATATATTCATTGTAGGCATGACTTTTTCATAATTGATGTGGGTAGAGATGAGATTAATAAAAGAATAAAACCTCCTAGAAATTTAACAGAGTTTGAATAATATTTAAAACCTTAAATTATTTTGATTTATAGCAGATCCAGAAATTCTAACCGTTTGGCATGGTATTTTAAAGCTGAAAGAAACCATATAGTCTATTTTCCTTAGTTTACAAATGAGAAAAGTAAAGGTCAGAAAAATAAAATAGTCAACAACCAAGTAAGAATTGAAACTTGGGTCTCTGGCAGTGGAAATACTTATATTTCAACCACAAAATTCAAAAATAGCAACTTGATACTGATATTGCTGTGAGGTCCTTTCTGAAATTCCTCAAATATTCCATGCTTTAGTCACTCCACCAGAACAATCTGATCATAAATACTTCAGTCTCTGAGTTCTGTTGTCCAGTGATCTATACAAAACATTCATGATGAGGCAGGGGATACTAGTTCATTTGGACTTTTGAAGGATATTCAAATGCAAGAGAAAAGGAAGCCAAAGGGAGTGGGCAGCAGATGACAAAATGAGAGAGGGACTAGGAAAGTAGGTGTTGGAGAAATTATGTGGAGAAAACCCAAGGCCATGGGGTTGAATAGGGGATTGAGGTTAATTTGAGGGCCTGAATCAATTATGGGATTCAATGTGAATTACCTTGTTAATTAGGTAAATGTGGGACCAATCAAATGACACTGGAGTGAAGAGTAAAATGAGCGCACTTATCTGGAACCTCTTTAAAATCATCAATGTCAGTTAACGCAATATTTGTGGTTTGAAACTGAGCTGAGTCAACTCTTGTATAGTTTGGCTATTGATAAGGCTTTTCTTTAAAAGCACAAGTTCAGGAACATAAACATCATTTATTCCCAATTAAAACTGAGTAGTTATTGTAAAGTGTTGTAATTCTTGTTTGTTTTGAGTTAAAGAATATTTTGTAGCATCAATAATGGCAAAAACGTGAATATAATAATTGTCAATATGTAAATTACTCTAAGCAGCAAAAAGGTTTAATTGCCATTTTATTAAATTTTACTTACTCTTATAGAATGAGGTAAACTGTTTGATTGTCTGAAAGTTCACTTTATTAACAGAATGAAAATTTGAAGAAAATGTTTATAAGTTGAGGTTGAAAGAAAAAGGGAAAGAAAAATTCTAGCTATTTATCTTGAACTTTTCATTAGTGACCCTGTAGCCCTTTTTCCACAATCACTCTGACCATTGCAACACTTACTTTCCTAAAGTTTTCATAGTATTTTGTGTGGACAACCTCTAGAGAATTCAAAAGAAAATGGTAATGTAATAAAGGACACACTAATTGGCAGTGTCATGAGGAGTCATTGAGAATAAATTCCAAAGTGTGAGAATTGTGGTCTCTCAGGGAAATTGTTTTTAATTCTTCAAATGTTTACTTTATTGAACTACAGGAGACAAATAGGTGCAACAACCAATATAGCTGTGTCCTTAAAATATAAAATAGTGTGGATATTACATACATAAGAGAGAAAAATCTTCCTAAGTAGATCCCCATTAATTATAATAAGATATATTCAATATATAAATTGAATACTTACTATACTTTATGCTCAGTATTTTTTATGCATTATCACCTTCAATCTTCCAGCTCGATGAAATGTGTATCATTTTCCTTATTTTACAGAAGGAAACAAGCTTAGGGATGTTAAGCAATTCTTCCAAGGCCACATGAGCTGGGTTTCATGTGTAAACATAGTAATAAACTCTTATTACCAAGATAATATCTGTGGTTATCATGAACTTCAATAGATGTGACATCTAGGCAACTTGAAATAATTGGAGGAGAATTATGTGACAGGTGCTGTCACAGAGAAGCCTTAGATTCGAGGGCAAATTTGGGGGCACAATCTTCAAAGGATAAAGAGGTGAATATGGGCCATTGTATAAATGTTACCATCTTTACTAATAGAGCTTCTCTGAAGTTCTTGGGGGAAAAAAAGACCCCAGAAGGGATTACTGTCCCTAGAGTACTGCTTCTGGCAAGATTTATGTAAAGTTGAAGGCTCTTTTGAGGGAAGACGACAGGGAGAAGTCAAAGAGAGCTTTCTCTCATTCATGTCAGGGAGACATCCATGTTGCTACTCTCTCAACTTTACTCCATTGTAATTATAATAGTGGAAGGAATGAAATTTGTTATACACTTCTGACACGGAATTGACTTACGTTGCCAAAAAATTCTGGTTGACTATGGTAATCATGTTCAATGGATCAACTGAAAAGACCATACATCATTATGTGTTTTAGCTCTAGAGGACTCCTGTGAGTGAGGGTACATTTAAATAATATGCCAAAAAAACCTAGTAAAGTAGAAAACTAACAGATTTTTGTGTACAAGCATAAAGGAAATACATTTACTATGCTGTTAGTTGATTTTGTCATATCTGATTCTGCAATTGCTAAACAAATAATAGAAAATGAATATTACAATCTGTTTAATTTAAAAATGAATGAAAAGAAAAGTAGATATAAAATAAAGCTGTGAGAAGACATGGTTATTTTTGTCTTCGTGTTTTTTTTTCCACCAAGAATTCATCCATGTTTGCTCTAGGAAATAATTTAGAATTTATGTAGATTTCTCACTCAAACTTAAAAAAAAATCCTTAAAGGCTTAGAAAATTTATGCATAGTGTCTTTCCAAAATTTTTTTTTGAAAAAATTTACTTTTGCTATTATTTAATGTTCTTCATCCACACCAAAATTCATATTGAGGCTTGATCCCCAGTGTAATAGTGTTGAGAGATGGTGGGATCCTTAAGAGGTGTTTGGGTCATAAGGGATCTGCCATTATGAAGAGATTAATCCCATCTCTTTTGAGTGAGTGTAGGTCTGGAATAGCTACCCGAGAGTGAGTTGCTATAAATCAAGGTCATCCTTCATGTTTTGTCTTCATTGCATGTGCCTGCTTGCTGTTCTTGCATGTGTTCCTGTCGTGTGATGCCATCACTATGTTGTGATGCAGCATGAGGCCCTCACCAGATACAGCCACCTGATCTTGGACTTCACAGCCTCCAGAAATGTGAGCTAAATAAATCTCTATTCTTTATAAATTACTCAGTCTCAGGTATTCTCTTGTAGCCACAGAAAATGGACTAACATAACTTCCTTAATATTGGCTTGTTTTTTCAAAAAAGTATATATTTCTGTAGCACATTTTTTAAAAAGAATATAATTGAATGCAAAATGTAAATGAATGTAATTACCATTACTGACCATTATCACAGTGGGCAGCATCTTCTTATCATCACTAGAGCAGCGGTCCCCAAGCTTTATGGCATCAGAGACTGGTTTCGTGGAAGACAATTTTTCTGTGGACCGGGGCAGGAGGAAGATGATTTGGGGATGAGACTGTTCTACCTCAGATCATCATCAGATCATCAATTTTTTTTCTTTCTTTTTTTTTTTTTTAGACAGAGTCTCGCTCTGTCACGCAGGCTAGAGTGCACTGACGCAATCTCGGCTCACTGCAAGTTCTGCCTCCTGGGTTCATGCCATTCTCCTGCCTCAGCCTCCCGAGTAGCTGGGACTACAGGCACCCGCCACCATGCCCGGCTAATTCTTTGTATTTTTAGTAGAGATGGGGTTTCACCGTGTTGGCCAGGATAGTCTTGATCTCCTGATGTCGTGATCTGCCCTCCTCGGCCTCCCAAAGTGCTGGGATTACAGGCGTGAGCCACCGCGCCTGGCCCAGATCATCATTCTCCTAAGGAGCATGAAAGCTCGCATGGACGTTTCACAATAGGGTTCACACTCCTATGAGAATCTGATGCCACCGCTGATCTGACAGGAGATGGAGCTCCGGCGGTAATGCTCACTCGCCTGCCACTCACTTCCTGCTGTGTAGCCCAGTTTCTAACAGGCCACAGATAATACCTTGAGGTTTAAGCTCTGTAGATTAGCTTTGACTCTCCTTGTACATTATATAAATATATAAATGGAATCTCATAGTACATACTCTTTTGTGTCTGGCTTCTTTCACTCAATGCTGTTGAGAGATTCATCTATGTGGTATGTTGCTACACATGTTTATTTCATGGCTACATGGTGTTACACTGAATAAATATACTAGAATATATTTGTTCTACTGTTGACAGACACATGAATTTTCTCCAGTTTGAGGCTATTAAGAATAACGGTGTCATAAGCACTTTGTAAATGTCTTTCAGTTCACATTTGTACACACTTCTGTCAGGCGCAGATCTACAGATGGAATTGCTGGGTGATATGATATGCAAACATACAGCTTTAGTAGATACTGGCAAACAGTTTTCCAAAGGGATTATACCAATTTACACTCCCATTAGCAGTGACTTCGAGTTCCAGTTGCTCTGTCCATATCCTTTACAATACTTGACATATGAGTCCTTTTGTATTTTGACCATTTTGTTTGATATGCAGTGGTATGTCATTTTAGCTTTAATTTCTGTCTCCCTGAAAGTTAGCAAGACTAAATTTGCCTATCTTAAAATCAAGTTTTCTGTCTTTTTGAAAAAATTGATTTTTCTAAGTTCTTGATATACTCTCAATATGAATTCTTTCTTTGTTATATTTATTGCAAATAATAGCTCTGAGACTTGCCTTTCACTTTCTTGTGTCTTGTGATAAACAGGAGTTCTTAATTTTAACGTGGTCCAATTTCTCAATTTCTCAGTCTTTTCTTTTATGGCTAGTGCTTTTTGTGCTCTGCTTAAGAAACTTTTGCCTACCCAAAAGCCATAAAAATACTTTCTAACATTTTTTTTTTAGAAAGTCTATTTTTTCTTTCATACTAATCTTCAATTCACCTAAAATGGTATATAGTATGAAGGAAGGGTTAATACTTTTCACTATGGATATTCTACTGACTCAGCATAATTTCTTTTTTCTTTTCTTTTCTTTTTCTTTTTTTTTTTTTTAGAGACAGAATCTCACTCTATCACTCAGGCTGGAGTGCATTGGCACGATCTTGGCTCATTGCAACCTCTGCCTCCTGGGTTCAAGTAATTCTCATGCCTCAGCCACCCAACATAGCTGGGATTACAGGTGTGTGCCACCGAGCCAGTCTAATGTTTGTAATTTTAGTAGAGATAGGGGTTTTGCCATGTTTGCTAGGCTGGTCTTGAACTCCTGGCCTCAAGTGATCAGCTTTGGCCTCCCAAAGTGGTGGGATTACAGGCGCGAGCCACTGTGCCTGGCCTGACTCAGCATAATTTATTTTAAAAAACGGTTTTCCCTTGTTTATAGCAGCAACATGGTAATAAATCAAGCATCTATATATGTGTGGGTCTTTTTCAGAATTGTTTTTTACTACATTGGTCTACTTGTCCATGTGTACTCCAGTTCCACAGTTTTAATTATAGTAACTTTATAATTTATATTGCTATCTTGTAGTAAAAGTCCTCTGACTTCCTCTTTTCTTTGTCAATATTGTCTGGGTTTTATGTGGCTCTTTGCAATTTCAAATAATTTTATAATGAGCTTGTTAAATTATATGAAACATTCTACTGGTATTATACTTGGTATTGTGAGAAACAAACCTACCTGTCCAAACCCGAAGAATGGACTCAGAGACCTGGAGTACAGATAAAGTGAAACTTGTAATGATGCTCTTTCAAGAATTGGGTGTCTGATGTGCAGGCACACACAGCACAGTTTTAACAAGCAATTTAACCCCTAGTGTGCAGGTCCCTCTCCCGGTTTTTCATAGGCTGAATACAAGGGGGTCACAATCTTCCTGGATGTCACCTATTGATTGTTGGGCAGGGACTTTAGGTGTTTGTTTGTTTGTCTGTTTGTTTTTAGGGTTGTTTTGCTGCATTTTGTTGCAGCCCACAATGCATTGCAATCCTAGTTAGCTCAGGGGCTCTTCAAGTATTTAACTTATGACCTAAGTAGCTGGGCAGGCTAATAAAAACAGACAAAATGAACTATTTTGCAGGCTAGTAAACTTTTATCTTAGACTAAACTTCTTTGGTTCTGGTGAAGGCAAGGAAACAGAGTTGTGGGGGTGGAGTGGGGGAGGGGGAGGCCAACAAGCAGGCATCGGCTATCCAAGCTGGGGCCTAGTATGTTCTGTTTTTTCTGTAGTTTGCTAACGTAAGTCTATTTAAGGCACTTTGTCTTGGAAATGGACCATGGGCCATTGTATACATTATTTCCTTCAGTATTGGAGATACTCTTTATAGAATAATTTAAAAATAATATACATGTTTATGGTATTGAATGTCTTCCTTTTATTTAGGTCTTTTGAAATTTTTTGAAATAATGTTTCATATTTTTTGTGTAGAGCTTTGCACATTTGTTAATTTATTTCTAGATATTTGGTCTTTTGATATAATTGTTAATGATATAATTTTTAAAATATCATTTTAATCACTTATTGGTATATAAACATAGATTTTTCATCTTGACCTTGAACTCTGTGATTTTTCTAAATTCATTTAATCACAATAATTTTCCTATGGATTATCTTGCAGCTTGGATATAATACAATCTATAAGTAATGACAGTTTTTCTTTCTAATCTTTATATGTGTTATTTTTCTTGCATTATTATACATGCTAGGATCTTTTTCCTACCAATGTTAAATAAAACTGTTGTTAATAAGGGGAACCTGTCTCCTTTGCAATGTCAGATAAAAGGTTTTCAATATTTCTCCATTAAATATGATATTTATCACAGGTTTTTGAAAATGCTTTTTAAAGGTATGTGATATCATTTGGATCTGTGTCCTTACCCAAATCTCATGTCAAACAGGAGGAGGGGCCTGGTGGGAGATGATTGGAGCATGGGGATGGATTTCCTCCTTGCTGTTCTCATGATAGTGAGTGAGTTCTCACAAGATCTGACAGCTTAAAAGAGTGTGGCCCTTCCGCCTTCTCTCTCACTACTGGTCTGCCATGACAAGACATGCTTACTTTCCCTTTGCCTTCTGCCATGATTGTAATTTTCCTGAGGCTTCCCACCCATGCTTCCTGTTAAGCCTGCAGAACTGTGAGCCAATGTAGCCTCCTTTCTTCATGTATTACCCCTTCTAAGATAGTTCTTTATAGCAGTGTGAGAAGGCACTAATATACAGTATGAAAATGAATATTTATTTAGATTAAGAAATATGTACCACAAAGTATTGGAAACTTAGAGATTTGAGTTCATTTCTTCTGAGACAACTTTACACAGTTTTCCAGACATGTTAACATATAAATGTTTCTTGGTTGCAACCCACTTTGCTCTCTCTCCAGAATTCTCTACAATCCCCAGCAATTCCTAACACTTACAGGGGCCTGTGAAAATGAAGGCTCTGAAAACTGGGCCTTGTAAACTTCGTAATTTCATCTGAGAATTTTTTTTTTTCAGTTTGGCTGTAGTTTTCTTTCTCTTGATGTTAATTCTGCAAACTTTCTTAAGATTATCTTATAAATACTCTTATCGTATTAAATAAATTTCTTTCTATTGCTAGTTAGGAAGTTTTTGTCATAAATGGGCATTGGATTTTATCAAAAAATTCAACATCTGTTTGTTGCTGCATCTATTGAGATAGTGACAGGATAATTTCTCCTTTATTATTGTACTGAGTTATCATGATTGAAATTCAAGGGTCTGTTCCTAAATAAAACCTACTTGGTTGTGATATGTTATTCTTTTTAGAAATCACCAGATTAGATTGCTGATATTGCTTCAGAATGTTTGAGTTAGAAGTTTCCTTTTTTATAATATACCCATCGGGGTGTCTTGGATTCACAACATGAGATGAAAAGTGTTCTCTCTTCTATTCTACACAATAGATTGTGTAAGTGGTGTTATTTATTTGTTAAATGTTTAGAGAAATTCATTAATAAACACATATGGGTCTGAATTTTCTTTGTGGCAAGGTTTTAATTTCAGATTCAAAATTATTGTTAGTATAGAATTATTCCAATTATTTTCTGTTATATCAATTTTGATAAAATGTGTTTTAATGTAAGTTTTCAAATTTGTTAGCACAAAATTGTTCTTAAAATTCTCTTTATCTGTCTAATAAATGTTGACTTTATGGTGACATTCCTTTTTAGTCTTTCTATTGGTAATCAGTAACTTTACTGTTTTTATTCTTTGTTAGTTTTTTCAAAGGTTATACATTTATTGGCCTTTTCAAGGAACAACTTTGGGTTTTATTTACCTTCATTGCATTTTTCATCCTGACTCAATTTCTGTTTGAATCTTTGTTACTCTTTCTATCTAACTTATCGGTGTCTAATGTACTATTATTTTTCTATCTTCTTTAGGTGACTACTTCAATCATTGATTGTTAGCCCTTCTGTTTTCTAGAATAGATGTATTAAAGATGATCATTTTTTCTTAAAGCACATCCATAGCTGCATTTTATAAGTTTTGATATGTAATATTTTTATTATCATCCAGCTCAGTGTATTTTCTAACTTCATTGGGATTTCTCCCTTTAGCTATGGGACTTTTTAGGAGAGTATTGCTTAATTTTTCAATATTTGATACATTTTTTGGTTACATTCTATTACTGATTTCTACCTCATTTCCAGTGACTACACACTGTATAACTTCAATCCTTCAAAATTTGTCAATGTGTGTTTTTTTCTTTGTTCTTACCTTTTATTGTCCTCTCCTTTCTTAAAAATGAGTTTTTCTTTTTTGCCTCTTAACCATTCTTTTACTGTTAATTTTTTTAAGGTGTTACCCTAGAGATTATACATGAATTCCTGGCTTATTTAATTCTAATAAAAATTAGTAATTTTTCCCCTTTTTGGACAATCTAAGGATTTAAAATGATTTCACTTACTTTTCTACTTCTCCCATTTTCTTCTATTGTCATTTATTTTAGTGCCATTTGTATATTATTCTATAAACTCCTCAATATGTGATTGTTATTTTACATGTTTAATATTCATTTAGTTTTTTTCATTGCTATTTATGTATTTATTTATTCTTTTTTATTTCTGTGCTTTCTCTTGAAATTATTTTTTTTTTACTTGAAGGGCTCCCTTTAGAATTTGTTTTGCTGCAGCCCTACTGGTAACATTTTCTTTTTGTTTTGTGCTTGTATAAAAATGTTTTTATTTAACATTTATTTGGGGGACTCTTTTTGTTAGATACAAGATTCTAGGCTGCAGTTATTTTCTTTTAGCGTTTTGAAAGTGCTTGTTGTCATCTGGCTTCCAATATTTCAATTGTGAAATTAACTGTCAGACTGATGATTATTCCTTTTAAAAGTATTATGTGTTTTTTTTTCTATCTGCGAAGATTTTCCTCTCTCTGTTTTTAGATATCTTTCTTTTTATGTGGTTAGGCGGTTGTTTTGAATTTTTCCCAATTGGGCACAGTAGTATTTTGTGAACTGTGACTTTTATCACTTGGAAATTCTTCAGCTACTTCTTCTTCAGATATTACCTCTGTTCTAGTCTCTGTTACCTCTTCTCTGGAACTCCAGTTACATATATTTTAGACCTTTCAGACCATATTCCATACATGGCATTAGTCCCATTTTTGATGTCTGATTGCAGTTTTTCTAATTTTCAGTTCTAGAATTTCCACTTGATTCTGTTCTAAAATTTCCAGTCCTTTTTTGAAATTATTCATACTACCAGCAAATTTCTTGAGCATATTAACCGCAGTAATTTAAAAATCCATATCTAAAACTTTCAACATCTGGATCTCCTGTTGGCTTCTTTCTTTTTCTTTTTCTTTTCTTTTCTTTTTTTTTTTTTTCAGAGTCTCGCTCTGTCAGCCAGGCTGGAGTGCAGAGGCAGAACCTCAGCTCACTGGAACCTCCGCCTCCTGGGTTGAAGCAATTCTCATGCCTCAGCTTCCCAAGTAGCTGGGATTACAGGCACCCACAACCATGCCTGGATAATCTTTGTATTTTTAGTAGAGATGGGGTTTCACCATTTTGGCCAGGCAGGTGAGGGAGAGACCTGCCAGGCAGGCTCTGGGAGTGATGTTTTGTCAGAAAACTTCCACATCTCAGGACAAACAGCATTCCTGAAGAACAATGGAAATCCACTGAAAATGAACTCATAATAAAACATTATAAACCAGACAGGAAAAAGAGCATCATGAAGAATCAGAAAACACAACATTTTCTCTTAAAAAAGCCCTCTAAAGACTGCAGACAATTAAGCGATCTGAAAGTAGCTATAAGTATGTTGAAAAAAAACAAAATAATAGGAAAAGGAACATTAGGAAAAAAATGTTTATGTGGTAGCTTTCTATGCTTCATTCTTCAGAAATTTCCCTCACCCACCCCAGATTTCTAAGTCCTATGCATTAACAGATATCGTTGTCCCTTTGAAGACACCTGTATTAGTTTGCCAGGACTGCCGTAATAAAGCACTACAGATTGGGGTGCCAGAAGTCCCAGATCAAAGGGTTTGCAGAGTTGGTTTCTTTGAGAGCTGTGAGGGAGAATCTGTTTCATGTCTGTGCCCTAACTTCTGGTAGTTTGCTAGAAATCTTTGGTGTTCCTTGGCTTCTATGGTATCACCCTGATGCCTGCCTTCATCTTCCCAAGGTATTCTCCCGAGTGTGTCAAAATTTCTTTTTTTTATGAAGATACCAGTCCTGTTGGATTTGAGGCCCACCCTACTCCTGTATAATCTCATTTTAACTTGTTACATCTGCAGTGATCCTGTTTGCAATTAAGGTCACATTCTGAGATACTTGGGAGTTAGGATTTCAACACATTAATTTTTGGGAAACGAGTCATAATTCAATCCATCGCAACACCCAAATATAAATTAACAAGTTTTAGAATTTTTCAGTCTTATTAGAATGATAGAAACACAGAAATCTTCCAACATCCTCATTCTATGCCAAAATAGAACACTTCAAATAAATAAGAAAGAGAGGCATTTCAGATAACTTTTAGGCTTTCAGGCTATGTACAAAAAAGACACCATTAAGAGGCAAGACATGCCCCATGGTAAGATAGGAAGATAGGAAGCTTCTCTACTGCAAACTCCTAGGACTTACAACATTGCTTTAAAAAAACTTCTTAAAGTCTCTAAGTATTTTCTTGTGTAATGTTATACATCTGAGCACATAATATTTAGAATAAGTAATATATTTAATGTCTTCAAAATAATGAAAATAAATATTTTAAATGTTCTAAGGTTTGCATTGGGGTCTTGAGATTTAGCCAATGACCAAATAAAAATATTAATAATGATTTTGTATATTTCATATAATGCTATCAACCTACCATCAGCACTGTATAGCACTTTTCCCCAGGGGTTGTTGTGATTGTTTGTCACTATTTCATCGTTAGTAATAGTACTAATAGCATTTTTCTGAAAGAGTTAATGTGGGGGTCAAATAAGATAACAAATGTAAATCACTTACTAGAGTGCCTGGGACAGAGTAACTGCTCAATAAATGTTAACTGTTATTATTAGAGTATAGAAGGTGCTGCATTTTTAAGAAGCTTCGTGAAGTGTTTTCCCTTTTTGGTGATACCATGCCATTTTTTCTTCAAGAAAAATGCTCCTATGCCATTTTTTCTTCAAGAAAGAGAAGGGTTGGTGCCACCCAAAAAAGAGCTCATGGTGTAGTAAAGAAGTTAGAAATGTAAACATAATCAAGTCACTTAGATAGTTAGCCTAGGAAGTATGGGGCCACTTCAGTTTTAAGAGAAAAGGTTAGACTATAATAATGTATCTGGATACATCGGCTCTAAAGGAGAAGGAAAAGGAAGTTGGAGAAGGTTCCTCTGATGGTCTGCCTTTTCTGTATGAAGTATGGGGCAAGATCATTGGTGGGAAATTAAAGATGGGAGTGGAGTAGAGTATTTGAGAGGGGTAAAGTGTTGGAAGTACTCCCCCCAAGAATACAAATGTGAGCTGAATGGAGTCAGTACTGAGTCCAATTGAACAGAAGGTCTAGTTGAAGCCGTCATTTTGTAACTGAAGCCAGTAAAAACTGTTGTTTTATTTTACTCTCCTTTATTATTTCTATTCTATTTAAATGTTGTCCTATTTTATTTTATTTTATTTTATTTGATGTAATCAGTTGAGGCAAATCTGAACATCATATGGGCACAAGCTAAGAAGTGACTGATGGCGTCCACCCCGGCCTGGATTGAGGCAGAGAGAGGAGAAGGAGTGAGGGAGCTGATGATGTGGGTGAAGTCACCGACTAACCAGGCAGGAGGGAAGGAATTGAAAGCAGGATGTGCTGATACAGGAAAAACAGGTATCTCCATGGTGGAAGAACAGATATGGCAGCTGAAAGGCGATAAGAGAAATAGGAGGAAAGGTGTTGCTAAGAAAGTGGTATTTGGGGATCTGAGAAGTTGGACCTGGTGCAGTTCCAGGTGGTTGATCTGGGGTTTGGGGTGCAGGGAAGGGAATGCTTCCATACAGCCAGGGGACAGGATAAGGAGATAAAGAGATGAAGGTGAAGGCAAACTGTCAATTTCCCAGTCTCATAGTCCTTGGCTGTGCTCCTGTGTTAGCTGCGATTTCAAAATAGGTCACTTCCTTTCCTTACTTTACTCTGTCTTCTCTCCATCGCCTACTTGGCATCTTGTGTCTTTTCAAGGTCATGTTAAGAGTTCACTTTCCCAATCAGGAGAAGCACATGACATAAATCAATGTAATTAATGCATGTTTCTTTCTTTCTCAAAGACTTAGCCTAAATAAAACCTTACAATTTATTTTAGTGAACAAATTAAATGTTGACTTTTAAAAACACAGTACTTGTACTTTTTAACCTTCAAAGAACTTTACACATACGAAGGTCATTACTCTTTTTAACACTCCTAGAGTCTTTGAGTTGAACATACATGATCAAAAGATTAACACAGAGGGTGAGGATGTTTGGCTATCAGATGCAGTTTTTAGCTGTAATATCTGGCCTTTGAGATAATATTGCTCTGGCCATGTCTGAAAGCCGGGAAATAATTATTTCTGTTCCATTTTCTGTCAATGGGGAGCTATTATTACCCCCTTCAGTGTGAACTCATTTAGGAGTATAAAAATAAAAATTGTTAATAATGGTTAATTATCAGATTAGAATTTCAAAGGGGAAAAATAATAGTAGTTTCCTCTGAAATTCACAAGCCAACTAAAGCCATTCCAAGCTTCCTGAGGGCCCTTCTCTCCTCTGTTTCTTATTTCCTTTCATCCCTCCCTCTTCTTCTCTTTGGATTTCTCTCTTCTTATTTCTCTGTATACAGGGGATTTTTACTCCCCTCAAGTTCTCTTCATTGGTGCCACTCTTCTTACATACCTGGCTCTTTTTTCTTCACCTTCTGATTTTCCACCTTTTCTTTTTCCTGCTTTCCCTTTTTTTACTTTACCATTTCCGTTTTTTTTTAAATTTCTGAACCAGTTGGGAACAAGATTTTTTTTCTAATTTCCCCCTTCCTTCATTCCTTCCCTTCCTTCCTTCCTTCCTTCCTCCCTTCCTTCCTTCCTTCCTTCCTTCCTTTCTTTCTCTCTTTCTTTTTCTTTCTTTCTTTCTCTTTCTTTCTTTCATTTTTTCCTTCCTTCTTTCTTTCTTTCCTTCCTTCCTTCCTTTCTTTCTTTCTTTCTTTCTTTCTTTCTTTCTTTCTTTCTTTCTTTCTTTCTTTCCTTCTTTCTTTCTTCTTTCTCTCTCTCTCTCTCTTTTCTTTCTTTTTCTTTCTTTCTTCTTTTTCAGGGGCTTCACTCTGTTGCCCAGGTTGGAGAGCAGTGGCATGATCATGGCTCACTGCAGCCTCAACCATCCAGGCTGAAGCAATCCTTCTACGTCTAGCTCCTGAGTAGCTGGAACTACAGATGTGCTCCACCACGGCTGGCTAATTTTGTTTATTTATTTATTTGTTTACTTCTTTGTTTATTTATTGAGACAAGGTCTCACTATGTTGCCCAGGCTTGTCTCCAACTCCTGGACTCAAGTGGCCCTCCTGCCTTCATCTCCCAAAGTGCTAGGGTTACAGGTGTGAGTCACCGCACCCAGCCTATCATTTCCTTCTACAACATCTACACCTCCTTGTCCTGTCCTCTGGTCGCATGGAGGCACTGCATTCCTGACCCAGCCCTGGGATCAACCCCTCTATGCTCACTTTTCCTTTTTATTACTATAGCAACAACAAGGGCTATTATTATTAATTAAAATTTATTGAACACATACCATGTGTCAGGCAAGTAGATTACTTTCTGTTTAGAAAATGCCATCACAAAGGGGACAACACATACAAAAGACAATGATCTGAATCTGCAAGTGGGAAAAAAACTAAAGTGGATTTTCGGTTGTTTGAAATAAAATTCCTTGCCATCAGCATTTGCTCAATATTGATAAAGGGAAGATTCAGGTCCCTTTGTAAGAGAGAGAGGGAAAAAACAGAGACATTGATTGAATCCATACTGTGAAACGATGCCGTAGGTATTGACCCATCATTGCTCTCAAACAGTGGAAAAAGAGTGAGATGAATTTGCTTTGTGTAGTAGCCAATCACTCAGGTGGCTGAGTCACAAAGAAGATTTAATCTCTGATTGCTGCACAAAAATGTCTACAAAGAAGCTCCTGTGGAAGACATTTTTCCTCACCTATTCAAGGTTGCAGAGGTAGTTGTCTTTGTGACTTGTGAGTGGTGTAGGAGTGTGAAGAGTATAAATTAGAGAATAATATAAGGAAGTTTGCTGTGTGTTTAGCAGGAACTGCATCCTGAGAAAGAATCAAGATCCTGCAGCCAAGAAGAGAACTGGGATCCATAAGGTCTCATTAAAACAGGTTAAGTGTTTGCAAATCCCAATTACAATAGTTGCCATTAGCTATTAAATCTTAATGATCGGCCAGGCACAGTGGCTCATGCCTATAATCCCAGCATTTTGGGAGACTGAGGCAGGCAGATTGCCTGAGTTTAGGAGTTTGAGACCAGTCTGACCAACATGGTGAAACCCTGTCTCTACTAAAAATACAAAACAATTAGGCGTAGTGGCGTGCGCCTATAATGTTAGCTACTCAGGAGGCTGAGGCAGGGGAATTGCTTGAACCAGGGAGACAAAGGTTGCAGTGAACCAAGATCGCGCCACTGTACTCCAGCCTGGGCGACAGAGCGAGACTCTGTCTCAAAACAAAAACAAAGGCAAAACAAAAAAAAACTTAATGATCAAATAGCTAAGAACTAAAGAATTTCCTCCATTCTTTGCTGAGGTGAGAAGAAAGATTAGCTGCTGGAATGAGTTTGCAGATGGGGAGAAAAATGGCTCTTAAAAACTCAGGAACTATGGTGTACCCTTACATGTGCCAGTTAAAACAAAAACATGAATCCCGGTCTTCCCTGGTGAACGGGAACACTACAGGTGGGGAGGAAGAACCTCCTCTTTTTATGTTTCTGTAAATCATCCTGCCTTACTTTGAACCCCTATGCCTTCAAAAAGGGAGGACTTTGAGCCCCTGTGCCTTCAGAAAGGGAGGAAACTTCAGCTTTAAAAGAGCTCTGCTATCTCCCTGGAATTTATATCATGACTATGACATAAAAATTTGCCCAGTGCTAAAAATTCAGGACATGGCATTTGGTGATTGAGTCACTTACCCACTTTAGCAGTAAGACACTCATTCTGTATTTTAGCACAGCCCTGGAGGTCCGGTGGCTTTGTGATACCATGGTGTGGTCTCAGTTTCTGAGCTGCACACAGAGCCACTTCTCCTCCTGGGATCTTGCCACTTCCTTGTTTGCACTACACAGAAAGCACACAGCAGCTACTCACCTTCTCATTTCCTGCAGGTTTGGAGAATCCTTGTGGTGGGGCTTTTAGTTGTCTCCTTGCTTCTTACAAATATTTTGTTGACACCATATTCTCCTCCTTCTCTGGAACTGGTGTATTCAGGATTCCCCGGCCCAGAAAACTTAGTTCTGCTTTTTTTTTTTTTTTTTTCTGTTAGGTTACTACTCAGAAGCAAGAGGCAAGAGGCAAGAAATGCATGATTGAATACTTGCTCGATTTAGGAGGGGAGAGTAAAAGAAACAGGTTGAATTTTAAAAATGTTATTGAGTTGGCTGGGCATGGTGGCTCACATCTGTAATCCAATCACTTTGGGAGGCTGAGGAGGGTGGGTCACCTGAAAGTCAGGAGTTCGAGACCAGCCTGGCCAACATGGTGAAACCCTGTCTCTACTTAAAATATAAAAAATTAGCTCAGCGTGGTGGTGGGTGCCTGTAAGCCCAGCTACTTGGGAGACTGAGGCAGGAGAATCACTTGAACCCAGGAGCAGAGGTTGCAGTGAGCCGAGATTGCACCATTGCACACCAGCCTGTGCAACAAGAGTGAAACTTCGTCTCAAAGAAAAATGTTAGTGAGTCACAGTTGTGTCAGAGTTCTCAAAATGCAGAAGCCAGCTTTCTAATGCTGTAGCCTCTGTCCAGGACAGATATATACCATGCAGATGAGAGAGGACCCAGTGTAGTTCTTAAAAATTTCAGTGCATGAGACTGAGCAGGCAACCACCACTTCTCACCATTTCACTCACTGGCCAATTTCTTGGTTTTGTTGCTCTTGTGACTTCTTGTTAGTGATACAGGCATTTGCGTATACACACCGTTTTAAGAATTCCTGGCACAAAGAGATGCTTAAGAAATATTACTTGATGTTTGATATAGTTTGGCTGTGTCCCCAGCCAAATCTCATCTTGAATTGTAGTTCTCATAATCCCCATGTGTCATGGGAGGGACCCAGTGGGAGGTAATTGAATCATGGGGGTGGTTTTCCCTGTGTTGTTCTTGTGATGGTGAGTGAGTTATCATGAGAGTTGATGGTTTTAGAAGCATCTGGCATTACCCCTGCTGGCTCTCATTCTCTCTCTTGCTGC
Organism: Homo sapiens; assembly: GCF_000001405.40. Lineage (NCBI taxonomy): Eukaryota > Metazoa > Chordata > Mammalia > Primates > Hominidae > Homo > Homo sapiens. The sequence goes on from NC_000004.12 coordinate 144,061,616, forward strand.
CCTGTGAAGAGGTGCCTTCTGCCATGACTGTAAGTTTCCTGAGGCCTCCCCAGCCACATGCAATTGTGAGTCAGTTAAACCTCTTTTTAAATAAATTACTCAGTCTTGGATGTTTCTTCATAGTAAATTGGTACCAGGAGTGGGGTGCTACTATAAGGATACCCCAAAATGTGGACACAAATTTGGAACTGGGTAACAGGCAGAGGTTGGAAAAGTTTGGAGGACTCAGAAGACAGGAAAATGTCAGAAAGTTTGGAAATTTCTAGAGATTGGAGGGCCCAGAAGACAGGAAGGTGTGGGAAAGTTTGGAACTTCCTAGAGACTTGTTGAATGGCTTTGACTAAAATGCTGATAGTGATTTGGACAATGAAGTCCAGGCTGAGGTGGTCTCAGATGGAGATGAGCAACTCGTTGGGAACTGGAGCGAAGGTGACTCTTGTTATGCTTTAGCAAAGAGACTTGCAGCACTGTGCCTCTGCTTGAGATCTGTGTATCTTTGAACTTGAGAGAGATGATTTAGAATATCTGGCAGCAAAAATTTCTAAGTGGCAAAGCATTCAAGAGGAAGCAGAGCATAAAAGTTAGAAAAACTTGCAGCCTGACAATGCAATAGAAAAGAAAAACCCATTTTCTGGAGAGAAATTCAAGCTGGCTACAGAAATTGGCATAAGTAATGAGAAGCCAAATGTTAATCACCAAGACAATGGGGAAAATGTCTCCAGGGCATGTCAGAGACTTTCACAGCAGCCCCTCCTAACACAGGCCCAGAGACCTAGAAGAGAAAAATGGTTTCATGGTCTGGGTCCAGGGCTCCCCTGCTCTGTGCAGCCTCAGGTCATGGTACCCTGCATCCCAGCCACTCCAGCTCCAGTTGTGGCTAAAAGGGTCCAAGGTTCTGTTCAGGTTATTGCTTCAGAGGGTGCAAGCCATAAGTCTTGGCAACTTCCACGTGGTGTTGAGCCTGTGGGTGCACAGAAGTCAAGAATTGATTGGGGTTTGGGAACCTCTGCCTAGATTTCAGAGGATGTGTGGAAATGCCTGATTGTCCAGGCAGAAGTTTGCTGCAGGGGCAGAGGCCTCATTGAGAACCTCTGGTAGGGCAGTGTAGAAGGGAAATATGTGGTGGGTGCCCCCACACAGAGTTCCCACTGGGGCACTGCCTAGTAGAGCTGTAAGAAGTGGGCCACCATCCTCTAGACCCCAGAATGGTAGATCCACACCGACAGCTTGTACTGTGCACCTGGAAAAGTCGCAGACACTCAATGCCAGCCTGTGAAAGAAGCCAGGTTGGGGGATGTTCCCTGCAAAGCCACAGGTGTGGAGCTTCCCAAGGCCATGGGAGCCCACCTCTTGCAACAGCATGACCTGGATGTAGGACATGGAGTCAAAATAGATCATTTTGGAACTTCAATATTTAATGACTGCCCTGCTGGATTTCAGACTTGCATGGGCCTGTAGCCCCTTCGTTTTAACCAAATTTTTCCCATTTGGAACAGGTGTATTCACCCAATGCTTATAATTGTATCTAGGAAGTAACTAACTTACTTTTGATTTTACAGGCTCATAGGTGGAAGAACCTGGTCTTGTCTCAGATGAGCCTTTGGACTTGGACTTTTGGGTTAATGCTAGAATAAGTTAAGACATTGGGGGACAGTTGGAAGGGCATGATTGTGTTTTGAAATGTGAGGACATGAAATTTGGGAAGGGCCAGGAATGTAATGATGTGGTTTGCCTTTGTCCTCACCCAAATTTCATCTTGAATTGTAGTTCCCATAATCCCTACATGTCACGGGAGGGACTAGGTGGGAGGTAATTGAATCATGGGGGCAGTCTCCCCCAAGCTGTTCTCATGATGGTGAGTGAGTTCTCATGATATCTGATGGTTTTATGTGTCTGGCATTTCCCCTGCTGACTCTCATTCTCTCTCTTGCCACCCTGGGAAGAGATGCCTTCTGCCAGGATTGTAAGTTTCCTGAGGCCTCCCCAGCCATGCAGAACTGTGAGTTAATTAAACCTCTTTTCTTTGTAAATTACCTAGACTCGGGTATTTCTTCATGGCAGTGTGAGAACGAACTAATACAATGTTAATTGTTAATACTTTCTTTTTCTGACTTTTAACATTTTTAAATGCTATTTTATTATTATTTTTTGGCCACTGGATTCCCATTCCACTTGAATTGAATAACAAATAGTAGAAATTAAAGTTAAAAAGTATGTTGAATATTGAATAGGAATTTTAATTTTGGAAATATTCATGTCTACATTTAAATAAGAAGTGGAAGACAGTAAAAAATGAAACAAATGCAGTCCCTGTCCTTGGCGGGACTGAAGGAGTTTCTGAAAGGAAACTTTTAGTGGTGCCTTTAAGCACAGAACTACAGCTTATAAAAGTCCATGGACATCAAAAGTATGCAAAGCTTGGTGGAATTTTTGTGTGCAGTTTTTCCTAGAGAGAACAGAAACTATGGAACACAGTCATAAGGCAGAAAATGAGAGCAAGAGTGATTATGTCAGGCAGCTTGCTCTGGCAGAGAATTAAAGCCGGATGCTCTTTCTACCATGGCTTGTTTGGCTCCCAAGAACTGTGGCTTCTACTTCTGCTTTCTCCCTCTTCCTTCTCCTGCATCTATTCAGGATACCTAATGCGGTCAAGAGGAACAAGGCAGAAATGAAAATTTTCAAATCCTGTGTGGGATTTGAACTCTATTCAAAACATATTATATTTTAAATACCATTCAGTTGTAAATAATCATAAGAGCCCACCTACAATGAAACAATAGATGACTTGAAAGCACCGCAGCAGCCAGCTCTGAGCTGCAAGGAGAATAGTTGGTAAAATGATTCATTAGCAAAAAGAAATCCCTGCAGGACACTAGATATAATCCCACACAGGGAAAAATGTGGTTTGGAGACTGATATTTTACAACTTCTTCAGGTTATCAATATTGAAAACAAATGATACAATCAAAAGATATTCTTTCAGATTGCTATGTGCAGTCTCTTCCAGTATCTCTCGCAGGATACTGCGAGAGATACTTAACTTACCTTTTGCTCTGAGAGGGAAGGCTTTCTTGTGTGGGTGGCCAAGAAAGGTTATTTGGTGGTATTATATTTCAGGACTTCTACCAGAGTGATTCACTTATAACTGGCTGGCATAATTATTATAGAGTTTCAGTGATCATTATGCTGTGTTAACTACAGAATATTGTAATTGCTGTTAGAATGACCACGAAATGAACCATACAATTTCAAAACATACTTAGCCATTTTCAGAAGAGGTGCAAATGAGAGTTATTATGCTTTGAAGATTCCAGGGAGACTTATTAAGAGAACTAACAGAGTGGAGAACAGATTAATAGCTGCATTTCTTCATGCTATGTGACCATTAGTGAACTTTCCTTTCTGATATTACCTAATGTCAACATTCCATTGGAATTCACACATTGCTAGGTATTTTAGAAAAGACATTGAAGGTGATTTGTTGATATTTCACCCCCAGATATACTGGGAAGAGGCTTTCTTCTTTAGAGATCTGAATTTCTGAAGTGAAGTCCCTAGAAAGAATTTCTGAAGTGAAGCCCGTAGAAGGATCACCATTCTATTACAGTGGCTCTTTTGCTGCATGCTTCCCAGATCCCTCCATCCTCCTGCACTTCTGCATTAACTGCACTTCTGCACAACTGCATTAACACAGGGAGCATGCTCTTTCTGAAAAAACAAAAACGAGAAAAAACGCTGCTAACTATTTTGTTGTCATGAGGAGTTGTGGGCCATTATTCGTGGACCTTCTGATATTTCAAGAGAAGTAAAAATATTTTATATGAAGTCTACTGTTTACAAAATATTGTCAATTAATTGACATTAAACAAATGCCGTGCAGGCCAAACAAAACTAGCCCTCGGACCAGAAATGCTCTATGGGTTTATAGCTTCAACACTGGAACATCTCTCAATATGATCAGTTGTGGATTATATACTTTCACCCTTTTAAGCACTTATTTTAAGGGTTTAGTGGGGGTCAGGTAGAATATGGTTATTGCTTAACTCAGTTTACTACTGCTACCTAAAACCATGGTTGATATTTAACTGGCTTGCACTGTTACATTGCATTACCAAGTATTCATTCTGATTGATTGGTACCATGTGGTCAAAGTGGTTAAAGTTTTTGAATATTATTTCTGCCCCAAATTAATAAACAACACTTCTTACTAGCATGATTTAGATATGGGTTTACCTGTACATTGGGAGTTTTTTCCAAGTGTGTTTATTTCAAGCATTGTAGAATTTCTCAGTTCCTTATAAGGCTACCTTAGAGACGTAGTTTATAATATTTTCAATAATAGTTTGTCAGACTGTATTCTCACTTATTCAATTTTGGGATATTATTTGATGACTCCTCCCCAGAAGCCTCTTTTAATGACTAGTCTGACTGACATTTGGTGAAAAAGCAGTAGTTTTCCTTCATCTGTATTCTTCAGAGAATCATGGAATACTAGCTGTCCCTTCCATTTAGGTCTTGCTTTTGATAAATTAATTGATGAAGTGTCTTCACCTTAATATGAATATAAGTAGTTCAGTTGTCAATTATGTTAGACTTTTAAAAGACTGTTCTGAATATGTCATCATATTATGTACTATTTGTAACATGCTTTTTTTTCACCCCCAAATAACAATTTACAGGATCTCAATATTGAGGCCAGAAGAGATTACATAGAGATTATAGGCTCTGCCTGTAATCCCAGTGCTTTGGGAGCCAAGATGGGAGGATTGCTTGTGGCCAGAAGTTTGAGACAAAGTTGGGCAACATAGCAAGACCCCATCTCTACAAAAAATTAAAAAATTAGCTGAGTGTGGTGGTACATGTCTGTACTCCTAGCTACTTAGGAGCCTGAGAGGGAGGATCACTTGAACCCAGGAGTACAAGGTTACAGTGAATTATGATCATACCACTGCACTCCAGGCTGGGTGACAGAATGAGACTCCACTTCTAAAGTAAAAAAGTATATATATTGAAAAAACCTATTTGAAAACTTTTAGAGTAGAAATTATCTTTATTATATCTAGTCTGTCCAGTCAAATGAGCTGGCAGTGGAAGGAGCACTGGACTTAGAGTCAGAAGGCATGGCCTTTTCTCTTTTGTCAATCAATGTGACATTTAGATTTTCATTATTATCATTAACATTGTTATTATTAGGATTTAAAAAAAATTCTGGGCTAGAAATGTAACTTTCTTCGTGGCAGAATTTTATACTTATTTTTATTTCATATGTGCTCTTCCAACTAAGAAAGAAAAAAACTACAGCTCTCTGGAGCCTGTAGTGTTTGAAACTTATTAGCTCTGTTGCCTCTGGCTACAGAAATCAAAAAGGAGTTTTTCAAGTTGCATTCAGAAAAGCAGTCTGTTTTTCTGACCTGCAGTGTTGCTAGTAATTGTAAGCCAGGTGTTACTCTTGGAAAATGAAAGTACTCATTATTTTAAAATAGTATGGTGTGGAGGGCCAACTGTAAGACCTGGAGCTGTTTGCTGTTTACACACATGCGGACAACTTCTCTGGTCAAAAGTGATAAACAAATGAAACTTTCAGCCTCCATTCTTCAGCCTCTCAAATATATTTCTGAAAAGGGCATTGTTCCAGGGTTCTCTCTGAACAACTCCCACCCCTGAAGTTGAAAGTCTTGACTATTTCAATGTCCTTCCCTTGCATCATATCGCCTGGGCAGCACGCCCTTACTGTTGTTGCTTTGTTAACTGTTAGATACTGAGTTATATTAACATCAAAGGGCATAAGGAATCAGAAATGAAGCCTCCAACTAACAATATGACAAAGCTGATCTACCAATACATCTTTGATTTGGTTTTAAGAGGTTGCAGTGGAAGTGGATAGGAGGTGTGAAATTTCTGATTCCAACTTGAGTCTGATTCTAGCCCGTGCCTTGGGGATGTTTATAAACCTGAGAGGGAGGAAAACTGAGGGGGAAAGGAAGAGGGAGGAAAAGGTAGAGGAAGGGAAAGAAAGAGGAAGAGAGAAGAAGAGAAACAGGGAGAGAAGGAGAGTGCCTGATCCTGATCCATAGTATAATAGCCTCCCTAGCCTGATTACAGTTCTGCTTTTACACTTAACCCCTGCTCTTTTGGGTACTGGCTATTGAGGAACAATACCCTAAATTTTCCTGGAAGTTCTTTCCAGCTGAGAGCATCTCTAGGCACTGGCTTAATTCTTTCAAAGTCTCATGGCCACACCCTTGATTTTTATCTTTACCTTGAGGGCAATCTTAATGTGAAAATATTTTTCTGGCATGAGACAGCAAAGATGAAAAACAACTTTAGTTTCTATTCTAATAAATTCTAGCATCTCTTAATTCCCCATATTCTCCTTGTAAATTGTGTGTGTGTTTTTGTCGACATTTGTTTCTTTCTTGTAGTACTTTACATATAACTAGTAAGAGTCAGCTGATATTTTCAACATTCTGCCTGGAGATCAAGTCCAAAAATTCATAAGGTACATATTTTGTATCTTCAAGTTATCTTAAGTGACCAGTTCTAACAGATGTTTCATGCCGACGTAGCATGGGTGATCATTTTTTCTCTTTGTTCTAACAGTTGCTCATCATTTTTCCAGGCTTTGTTAGTAGTATCATTGACACTTTTCCAGCTTCTGTTTGCTACCTACCTCATCCAAAGCTAATTCCACGTATGTCTGTTTTATGCTACGGTAGCACATTCCTTATAGGTACTAATGACCTATCGCCATAATAATGCTGCATAATAAACAACACAATATGCCTCTTGAAACAATAAAAATTTATTTAGTGCATGAGTCTGTGGGCCAGCAACTTGGTTCTTCTGGTCTCACATGCATGGAGATGGGTTGCATATTAGCTGATCTAGTATAACTCATCTGGGATGATTGAGATAACCTGGTTCTGTTTTACCTTTAGTAGGTTAGTAGGTTAGTCCAGGTATGTGTCACAGCAAAGTCAGAGGATTAAGAGACTGTTAGTGTGAAAGATTTTTTCAAGCCTCTGCATGCATCTGCTCTTGTCCTGTCGGCCAAAGCATGTAAGATGGCCAAACTCAGAATCAAAGCACAAAGAAGTACACTCCTCTATAGTGAGAGGAAATGCAAAGTCACATGGCAAAAGGGCATAGATACAGGAAGAAGTTGAGAGTTGGGCCATTACTGCCATCAGCCTGCCAAATTATCTCACCCGTATTTAATATGGGACAGTACTTCACCCATATTCTTTGGACTTCATTATTTCAGCATGCTCCAAGGAGACAGTGACTTCCAACTGGCAGTATTTGTATCCTCTTCCCAAGGGTTTCCTTCTACTAAATAAAGGACCAGTCTGCCCATGCAAACTCCAGGCTGGAGGTTCTAGGGAATTAGCCCTGTCTCCACTTGACATATTCAATCCAATCCTCAAACAGTAAATGATAGGAGTTGGTTTATGAAAATGCCAGCTTTCTTATTATCCCTCTAGTTGGATAATTTGTAGGCGTATATTTTATACAATTTTCCAGAGCTCTAACGTATTAGGCACTGGTAGTGCACAATGGTAGCTGGCTTCGTAATACAACTTTTATCCTTGGCCAGTTTCACTTATGTACTCTCCTAATGCTTATTTCTCTAAAAATAAATTGCTTACACTTGAAATCTTTTCTTTTTTCTTTTTCTTTTTTTTTTTTGAGATGGAATTTCGCTCTTGTTGCCCAGGCTGGAGTGCAATGGCACCATCTTGGCTCACCTCAACCTCCACCTCCCCAGTTCAAGCAATTCTTCTGTCTCAGCCTCCCAAGTAGCTGGGATTAAAGGCGTGTGCCACCATGCCCAGCTAATTTTGTATTTTTAGTAGAGAGGGGGTTTCTCCTGTTGGTCAGGCTGGTCTTGAACTCCCGACCTCAGGTGATCTCGCTCACCTCAGCCTCAAAAAGTGCTGGGATTACAGGCATGAGCCACCAAACCCAGCCTTTGAAATCTTTTCGTATGGTTTGCTGGGAACCTAAATTAATAGACTACATAACTGAACTCTCATTTTTCTTCTGATTCTGAGTTCATGTTGCGTATTTACACTGTGCACAAAAACCAGTTCTCAGTATGTATCCCCTTCCTAATTTTCAGGAGTTTTAACACTAAGGTCTTTTCAGTGCTTATACTCTTCAGGTTCATTAGTAGGAGTCTGTGTTTTTCTGTTTTCTGTAGCTTATAACACAATACCTGAAACTGGGTAATTTATAAAGGAGAGGAATTTATTTCTTACAGTTATGAAGGCTGAGAAACCCAAGGTTGAGGGGCCTTATCTGGTGAGGGCCTTGTTGCTGGTGGGGATTCTGTAGAGTCCTGAGGTGGTACAGGGTATCACATGGTGAGGTGGCTGAGTGTGGTAGCTTAAGTCTCTCTTTCTCTTCTTATAAAGCCACAAGTCTCACTCCCATGAGAACCCACTAATCCATTAATAGATTCATACGTTCATGAGGGTAGAGCTGTTAGGACCCAATCACTTCTTAAAGGCGCTATTTCTCAAGACTGCCACATTGGACATTAAGTTTCAACATGAGTTTTGGAGGGGACAACCATTCAAAGCATAGCAGAGTCCTTTAATTGTCATAAGCTTTCCTAATTATTAGCTTTAGTATGATCTAAGCATCAATTTTACTTTGGTTTTCCAGCTTATAGAAGAGTACAGCATACAGAAAAATATATCTTCTGCAAAGAAAACACAGTCATGTAGAGAACCTTTCCATCCCCAGTCTGGACCCAGGTAATGGGTCCTTGCTTAGAGGAATATTTCTTCCACTCATATCATATTTCTTTTTGTTTCCCATTTTTTTTTTGTTTGAATAAAACTCATTTGGACTTTTCCTTTCTTCCACCAATAAAGAACATTATTGACTTTTAATTATAATTTTAAAAACCCCATTTTTTTGTGTTTTGGAAACAGGGTCTTACTCTGTTGCCTAGTCTGGAGTGCAGTGGCACAACCACGGCTCACTGCAATCTAGAACTCCTGAGCTCAAGCGATCTTCCCACCTCAGCCCTCTGAGTAGCTGGGACTACAGGCACATCCCATCACACCCAGCTAATTATTTAGTTAAGAAATGGGTCTTGCTTTGTTGCCTGGGCTTGTCTTGAACTCCCGGGCTCAAGCAATCCTCCTACCTTAGCCTCCCAAAGGGCTGGGATTACAGACGTGAGTCCCTGTGCCTGGCCACAAAACATACTTTAAAATCTGTCTACATCTGCCTAGATTTCCAGTTGATGTTGTAGTCCATTAACTCTTTAATCTGCTATATCCAAACTGCTATTAAATCCATATATCAAATTCTTAATTTTTGTTACTTTATTTTGCAGTTCTCAAATTTCTATATGATTATTAAGTCTATTCCTTTGATGAAACTCCCCATCTTACCCTCTATTTCCTAAACATTTTAAGCACTTATTTTAATTCTGTGTTGCTAATGACAATATCTGCATCATCTGTGAGTCTTTTCCCATTGTCGATTTTTTGTGTTGTTCCTGTTTGTTGTGTTGTTGCTATATTTTGTATACCTGGTAGATTTTTGTTGAATGCCAGATACTGAATATAAAAAACCAGGGATGATGTGGATTGTGTTATAGTTTTCCTGAGAGAGTTTGCCCTGTCCTCTGGTTGGAAGCTATAGTGGAGGCAAATCACCTTAATCAAGTAAACGAGAAGACCAAATGCTGGGTTTCAGTCTTCTTAAGATTGGTTTCCTGCAGTGCTATAGCCCCTAAAGGTCTGGAATGAGAGTATGAAGTGTTCTCTGTTGCCCCTCTCCCTTAGTGAGTCATGGCCTCCAGTTTTGTCTTCTCAGCACTAAAAGATGTTTAAAAACTCTGATTTGATTTTCAACAGCTGTATGCTTGGCTTCCTAGCCTCTCACTCTAATCAGCTTACTTCAGAAAATGCCTTTATAGGAAAACGACCTTAGTATTGTGCTTACTTTTTCGCACCTCTCTTCTCTCCAGGCTTGTACTCATAAATCCTGGCTGCCTTCACAGCATCAACCTATAATTTTTTGTCCACCTCGACTTATGAATTATCAAGAGCTCTCTTAGATTATCTGCCTTTTAGCAGGGGCTGAGGATTATTAATATTCCAGTCCATATTTAGAATTGGCAAATGCCATTAAGGGTAAGTGACATTCAGAATTTGTCTCACCTTTCTACATTTCTCTTCTCTCCAGGATCTTGACACCTCAGATTCTTATCACTTTGGAAGCTCTCCCATGCCTTCAAACAAATGATTTTTTTTCTTTTTAAATTTTACTTTGCTTTTCTTATTGTTAATTGGTTAAACAGCCCCCTCTTGCATACCTCTTACATGTACATATAGTTTCTTCTACTTACTCTTAGGTCAATTTTATTAAATCTGGAGGGAGATAGTAGATTATGAGGACCTAGGCAAGGAGGGTATAATGGACAGAGATGCCTTGCTTGATCAGCCTCTATTTCTCCTTCTTCCTAATATTATTTATTATTATTATTTGGAAAGCCACTACTGAGAAGTGGAAAGCCACTTTCAGTCCTTGTGTTTTTCGGTGGGATAAACCCAATTTCTGGGGTCTAAGAATGGGAGGTGGGTGGGTAGGTGTGACAGGCATGCTATTCAGGCTGGCCCATGACTATGTTCCATCTCTCCTATCAGAGGGCTTGACTCCAGGAAAGATATGGGACCCTAGTCAGCCCAAAGAGTGTCAGCACTGGACTTCTACGAAAGTTAGTGGGAAAGAGGTATTGTTTCCACTGAGGTTTCTCAGCTGGTAGATTTAAGGCCAGAGCTGCTAATGGTCTTTTTTGCCTTTGTATGTGTAGGACCTGTGAGAGAAAGCAGGGGAAGCAGAACCCTTTGATGGAGACAACAGAGTCAGGACAATATTATTTAAGTCTCCTAAATCCAAACATGCCTGAAGCTATAAGTTACTTCTGAAATTTAAAAATTTATAAATAAATTATTTTTCTTCTCCATAAGCCACTTATCGCTAAAATAGGCCTGACTATGTGGAGAGTACCAGTAGGTGTGAGGGAGGGGAGACAGATGAAGTGACATCTCAATAGAACTCGCTGATTTGATTGGCTGAAGATGGAGCGTGTGGGAGAAAGAGGAGACAGATAAATGTGAAGTTATTTAAATGATTTATGATGCTTTTAACCCATGGAAAGATATGATTGATGTAGAAACAACTTTTCCTTTTACATATCCAATCCACATATAAAAACATATTTAAGTCATAAACTGTAAGGATGGTAAACTAGAAATTTGTGGCTGCTTCTCTGTAGCAAAGTTTTTTCTTTAATTATTGTTGGCTTAAAATTTTTGATACGTTATATCTCTAAGGGTATACAAAGTAACTTGTTGAATTTGCAAAGTGCTTTGTAGATTTCAAATTACTTTGGAGTCTGTCATTTGACCCTCACAAGAACCATATAGTAGGTGGAAGAGTTAACATCGTCCCTTATTTACCAATGAGTGTACTGAGGTACAGAGAGGTTAACATAGTTAACTAAGGAAACCGAGCAAATATCTTGGAAGGATGGTATGAGAACCCAAATTTGCCAGTCCAGTGCTTTACCATATATCATTCGGTTCTCCGATTCCTAGTAATTATAGTTACTTATAATCAATGATAAAATTATAGCCAGTGACCAAGTTACCCAGTAACATTCCAAAAATGGCATCACATTTTCTTTTAAGCATTATAAAATATATTTAATCAAGTCAGAGCTATTCTAAAAGAAAAGTAATAACTAGAACGATCTTGGATGACTGGCTTAGCCAGAGTCCCCATGTAGATCTGAGTGCTCATTGTGGGTCATGGCCACTTTCTTGTATCTCAAATATCCTCTGCAATTCTGGAAGGGGGAGAAGGTAAAAATAGGAGAGGATTCTGGCTCAAAGGGGGAGTGTTCTGTAAATTGGAATGATCACTTTAGATGGTGAAACATTTTCTTGCTAGTTATGTAATTCTGATATGCTTTTAACTTCCAGTTCCTAGGAAAGAAGTTGTTTCAACTCTCATTGGAGGAAGTATAAGGTGATCTCAGGGAAGGGGAGAAGGGCTGGTTGCCTGCCAAATCTATGATCAAGTCGGCTCCACAGTCAGTTGAGTAACCCGGAGTTATATATATGAGAAATTTTGGCCAGGAGAAAGGTGTAAATAGGTTAAGTAAATTGACAAGGAACAACATATTGGGTCATTAGTCAAAACTCATCATGTGGTCTACATAACATAAACATCAACATAAATGCAACTCATTTTCCCAAATAGCTACACACTTCATTTTCAAGTGCTAACAAAATGGGGCTTGATTTCAATTAATACTAAATAATTTTATGCCATTTCCAAATTTTCATTTCTTTGTGGGAATGTAGGAAATGTTGAGACTAATGCAAAGACTTTCTGAACACAAGAAAAGGCTTTACTTTGTATAATTATCTGGTTTGATGTTCTATTGCTACGTGAAAGTGTTTACATCATGTGGTTTCAGAACCAAAACTGTGTATTGAATTTCATCCAAATCATTTAGTTAAGTCTAAGTTTACAAAGGAAACTAATGATCTGGCTTTATTTCAATGTATTGATTCTGGATTCATGAGCGTGTGTCAAAACGCGATTATATACTCTCTCATTTCTGTACAAGCTCCCTACCTTAAGCTTACCCCTGCTAAGAAATCCTTGGTGTATTGATTCTTCATTTCATCTTAAACTAGTACTTAGGTAAAAATATGATTAGGGCCCTTTTTCTTCACTTGAGAAAAGAAGAGACAGTAATTCGTGTGATAAATCAATATTATTCCAAATAAAAACAAAAAGCAAATTCTAGAAATGGCAAACCAATGTTGGATTTGGACAAGACTTTGTGGAACTTAGGATGATTGAGATCTGTCTAGCATCTCAGGTGCCCTCTTCAATTTTGGCAGAGGCAGAGGTGGAAATGGGGAGAGGACTCTGGCTCAGGCTGGAGAGGGGCTTCCACAAATTGACAAATGTCACTCTACATAGTTTTGAAAACAGAAAACGACCTTGCTTTATAAAATTCTGTGGTTTGATGTTCTGTTGCTTTGTGAAATACTTTTTAGAATATATATTAGATATCTATATATCATTATATATTATATGATAGGAAGAGGGGCAGAAAAAGAATTGGTTTCTTATCACTAACTCTCTAACAAAATATTTCCTTTCTTACTTCACCTGAAATTGGGTGCTTAAGGGAGGGGATGGGAAGATGAGGCAGCTGGGAAAGTTCAGGCTGGGTGACAAGAAAAGTAGGAAGAAGACAGATGGTGTTTTTCAGAATAGATGGCCTCTGATCAGAAGTAGAGGCATCATATTGACATTGCCAAAAAGATGGGCTCTCAAGCTCTCTCCTACTGTAGTTTTAAAAATAAACTATTCTTGTTTTATACAAATTAGAACATGTCCTAAAAATATGTTGGGTGCTCAGGTGCTGTACTCATAATGCTCACTAGTTAGCAACCTATCTGACACTTTATACCTTAATTGAAGGCCCCAATTAAATGCTAATAGAAGTTGCCTTTGATTTTGCTGGAATTTTGTGTATTTCTTATTTTAATGGAATACTTCATATATATGTTTTACTTCAAGTAGGAGGTAGGATGGTTGTCTCCAGAGGGTAGGGTGTGGGGGAGGGAGGGAATGGGGAGCTGTTGATCAAAGGGTACAAAGTTTCACCTAAAGAGGAAGAATAGGTTTTGAGATCTATTGCACAGCAGGGTGACTATAGCCAATAATAATGTATTTATGTCTCAAAATAACTAAGAACAAATTTGAAATATCTCACCATAAAAAATAATGGGTAATCAAGGGGATGAATATATTAATTAGTTTGGTTTAATCATTCCACATTGTATTCATGTAGCAAAACATCACATTGTATCCCATAAATGTATATAATTGCAATTTGTCAATCAAAAATAATATTAATAATTTAAAATTTTTATTTCTTTGTCTCGACTTTATCCTTCTAAGTAGGAATTGTACATATGTCATAGCTAATATTATTTTTTCTTAGTCTTAAAAATACATCTACAGTTTCTCTGTTAAGTGTGATGTTTGTTATAAAGTTTTGGTAGTTAGCCTTTAACAATTTCTTTTTTCATAATTAGGCTTTTAATTTTTGTCCACTTTTTCTTGGGCCAATTCTGGTAATTTATATTGACAATTTAGTATTATATGTATAATCATGTAACATACGTTATATATGACAACTTGGACCTTCATATAAAACCAGTTATGTAACTCGTTTCAAATTCATGGTGTTCTTTTATGGATGAGGATATTTTGACTCTCACACACCCAAATACTGCTATGTATCCTAGTTGCCTGTTTCTTTTAGGACACCTCTGCTAGTGGTGTACAGAACTTCCACTCTTTTGTGTTAGAGAATTATGCACTTATTAATACATTTTGTATTTTTTTTGTTTTTATTTTTTTCTTATTTCGATAGCTTTTGGGGTACAAGTGGTTTTTGGTTACATGGATGAAATACATAGTGGTGAATTGTGAAATTTTAGTGCACTCCTCACCCGAGTTGTGTACATTGTACCCAATATGTAGTTTTTTGTCCCTCACCCCTCTTCCACCCACCCGCTTCTGAGTCTCCAAAGTCCATTATATAACTCAATTTGCCTTTGTGTACTTAATAGCTTTGCTTCCACTTATAAGTGAGAACATACAGTGTTTGGTTTTTCATTCCTGAGTTACTTCACCTAGAATAATGGCCTCCAGCTCCATCCAAGTTGCTGCAGAAGACATTATTTCATTCCTTTTATGGCTGAGTAGTATTCCATGGTGCGTATATACCACATTTTCTTTATCCACTCATTGGTTGATGGACACTTAGATTGGTTCTATATCTTTGCAATTGTGAATTGGGTTGCAATAGACATATGTGTTCATGTGTCTTTTTCATATCATGATTTCTTTTCCTTTGGGTAGATACCCAGTAGTGGGATTTCTGGATCAAATGGTTAGATCTACTTTCAGTTCTTTAAGGAATCTCCATACCGTTTTCCAACGTTGTACTAATTTACATTCCCACCAGCAGTGTATAAACATGCCACTTTCACCAGATCCAGGTCAACATCTACTGTTTTCTGACTTTTTAATTATGGCCATTCTTGCAAGGAGTAAGGTGGTATCTTTTCCTTTGGGTAGATGCCCAGTAGTAGAACTGCTGGATTGAAGGATAGATTTACTTTTAGTTTTTTAAGAAATCACCATACTGTTTTCCATAGAGGTTGTAATTCTTCTTTTCTGATTTGGATGCCCTTTATTTATTTCTCTGGCCTGATGGCTCTGGCCAGGACTTCCAGTCTTAAGTTGAATAGAAGGAGTGAAAGTGGGCATCCTGGGCTTGTTTCAGTTCTCAGGGGAAATGCTTTCAACTTTTCCCCATTTAGTATGATGTTGCCTGTGGGTTTGTCATATATGGCTTTTATTAACTTGAGGTAAGTAGCTTCTATGCCTAGTTTCTTGAGAGTTTTTATCATAAAGCGATGCTAAATTTTATCAAGTGCTTTTTCTGCATCTATTGAGATGATCATATGGTTTTGTTTTTAATTCTGGTTATGCAGTGTATCACAAATTTATTGATTTGCATATGTTAGACCCTCCGTGCATCCCTAGGGTGAAACCCGCTTGATCGTGGTGTATTATCTTTATGATGTGCTGCTGTATTTGCTTAGTAAATACTTTCTGGGGATTTTTGCATCTATGTTCATTGGGGATATTGGTCTGTAGTTTTCTTTTTTTGTTATGTCCTTTCCTGGTTTGGGGATTAGGGTGATACTGGCTTCATTCTCTTATTTCTATGTGACTGGTATGCAGAGATAAGGGTTTCACCATTTGTACAAATTTGCAGTTTTAATGTGAAATATGATTTTTAGCCATTTGATATTTTTTTCTTTCTTAATAAATTGAATGAATATACACACACCTATTTTGATGCTGTGTGCATTTAAAACCTCATGTACTTTGTCACTTTAGCTTTATATTGCAGATTCCCTTACTCTATTGTCTGGACTTACTTCTGCCCACCATTTTGCTTACTCTGTAGGCTCAAGGGGTGAATGCCAGGGATGAGGTAAAATTTTGGTCATATATATGACTGATTTTTTACAAAGATGAAATTAAAATTATTTCTTTAGGGCCATGTAATATCACCCAAATCATGTTGGTCAGAGTACAAACTTTCACTTACAAGATGAGTAAGTTCTGGGAATCTAATATGCAGCGTGATGACAATAGTTAATAATACTGTACAGATGTTCCTTGACTTACAATGGAGTTATGTTCCAACAGATTCAATGTAAGCTGAAAATATTTTAACTCAGGGGTGTCCCATCTTTTGGCTTCCCTGGGCCACGCTGGAAGGATTGTCTTGGGTCACACATAAAATACACTAGCACTATCGAAAGATGATGAGCTAAGAAAAATCACACAAAAAAATCTCATAATGTTTTAAGAAAATTTACAAATTTATGTTGGGCCTCATTCAAAGCCATACTGGGCTGCCTGTTGCCCATGGGCCATGGGTTTGACAAGCTTGTTGTAACTTAGAAATGTATTTAATACACCTAGGCTACAGAATATCATAGGTTAGCCTAGCCTACTTTAAATACGCCCAGAACACTTATATTAGTGTACTTGGGCAAAATCACCTAACACAAAGCCTATTTAGTAATAAAGTGCTGAATATCTCATGTAATTTATTGAATACTGTACTGAAAGTGAAAAACGGAATGGTTATATGAGTACTTAAAATGCAGTTTCTACTGACTGACTTTTACACCATCTTAAAATTGAAAAATTTTAAGTAGAGAACTGTCTGTATTGTATTCTTGAAATCTGCTAAAAGAGCAGGCCTTAAAAGTTCTCACTACACACCCAGGTAACTATGTGAAGTGATGGAGGTGTCGACTAACTTGATATCACTTCACAATGTTTACATATATCAAAGCATTGTAACTCAATTGCAGATTCAGTCACTCGATGCTTGCCGAGTCCAGTTTACAAGGGTGAGGTCTGATATAAAGAAAGTGACTTTTTAATCGAAAGTTTAGCTTATGGAAAGAAGTCCAGGCTCTTGCCTTTAAAGGCACTGCTTCACTTTTGGGGCAGAAAGCCAGAGCTTTTAAAGGGGAACTTGGCGTGAATGGCAGGCAGGGAAGGAGCAGTTGGGGGTCTAGGCGACTTGCTTTGTTGCCTTATCTACCCAGGGGTTGAGCTAGTGCTAGACTGTAAGGTGGCTGTGGTCTGGAGATACTCTCCAGATGGGAGAGAGTTTCCTGTGGGCAAACTTTAGGTTGTAAATTGACTCTTGTCTCTAGAGACAATCTTCTGGTGGGAGAGATTTCCAGCTCTGGGGCTTCTAGGTATGCACACAGTTAGATGAGCTTGTCCTGTAGTGTCTGGTGAAGGGAAGGTAGAGGTTCTAATTGCATTTCTAAAGAGTTAAGTGGGAAGTGGGGAACAGGGGCAGAGGAGGAAAGAGAAAAAAAGAAAAAAAATTTAAAAAATAACTCGTTCTCTTTCTCTTAGGGAAATGGCAGTTCTGGGTTACAGCATCCCATTGTACACAAAACTTGTCTAACCCACGGCCCATGAGCTGCAAGAAGCCCAGGAAGGCTTTGACTGTGGCTCAACACATTCAAAGAAAGTTTGTAAACTTTCTTTAAACATTATGAGATTATTTTGCGGTTTTTTTTTTTTAAGCTCATCAGCTGTCATTAGTGTTAGTGTATTTTATGTGTGATCCAAAACAATTCTTCCTATGTGGCCCAGGGAAGCCAAAAGATTGGACACCCTTGCTGTACACCTTAAATACAGAGTTTTGTGTTTCAATTTTCCCTCAGTTAAGCTGGGAAAAAGTTGCCATACCCAAAAATGACACATAAAATAGCTGTGTCAAATTTTTATTTTAATCTTGAATGTCTTTCTTTTACAATAAATAAACTTCTCTCACATGATTTTTTAATAGTTTCAGAGTGTTTCATTTTATGGATATTTCAGAACTCAATAAGTTCCTATTTATTTATTTATTTATTTGGACACTGTGGCAGCGTCTAATTTTTGCTAAATCTTGAGACACATTCTTAAATTTCAAAGCTGGAATTACTGAGTCTAGTGGGTCTTAAGACATATTGTTATCTGCCTCTCAAGAAGGTTTTGACTCACTTCAAATGAAGTCAAACATCTTCTCCATGTATTTAACATTCAAATATTTTGCATGTGTGATTGTTGTCTTTGCTTATTTTTTGAGTTTTCACTGAGTTACAACAATTCTTTGGTTTACTATAAAAAGAGAAAAAAATCATTATGAGCCAAATGGATTTTGAGAAATATAATCTGAGTTTTCTCTTTACAGAGGTTTTTGTTTTGTTTTTGCCTAGAGCATAGGGTTAACTGGACTAATTTACACTTTTCCATTAGCTTTATCTTATTCAGGATAATATGAGCCAGTTTTCTTAACCCTAATAGGGCATATTTCTGTTTTTTCTTAACTCGTTCTTTTTCTAGTGTATTGCTAAGTTTTCCAATTTAGTTCTTGCCTTAAAAATGACGTTGTCTAACATTATAATTGTAAAATACTGGAAAATGGTTTTGTCATTCTTGCTGCAGGCAGTCAACAACTCAAGGTGACTGACCACTAGGTTAGCTGGAAGTACATCTTGATTGGTACAGATTCCGGTTTCTAAGTGAATAAGCAGAGAACACACTGAGTGCCTGACGATGTGACATGCTATCATGTCACATGAAACTATCAGAACTTGCTAGGGTTCCAGATCCTGCACTAGAAATTCCTCCCAGATGAGGGTTTTTTTTTTTTTCCCCCTCCTGTGAGAAATAAACCAGAAGAAAGGAGAAGATGGATTTTTGCAATTTAGTTTCATGATTTTAAGGACCAAATCTCAACTTTATTTCTCTAGAATAGGAAATAGAGATATCATTGTCATCTTATGTTTTTTCTCACTTGATCTGATCTATGATCTGTTGAAACTTGATCATCTGTTCTTGCAAGTGAGGTTTGTTGCTACATTTCTGAACTTCAAAATTAGAAAAATAATATCCTGAAGCTTCTAATACTTACAGTTGAGCAGACTTTATATTCTGTTTACACTTACCATTTTACATAAATCTTTATGCCTTTTATTTAGAAGACAAGATAAAAATTAAAAGAGAAAAAATATCCCACATATACATAATACCTCTCTATGGACTATTCTTTTGTGGGATAAGGTAGGTGGGAGAATGGGAGAGTAGCAGGCCCATTAGAATACAAAACATGTAAGTAACTATTATTTTTAAATTGGGGCCACTTGTACACCAAGATATGATTGCCTTTTTAAGAGATCCATGTTCTAGAGAACTGATTTCCTTAAATAACTCATTTCTGTTTCCAAGTTTCTACTCACAAATGTACTAATGTCCTAAAGGGCATGAAGGATATATATATATATATATATATATATATATATATGTAGAACAGTGATACAGTAAATATGAACAGTAATATAGTAAATCACTGTTCTTCAAAATATATATAAACAGAGATATAGTAAATCACTGTTCTTTTATAAACTGGGACCTTATTCTATTTTTTATCCCTATAATAATATATTTTATAACTTCTGTTTAGAATATTGGCAGATAATAGAACTTGATTGCCTGATTTTCAATTTAAACACTTATCAATCAAATACATAAGTACTTGTTCAGGGTGGAGAAAAGTTAATACTTTATATTATCTATGTATCTCTGAAAGACAAGAAAGTTTCTGTACATTTACAGACTACAAATATAGAAGTTAAAGCAAATGCCTTCTAGCTGGCATAATCTTAGGAAAAAAGCAGACTAAAGTATTATAAATTGGTAGCAGAAGATGTGTAAAGACAAGACATGATCACCTAGATAATATAAATCAATTTTCTATTCTTTTGCTGAAGCCTAGACCCCACACGGCAGCCTGATGTAATTCCATTACCATGCTTAATTACTTGGCACTTGTATAGCCTTTTTATTTTTGTGTTACTGTTATTCCTGGTAAATCATTCAGAAGAAATAAATTAGCTTGCCACTCAAAATTAACTACTATGGTGCATTGCTGCCCCACCCCGCAAAAGATGAGTTGACAGCTACTGGGCGTTAATCTAGCCATTTTTTGATAACAGAGTATCTCTTTGCACATAGTTATGAGAGTTATAAACATTCCAAATGTAATTATCTCAGTCCTTTACAACTTGAAAGTCTAATTAAAGAAAGTTTAAGACACTATAAATCTTAAGGAATTAGGTTTATAATGTGGAACCCAGTCAGAGTTTGGGATTACATTGGAAAGTGAGTATATTGAAAAGGATTGCAGAAACATTTCTCTCAGCCAGAATTTAATTGCTCAGAAAACTGAATTTCAGTAGAATAGATGAAAAGTGTTAGGCAGAGAGACTCAGACCTATGACTGCTGAAGAAAGAGCTAATTCCATATCCCTTTTTCTAGATGCCCTGGAATACACTTGTGTCAGTGACAAATGCTGCTTTGCTGTGCTACACCGAGTACAAGGTCGTGGTAAGACATGACTGGGAAGCAGTTACCAGAGACAAGCAAGGATAGCGCTTTGACTGCATCCTCTGCTGGTGGCTTCTGTAGTTATGCATAAAATTTACTCTGATCTGTTTACTTTTATAGCCTGTCTTTACTTTGTTTCTTTTAATATTATGCATGTTTAGGCTATGCTTTTTCTTTAAATATGTGAGCAAATCTATTGGTGTAATGTACTCATTACCCTAAAACCTATATTTTAATGGACCTGAAGACCATAAGGTAGAAGATCAGAAGAAAAAGAAAATGCATACATTTTTATCTTTAAAACAATTCACTTTTAAGATTATTTTCTTGAAAGGTATACCTTTGATGGAGCCGAATCTGGTTCCTTCAGGCAGATACAATAGGATACAATAGGATAGGACTTCTTGGGTAAAAAAGGTGTAGTAATCTGTGAGTCTCACCGGAAGGAGAAAGGAAATTATTCATTAATTTGGCTGAGGCCAGGGTAGTAAGCAGATTTATTATAAATATTGGCAGCAGAGGAGTACTTGAAAAGTGCTTATAAAGTTAGATCATCTATTTTTCCAAGCAATATTCTTCATGTCATTCCACCTTGCAAAAACTTTGTGGAAAGGAATAGGCATATGAATGAGCAATGAATAGACTTTGCATTAGATTGGTAATCTTGCTACTAGTACATTAATTTACTTGTATTACTGATATTTTAAGATAGGATTTTTACAGATGTTTATATATTTTTAAAAAGCCTATTTTTTTCTTTACCCATTTTCTCAATTTTTTTAACCTCGAAAACTTTTTCCTCCCTGAGAGAAATACATGGGCTATCTTCAGCACAGAACACAAACTCTGCCTTCTTTTCTCAAGTCCAGTGATTCAAGTTTGACACACCACACCACGGTGGATGTGCCTTTCATGACGCATCTTCTCAGCAGCACTAGAAGATACATCCAAAGTCCTGTGAGCAAGGTAAGCCTTGTAGCAACCCTTTGATGTCTTTGAAAAATGCAAAAATGCTCACCGATCAGGAGCAAAGGGGCCAAAGTTGAGGTATTTCCCCCTCACATGTAGTTTTTATTTTTTTAGCCTATTTTTTGTTTTTCTCTAAATCAAACTCAGACTTACTCTGTTTACACTGAAATACACTGCACAGTGCCGTAGGTGTAATCAGATACAGATCTCAACAATGTGTATGATTCCATACCCAGTATAAATAAGGGTTTAATATCAACTCCATCTCTGAGTGAAAATAAATACCTCTGAAAAGTCAATTCTTCCTATTTTCTTTTACATTTGGCCTTCTAACAGCTGTTTTGTGTCATTTCCTTTGAGAGCTCTGATACCAAGTTGGAATAGTCCATTATATCCTAGCTCTCAGTCTTTACTGAAAGTTACATGAAAGAGGAGGCCTTTGCCTGCAATTCAGAATTCTAAATTACCAGCCTTTCTTAATTTCAGGTTGTCCCTCCTGGACATGTTGTAAACTCACGCATGGGCTTTTGAGTTAGAAAAATTTGTGTTTGGAACTTTTTCTCAGCTCTTGGCTTTTGACCTGGCCGGGTTAATTTTAAAGCCACATCTTATTTTATTTTATTTTATTTTATTTTATTTTATTTTATTTTATTTTATTATTTGTCATCTTAAGAATGGGGATAATGAAAGTGCCAGCCTCACTGAGTTATGTTATTTGAATGATATAGCCTAAGTGGTGAACCTAGCTTAGGGTCTGTTACCTGGGATGATGCTCAGTGGAAAGCCAAAATTTTTTGTGATGTTTTTGTTTATATGCTGATAGCATATAAAGGAGTGTCTCAAGTCCCATCACAGCTTTCAAAGCTCCTCTTCCTTTTGTCTGAGCAATCAGTGAGAAAAATGTGACCGTCAATGAACTTTAGTACTGAGATGTGCTTAGGAGGTATGGTCGTTGTTAGGTTTGATAATTATCAAAGAGAGTGATTCACGTCTTAGAACCCTGACCTGCAGCTCTAATGCCCCAAAAGACTAACCATTACCCATAGACACTGCCACTGCCCTCTAGTTTGCTTGTCTAATTATATGTTAACTATAATTAACACTTTAAATGTGAGAATTCCTACCTAAGAAAGTATATTACCTGGTGCAGAGCCTGGCAGAGAGGAAGTGTGCATTCAATATATGCTCATGGTTTATTGAGTAAATCCAGATCTTTCCTTGCTACTGGGTTAGAACTCTGGGAGCATACATTTACGGACTTAGCGAATCTGGAAACAGCTGGATATCCTTTGGGGTGATCTGGAATAGTTTCTCATTCTTCATTTCTACTAACATTTATTAAGCTTATGTGTAAGCTCTAGAGTTGGCACTCATAACTTCATTTAATCCTCACACTAGTCCTTTGAGGAACATATTATTCCTATTTTTCAGATAAGAAATTTGAGACTTAAGCAATAAAGTGCCTCACTCATAGCAATATTACTAGTAGCAGCTAAGTTGACTATACTGTGTGAACCTGTGTCACACCTTAGTTGCTATCTGGATAGTAGCATGCCTTGCCTAGCATGGATTTGGGGTACTAAACTCTGTACATTCGGTTGTCCCCAAGATCCTTCCCTGAGAGCATATTATTTAGACCTATTCTTATTTTTAGGCTTGGGCCTTGTTGTGGACTAAGTGTCTGTGGTTCCCCCCGCAGAATGTGTATATTGAAGCCCTAACCCATGATGTGGCTGTATTTGGAGATGCAGCCTCTAAGGAAGTAATTGAAGTTGAATGAGGTGATAAGTGTAGAGCCCTCATCCAACAGGATAATGTCATTATAAGAAGAACACCAGAGAGCTCACCCCCTCTCTTTCTACCATGCAAGGACACAGCGAGAAGATGGCTGTCTACAAGCCAGGAAAAGAGTCCTCACCAGAACCAAACCCTGCTGGACTTTGGTCTTGGACTTCCCAGCCTCTAAAACTGTGAAGACATAAATTTCTGTTGTTTAACCCACACAGGTCTGTGGTATCTGTTTATTATGGCAGCCCAGTGAGACTAAGACAGGCCATCAAAAGACGTGAACGTTTTGGACCTTCTCTTGGGCCCTAGTAAACAGAAATCAGGTATGCAAAAGGAGTAAATATATATTTTCCTTTATTTTTATTTTTAATGTGTAAGCCTTGGGTTTTTATTTATTTACTTGCTGAGAACAATCACACTGTATGTACAATATAATTATATTGTTGATGAGAACTTACTTAAAATTTTTTAAAAATTCTAATTGATTTCTAGATGTTCAAATGACAAGATAGCATTTATATACCATCAGAACATAAAATAATTCAAAAAGATAAATTTATAAAACAATATGTATTATATTGAGAGAGAGAGTGTTGGAAGAATATATATAAATACAATGTGATAATGTGATGTCTTTGTGAGAATGCTATATGTAATTTTCTTTGTTTTTGTTTATATGAATTTTTAATATTTTTACCTTTGAAATATATAAAAGAGAATAAAGTCATTGACAAAATCAAAATTCACTCTATTTTCATAGGTGAGTAAGTATACATCTTTAACAGAATAGTAAAGAGTTGATGAATGTTCAGAGATATTATATAAGTAACAGGTAAGAAGTGTCCTGATCTATGGTATTCATTCTCAGTTGCACATATATATGCAAAAAAACCCCACAAATGAAACCAAAACAACTCAGAATTCTCATGAATGTTGCATAAGTAAATATATTATTTGGAATAAATTTAAATAAGCTACATACAAGATGTCTTTTAGTTGGGTTGCTGAGGGGCCCCCATTTTGCTTTTCTGATCGGTATTGTAGAAGAGCTTTAGTTTTGTGGAGTCCCTCTCCAGGGAATTATTAGGGTGATGTACTGAGATATAGAACAGTGGATTTGGAGTCAGTAGACCTGGATGGAACTCATCTACCAGGTGTGTCACTGAAAAAGTCATTTAAGCTCTCAGAGCTTTAGTCTCCTCATTAGTGAAACTAGCATAACAATTCTGTGTCCTTTACATGGTTTCATCAGCATCAAACTAAATGAAATAATAAGTGCAAAGCTTTGTGACCCAGAGCACTCTATGCTAATGCTAGCCATCATTATTCTGAAGATGACTATTATAATCGAAGTTATATAAATTAAAGAAATGTGACAGAAGTTGTTCCCCTGAAAATGTTAACTCTTGATGCTGTAGTCCTAATTATGCTAGTGCAAATCCCTTTAAATATTCTTAATTTCTGGTCTGATCTTAATTAATGGATACCAATGTAGGTACTTTGTATTTTTGGCAGACAGTAAAACCTGGAGTTCAGGAACAGCAATGTAAACAGGCTCTAAGTTTGCAAGTTCCAACTTTCATTTATTTGATATTTGTCATGAAAATCTATATAGTGCTTTCAGTGTTCCAAGGCCTGTGGTTACAGCAGCAAGTAAAACAAAATTCCTACCCCACTGGAGCTTACAATCTAATGGGAGGAGGGAGAGGGCCAATAATACAGTAGAAAATGAATATATGATAGGTCCGTAATGAATATGTGATATGTGAATATGTGATACAGCAATAAATGTAGTAAGTGCTATGGAGAAAAAACAAAGCAGAATAAAGGAAAAGTTCTGTAGGTCAGATGTGCAGGCAGCAGAATCTGAGATGGAGACTGAAGTGCAGGAAGTTCATTCAAAGTCTTCTGAGGAAGGAAGCAGGGTTGGGTAGAGAGAGAAGATGGGCTCCGAAGCAGGCACAGTTGGGCCTCTGCCGACTCCATGGGGAACTGGAAAGCAGGGATGGGCCTTCTGATTGCCTTGTCTTGGGGTATGGAGGCCAGGCCTTTATATTCCTGCAATGGCCAGAAATTGGATGCAAGTTGTCCCCTGGGAAGGGGAATGTGACCTTGGTGACATGACTTCCTCTGCTGAGGGCAATTCCCAGAGAGGGCTGACAGTAGTGAGCTTCCAGCCAGTAGCACTGTGTTCATTACAGGGGTGTGTGTGTGTGTGTGTGTGTGTGTGTGTGTGTGTGTCTGGGAGGCAGGAGGTGAGATTGCTTTTTTAAAGGATAATCAAGGGAGCGTCTCTGAAAACATTTTGGGAGTAAATGTGAAGGACATGAGGGAGGAACCTCATGAAATCTGGGGGATAGCAAGTAGATATCTGGGGAAAATATTTCTGAGGAAGATAATTTTGAACTTCTTTGGATTTTTCATATGGATTGTCTATATGAGTAATGTCTATGCTCATCTATTGCTTTTCCAGTCGTGCTTATCATGGTAGTAGTAATAATAGTAATAACAACAATAAAGTCATTTTTACCATGTCATTGCAAGCTTTGCTTTAGGAACTGATGTAAATCTTTCATAAGATCTTACTAGAGTATTAATTAGCTAATTAGTTAATTTACTTATTCATTCAGTCACACAGTGAGTGTTTATAAATGCCCACTGTATGTCAGTTACTATGCGAGGTGCAATGAACACCAGGTGAGCAGGACGAGTTAGTCCCTGTGTTCGAAACTGTTAAGGTGGGGAGACTGACAAATGAAACAGGCAATTAAAAATGCAGTGTAAACAGTGGTCCAGTGTAGTTAAACGAGGTAAGGAAGGTGCAGCAGGGAAACAATAAGCCAAACAAAGAAGAAACCAGGTGTATGAATAAATAGGGAATGGCGAAGCTTTCTTTGAATTGGGGTGGGATGGGGTGTATGGAACAGAGGTGGGCAAAGTAGGTGAGATAAGTGGCTTTGGAAATGAAACCAAGTTTTGTTTAGTGACCTCTTACATTGTCAGATGGGGTTAAATCCATAAGGGTCTATAAACATTGGCCTGCTATGTAGAAAACACATGTTTCAATGGCAACTCAGTTGTGGGAGAGGTTTTCATTGCTAACGATGGGCTCCTAGCATGAAGAGATTCAGGTAAAGCCTGCCTCGAGGAGTGGGCTGGTATCTCTGATCAGAGCTGGCTGCAAGCTTGAGTAGTGACAATGGTGAGATCTCCAAAAGTGCCAACTCCTACCACCCAACACCCAGGAGAGAATAACTTCTTACTGCCCCCTCACAGATCCTGAGCTGAGCTAAACAACCTCTTCAGTTCTCGCAATCCGTCTCTCTCCCCTTCTACTGCCCCATTCATGCTGCAAAGATGTCACAGGACTGTCTACTTAAAGATTACCTCTCTAAAGCAGAGTTGACTCTATGTATTCTGTAAAGGCAATTCTTTTTTTTTTTTTTCAACACTGACCCAAGAACACTTGGATATAAACAGTAATATCAGCATGGTCAGAAGGTGGAAATTCCACTGGCTTTCTTGTTTCATTTAACATTCTTTGACTTGGGGGTGATACTAAAAATATAAAAATATTATAGAACATTTTCAAAGTCAACTTGCTTTACAAGTCCCTTCAAAATATTGTTTGTCCTCTATGTTCATAGCAATTTTAAAGTGTTCGTATGTAAAATATTGTGTCTACATGTACAGCTTTGTTTTTTAATAGTCACTTCTAGAACAGGCTGAAAGTCAGTCAGGAAAATTAAGTAAGACCGATTTGTGGTTTATCCATATTCTTATGTAAACCTGAGATTCTCACATTTGTCACTAATGACAGTCATAAAATAATTAAAGACAAATGAGTTAGTATTTTATCATCTAAAATTTCCCCCTTTTTCCTGAACCTTCTTACATTTCTAGAAAATAGTTAAAAGGAAGTCTGACTGAGACCTCAGGACTTACTGCTCCAAGTAAAAAGTAGGCTGAAAGGAAAGTTAAGTCATTGAAAATGGTATCTACATTTACTTTCCCTTTTCTTTGTACTGTTTGCTCTTCACTTTAAATTCTTTTGATTCCAGAAGGAAGAAAACTTTGCTAATGCTCTGCCAAGCCTCACTTTTCTGTCATGATTGGAAGGTTTGATGTTATCCAGAATTTCTCATGGAAGATGGAAGAGCTGCAGCATTACAATGAAAGCCATCTTGCAACAGCCTGAGTTCCTTTTTCTTTTACCTGAGTCAGGAACAAAAAAATATTCATGTATATTCCCCAAAAGGACAAAAAAGGATCCAATGAAAGGGCTAGGTTGTAGAAAGGTCAGAGCATTTTAGTGCTAAATGACAACTAAAATCACTCTCTCTGCACACCTTACATTGTAAAAGAGAAAGTTAAGACCCAGAAAAAGATCAAGAGTTTTTCATTGGTCGTTACGATATTAAAGAAGTTTTGAAATATATGGCTAGCTTTCTCACATCTATGAGCTGATTAGACCTCAGCCAAAGACTTCACGGGAGCCCTCTGCAAGTTTCTAGAGTTCTTTGTGCAGCTTTTCCTCTTGGGTTCTCTGACTTGCAAACTCAAACCGCCAGGCTTTTCTTAGACTCAGCTCTGCCTCCTCATCTCAGAGAGACCCTACAGTGGGGCCTGGGAACCCTCCAGGCTCTGAGCTGGACAATGGAGCTCACCTCCATTTTGTTTGATTCCTCTCTCTCGGCAATCACTCTTCTGTGCTACTGATGTCCGGTGTCTGAAATTCATTTTTTTCATATCTTTTGTTGTTTGCTTGGTGTCATTTCCTGCAGGAGGGTAAATCTGGCTCCTGTTGTTCCATCTGTCCTCCAGCAGCTTCCCATACAGGCAGCTCACTTCACTTCATTTTCAATTTTAATGACTTCTGTTCTTTATTACGCCTTTTGTCTACTTTTTTTTTTGTTTTGGTTATTCTTCTTGTTCTTTTTCTAACTTCTTGAGTTCATATTAAGTTAGTTAGCTTTTAGTCCTTCTAAGTCAATTACTGAATGTTTTGAAGTTTTCACTTTGTGTTACTTTATATTTTTTAGGCTACTTATTAAACTAAACCACGTTCTGAACTGTTACTGCTACTGGAAACCAGTCCCGATCCAGACCCCAAAAGAGGATTCTTGGATCTTGCACAAGAAAGAAAGGGTAAGTCCATAAAGTAAAGTGAAAGCATGTTTATTAAGAAAGTAAAGGATAAAGAATGGCTACTTCATAGGCAGGGAAGCCCCGAGGGCTACTGGTTGCCCATTTTTATGGTTATTTCTTGATTATATTGGTACAAAGAGGAGGCAAGGAAATATTGGGTAGAAGGGGGCAGTTCCCTGGCAAAGACACCACCCTCAAGCTTGGAAATCCATGGCCCTAAATTTGAGCAGGCATTCCTGTTTTCACACCTTAATGTTGCCTTTTGGCCTGCCACACCCCCCAGTCCTATACCCAAATAAACCCTAAACCTCAGCCTCCAAGAGCAGAAGATCAGAGGAGCAGAAGATCAGAGGAGCAGAAGAGTGGTGCAGCAGAGAAGGAGAGAAGAGAAGGAATGTCTAAATGTCAAGAGGAGTTCAGCTGGGGATAGTCAGAGAGAAGATAGGCCATGGGACGGCCAAACTCTAGGAGAAGATCATCTTTCCACTCCATCCCCTTTCCAACTCTCCATCCATCCCACTGACAGCCACCTCCACCACTCAGTAAAACCCCCGCATTCACCATCTTTCAAGTCTGTGTGTGACCTGATTCTTCCTGGACACCGGATAAGGACCCGGATACCAAGAGGTCACTGAGCTGATTAACACTTAAGCCATCTGTGAACAGCAGAGCTAAGAGGCACTGTAACATGCGCATTGGGGCTTTGGGAGTTGCAGGCACTCACCCTTAGATCCTACCACGGGTCTGGAGCCCAAAAGCACTTTCTCCAGCTCTTGCACCTGCCTATCTGCATGCTCTCCCTCCCGTAAGGTGTTTGAGCTCCTGGTGGCCAAACAGAGAAACCACACCTCTGTTGCATGTCCTGCAAGTTGGGGGTCAGGGAACTCCCCTGTTTCAACATGTTAAACAAGGGGTGGATTATTAATGCCTCCCCTTTTTAGACCATAAAGGGTAACTTCTGGACGTTGCCATGGCATTTGTAAACTGTCATGGTGCTGTTGGGAGTGTAGCAGTTAGGACAACCAGAGGTCAGATCACCATCTTGGTTTTGGTGGGTTTTGGCCAGCTTCTTTACTGCAACTTGTTTTATCAGCAAGGTCTTTATAACCTGTATCTTGTGCCAACCTCCCATCTCATCTTGTGACTTAGAATGCCTAACTGCCTGGGAATGCAGCCCAGCAGGTCTCAGCCTTATTTTACCCGGCCCCTATCCAAGATGGAGGCACTCTGGTTCAAATGCCTCTGACATTACTTCCAAGATGATTCCTTTTTGTCATTACGTAGTGGCCCCTTTATCTTTGAAAATGCTTTATCTATCATCTATTTTATTTGATATTAATATAGCAACATGAAATTTCTGTATTTTTACCTATTTATTGACATGTAATACCCATACAATAAAGAGCATGTAAGGCACTGATCTTAAGAATAGAGTTTGATGATTTTTTTCTAATGTATACAGCCATGTACCCACCACCCAGATCGAGATAGAGAATATTGCCAGCATCAAAGGAAGTCACTAGCTTTATTTCAGTTGGTATTTTCCTCAGACATCTTTTTTTTCCATCCATTACTTTCAACTTATCTATTTATGTTTTAAAGATTTTACTTTCAAACAGTACGTGACTTTTAGTAAAGTTACAGTACATTGATTGATTGATTGTTACCTTAAAACCCAAGCCACTAAGTATCAACAACATCCTCTGTTCCTATTTTCCCCTCAAATAAAAGTAGACTTACCATATTTGTTTAGAATTTCTGTGTCTGCCAAGGGAGTCTTTAATTGCTAAAACTAAAAGACTCTATCTATATTTGCTTTTAGTGCTTTCCTGTTTTTATTTTAGTAAATTAACCTTAATTATGTGAAAAATTTTATGTTGTAAAGAATGAGTAGTAGAGATCCATTTATTTTTTCTTCAGTATCTGACAAGTTTTCTGAATACAGTGAAAATCTATCTTTTTATATTGATTTGAAAGCTGCTTTCTTCGTGACACTAAATTATTACATGTATTTGAATTTACAAATGAATTGTTATATTTCACTTATCTGAATATATATTTCTTTACCCAGAATGTTCTTTTAATTAATGCTTAATATAACTCTATATTATAATTCCTGGCTGAAGAAGTTCCCACTCATTGTTCTTCATTTTCATAATTTTTCTGACTATTAACACATTTATTCTTCTAGATGGAGGCTGTTCTACCTTGGCACTATTGATATTGTGGACTGGATAAATAAACATCAGTAGTGGGATCCTTCTAATTTCCTCTACTTTCTTTTTGTAGCTCTGTTTGGTGCCCTCAGGTGGGAATGCTATGTCAACTCTCCAGTACCTTCTTTCTTTTTGGCCCAAAGCAGATATTCTGCAGAGTTTCTTGTATGAGGTTGGGTTGTTTCTTAAATTTCAGAGTAGATTATTGTTTATTCTATACTTTTCTTCATTCAAGCAGATTTCAAATAGATGGAATTTTTAAATATTTTCTCAAGCCTCCATCTTCTCATTTTAACTTTCTTAAAGAAATATTTAAATTACCATTTTCACTTATCTGTTTTTTAATTGCTCTGCTATTGTTTGGTATTTACAAGTGATTTATTATTTTATCCTTTTTATTAGGTAAGAGATGTTAATGGTGAGTTTGAGATTGATAGGAGCTATTTTATTAGAAATAAATGAGGAACTGTTGCAAGAATGGACTGTGATTTTTACCTTTTATTCAATTGTTTTGGCTTCTTACAGGCTCATGACACTTTCCTTAGTGTTTAACACAAACAACTAAAGTAAAATAACTGCCATTTCTCTCCTTGCAGTTAAACTGCAAACAACTCTTTTTATAAGAACTGTGATTGCCTCTAGCAAGCAGTCTCAAGTACTTGATATATCAACACACTATTGCCCCTTTTTTTCACACCTGAAGTTTGTAGAATAAACCACTAAAAATTTCATAGTATCTGAGGAGAATGGATCTCTCCAGATGATGTTTTCTTGCCTGGGGCCAATATGTGCACCATAGAGTCCCCTCTATCTGCCATAAAACTTTGTTTATGAAGCATTGCTTTAATCAATCTTCACATGGTAGGACGATACAGGCAAAAGCTGAGGTCTTGCTATACATCTCTTTCAAAGTTTTCCTTCAAGACCATTTTGCTTTTAGTCACTTTTTTTTAATATTTTTGGCAGCAGTTATTTATTTCATTTCATTCTATTTGACCCATCCAAATGTTTAACATGGTTTTATAAAAGTAACTTTATTTTCAGCTTGTCTGTAGGTTCAGTTTTCTTGTAGTTGCTAGTATAAGTAATAGGGAAAAATGTATCAGTCTTATACAATAAAGACGTTCAGATGAGTGTGTGTGGGAGTGTGTGATATAGGAAGAAGCAATCGGTATGTAACAACATATGTCTGCCTGCTACGCTTTTAATACTTGTTAGAGTTTTAGTTTCTATGAGTATCTTGGAGGTACTGGAATATATATGCAAATTTCCTTCTAAAAGATTGCACCAACTTACATTGCCATAACAACAATAAGAATTTACTGCAACCTTAGCACGTTGGATATTATATAAGAAATACCACTTAGTAGGTTTCATAGATAATGGATAAATTTTCTGTTGTTTTAATTTACATTTTGAAAGTAGTGAAGTTGAAAGTGACGCTATTTGAAATGCATGTGCATAAGAAGTTGAATAGAAGTTTATTAGTCAGAAGGTGGAATGAGTTTTGAACAAGTTAATTGTTTTGAAAAACAGTATGAATGTACTGAATACTTTTGAGGTGTGATCTTCTAATTGCTCTAGCAAATTGTATTGGTCATAAGAAAATGTTTGAATTTTTCCAGTCAGTCAGTCATTGTATTAGTTCATTCCCATGCTGCTATAAAGAAGTGCCTGAGACTGGGTAATTTATAAAGGAAAGAAGTTTAATTGACTCACAATTCTGCGTGGCTGAGAAGGTTTCAGGAAACTTACAATCGTGGCAGAAGGGGAAGCAAACACATCCTTTTTCACATGATGACAGAAGTAAATGGGGAAGAGCCTTATAAAACCATCAGATCTCATGAGAATTTGCTCACTATCATGAAAATAGCATGGGGGAAACAGCCACAATGATTCAATTACCTCCCACTACATTCCTCCCACAACACGTGGGGATTGTGGGAACTACAATTCAAGATGAGATTTGGGTGGGGACACAGCCAAACCACATCACTATGCCCCTGACCCCTCGCAAATCTCATGTCCTCACATTTCAAAACACAATCATGCCTTCCAAACGGTCCCCCAAAGTCTTAACTCATTCTAGCATTAACTCAAAAGCCCAAGTCCAAAGTCTCATCTGAGACAAGGCAAGTACCTTCCACCTATGAGCCTGTAAAATCAAAAGCAAGTTAATTACTTCCTAGATACAATGAGGGTATAGGCAATGGGTAAATGCACCCATTCTAAATAGGATAAATTGGCCAAAAACAGGAGCTACAGGCCCATGCAAGTCTGAAATCCAGTGGGGCAGTAATTAAATCTTAAAGCACCTTAATAATCTCTTTTAACTCCATGTCTCACATCCATGTAATGCTGATGCAAGAGGTGGGTTCCCACAGTCTTGGGAAGCTCTGCTCCTGTGGCTTTGCATGGTACAACCCCCCTCTCGGCTGCTTTCACGGGCTGTTATCCAATTCCAAAGTCACTTCTGCATTTTTAGGTATCCTTATAGCAGCACCCCACCTCTAGTACCAACTTACTGTATTAGTCTGTCTCATGCTGCTATAAAAAACTTCCCAAGACTGTGTAATTTATAAAGAGGTTTAATTGATCTACAGTTTTGCATGGCTGGGAAGGTCTCAGGATACTTACAATCATGACCAAAGGGGAAACAAACACATCTTTCTTACATAGTGGCAGGAAGGAGAAGAATGAGAGCTGAGTGAAGGGGGAAGCTCCTTTATAAAACTATCAGATTATGTGAGAATTTATTCACTCTCATGAGAATAGCATAGGGGAAACCACCGCAATGATTCAAGTACCTCCCACTGGGTTCCTCCCATGACACGTGGGGATTATTGGAACTACAATTCAAGATGAGATTTGAGTGGGAACACAGCCAAACCATATCAGTCATTCCACATATTGAGTGATTTCTCTCTTCTATTCACTATTCTTCCACAGAGAGGGACCTGTAGTCATTACCTTCAAGGAACCTAAATCCTGGTGTCTTTATGGTTATGGGTGGCATATAATATACAGGTAAGCCAATGTTACAGGATGTTGTGAGACTATTCCTGTTCTTCCATAATTAGCCACTAGGACCACGGCTGAAACCAAGAGGCACTGATTACCGCCTCACTCTAAAGAGAATTACTGAGTTTGTGCTCACTGCTGGGGCCAGATCTCTTTGCAGGGCTATGTTTGGCTTTACACAATGTGACCCTCTAGTCTGTACAAGGAGAGGAATGCAGAGGGAAAGAGATTCACTGGAGTCTCTCGTCAGTGACCTGGTGGTGAATATATGGTAATGGGTAAATCCCACTTCACCTGATGAAGAAAAGGAGAAGGATGCACTTCATTCTTAGAATCTAAGCAGGAACAGGAAAGGGAAAATCTAGGAGAAAAGCTTACAAAGACTAAATGTCTTCAAGAAGGTGAGAGAAACTAATATTTGGTTTACTGTCAGCAGGCTGTTTGGGCGGCATTTTGCCAATATTAGCCCTATCCCTACGTGAGTAGGGGAAAGGGAATTGTGGTTGGACAACCGAGTTCTGAGAAAGGCAGTGATTGAGCAGCTGAACTCCATCCATTTGGTGGGTAAGGACCCCAGAGTATTCAAAGGATCAAATGGAATGTGACTGAAGAGTTATCTTGCCGATCTTACCCAGGAAGACTGTCCCCTAGGCAAGGGGACACCAAACACAAAGAGGCATGGGATAAGGATTTCAAGATGAGAGTTGGGCAGAACTGGAGTTTAATCCCCATGTCATGGTAAGGCCCTCTGAAATTCTCTCTATGCCTTTGAGAGACTCACCATTTAGATTCTGACTCCTAGAGTCCCTTAGTGGCCAGTCAACGTAAGTCAAGTTAGTAGCTACAGCCGTCAGGCACACGATTACACCGTGAACAGTGAAGTAAAAAAATGTCCTTTCTTTGCTTTCTTCCTCTAATCACCATCCCAGAGGCATGAAAACCTAGAAAAAAGAAAGTAGCTGTATAGCTTTCATTTATGTGTAAGATTGGTGTTTTGAAATTTTAATAACAAAAAAGACTAGAAAGTTGCCTATCTCCCCAGAATGTTTCTAGTGAATAGGAATAAGAAATAGGAAAAGTATATTCCATACAGTATAAGCAAATTTAAAAAATTGATTTTTTACCCTACTGAATTGAGACTTGCCAATAACCAGTTATACAAATAAAGAGGGTAGTCCTGGGAGCTGAGTGCTATGAAAAAAATACAGGAAGAAAATGAAAGAGAAATTAATGGGAAGGAGGGAAGAAGACTACAAGCTGCTTTGCGTTGGGTAGGCAGGGAAGACCTATTTCATTCAATGAAATTTTCCTGAGTTTTCCTGTGTTCTAGCCATTATTCTGGGCTCTGAGGATACATAGTAAACAAAGCAGATGAAAAATACAGTCATCAGAATTTTCTTTGAAGGTGTGAGACAGGAATAATATGGAGGCAGTCAAACAAAGATATGAAGCAAAAAAAGGAGAAAAAATTAGAACAAAGTTCCTAAGAAAGGAGCAAGCTTAGTATGTTGGAGTTTTGGGGAAAAGTTCAGTGGCTGCAACCTAATGACAGGAGAGAGTGGGAGAGGGTTGAAGGGGGCAGGCCAGGTGAGCTGAGCATGTGGACAAGTCAGAACTTCAGAGAGCATGCTAACAAGTGGTGATTTTATTCTGGTGCAGTGAAAAACCTACTGGAGATTTTAAGTAGGAGAAATACATGATCTAATTGATAGTTTGAAAAAATTGCTCTGTGAAGGAGGGAATATAAAAAACAAGAGTAGAGACAAGGAGACAAGCTGTGGGGCTGTTACTATATTCCATGCCATCTCATCCATTCTTTTTAGTAAGAATAAATGCTGCTGGTCACCTTTTAGTGATTACTTTTTAAAATTTCAAAATATTCAGAGATGGGGATACTTTAATCTGAGGACATTAAAATATACAGCATTTTTATGCTTTGGTAGACCTAGAAAAAGTTTAATAGACTTAGGTAAGACTTACATTAAAGTGATTACTTTTGATTTAAAGGTAATAGCGTTCAGCTGAGAATGGAAATAATTTTCACCTGGTTGGCAATATTTGCAATCACTTCTGAACCTTCAGTTTTATCCAGTTGAATAATAAAGGTCTAAAATTTCCTTCATTTGCTTTTGTCAGAGCAAGTTATGTTACCAATAATACCACCTACAAGAGAGAAGAGCCATGAGAAGTGTCAAGGACAATCTATGAGTAACTTAAGTGGAGGCTGATATAACATATTCTCTAATATATGATGCCCTGATAGCATTTGACAAGACCATTTGGAAGAGACCCAGATGGAGACAACAATTCTAGTTAATATGCTCCATTGAGTGATGTTCATCAGCTGATTGTGTGAACTCAGGCTGAACTCTAGTCATAAAATTTGGAAAGAAGGCAGTTTGAGAAATGGTATATTCTTCACTGTGAAATGATTGACCTGAGCATGAAATCAATTCTAAAAATAACTAAGGGGCAGATAAGTTCATGACCAAGCTTATAAAAATGAGAACCACTCAAAAGATCTCCAGTTTTATTCCTAAACCTATCTGTGCTGAAGAGCTTTTTGGATGCTTCGCACAGGACTGAAATTCTTGCCTCTAATTTGGACAATGACAGTTCTCTGTAATCCACAATTGAATGGTCACTGGAACATGTTAGACACGCAACATAGTCAAAGAATGCATAGATTAGGGTAACTATGTCAATTATAAGTAAAACCCCTGTAGACTAATGTAACTCTATCTGTTAGGGAGATGTGTACTAGCAACTGTATTGTTGCTATATGTATATATGTATATATATGTATATATATATCTAGTTTTGAAAAAGTTAATGGCTTTTGTTATTGTCTCTTTAAAAATGTAATATAGTTTTGTTACAGAAAATTAAGAAGCTAGAAAAAAAGTATAAAGAAAAAGATGAAAATTAGCTATAATCCCAACAAGTGAAATTAAGCTCTATACATATCCTGGCATCTCCCCCATCCCACAAACCCCTCACCCACAGAAAGAACTTTTAATGTAGAACTGTCTGCAATCTTTTAAATATGCAACAAACACCATTCCTTGTCATCAGACCTACCAGATTTTATCATGGTGTGACTGTAATGTCTGAGGTTTCTGAAATACTTTAGAATTTATACATTCAAAGCAGTCACCTTGAGAGGTAATAACATTCATTTATTCAAATGCAGATGCTGAACATAGCAGATTTGTGACAATCTCTTACTGCTCACTTAGGGGAGGCATACAGCATATGGCCATGGCCTGCTCTATGTCCTGTTTTTAGGATGGGAGAAAAGAGACCTCAGACACTCCTCCTTCTGACTCCAAGGATAAGGCAGTCAGAATGTATCTGGTGTGTACTAGAAGAGGAAACATGCTGCACATTGGGACCCCAGGTCCTTTGGTTTTACCTGTCCTTTCTGAGGTGTGGGCATCCTGGGGTCCCTCAGAGATTTCTGACCCAGCCATCTCAGTAAGATCTGCTGTGTCCTGGAGGTGATGAGTGCTCTCCAGAGTTCATTTGAAAGTCAGGCCCTTCTCTATGTGCTCCTACCCCTGTGCCTGTCATTCTCTTTACTGTTGAGGAGGGACCTTAACTCCTGGCAGGCGAACTATAATTAAGATCAATGGGTACTAAAGTAAGCCTATCAGAAATCTGGTTTTTGACAAAGATTTGAATAGAACTTGGTCCTTGCCCTCAAGGATCTCACAGTATGATAAACTTGTCTTTGCTTTTTAAATTACAGTGCCGTTTCAGCAGTCAGGCACCTTGGGTACTTGACTGAATCTTGTTCTTTTCCAATATATTTCACATGAGACTTCATGTTATCCTGGACAACCACCTAATGAGAGTCTAGGCTGAAGTCTTCATTCCCCTTCTGCATGTGCTCTGCTGTTGGCTTTGTTCAGACCCTTCTTTCTTCTCATCTATCCTACTGTAATGGGCTTTACATTTTAAACATAACTTGAAATAACAAATCATGACTATAATACCTGCAAATGGTTTGTATTTTGTTTTATTTTTATTGAGAAGTAGAGAATACAGTAATAGGGAGGAAAACAGGGAATTAGGATAGCCAAGGGTTGGAGCATAAGCAAAGGAATAGCAGGTGCAGCCAGTCTGCATAAGCAAGAGAACAGCAGGTGCAGCTGGTTCTAGGCAAGATCAGGCAGCATGCAGGCCACATCCTCATTCCTGTGATAAAAAGACAGAAGTTTCCACTTCAGCCTCTGCTTGACCATGAGCTAAGCCTCCACTTCAGCCTCTGATTGGTCACAGGCCAATCCTTCATAGGGTGTAGCCAATTGGAGGCTTCTAAAGGGTACCTAAGGGGTGTTGCCAAGTTCTTTTGGCTTTATAAAGACCCTAATTGGGGCCGGGCACAGTGGCTCACACCTGTAATCCCAGCACTCTGGGAGGCTGAGGCAGGTGAATCACTTGAGGTCGGGAGTTTGAGACCAGCCTGGCCAACATGGCGAAACCCCGTCTCTATTAAAAATACAAAAAAAAAAAAAAAAAAAAAAAAAAAACAAAAACCAAAAACAAACAAAAATATTAGTCAGGCGTGGTGGTGGGCGCCTCTAATCCCAGCTACTTGGGAGGCTGAGACAGGAGAACTGCTTGAACCCCAGAGGCAGAGGTTGCAGTGAGCAGAGATCATGCCATTGCACTCTAGCCTGGGTGACAGAGTGAGGCTGTCTCAAAAAAAAAAAAATCCCCAAAAACAGAAAACCCCAATTGGAGAGGCTTTGAACCCCTTGCTTAAGCCCACTCCCAGTCTGTGAATGGTCTTCAATAAGTCTGTGCTTTCCTTACTCCATTCTTCTGTTGCTTTGTCTTTCATTGCTTTGTTCTTTTGTTACTTTGTGCATTTTGTTCAATTCTTTGTTCAACATGCCAAGAACCTGGACAACTCTGTTGGGTAACAGTGGTTACCAGAGGCTGCTGGGGTAGGGGAGATGGGGAAAGGAAACTTGTAAATATTTTTGAAATCAAAATTATAAGGAATTATAATAAAAATTATTAATGAACATTAATTAATCACTAACAGTGCACCAAGCACCATTCTAAATGATTGGTAAGTATTAACTCAATCCTCACTATTGCTCTTTCAGAAGGTGGTAGTGTTATCGTCAGTACATTTTACAAATAAGAAAAGTCTCAGAGAGATTAATTAACTTGTCTAAGACCTCACAACTAGTAAGTGGCAAAACTTGGATTCACACCCATGTTCTCTGGCCATAAAAACTATGTTTTTAACCACTATGATATTCTGCAACAATTTTCTCTTCCAACCTCTCCCCGCTGTTCATCTTATGCTCTAGAAGCTAACACTCACACTGGCAGTCTTGGTGTTTTCCAGGTAGCTCATTCAATCTTGGGGGGAAACCTTATTGTACAAATCATCTTTTTGGCCCTTTCTACTTCATCAGTCAGAATTCTTTCATTTGCTTTCAGCTTTCCAAATATTTATTGAATTTACTCATCTCTTGTTATTTTCCCTTCTGTTATTTTCATTTTGTTTTTATAATTTAGACGGAGTCTTAGAAAAGAGAGAATATAAACTCAAATGATCATCTGCCATCTTGATCTAAAAGGGGGATACTCCAGACGTAGAGGAGTATGATTTACACTAGAGTCCATCAGGTGTGACTTGTGACCAGACTTAAGCCTGCTTTCCCAACCTTGTCTCCGACTTTTGAGCCCCATATGTTTTAATGTATGTTTCTAGTATATGCTTCACATTTCCCTGAGTCTGAGTGCCTCCCTCTAATCTCTAACGCTTTAAGTCCTCCTGAAAGCCATAGCTGAATATGATCTCTCTTCCTCAGCTCAACTGCTAGAGGACTGGTAGTACCTAACCAGTGGTGCGTATCATGTTTTCTCTTTTATTATAATAATTTCTGTTTTTTTTTTTTGAGACAGGGTCCCACTGGGTGGTCCAGGCTGGAGTTCAGTGGTGTAATCTCACCTTACTGCAACCTCTACTTCCCCAGCTCAGGTGATCTTTCCCACCTCAGCCTCCCACATAGCTGGGACTACGGGCATGCACCACAACACCTTGCTAATTTTTGTATTTGTAGTAGAGATGGGGTTTTGCCGTGTTGCCCAGCCTGGTCTCGAACTCCTTGGCTCAATCGATCCTCCTGCTTCGGCCTCCCAAGAAGCTTCTTATGAGTATTAGCAGATCCTTTTGCCGTGGAAAAAGAACATTCAGTTTGAAATCAGGTGCTGTAACAAAATCGTGACCTATATGGCATTAGGTTAGTATATGGGTGTCAGGAGATAAAGAATTAGATAATAAATGCTAGAAAGCAGCCTATTTATGCTATGCTGAGGTAAGCTATTTAGTAAGTTTTGTCTACAATAACTTTGAAAAAATACTACGTATCTTCTGCATCTGTAGTTTAGGAGAGCTTAGAAAGAGCTCACATTTTAGTGTTTGTTGACTGTTACTGCTTTTAGCAATATTGTAAGAAAAAATGAGTTCAGGAAGGTATTGGCTGATTTTCCAGAAGAAATTAAAGCTATCAAAGTGTTAGAAAAGCCAAATACATCTAGTCCTAAAACTGTAGGAGATAAGACTGAAAAAGACTTAGAGGCAAAATACATATCAATGCTTGTCATTAACTGAAGGAACTCAGCCCTATGGCTAAGATCACAACGAGAATATAGTTTTCATCTTCGCCCATTATTTCACTAGCATCAAAGAAGCTGCCATTAAGTTAAAGGCAAGTGCTCAAAAAATAAAGAGATTTAAAACTATGTCTCTGAAATAACTTTGGGTGTAGTCAGGCAAATGGAGCTCAGTGAAATTGATTAGAAATCAGCAAATTGATTAGAAATCACAGGTTTCTAAGGGAATCGTATTGCCAAAGTAATCATGAGACTGACTTGAAAAGCCTTTGCCTATTTCCTCTCTAAAACAAACCTAGCATCGTAAGACAATGTGTTGCAAAATCTGAACAGCTTGCAGTGAGGGCACACTGCCTAACACTCACTTAAATGTGGCCATAGAATTAAATGACCAAGGAAGTAACTTTCAAAGTGCAAAGCCAAGAGCCATGGTGAACAATGACATTTCTTCTACTTCCTGGGAAGGAGTCTTCACAATGTTTGCCCAGTGGATTCTATCATTGCCACGGACCTATGACTGATGTGTGTTTCACATTAATCTCTCTTTTGAATGGTAATTTTTATTGCCCATATCTTAGCCCAGCTCTACCAATGTGTTTTGGGTATGGTAGTGGGCAGATTACTTTACTTTTCTTAGTTTATTGGTTTTCTGGCCATGGGAAACTGCATTTCAATCTAGTGAGAAAACAGTACATGCCCCAAAATTCTTGGCTTTGAGCTACATGCTATCAGCTTAGATCCATAAATGATGATAGAAAGAATAATCACTTTCCCCACAGGCCTAGAGTAATATTCCTGTACCATTACCTGAGAAAGAAATAAACTTCTTGTGTGTAAACAAAATTATGCTTTGGGACTTAAATTGCCCTAGTTAATACTGTATACAATCAATTAGGTGGGATAAAGTAACAATAATCTCAGGCTGTGAAAATACTCAAAGTCAAGTGGGTAGCAGCAAATAGGCTGGGTAGGTGTGGAATCGGGAGCACATCAAGGCTTGAGGATACAGCAAAGTATCTGCTTACAAGAATAGGGCTAGCCAAGTGGGCAGAAACCAGACAGAAGAGTTAGGTTTCAAGTCCAGTTTTTAATCCTGGTGGAGGAATTGTGGGGAAAGTCATTCCTAGAAATACAAAAACCAACATTGGTCACTTTGCTTTAAGAAACTTCAAATCATCAAGAAAACTATTTTTACTTCCCTGTCTGCAGAATCCTTGAGAAAAAAACTCTAGGTCTGTTGTAGTTTTGATTTCAAAAGGAGTAAACTGGTCTATGACATAATCACTTCGGTGGACTCTATTCTAGACACAGTGAAGGAGTGAGATGTGAAGGTGCTCTGTCATTGCCTCAGTCAAGACTTTCATGGTACATTGGAAGAAAGAGAAGCGTGAACAAATTGCATGATACTTGAGGTCATGCTGTGTACCTGTATTGAACAAGAATAAGGGAAGAAAGCTGGGAACCTGGATCTCCCATATATTGGAAGTTTTGTAAAAACCTTGAGGTGAGTAAATAAAAACAAATTCTTAAAGGTTTTTCAAAAAACAATTGATTACATGGTTATCATGTTTTAGAGGATTCTGTTTAGCTTTAGAAGTGAAGAGCTATATGGGTCAGAGAATGTGGCAACTTATAAGTTCTATATCTTTTGCTCAGATGGTCCCAGTGAGAGATGAGGGCTTCATTTGCTTTTCTTTTAGGTTTTCTTTATAAGTTGTCTTAGTCCATTCTCACGCTGCCATAAAGAACTGCCTGAGACTGGGTAGTTTATAAAGGAAATAGGTGTAATTGACTTACTGTTCCCCATGGCTGGGGAGGCTTCAGAAAACTTGCAGTCAAGGCAGAAGTCACCTCTTCACAGGGTGGCAGGAGAGAGAATGAGTGCCAAGCGAAGGGGTAAGCCACTTATAAAAGCATCAGATCTTGTGAGAACTCACTCACTATTGTGAGAACAGCATGAGCAGCATGAGGGTAACCACCTTCATGATTAAATTACCTCCCACAGGGTCCCTTCCACTACATATGGGGATTATGGGAACTGCAATTCAAGATGAGATTTGAGTGAGGACACAGCCAAACCACATGGTAAGTCCTGGTGGGAACCGTGGTCATTGCTATATAGGATGACTATTACAGTTCTAGAAATAAACTCTTTCCTAGAGCAGACTTATTTTGAGGGAGAAACAACAGAGGCACATTTTTCTGCCTTCTGTTGCTGGGAGTGCACTCTCTTGTTGCTTCCTCAGGTGCTAAAATGGAGAAGTAGCCCGATTTTTCAAACTAGGATTTGAATTATGAATTAAAACGTATTAATCTGATGAAGGATTATATACACACTTGCTCTTAATATTATGTCAAACTGATATATTTGACATATATATGTTTTTTAAATTTAATTATTAATTTATTTATTTACCTTAAGTTCCAGGATACATGTGCAGAATGTGCAGGTTTGTTACATAGGTATACATGTGCCATGGCGGTTTGCTGCCCATATCAACCCGTCATCTAGGTTTTAAGCCCCGTTTATATTTTTATTGAGGTAAAATATACATATATAATTTGCCATCTTTACCATTTTGCATATACACTTCAGTGGTAATAAACACAATTGTGTTCTTTATTTTGCCTTCATCATCCCCTCCCTGCTCTCCTTCCCGTCCTCTGGTGATTACCAATCTACCCAATCTACTTTCTGTCTTCATGAAGTCCACATGTTTAGCTCCTACATATGAGTGAGAACACGTGATATTTGTCTTTCTAATATGTGTTAATATTAAAAAAAGTTTTAGAAACACTTCACATTTAAAAAGTGGAATCACATTCCTTCCAAGGTATACGAACTAAGTTGTCTTATTGTTGAGTTAGGAAACAGATATTTCTGGCTTTCCTTCCCTTTGAAACATTTCTCCTTCAGCTTTCAAGGCTTATTTCTGCAGAGTCACAGCACAGTTTAAACACACCCCAAAAAGCATGTTTCATGAGATATGAACATGGGGCAATACCAAGATGTCTCTGGTCTTCAGTTTTGAAGTAGAGCTCTAGCTTAGAAATATTCAACAGCAACCAGGAATGTTAGTACTGCATTGTAAGTCCGTGGCACTATTTCTTGAACAAATACAAGAAGAAAGAAACTACTGAGTGTTGAAGTTTTTCTTTTTGAGCTTTAAAATTTATGCACTACATATTTTTTTAGTTCAGAATAATCATACTATGTTTTCTATTTTTTCATTAAAAATTCATTTCTACACATATTTTCACTTGTAGACAAAGTGTACACGCACTTTTTAATTGGCTACATAATAGTCTATTTTGTTAATATGCTAATATGTAAATTATAACTGACACATAGACATTACTAAGTTAGTGAACATTTGGGTTATTTTCTTTTTGCTATTTGTTGATGCAATTAATATGTAAAGTCAATTACAAAATAATAATTTACACTTTTTTGTAATTTTACTGGAGCACATTCTTCAAAATGGAAATACTGGGCCAAAAATATATAGACAAATTTGTGAATTTTGGAATATATTGCTCTATTGTTTCTGAGTCAATTTACAGTTACTAATAATGTATAAGTATTTTTTCCCATTATGCCTTATCTAAGTCATCAACAAATGCTTTTGCTACATTAATACTTCTATCTGTATAATGGTTGTATTAAGTAAACAAGACTCATAGAATTCAATTAGAAATAATTTGAGTCATGGCTCCTGTGTCCTTTTAAATGTCTTCTGTAGAACTGGTCCTTGCATTGTTCCTCTGCCCAAACATCCCATTACTC
This sequence comes from Homo sapiens, assembly GCF_000001405.40. Classification (NCBI taxonomy): domain Eukaryota; kingdom Metazoa; phylum Chordata; class Mammalia; order Primates; family Hominidae; genus Homo; species Homo sapiens. The sequence continues at coordinate 144,105,798 of NC_000004.12, forward strand.
TTCTGGTCACCATTAGGTAATACAAATGGCTCTCCAGTTTGTAATTAAAATGTCTATACCAATGCAATAATCAACATTTCCATTCTGATTTAAAATTAATGTTTGTATTTCTTCTCTTCCCTGGATTCAGGAAAGGAATGATCTAGTCAACTTCTCCCCAACCCCAAACTGGAGCATTTATTCCTTTTCTTCCATCTTGCCACTCAAAGTTTCTAAACCCTCCAGCACTGGAACACAGGAAGGAAAAAACTAGGTAAAGGAGTAGGAAAGTCCGACTAGACCAATATTTCACAGTGGTCCCACATTTTCTCTTGGCAGAGTTTTACATTTGAACCTTCCTCTTATAGGTATTCTTGAGAGTTCTTCAGAATTTTCCCATCACTTGGGACTTTTCATCTGATATTCTCTTGGCTTGTATAAATCCATGTCTGTTTCAGTTGTTTGCCTGCATCCTTCTTCAGTCCCTCATGGGTAAACAAAGTATTAGATGTCTGGCAACACTTCTGTTTTCTTTCTCTTAAAAGTTATTGGCCTCTCTAGGAAGTCATTTCCAACATGACAAAAGATAACTCACAGGAACATTTTTTTTTTTGCAGTTGGTGTGTATAGAGCCCACAGGAAACTCATTTTTTCACTGCCTCTTAAAACTGTAGGAATGCTTGTCATCCCTAGCTTTCCAGTATCTCCTTAATATACTTTCAGGGCAGGACTGGGGCCATTTTTTTGCCCTTTAGATATCTCAAGTAAGAGTCATAATTCTCTGACATTCCAAGGACACATTCAAGTTCTCCCAAGACCCTCTAGAGCTCTTGACAAAGTGAAGAGAGAACCTCCTCACCTCTCCTCCTTAGGAGAGACCTTGAAGACACACAAACAGCTCTCTACACTCCCTTTTGTTCAGTCACCAACTCCTTACACTTTTATTCTTTTACTGTTGGTGAGAGTTTTAGAATTGTACAATCTTTAGACATTTCCTTTGGAAATTCTGTATTAAGTCTTATATGTCAACCTGGAATGCAGTCTTTATTGGATATAAGGTGTCAGCCCGATCATCTATTTTGGTTTTCTATTACTTTAGCTAAGACTCTTTCTATTATAAATGACAAAAAGCCTAATTTAAAAAAACCAGCTTAAGCAAAGAGGGGATTTATTGACTCCCATAACTGAGAAGAGGTTTTGTCTGCTTAGGCACATCTGGATGCACAGCTCTTCGGGACCTAGCTCACTTTCTCATTCTTCCTCCATTCCTCTCCCTCTCTCCTCCAGCTGTCCTTCATGTGATGACTTTATGTTCAGACAGGTTATGCTGATGTATCCAGCCTAGTCTGCTTTCCATGTTAAAAATGATCCCAGGTGGTCTATATCACTTTCCAGTGTTCAAATTTGGAACCATACGCATACTAAATTTGATAATCAGTCAGATGATGAGCACTCTCACCTTCCCTTTCTCATGATTTCCTGGCCTGGCTGTGATACCTATACACAAGTATTTTACACCATTCTTACTCCAGGCTGCTCAGCCAGTTGTCAATTTTAAGATCCCTCATTCTATGGTCACACTTTTGACATTTTAAGTGTAGGTTTAAGAACAAATATTATCATACCTCTTAATAATTAATTTCTTTTCATGGGTAAATAAGGTATTAGGAAATAATAAGTGTATTTTAAAAAATGAATAATCACAACTCAGGGTACAAAACTATGACTGTATTTTTTCCATAATTGGATTTTTTTTTTATTTTCTTTTTCTTTTTTTTTTTTTTTGAGTCGGAGTCTTGCTCTGGCACACAGGCTGGAGTGCAGTGGCACGATCTTGGCTCACTGCAACCTCCGCCTTCCAGGTTCAAACGATTCTCCTGCCTCAGCCTCCTGAGCAGCTAGGATTACAGGTGTGCACCACCATGGCCAGCTAATTTTTGTATTTTTAGTAGAGATGGGATTTCACCATGTTGGCCAGGCTGGTCTGGAACTTAGGTGATCTACCCACCTCAGCTTCCCAGGGTGCTGGGATTACAGGTGTGAGCCACTGCGCTCAGCTGGATTTATTTTCTATTTTGAGAACCCACCTGTTGTGTCTTTTGCAGACAAGTAATATAGTATCTTGCAGGTAAACTTATAAAACATAACTGTGCTTATCCTTTTATTTTTCTTTCTCTTGTATTAATTATGGCTTAACACTAAGCTCTACAGCTATATACAAATTCAATATAAGCACTTTTACATTCTTTAAAGATAAATTAGGGCTAGTTCTGAAAAGCTGCTTATTTTCCCATACAAAAGCAGATTTTGTATAGAATCATGTTTGAGTCATCTTTTGCTGTAATATACCTCTTTCCATCAAAAAGCATTTGTGCGCTTCCTCCTTATGGTTTAACCTTGGTTTAGTTTCTATGCAAAATTTAAAAAAATCCAGGGGCTTTAGTCTGAGGGAAACAGTTGTGGAGAATATCACTCTACACATTATATCAACATGTAAATAAACTAGACACTTTTCAGGTTTAAGAAGATACGGGAGAGAATTGCAAAAGTTGCACATGACTGCCATGAGGATTATCTCTCACTACATGAGAGTAAATTTTTTTCCTTTTGGACTGATATTAATAGTTTCTTCTTGTTTTTCATTTTTCTGTATAAATATATAACTCTTGTGACATTTCTGCCAGGCAGTTATTCTAATCTTCATATTTCAGATAAAGAAACCAAAGTTATGTGAATAAATAGTGAGGATTCAAATCCTGGCTCCAAATCTGATTCTCTGTCCACATCACGCCAGACCAAACCTTTAAGAGGTCACTGTGTATCATGCCATTTTAAATATTAATAAAGGCTTCATGAAATAAGAAGCAAATTTTGTTAAGCCTCTCAGGAGTTACAAAAATGAATTAAAGTTCTTGCTTTTAATGAATCATAGTTAAGAAGGGTATGGAATTCAGATCGTAGTAATGCTACAAAATATGCATAAGTGCTGTGAGGATTCAGAGGAGATGTTTACATCTAGATGCTGAAAGTGGGTTAGCAGTTGGCAATGCACATGCCCCCTAAATACAGCTGAGGGCATAAATGCATTAGAACTGGTTGACACAGTGAGAGGCCTATGCATCACTTTGGGTCAAAGTATTTATTTATTTTTATTTAAATAACATTTGGCTTTTAGGAATTTCTTCTAAGAAATTTGCTACATTTGATAGGATATATGTTTAGAATAAACCAGAAGGCTATTCTTCAATCACTATATATCAATATCACCAAAATACGCCTTTGTCCATGCTGTTCTTTGGCTCTCCGTTCAGAGTTGTTTTTGGAGTTAAATTTCTATTGCAAGAAAAGGTCATTCTTTCTTCACAATGCCTCTCAGCCTTCTCCATTCATTTTTTCCCTCATTTAGATCTTTTGCTCATAACGACACAAGCAAACAACCAGGGCTGAAGAGTACAATTCCATAATCAGCATCACCAAACCTTCCCATCCCATCCCCAATTTTAAGAAATCCAACATGAGCCATCCATGGGGTCATGGTATCTTCACAGGAAAGATTTCTTTATTACAATATTTTGCTGATTTAATTATAAAAATACAAGGGAAATGGTCATTTCTTCCCCCACGAATACCAAATTTAACTATGAAAATTTCATTGCTGATTCGAATGTCACCTCTGGAACCTTTGTTGAAATTTAATTGCCATTGTAACAGTGTTGGGAGGGGCCTTTAAGGTCACGATTAGGTCATGAGGACTCCATTCTCATAAATGTAATAACGCCTTATAGAGGGAATGGGCTTCTGATGAAAGGATGTGTTTGGCTTCATTTCCTCTCTCTTCATCTTACGCTTTTGCTTGCCTTGCTGCTTTGTTATCATGCAGTAAGAAGGTTCTCATCAGTTACAAGGCAGATGTCAGTGCCATGCCCTTCGCCTTCCCAGCCTCCAGAACTAGGAAGAAAATAAATTTCTTTTCTTTTTAAATTACCCAGTCTGTCGTATTCTGTTATAGTAGCAGAAAATTGGCTAAGACATTCATATATAGAAGTACAGAGAAATTGCTTGGAAAAGTTCAAGGAGGTCAAAGCAGTTTGTACTTTAATTATTCACTAAATTCTGTAGCTCTGGTTAAGAAGGCACATTCACTCTGATCTCTTCCTGTCTTTGACTTGTAAATTACTTTAGCAAAAAGGTTAATCTCACCCTCTCTTGTTTCAACATGTTGCTTTTATTAAAAATGTAAATTTAAAATTACCTTGGCATTTGGGTCATTAATTGGATTAATTAACCTAATAATGCTCTTAAAATTACTTTTAAAAAACATGTATCAACAGAAATGTTCCCTTCTTAGTCTCATTCTCTATTTTAAGTAGTCAATATAGTACAAAAACACTCTCCGAACATACAAGTAGGTTAAAATTTAGATTTTTTAATTTATTAAAAGGTAAATTTCTGTTACCATGCCTGAAAATATGCAAAATAGAAAACATTTACTTGGTTATCACACAATAATAAAAAGTCATATAGATTTTTATTAGTTCGGAAATAAAGTATCACAGGAAGGTCTTTTTTGTTTTTTGTTTTTGCTTTTTAAGTTTTACTACAAATGAGTGACAGCTGTATAGTCACAGTCCTTAGTTTCTATATCTAGAAATTTCCTTTAAATGGTTTAAAGCAATTTCCAAAGTTTTATTAATAAGAGAAACTGGGACTGGACAGATTAAAGAATTTAATTGAGAACCTTATAGTAACCTATTAAAATATTCACCTGCATGTCCGGTTTGCACATCTTGTTGAATTTAGAGTTGAGTTTCTGTTATAAAGAAAGGTCGTAAGTTCTTTTCCTTCTCCGGATACTCTACTTACACAAATAACTCTTTCAGTGGAATGCAAGCTTCAGTGAGTGCTCCGACACAGTTCTACTGTTAGACAAATTATTTTAAATATGGCACTTATATATATGTAATATTTCATATTAATGGGAAAACCTTTTGTGTTGATTTATGCATTAAATGATAAATGTGTGTGTTTGTGTGTGTGTGTGTGTGTGTGTATGGCATTTCTGAGCATAAGCTTTATTAGTGTGAACAAAATATAGTAATCATTCATGTAATATTATATCTTGCCTGTTCAGCAATGAAGGAAATGAATGATAGGACTTTAGTGTCCCCTTAATTTATTTAAAACAATGAAACCAGACTCAAAAGTTTACAATAGGAAGAAAATCTAAACTTCATCTAGGTATTTCAAGCCTTTCATTTGACAGAATCATCATTATAATACAATAGAATAGGTTAAGTTAATATTAAACAAACGTAGATGAATTCAACTAAAGTTTTGGATCAGAATTCTCAAACAATTCTAAAAATTATGCTAACACACAAAAGCAAGCATTCAAGGAAACATTTGTTCTTTATCTTGAAATATTAATGAGCAGAGATTTTTTTCCCCATCATTGAGTCACTGGAACTCATTATAATGAAAATTGCATTCTGAAATTGTACAACTTAGGCAGGTATATAATTTATTGGAGTGTCCAGTCCACATGTTAATTTTTCACTTGACTGAAGTCTTATGTCTTCTTTGTGTTCTTTCCACATTTGGTTTGGTGAACAGATTCTCATTGATCACTTGTCTCTAGAAGGATTATAGTAAAAAAAATACAAGACCGAAATATGAGACATAGTTATGTTTAAACACAACAGGAAATTAATGCACAGTATACATTTTAGGATTCTACATTCTTGCAGAGTTGTTCTTGAATGTAATTAGTAGGAAACGAAAGGACTCTCCTTACATATTAGCTCTATTGTCAAGTTTTGTGTAAAGAAAAATACAGAATTTCTTAGAATATCTATTCTAAAAGCCTTAGGTAAAGAATAAATATAATTGCTCTGCTCCTAGTTTCTACAGAGATAAGAAACAAACAGCCAAACTTGTATAGAGGCAAAATATAATGTGAAGCCAGTAAATGATAAGTTGAATCACATATGCATGTTAAAATTTAAGGCATGTGTCTAAGTCTGTCATGTCTTTTTAAATAATGACTTTTTTTTTCCCCCAAGGAGAAGTCTGCACAAAAGCTTATGGCCAAGTTCCTCTCTGGTTCTAGGGTGTAAAAGAAGGGCACTGGGCTAGTTTTCTCCAGTAAACCCGATGCTCCACTTTTCCTGGTTGGAAGGTTGAATTTATGTTGCTCCTAGAAACTGCATGAAAGGGAGAGGGGAGCCCTTGCTCTTCCAGAAGCAGAGCTTTTCCAGCCTTCTTCTATTTGGGCACCACAGGAACTGTGCATCTCAAACATTCTCCTGTGGGAAATAGGCTAGTGGGTCACATATGCATGCCACAGTGGCCAGCTGACTCAGATTCGCTTATTCTCATTTTTCACCAATCACAGATCATGTGCACTTTTAGAAGGTTAAAACAATTTATACTCTAATTACTCCTTTACATCATTAGTTCTTGTTGAGATGGTACTGTCATTTTAACCTCTTATGCCTTTGGCTTATAAACTAATTTAGAGCCATATTCTATAAAAGTAGAAATAAAGCATTTTAAATAATCTTTAATAATGTGTTTTCCTATGTTTTCTGTGAGGTGCAGTCAGAATTCATAACTTGTCTCACTAACATACTAAGACATTTAATAACTTCACTTGCACAAATGTGGGGAAATAAAGTGAGCCTAAAGTTTGGTTCTTCTGACTTTCCACTGCCATTACACATATTTGAGATGTGAACAGAGAACCAAAGCAGCAATCCTGCTAATGTGGAAATGCATACAATTCTTTAAGTAAACATATTCTGTCTTCCATGCTTTTACTCACTCAGGCTGCCCTTCTGCTAAAACTACCCTGCCCTAGCTAATATCTATCTGTCTTTTAAGGCTAATCCCAGGTGATTTCATCTTCAGAAGCCTTTGATACCTGTCTCAGTCTCTGGGACAAGTGGAGCTATTGCCTCCACTACTGTAGAACTTGTTCACTGCAATGACATTCTGTTTTTTCCATTAGTCTCTCAGCTTCTAAAGGACGAAGACTCATATTGGTATATCTAATGTGAGTGTGGTGCCTACCCCACTGTATGCATTTAGCAAATGTTTGTTGCACTTAACTGAATTAAACTACAAGGACATCTTGATGCACTGTGGCGTATTAAATTGTGCCAAACATTTGAGATGCTTAAAATTGTATGAAAAAAATGGCAGGGGAAACTCTAAACAATAAATTTGTCTCTAGAATAAATAAGTAGCTAAAAATGTATATAAATTTCAGTTCGAAAAATAGGCTTTAGGTTGTAATTGCTCCACTTGAAAAACTACATCAAGACTTTTTTGTGGAACAAGGCAGAATGCAGATAAAATGAATATTTTACAGATACTTGTTCCAGCTGCCAGTCCAATAACAAGATAACCTTAGTAAATGAAGTGAATCTGGCATATGACTCAAAAACTTCCGTTGTTTCAAGTATCTGCAGATTGGATTTTATTAATCCTTTTAGCTGAGAATCATATCTATGCCATTCATTTCCACATAGCAGGAATGTCTTAGGATTATAAACTTATGTAACAATTACTCTTAAGCTTTAAGAATTCACATGATAATGTGATGTGGCAAATCCTGCATATAACCTGTGTAGCTGTGATGGATCTTGAAAACTCTGTGTTCTGTGACTCTAAAGTCTAGAAAACCTAGACTGGCCCAGGGTTAAAATCGAAATCCAGAAGCATACAGGACCTCTGATCTGTCATGATTTCTGAAAATTATGGGAGTAAAATCAGTTGATTTTGTAGAAGGCAGAATGAAATCTCTTTTGCTTGAGAAATAAAGCTCATTCCAGAGACTTGTTCTTAGTAACTATCTCCCAAAATAGATGTCATTTGGGTTTATGCTTCAGGCAAAGTTTAATAGAAACTATATGCTTTCTTAGTGAGTTCATACCAGGGGCCACGGTGAATAAAACAAATGCAATTGGCTAGGGATTTAGACAGACAGTACAGGTAGCAGCCACTACTCAGCTCTTAGGAATTGGTCTCATGCTGGTATGAAGGCTCTCAGCATTTTGGGAGTTTACATTTTTCCCCAGAGGAATAGCAATACTTGATTTTTAAAATGTAACAATTTCCGACTTTTAAAGGTTGACAATAAATATTCTTTTCAAAAAGCACTATGTGGTTTAATACTGTTCTGGATAAACAAAATATATCCATGGCCTTTCACATGTTTTGTATCTGCTTAGCACCTGGGAGTGGAGATGAAAGCATGTGCCAGATGGCTTGCCAGTGTGCACAGGAGGTCATTTGGGAATGACACTATATTGATAACATGCTATATTGATATAGCATTGATGTCAGTGCTATATTGATAACAGCTAACAGGCATGAGGACTTATGATGGCCACAAATGGTTTTAAATGCTTTACCGGTTGTAGCTCATTTAATTCTCATTAAACTTTGTGAGGTTGATACTATCATTATCCCCATATTAAAAGAGGTTTAGTAGCTTGCTCAGGGTTACACAGCTAATAGGTGTTGGAGCATGGATTCAAATCCAAGTCTGATTTCAGATCTGGGGCTAATTCACTATGCTACACCATACTGACCATAGAGTCTCCTATACACATAACTTTGCAGTTTGGGAAATACGAAGTACACTTGGTTTTCTCTTTTGCTTTTACTATTTGATTGAGTTTTTTTTTTTTTGTTAAAAAAACAAAACAAAACAAAACACTTTGTGTCCAAAGGAGAATCTCACTATGCTGCAGACATTTCTAAAAAGTCAAAGAAGTAGAATTAATGAGATAGAATAGAAATGAATCATAACTGGTTCCCTCCTCCCTCAAATCAGAAAGAAGTAACTCACTGGTTTGATTTTTTTTTCCTAAAAGGCAAAAGGAACTGCAAATATTAACACCAACCTGGATTTTCTATTTCAACAGAACTTAAAGGCACGTCTGTGTCAGGTGAGGGGAGAGGTTTTACATCAGATGGGCTTTTCTATGAAGAAATACCATAAAATATTAATAACACAATTTTCTAGTCTTAAGACAGTAAAAAGTAAAATGCTTCAGCTTAAAAATATTTTTTTCTAAAATTTTTTTTCTTTTGGTTGAAATCCCCTTTGCAGAGATTTTGTTATTGTTGTTGTTACTAGTTACTGGTATAAGCATTGATTTAAACTTGTATTTGTGTTCCTCTATAGTATTTGGTATTTCAGTAGGAGAAATATCACCTCAAACACTGATACTTACATATTTCCCTGCTGTAATAAATAGTGAAAGTGAAAATAAAAATAAAAATAAAGTGTGTGATCTCTGCATCATGTTGACCAGGACAAAATTCATCCATATACACTTAGAAAATTCTCTGAACTTTGCCAACTAAATATTTCCTTGGCTTTTTCAGGTTTTAGAACATTGACGAAGAGAGAAGACAACCCACTTTGCCATATATGCCCATGTAAGAAGATGACTTTTCTCTTTTATACTCCAGGCAAAAAAAGCTATCTTATATTAAAGTCCTTACAAAATATCTCACACAAGAGTAGGCATTTTCAGTTACTTTTCTTTGATTAACAAAAAGTATTATTTAAGGAAGATATATTTACATGGAATACTGAAAATCAATTATAGGATTGGATGATGGTAGAAGTTAACTGTTAGAAGTAGTTAAAAAAGAAAAGAGGCAAAGGAACTTAATGTAGATATTACTATCATATCTTCTGATGGCCCCACAATTGCAGTGCTGTCACACCTCTCAGCCTTTTTAAAAGAATTATATAGTGGTTATGGTCTCAAAAATCACAAAGAGAGATTAAGAATAGAGGATGAATGAAAACACAACTGTACCAATCTCATGTGACTAAGTACTTCTGATCTAGGATTACAGAGACAGTGACAGCATCATAAATACACACACACATATTATGTCTTAAATATCGTGAATAGAAAGTGATAGCAAAAGTTATGCACTTCGATAAGCTGTGTTGTATGGATGTAAAAATAGCATTAGTGGGCTGGGCGTGGTGGCTCATGCTTGTAATCCCAGCACTTTGGAGGCCAAGGGCAGATGGATCACTTGAGGTCAGGAGTTTGAAACCAGCCTGGCCAACACAGCGAAACCCCATCTCTGCTATTAAAAAAATACAAAAATTAGTCAGGCATGGTGTCCCGCACCTGTAGTCCCAACTACTGCGGAGGCTGAAGCACGAGAATCACTTAAACCAGGGAGGCAGAGGCTGCAGTGAGCAGAGATTGCACCACTTTGCACTCGAGCCTGGGTGACAGAGGGAAACTCTTGTCTCAAAAAAAAAAAAAAAAATTAAAAAAAGCATTAATGATTCAAAAAAAATCACTGATGTTAAGAATTCATGGGTGGAAATTTGAAAAATCTGTTTCAGAATATGTGAGAATTAAGAAAGGCAAAAGTTTTATTTTGTTTATTTTTATTTATTTATTTATATAATTATTGAGACAGGGTCTCACTCTGTTGCCCAGGCTGGAGTGCAGTAGCATGATCACAGCTCACTGCAGCCTTGATTTCCCAGGCTCAAGCAATCCTCCCACTTCAGCCCCCTGAGTAGCTGATACTACACATGTGCACCACCACGCCTTTCTAATTTTCATATTTTTTGTATAGACTAGGTTTCACCTTTTTGCTCAGGCTGGTCTCAAACTCCTGAGCTCAAGCAATCCTCCTGCCTTGGCTTCCCTCAAAGTTTTAAACATATGTAAATATATTATTTTAAATATTTTATACACTAATAGGGTAAATACTATAAGTAGAATCTTAATATTTCCTCAATATCCATCAAAATATGTGACAGCAAGTTAGACAAAAACTTAGGGAGATCTTTCATTGGGAAAATGGGGGACAGATTTATATTTAGAGGTTCCCTTTAATTGGGCAAATGCAAAGAAAAATTCTGCTAGAGAAACACAGTGACTTCTATGTGTCCAGTTGAAAAATATGGAATTTTATGCAGTTCTGTTTCTCTTTTGAGTTTAACTGAACTCAGAGGAATAAACCCTCTTAGAGCTGTTCACATTGGTATTTACAGCAAAATTAAAAACTGAATTCTCACCTTTATCAGTCGGCGAATACCGTAAGAAATTAAGAGGATCGTTCCAATAACACCAGCCATCACCCCAAAAATAATGAGTGTTATCTCTACAGGAGATAAAGAGAGCAGCAAAATTATGAAAGTCTGAAATAAATGACCATATAGCAACTGAAAAATAAGACAGATAACATCAGCATACCATCACCTTGCCTTTTAATAGAAAGCACAATTAATATACTATTATGTAGATTTTGTCTTTTTTTAAATTGTGTGCTTTACAGTAACCTTGTGGGAAACTGGGACTGTGAGTGATCAAGTCTTTTGTCCAAGGTCGCAAAATAGTTGATGACAGAACTAAGACCTGAAGCTTCTGATTCCAGACCCAGCGTTCTTCACTAGTGTAACTGTAGATAAGAACTCAGTGGACGTTCTCCTCAGATATGGGGAAAAAACCACAAATTCTCCCATAGTTTGGAAGTTATGAGAGAAAATAATGTCTTAATGTATAAAAGAGCATTGAACAGATCATAGAATCATAATTTTGGAAAGAAACTGGTATAAACAGTTTACAAATGAAGAAAAGAAGCTGAATAAGGTTAACTTAGCCTTGGTCAGACAACTAGTTAAAAGTAGAATTATAATTATAATGCAGGTCATCTATGTTCTAAGCTTTATTCCTTCCATAGTATTCTTATGCATAGTCTCCAATGTAGTCACTAAAAATGCTTGTTGAGTCATTTATATGTTGGGAATGAAACAATTGAAATCAATTAAGAGATATTTCCATATTTATAGCATATTTGTAGTGCTTCCAGTTGAAGTAAATAGAATGGAAGGCTAGACATAAAGGTAAAATGGCTCATTTATTTGCCTAATTAATATTTAAAAGCCCTATTGTTGATAAAAAGTAAAAGTAGCATTTCCTCTTGCTGGTGTTGCCCAGCCTTCTTGACCACTTAGCTTGAATGTATGCGATAGTGATGAAGTTCTATGATGTGCTTTTTACCCTGTGAGCCGTGGACACAGCCAAGTGTGAAGGGAGGGTTGGAATGCAGAATAGCAAATGAGCACACACAGTGATACTCAAGTGAGGGGAAGGGATGTCCCTTCAGCAGAGGTTGTCAAGATGGTCCCTAAGTGGTTGCATTGGGCCAAAAATGAATCAAGGCTGAGATTTACCCTTGAAATACAGTACCAGTTAATTAGATGATTTTAAATGCCTTGCTTTTTATATGAGGGAAGTTCATTTGTTTTATAAGCTCTTATGAGGCTTTTTTCAAGTACTCAGGCTTGGTTAGAAAGGTAAAACATCTAACTTAAGAGAAAAACTATTACCAAATTATGTATTTCTATTTCCAAAATGTTTTTATTTATTTTTATTTACTTATGTATTTGTTTTTGAGACAGGGTCTTACCAAGGCTAGAGTACAGTGGCACAGTCATAGCTCACTGCAGCCTTAAACTCCCAGACTCAGGCAATGGATCCGATCCTCCCACCTCAGCCAGCCTCCCAAGTAGCTGAGACTACAGGTGCGTGCCCCATGCCAGCTAATTTTTGTATTTTTTGTAGAGATGGATTTCGCCATATTGCCCAGGCTGTTCTCAAATTCCTGGGCTCAAGCGATTAGCCAGGCTCAGCCTCCCAAAGTTCTGGGATTATAGGCATGAGCCACGGCCCCTGGCCCCCAAAATGTTTTTAAAAATAAGAAATGCCTATTTTAATTTTAAAAAGAGAATATTTTCTTTGCCTTTACAATTTTGTGTGAATAAAGTTAACAACATATGCTCTTCTAAGATAGACACATTTTCTTAGGCATTTGAAACAAGCAATGGATAGTTTAAAATGGAATGACTTTTATTCTTTGTCAAATATTAACATACCTGGTTCAGAGAAATGATGGGCAAGTTGTACCCTTTCTCCTATAAAGCAAAATTTCAATGTAAGTCCAAATAAGTAAGGCATGTGCAAAGAAAAAAATCATTTTGGAATCAAACTGTTCTGTGGGTTTCCTTTTCTTAATCATATTTTGAGAGTTGTTGGTCAACTTTCAACATCTAGCTAGTAACATTTATGAGGTAATATGTCAGTCGTACCATTAGTAATTTCAGTATCTACTTTTAATGACCCAACAAGTATTCATGGATGAGAAATAAGCAAATTGTCTCATAACTGAGGGGGAAGGAATGAGAAAGTATTGGAAGAATCACTTATTGACTTCCACAAGAAGCAATGCATTTTTAAAAAATTTAAAAATAAGGAGAAGAAAGGAGGCATATGGAACCATTACTCCACACAGATGCCAGTCCCATGCAAAGAGGGATCATGCGACTATCAATTTTCTGATTTATGCCACAGCCACTGTCTGAATCTAAACTGTTACTGTGTCTCATTTGAGCTTTTGCCAATAGTCTCTCTGGATTCTATGTCAGCAGCAATTGATAGTATGGTTGCCTTACTGTTCCACCTGTGCTAACCTTCCCTCTCAGTCCACATCCTACTTTTGTCTCTGTCTCCACTTGCCATTTTACATCATGAAGCTCTCTTACTACCGAAGCCACACAATTTTCTAGAGTTTAATTATTACAAATTACTTAGTATATACTATGCTGTTTGATGATTGAGGATTCAGGTATATTTTTTCATTCTTTAGGCTTTACGTACAAAGGTTAATTGGGGCTTGCCTTCTCTTTCTTGGTCACAGTTAATAGTTGTGGGTGCTATATGGGCTTTGGAGTAAAAGAGATGGGTTTTCTGTCACGAAAGCTTGAGAACTGTCATGAGTTACAGCTCGTGTAAATAGAGTTCAATCACAACAATGACTCCAGAGCAACTATTTAAAACTAAGAACATACCGGTTTCCTCTTCTGGAGGGTAAACAGTTCTAACAGAAATTTCTGAAACTTCATGAGCTCTAGGAGTGGCTGCATATGTGTCCCGTTTGTGCGTATCTGCATATAAGAGAAGTTGAGAAAGGGCACAAGAATGAGGTGACTGCGTGGACATAGAGCGTATTATGAAAGACAAACTCTCCCACATCCCTCCCAGCAGCGGCTCCAGAATTTCTTCTTCTCCCCTGAAAACTAACAAGAGAGACTGCCACCAGATTACTCTTATCTCAGCACCCAGCTTTGCTTATTGTTTATCAGTCACTGAGAATGTGTGAGGCTCTGAGCTAATAACTTTTAGATACATCTTCTTATTTAGCCTTTAGAGAAATGCTGTGAGATAAGTACTGTGTTATTGGCCCCATTTTAAAATTAATGGGATAGAAACCCTGCAGGGCAACTCACCCTGGGTCAGCAGCTGGCATAGAGCTGAGCCCGGGTCTGAGCTGAACTCAGTTTGCCCACAGACCCTCCGCACCACCGCACTATTAGGTCCCCTTTATCTGGCCCACTATTTCATGGTCACGTGCATCATTTCTGTGCTTTGCCACATTGTTTTAATTTCTTTAACTCACAGTATTATTTCTGTGAGATATTTCAGAGGCAAGAATTCCTCCATAGTAGGAATTGTGTCTACTTAGTAGGCTGTGTCTACTTAGCTCGCATTTCTCAGTGTTTGTCAGTTTCTCTGCAGTGACAGGTCCCCTAAAATGGGTTACATCACAAAAATGATTTCGGAGCCACAATTTAAAAATAAAAATGAAAACAAACCATTTGTCTGTGATGAGATGTAACTCTTTGTGACTGAAGAAGAAGTTGAAGTGTGCATTGCCACCTCAGTGGTACTTAATGCTGATATGCTCACAATTTCTGTATAAAATAGAAGTTGAGAAAGGGATTAAGAACGAGGTGACTGAGCGGACCATAAAGCATATTGCAAAAGACAAATTCCCTCACATCCCTCCAGTCCCTGAGCTAAGCGCTTTGGTATATATCTTACATAATGTTTAGAGAATTGCTATGTGGTAAGTATTGTATTATTGGCCTTATTTTAAAATTAAGGGGCCAGAAGCCCCTCCAGAATTTCTGCATAGCAGAGGTTTACAGATAAAGCGTGCCTTGGTTTTCTCATCTGTACAATAATAATACTTGCCTCAAAATGTCATTGTGAGAACGAAATTAGTTTAAATATGTGTGTGTATGTGGTGTGTGTGTATGTAATGTGCATGTGTTAGTATAGTACTTGGCACATAAAGAGCATTACATATATGTTGGGTATTATTGTTATTATGCTTATAAAGGGGTAACTTGAAGTTGCATTTTGGAAACTGTCTATGCTAAGAAAGGTGGAAGCGCATAATAATTATATAGAACAAAACTTCTGTCCCATATCTCAGTGTCTCCATCTGCTAGGGACAATCTTACTTCTTCAATAAAAATGGAAACAATAATAAAACACTATTACATTGTGTGAACCCAGGAGGCAAAGCTTGCAGTGAGCCGAGATCACGCCACTGCACTCCAGCCTGGGCGACAGAGCGAGACTCTGTCTCAAAAGAAAAAAAAAACCATGCATGCAAACATGAAATCAGAATGTAGACTCACATATATCCTTTTAAAATCTCATTAAATAAATTGTGAATTATTTTTGTAATTAAACACTTTTTATTCTTAAATGCAATACATTTCAAATTTATAAGTTATTTTATAAAATTTTATAAATTAAATTCTTTAAATTGCAAAAGTAATATAGATTCAGTAAAGAAAATTTGGGAACTACAAGAAAGCACAAAGAATAATATAAAATTCATCTACAGTCAGCCTATGCAAGGTTGAACATTTGACACATTTTGATATATAGCCATCTGAACTTTTAGTTGTTATATCTAAATATGGGATCATGGTGTTTAAATATACGTGAATATGTATATAATGTTTACAAGTCTGACTTTCTACTTAATATGCCACAGATATCCCTATGCTGTCAAATATTCTTCTATGAGAAGATTTTTATGACTGCAGAGTATTCCATTGTATGAATGTTCTGTGGTTTATATTTCAATCTCCTATTCTGTGCATTCATGTGTTTTTCACTCTTCTGAGAGTTATAAATCATTATGATAAAAGTCAGTACCCTGAACTCTGTAGATGTACATTTGCTCATCTCTTGGAGATATTCAACTGAGGGGAATGGCACCCAAGTGCAATGGAGTGGAGGTGGAAGGGCTTCTTCTCAGAGGCAGCCAACTTGGCCCCTCAGCTGAATGCTCAAAGTTTCCTGGAGAACCCACAAACAACAGAAAACATCTTCTCTGACACCTCTCATTAGTCTACCCAACTGAAGACTTCTAAAACCTTCCTCTATTTATCAGCTGATAGGTAATCAGTTTACCTCCAAATCATGGAGAAGACATGATCTATTGTTCCTAAACTGTCTATTTTTTCTCTTCTCTTTTAAGTTCTTTTCTGGCCTTGCTCTTTAACTTGGCCTGCCACCTGATTCCATCATGTATGTATAAACGATTGCCATATGAATTCACTAAATAGCATGCAAAACAATTACTGAATGTTTCTAAGTTGTTCAGCACTCAGGTATAATGGCTTTTAAGATAATATAAAAACCAATGCTTTTAAACAATAACCTGGTGATAGGGATTTTGAAGTTCAACAAATATTAAGATTAAAATTACAGAAAGAAACATCTTTATGAGTCAACTAAAGTACGTAAAAATTATTTATAAAGATAACTAATGAACAAAAATAATCCATCTCTCTTAATAAATGTTAGATATGAGCTTTGGCTTATTTCTAGATAATGGAATATGGACCTTCTATTGTATTTTTGAAAAGGCATACAATCTGAGTAAAATAGGTTTAGCTATGAAAGTGTTGTGAAAATAGCTAGTAAAACAACAAGCCAAAAAAAATCAAAAGTGTTAATGGCCAGAAGCCTTAAATGGGCATGTAACAATAAACTTGAGATCAGCCTTTGGCTCAGCAACATGGGAATACAACTGGAAAATGCAGCTGGAGCTCTCATCCTTCACTCAGGTGTGCTCGTCACTTCCATTTCTAACTTTCATCCTCTCCAAGCTTCTCCCTTTAATCTTCCACTCCTTCTTTACACCTTTCAGTTCAGTGTAATCCACTTACATTTAGGGTGCACATTTCTTAGCCCTGTGGATACCAAATGGGCTCTTCTGAAACATAAAACTTGTTCCTAGGACTTCAATTTCCCATTATTTTGAATCTTCTCAGCATGAGAATAGTGCTTTATTCATAAAAGATGTTAAATGAAATGCTAATTGTTATAAATGCTTGGACAAATTCTTACGTAGAAAGAATTAGGTGAGTGGTATGGTTTGGATCTGTGGCATCATCCAAATCTCATGGGGAAATGTAATCCCCAATGTTGGAAGTGGGGACTGGTGGGTGGTAATTGAATCATGGGGCTGGTTTCTCATTGCTTAACATCATCCCCCTTGATGCTGTCTGGGAGATAGTGATTTCTCATAAGATCTGGTTGTTTAAAAGTGTGTGGCACCTCCCCACTCTCTCTTGCTCCTGCTCCAAGGCTCTCTCTCCCCACTCTCTCTCTTGCTCTTGTTCCAACCATGTAAGACGTGCCTACTTTCCCTTCGTCTTTTGCCATGATTGTTTCCTGAGGCCTCCCCAGAAGCAGAAGCACTATGCTTCTTGTATAGCCTGCAGAACCATGAGGCAATTAAACCTCTTTTATTTTATTTTATTTTATTTTATTTTATTTTATTTTATTTTATTTTATTTTATTATTATTATACTTTAAGTTTTTGGGTACCTGTGCACAATGTGCAGGTTAGTTACATATGTATACATGTGCCATGCTGGTGTGCTGCACCCATTAACTCGTCATTTAGCATTAGGTATATCTCCTAATGCTATCCCTCCCCCCTCCCCCCACCCCACAACAGTCTCCAGAGTGTGATGTTCCCCTTCCTGTGTCCATGTGTTCTCACTGTTCAATTCCCACCTATGAGTGAGAATATGCGGTGTTTGGTTTTTTGTTCTTGCGACAGTTTACTGAGAATGATGATTTCCAATTTCATCCCTGTTCCTACAAAGGACATGAACTCATCATTTTTTATGGCTGCATAGTATTCCATGGTGTATATTTGCCACATTTTCTTAATCCAGTCTATCATTGTTGGACATTTGGATTGGTTCCAAGTCTTTGATATTATGAATAGTGCCGCAATAAACATACACGTCCATGTGTCTTTATAGCAGCATGATTTATAGTCCTTTGGGTATATACCCAGTAATGGGATGGCTGGGTCAAATGGAACCTCTTTTCTTTATAAATTACCCAGTATCAGTTATTTCTTTATAGCAGTGTGAGAACAAATGGGTTTTCAGATTGCATCTGAATGTGAATATAATAATTTAAGTAATTAATAAATTTAACTTAATTATAACACATAATTAATTATAAATTAATCAATTTATAATTAATATATTTAATTAATACAATTGTTTAATAAATTAAGCAAACCACATGACAAAATAGCACATGCAGAATGAATGCAAGCATCTGGAAAAATAAGCATCATTTTAAGACCAATGAAATATTTTCAACATTTCAATAGCGAGCATACTTTTGCTAACATAAGAAAAAAAAAACAAAAAGTAAAAAATAAAAATACACAAAACGTAGTCTGTAAATGCCATCTAGTGGTTTTGACTATGAGTACAAATATACATATTCCTCCAAGTTGCCTAACTGTTCAGCACGATGTTAGGGACTACCTGCTGCAATTTTCTTTGTGAACATCTGCAAGACTCTGCATGGTCCAGTCCTGCTTGCCTCACATCTTCATTGCTTCGCCCTTCCCTTCCCTCTTGGGGCTCCAGCCATTCTGCACATCTGTTTTCTCTATGACTGCACCATACCCTTTTCCGTGTCCTAAATCTTGTGCCATCTCCTCCCTTCGTCTGAAATATTTCCCTCCCTATCTTTGCCTAACTACTGGCTTTTCAAGTCTCAGTTCAATGCCACTTCCTTTGGGAGGTCTTCGCTGGCCTCTCTAATAAGATTTAGACTAAAAGCTCTCTGAAGTCCCTGGTGCTTAACATGGTGTTGTAAAACCTTATGATTATTTAGAATCCAGATATGCATTCCTTAGGCCTTGATGTTTACTGGGGGCCTTGGGTGTTTCTTAATTTGTTCAATTATTTACAAAAGGTTTTTTTTGGGGTGGGAGGTATAGGCTGTGGGCTATGTACTAGGAAGACAATGATAAATAATACATGGCCTTTCCTTTCAGGGTAATTCCAGTGCAGTAAGAGCGACAATTATTAATCTAAGTATAATAAGTATTTTAGGATGGTGGTGGAAGTGGGGACACAAAGGAGACAGCGGTCAACTCTACTTGGAGAGGTAGAAAGACCTCATGGAGGTGTCTTTGAATTTATCTTGAAAGAAGTCTAGGATTTTACCAGGCAGGCTGTGTGGTACCAGCAATGCCTTGGAATTTGAGACATCATTGCACGTTACAAAAACTGCAGGTTATCTATGTGGCTGCAGCACAAGGTGTGAGAAGGAGAGGAATAGAGAAATGGGTGAACAGCAACTGAGAGGCTGAAGAGGTGGTGAGGCACCAAATGCTGTGGGCCATGTTCTAGAATTTGGACTTTATCTTTAAGGCAGTGGAAAGACAATGAATGGTTTGAAGCAGTTTTTTATTTAGGGAAAATCACTGTCAGTAGTATGGAGGATAACTTAGGGGAAAAAAAAACATGCCAGAGCTTTGCAGTAGAGGGTCCCATCTTGTGTTCAAGAGTGGCCAAGATAAGCAGTCCCTTTGCAAACAAGCCACTTCTGCTCACAGAAGGTCCTTATCACTTCTTAATATTCCTTTGGTGGAGAAGGCCTATAGCCTGAGGCTTTAAAGGGGGCAGAAAATTACAGCAGGTTGTCAAAAGAATATGGCAAAGAACCAATAATGGGAGCTAACATCTCTTAAAATTGGCACTTTAATTATTTTAATTTTAAATGAAGTCAGAGGAGGTGAAAAGTATTTTAAATTTATAAGCAAAGTATATGTAACTTTTTTATAAAAATGAAAACATGCTTAGGGAGAGAGAGCTTATTTAGATAAGTTTTGAGCTTTATCAAAACAATTGTAACACTCTAGCAAATAAGTAGACTTCTTTCTTCTTCAACAGCTACTCCTCACAGTAAAAGAGCACTTGGTGGAAATTTTGTTCTGAAGTGAAGGCTGAAACCCCAGAGATCAAACACTGTACTCAAGTTTACAAAGCTGGACTCAGACCCTAACACTGGCTTTAAAATTTGTCCTAAGTTAGACCATAATGCCTCTCTTTCCAGCTGGATCTACATGCCTCCACTCTGGCTTTTAACAAGGCTCTGAACTATTGTCAGAACTTGGGAATTTCTAACATTGAAGGTAACACATTGACACAATTTCCTCGATGTAAAATTGTATACACTTTATCCAAGTCCCATCTGAGCATGTTATGTCCTATTTGTACCCTTACAAAAACTGATTGGTGGCCAAATTGATTTGAGACTGAAAGTTGCCACTTATGTTCTTAGAAATACTTGCTTTAATTCACCAGAATCAGTTGCTCTGATACAACTTCTTATAGTCACCTAAGTCAACATAGTAAGAAAATAAACATATAAATGCCCTAAAGATAATTTGATAAAAATTGTTTTTTATATCATTTCCTCAACAATCTCATAGTGGTAGCTGACCTATAAAATGACCTTTTTCATAGTTCATTTTTCTTCCATTTCTGGAAAAAAGATAGCATAAGTCTTTCAGTAGGAATTAATACCCATGCATGCTTAGTGGTAAGAAGAAGGCACAGAGGCTTGTTACTGGAAGTCTATAGTTTACAAAACAGTGTCATCTTGAAGGAACAATAGCTCCCATAAAAATGAGTTTTCATATTTTCTTGTATTAATTAACTTTTAAATAATTTCGTAGTTATTCCAGAGTAGAATCACATGGGGGCAATTTAAAGAATTTCATCAATACCTTCAAATTAAATAAACCAGCATCTGGTTGAAAAAAAAAAAAATCACTTACCTGGAAGGAGAAACCAAAGAAACATCCTCAAATTCTAAAGCTTCATTCAAAATTCAAGGTAAGGAAACCAAATTTCCACAATATGATCCCTTAAAATCACCAAGAATGTTCAAAACTACATTTGATAACAACAGCTCACACAACTACTTGGCTCTCCTAGATTCCTAAGACCCTAACCAGCTAATAGACGTCTGTGGACATATTCAATTCTGCAAAGCTGCAAAATATCTGTGAGAAGCTGGTTTTTGAATAGGACTTTTTACTATAGCTATATACTATTTAGTTCAGTAAACTGGGTAGAAAGCATTGAAGCAAACTCGTAACCATTGAACAACAAACTTTAGTTTGCCAAAACTGCTTAGGGACTGGATTAAGGGAAGGCTCTCCTGTTATTTTTATCTCTTTGCCTTTGGTGCTCTCAGCTTTCTGTAGCTAAAGTAGCTTTCAAAAATCTACTTGTGTCATTCCTAGATTAAAGGTCAGTTTAAGTATTGTCCTGTTGAATTCAGAAGGTACATTTAAGCTAGAAAACCACTTGCAGCACATCTAATCCAAATTGCCGACTTTACAGATAGACATTTGGTCTCATAAAAATTAAATGACTAGCTCAGATCAGCATATCTGGTAAGCAGCAGAACTGAGACTTAATTCTGCTGACCCTCAATATTAGTCTCACCTTCCGGATCTCGCTGACTGGTTGAGATCTTGTCAGCAAGATTTCTCTAATGTTTTAGTACATTAGTCAGCAAGCATTGGGGCATATTGTACATACAAAAAAGGACAGCTAAATTCCTGAGCTCCCTGGACATCCTAAAAGCTAGAATTTTAGTAAAAACCATGTAGTCTTCATTTTGATGATTTTTCCACACTAATTTATTGTATTACTTAGATTATATCTCTTACCCCTCAGTGTCCTTATACTATAGCCACTATGAGAAATTATGTTTTGCTCTAGCAATACGGAGATGAGAGTCAGTTTCTTAATCCCTTCACATCTTCTGGCAGGAACACATCCAGTCTATACCTGCAAAATTTCACCTCTCTCTCCAAGTGAAGTATATTTACCTTGTGGTGTTATGAAAGATGTGTCCAGCATCTGGCTACCCAGGAATAGACAGACCTTGTGCCAACACTGCACATTTTCTTAGCTGCATGGGCCTCTGAGAAACATACTCTGAAGACCTTACCCCATGCCTGCTTGCAAATGAATCACTGGATGAACCCTGAAGGATGGGCAGAGTTTTAGGTGAAGATGCAGAGGAGGAGGGATAAAGAAATAGCATGGGCCTAACATATGGAGAAAGGGGAGTATAACATGCATTGATGTGGAGGCTTAGGTCACCTAGCAGGCAAGTGTTGGCAAATCTCTCAGATTGATAAGAGTTTAATGATTAAGTGGCAAATTACTGCAAAATAAAATATAAAGGTATGTTTTGTCATATTAGTGAGGCCTCAAACTCCTACTTTAAATTTATGTTTTTCAGTTTTCAGGCACTGAAATGGCATTTGCTATGGTACTTAGTACAAAGTAAATCTGTGTGACCTGAATTGAATTCTGTAATTTAGGTTTGAGAAGGGTGGAATGAATTGGTATACTTTCTAGAAAATGAAATATTCAATATTTGCGTTTGGATCATCTCACAGCTTATACTTGTATAACATCGGATATGTTCCAGAACATTTCACCTCTCTTGTCTCTTATCCCCATGTGTTGGGGGAGAGAGCGTGGACTTCTGCCACAGTTCCCATTGTACCATGGAGGTGGGGTGACTTGGGGGCCCAAGACATGTTAGGATAACGACTGGAAATAGCCAGCCTCCTAGCTCTCTGCTGCATGCTTTATCTACCAGACCCTCAGCTTTCCCAAATAATTGACATTTCTAACCTGGAATGCTATTAGAAACAATAAAAATAAAATGTGATATTGTATAAGTACGCTTCAGTTTCGCTGTATGCCAAAACTTCCAGTGGCTGAGCTCTTGTCAAGATGTGATAAAGTCAGCTCATGCAGCTGCTGCTTTGAGTTTTGGTTCGCTCCTGACTTGCAGCTGAAAGAAGCCTTATCTTGCATAAGCAAACTCTCACAAGGACACACCCTTCATATGAAATGCCTTAAATAGTTTCCAAGTCTGAAAACTAAATTTTCTAAATGCTACAGTTTTTTGGCATTGCAATGACCATGAAAACTACTTGATAAATGCATCTGTGGAAGTTATGCTCAGCTAATTTGTGGTAAAACTGGGATAAAAACTCATATCCATTGACTTCCAACTCAATGCCTTTTCTGCCCAATCTCATTGTCTTGAACAGAATTAATGTATAAATGGGAATCTTGCCTGTGCTAAAAGATGTTTGAAGAAGACTGTTCCCATGAAGCAATATTTTAAGGGAACGATTTTGTTTGGCTCTTGAACCAAAGGATTGGCAAGTTCAATCTTGGTCAAGTTGTGATAATATAGTTAGATACCCATACTGTCTGTGGCCATTCGTTTTTCTTTTTTGGAAGTTTTTATTAAGCCAAAGCAGCCAACTACAATTTAGAAAAATTGAACTTAAGGATAAAGTGCTTTGTGTGATAGCATCTGAGCCTACTGTTTTGGGTAGCCTATTCTCAATACTTTTTATTTGATCTCTTCAGCCAATGGCTCTGGAGAAAAGCATGGCCTATTAACGGATGCAGTTAGTGTGCTAGGTGCCAAATGGAATGAGCCAGTTTCTGCTCATCTTCAGACTGGCATGCTTTGGCAGTCCCCATACAGCTAATTGGTCACACTTCTTCCTTTCCTAACTTGGTAGAGAAGGGTGCTTTATGTATTCTATCTCGAAGGTGTTGTGGCCTAGGAGGACTGCAGCTTCCCTTCAGGAAGCCTGAACTCTTTAGCCTGGCTCTGTACTATCCAGCTTCTGGTCATCCACACTGTCCCAAACCATTGCTGAGACAGCAGAGGTGGAGAAAAAAAGTCGGTCAGTCTGTCATTCCAGCCAGTGCACATTCTTCAGCCTGGACAGATGGAAATCAAGACGAATTTCTTCCACTGTCCCAGTGGGAAAGGAGAGCAGAGTTCTCTTCCTGGCTTTGCCACCAAATGGTTGGGGGATCTGTGCAAGTCTCTGAAATTATCTGAGCCTCAGTTTTATGGCCTCTAAGATGAGAGTAGTGGAACAGATGTCTCTCTTTTTAAACTTTAAAAAATGTTTTGCTTTTTTCTTGAGATAGGGTTTCACCATATTGCCCATACTAGCCTCAAACTCCTAGGCTCAAGCAATTCTCCTGCCTCATTCTACTGAGCAACTTGGACTATAGGTGCACACCACCATGCCTGGCCTGGAATGGATGTCTTCTAAGATGCTTCACCATTCATGAATCATGGAAATCTGTATGTCTAAGATAATAATATTTGTAGTTAACACTTACTGCACACTTACTTCATTCCACACATCTCTCTAACCATTTTTAAAACAACTAGCTGAGACCCTATTGTTATATGTTAATTATTCTTTGTGGAGGAGGAAAAAAACATCAGAAGCATTGCCTGACTTGCTTAAGTTCACACAGCCACCAAGTGGCAGACCTGGATTTTGAATTCAGACCTATGTAACTACAGAACTGTCTGCCAAGGTCTACTGTGATCTATGTAGCAGAAAGAGAATGAGGGAATCAAGTAAGTTGTCATTGAGAGATTAAATTCTCACCAAATTATAATGCAACCAACTCTCAAGCGAGCCTTCACTTCAGCAAATCAGGGCTAAATGAAGAGATATAAAGATAATAATTCACCTTGTTTATAGCCTGAGGGTAAGAGTGTTGTACCTCTAACATAGCATTGTAGGGTGACCTGCAGTGGCAAATCCACATTACGGAAGAGCAGATGGTCCTGGTTATTAACAGTTTGTTAACTTGAATCTTAATTTTTCCAGCCAAGCATATTCCTATCTGGTCACTCCTGCCTACTAAAGAATCCTCAGAACAAAAGAGGATTTCACATATTTTACCTGTGTCCGCTTTAGTCTAAGGTTTGGTATTTCTGTAGCTGAACTTCACACACATTAAATTTGGGCTTAAGGAAGTTGGGCTGGATGAAAATAATTTTAATTGAAAACAAAAACTTTATCCCAAAGTTCTCACACCACTGGTACTTCCTTTTCACTGGTTGAACAATAAAAAAATTGCAGAAATGAACCTAGTTTGTTCTCATCCTTGACTGCATGGTAGAATCATCTGTGATATCCCAGGAATTGGATTCTGATGTGCGGCCAGCAGTGAGAACAACTGCTCCAGTTGGTAATATAGATTAATATATGTAAACTTCATCTTCCTGAGTTTCGAGGTCCACTCTTACATTTTCTATGGTTGTAGTGTCACCTTTATCTATAAAGTGAACAGCTATAGTATGTGATATTAGCCTGAACGACTTTAGAAATAACATCATTTGCCATCTTAAATGTTGGTGTTTCTTAGGGTTTTGTTTTAGAGCCACAGTCTCCCTCACTTCCTCCCTCAATTCGCATTTAATTTTACTTTAATCACTTTCCAAGGATAAGCTCATCAGTGTGTGAAACAGACAGAGTTGAACTGCTTGGTGGAAGCTGGCCTGAGTGTTTGGCCTGCAGCCTCACAACCTGTTCCCATCTCCACCTGGCAGCTTCAGAAAGCTCCACAGGAATTTAGATTGGAAATCTTTAGTCTAAAACTTAAGTTTTTCAGATTGTCTGTTGAGATCCCTTAGCACAAGTATTAGTAAACTTCCTATGTAAAGGGAGAGAGAGTAACTACTTTAGGATTTGTGGGCCACAACTACTTTAGGCTTTGTGGACCATCTATTACAAATATTCAACTCTGTCACTGTGCAAAAGCAGCTACAGACAATATGTAAACCAAAGCATAAATAAATGAGTATGACTATGTTCCAATAATGATTTGTGGGCAGTAGAATTTGAATTTCATATAATATTCACATATTATTATTATTATTTTGATTTTTTTTGTGTCTTTCTTTTTTTTTTTCTTTGAGACAGAGGCTTGCTCTGTTGCCCAGGCTAGAGTGAAGTGGCATGATCTTGGCTCACTGCAAGCTCTGCCTCCCGGGTTCACTCCATTCTCCTGCCTCAGCCTCCCAAGTAGCTAGGACTACAGGCGCCCACCACCAAGCCTGGCTAATTTTTTGTATTTTTAGGAGAGATGGGGTTTCACTGTGTTAGCCAGGACGATCTCGATCCTCTGACCTCGTGATCCGCCTGCCTCAGCCTCCCAAAGTGATGGGATTACAGGCTTGAACCACTGCACCCGGCCTATTTTGGTTTTTTTAAGCACTTAAAAAAGTAAAAATCATTTGTAACTTGTAAGGTATACAAAACCAGGGGGCCGGCCATTCACAGGCTATAGTTTGCTTGGCCTCTGTATTAGCATAACTAGAATCTCTGGATATGAAACCCAATCATCAGTGCTACATAGATTCCCTGAGAAAATTCCAACCTTCAGTCAAGATGGTGCATTCCTCTACTAATGGGTTATGAAATCAGTCCAGTGGGTTGTCACTGGCACTAAAAAATTAAGTTGTATTCTAGGTGTGGTGGCTCATGCCTGTAACCCCAGTGCTTTGGGAGGCCAAGGCAGGAGGATCGCTTGAGGCCAGGAGCTCGAGACCAGCCTGGGCAACATAGCAAGACCCCATATTTACAAATTAAATAACCAAAAAATTAGTCAGGTGTGGTTGAGCACACCTGAAGTCTCAGCTACTTGAGAGGCAGAAGCTGGAGAATCACTTGAATCCAGCAGTTCAAGACTGAAGTAAGCTATGACTGTGCCGTTGCAGTCCAGCTTAGGCCACAGAGCAAAATCTTTTCTCTAAAAAAAATTAAGTTGTATAAAACAGGAGAGAATATATCAAAGTACATCACACAGAATAAGGGAAGGTATTATTTTGTGGAATTTTATTTCAGACAAGTGTGTGTGTGAGCCTGTGTGCTGTGAGTTGTAGTGCACATTAACTATGTCTCAATAATACTTGATTATGTTTTGAGCCTGATGAACCTGGTTATACCCTATCTGAATACCTGGCTGCCAGATCAATAGCATATGAAATACCAGAAATGCACTCACCGCCTGCACAAGCCATTGACCAGTGGCTCATGCACACCTTTATCCAGCTTATCTAGCTCCAGAAAGCACTTAGACTTTCTATGTGTGCTGCACCACTAAAATGGGAATTCTGAGAGAGAATGCTTTCAAAAACATAAAGTTAGCTAATGGGACAATTACACGTAGGCTATATACTTTAGAAACACATGAAAGGATAAGGGCAAATAAAACATAATTTATATATCAAAAGAGCAGAAACAAGGAATCATAAAATATGAAATAGGATAACAGAAATAAGATACTAAATGTCAGTTGTGAATTAATGAATGCATATGGATTGTGGTTTTGTATTAAAAGACAGAAACTTTTAGATTGAGTCAAAAGAGATAGGTTAGGACTGGTGCAATGGCTCATGCCTGTAATCCCAACACTTTGGGAGGCCGAGGCAGGTGGATTGCCTGAGCTCAGGAGTTGGAGACCAGCATGGGCAACACAGTGAAACCCCGTCTCTACTAAAATACAAAAAATTAACTGGGCGCGATGGTGTGCGCCTGTATTCTCAGCTACTTGGGAGGCTGAGGCAGGAGAATTGCTTGAACCCGGGAGGCAGAGGTTGCAGTGAGCCGAGATCATGCAACTGCACTCCAGCCTGGGCGACAGAACGAGACTCCATCTTCAAAATAAATAAATAAATACATATAAAACTAAACAGGAATAACCGTATTAATCTTAGGCAAAGTAGAATTAAGAGCAAAGACATTACAAACAATGAAAAAGATTTACTTGTGTCATTAAGCAATATATTTCACAGTGATTCTTAAGTAATTATGGACCATTATAGCCCAATAATATAGCAACGAGAAACATAAAGCAGAATAAGAAATTGGCAAAAATACAATACCATTGAGAAATTTTAAGTTTTCTCCAATTGTGATAGATCAAGAAAGCAAAAAAACAAACACAGAAAGGATCTGAAATATATCTGCTTGCAATCACAAGGTATTGATTTATATGATTTTTGCTAACGAATCAATGAGGACAGATTTTATTAGGCATTCCCACATTCCCATACACTCATTTTGAAAGAACATTTCTGTATTTCCTGATACAATGTTTTTGAAGTCTGAATCTAGCAGAATAGTTCAGGAAAGGTAGCAAGGGGAGAACTTTTGTGGTCTTTTTCCTAGCAAAATGCAATTTCAGTGCCATGATCTCTATTCTCAGTTGCCTCAAATAGCTGTACTATTCATGTTTTATGTTTTGTATTTATTTCCTTCTATTTTGGCTTTTAAAAATATAGTGATGACTGGGAAATAAGTGATAACATCAAAAGGAGGCCTCCAGGATTTAAAAACATTTTCTATAGCCCATATAAAAAGGAGCAAAAGGCTAACATAACAGCCACACAGTTAGAGTTCCTTAGCTGCACCACGTGAGGAAGACAGACCGTCAACCTTCATTAAAGTCTTCAGCTTGGTGAAAGCACAGGCAGAACACTGAGTGACAATGTTGTAAGAGTAAAGGAGCCAATCCTGGAACATCACTAGGTATGGTACAGGCAACATGACATATTCTCTAAGTGCACAGATTCTGCAGTGGAACTGCCTAGGCTCAAACTAATTCCTCTAGCAACTACCTGAGACCTTGCAAAATTTACTTAATCTCTATATTTTTGTTCCATCATTATACATGGATTAGTCTCTACCTTATAGAGTTATTGAACAGGTTAAGTTAAAATGCACATAATTATTTTTTTGCAAGAATGGAAAACCTAATCCTAAAATTTCTATGAAATTGTTAGGGATCTAAATAGGCAAAACAATCTTGAAGAACAAAGTTTGGTGAATCACACTTCATGAATTAAAAACGTATAACCAAGTAACAGCAATAAAAACTGTGTGATTTTGCCCCAAGAACAGACATATTCTTAGGATAGAATTGAGACTCCAGAAATAAACTCATATATCCATGGCCAATTAACTTTCAAGAAGGGTGTCAAGACCATTCAATGGGCAAAGGATAGTCTCTTCAACAAATGGTGCTGGGACAGCTGCAAAATAATAAAGGTGGACTCTTATCATACATCATATAGAAAAATTAACTGATAATAAACCAAAGATCTAAATATAAGAGAAGAAATACAAAACTCTTAGAAGAAAACATAGGGAGAAATTTTTATGACTTTAAATTTGGCAATTATTTTTAGATATGATATCAAAAGCGTAAGCAGCAAAAGAAAAAAAAATAAATTGGACTTGAAAATGAAAAACATTTGTGCATCAAAGGACACTATCAAAAGTAAAAACAAAAATCTACAGAATGAAGGAAAAGATTTGCAAATAGTATATCTGATAAGACTCTTTATCCAGAACATAGAAAGAACTCTTACAACTTAGCAACACAAAAAGAAAAATAGATTGAAAAATGGGTGAAGGACTAGTACCAACATTTCTCCAAAGATATGCAAAATGCAGTTACCAACAATTACATGAGAAGATTCTCAGCGTCATTAGTTATTAGGAAAATGCAAGAAACCACAGTGAAAAACCATTTCATACCCTCTGAAATGGCTATAATTAAAAAAATGAAAAAGTACAATTTCTGGCAAGATTGTGGAGAAATTGGCACCTCATACACCCTGGTGAAAAGGTCAAAAGGTGCAGCTCCTGTGGAAAAGAGTTGAGCAGTTCCTTAGTAAGTTAAACATAAAATTACTATGACCCAGCAATTCTACCCCTATACATCTTTGAGTATTAAAAGTGGGTTCAAACAAAACTAGTACAGGAATATTTATAGCAGCACTATTCACAATAGCCAAAAGGTGGAAACAACACAAATTTTAATCAAATGATGGATCGATAAGCAAAATGTGATATGCCAACCCAAATTTTAATCAAATGATGGGTGGATAAACAAAATGAGATATACCAACACAATTATAAAAGGAATGAAATACTGATACATGCTACAATATGGATGAACTTTAAACACATTATTTTAAGTGAAAGAGGACATACACAAAAGGCTACCTATTATATGATTCCATTTATATGAAATATCTACAATGGGTATATCTGTAGATGTAGAAAACAAATTAGTGGTTTCCAGGGGCTGGAGGAATTGGAAGTGGCTGCTAATGGGTAAGAGGTTTCCTTTTGGAGTGATGAAAATGTTCTGGAGCTACATAATGGTGATGGGTGTGCATCATTTTGACTGCATTAAATGCTACCCATTGTACACTTTAAAATGGTTCAAATGGTAAATTTATATTATGTGTATTTTACTACAATTTTAAAAATTAAGTGTATGTAAATTGCTTAGAACAGTGCACGGCACAAAGTAAGTGCTATTATCAGTGTTGGTTATTATTATTCAGAACCTGCCTCTGTATGGAACCTAACCTGCTGTATATAAATCTAGGGATGGAAATACCAAAGTTGATCAAATAGCTGTTTATAGAACTTTGTACACTACAAACAAAGATGACATCATTTTTCCCGTGCTTACATATAATAATTTGGGTTAGACAGAAATTCTTAATACATATCACAAATAAATTGTATAGTCATAGTCTATGACCAACGTACAAAAATTAAAGACTTCTTAGAAAGCAGAGATTGTGTTTGTTCGGTTTACTTTTTAAAATATATTAAAACTTGTCCTGATTAGATTATATGGTTCTCTTTGCAGAAAATTTAGAAAGTATTTAAAATGAGAAAAAAAAACCTTGCAATCCCAACACTCAGAGATAAACCTGGAATTTTTTTTCAACATTTTTGCTTTAGTTTTAGTTTAGTTCATTTATCACAGAAAACTACACAGATAGGTACTTACTAAAGATGTGGATATGATAATAATGGCTGGAAATCTATGATGTAAAAATGTAGGTCCAGCCTGATTTTGTCAGCACCATGTAAGTAGGATTGGGTTTTTTTTGAGTAAAAGATATTACATTTGCAGTTGATGTCAAAATATAATCTATAAAGATAACTTGGGGAAATTCCCCAAAAGTATACTTCTCAAATAGTCTCACAGATGTTTTGAATAATCTTCTAGAAACCAAGGTGAAAAGAAATTTATCACAAGAATGTGAAGCTAAATTTCCTAATTTAAAATCACTACAAAGTAAGTTTGAGATACCATCCCTACTTTCCCCTCTATTCAGACCTTTTCTGCAAAGGAGTTCACAGTGGGTGTCTGTTTCTTTCTAAAAACCCTATTTCACACCATGCTAAAGATATTTATAGGTTTGGCAACTAGTCCAGCTCATCTCAGGCTGAATTTTGGGGATTCATTGGGGTTTACAGTTGAAAAATGCTTGTAGATACCATCTACTCGGCGCTTTATTGAATAGGCACAAGAAAACTGAGGCCCACGGGTGTTAAATGATTTTTCATGGCTAAACTAGTCTGCCGCAGAATTCTGGTCATTTGTCATTTGTCATTTTGAGTAGTTGATATTGACTGCCTACTATGTGGCTGACAATGTGTGGGACACATAAGCGAAGACACAGGTTTTGCTTTTAAAGAATTTATAGTCATGTATTCCCTGGCATACAGTTCCTGTAACTCTTTCCTGTGCCAATTAAATAGCAGCTAGCAAGGCTCTCTTCTTGGATCCCTGAAAAAAAAAAAAAAAAGAGATGCCTTGTTTCTTCACTTAACATGTGCTTCTCAGACTGATGTACTTGCAGGGGTATGAGTCAGATGCACAGGGTAATAATGATCTGTCTATGCGGAGCACTCACTGTGTCTAACCAGATGAAAACAAATATTTCCTCTTTCCTTTCCTCCTCCCCTTCCTCCTGTCTCTTCCCTTCCCTTCTCTCTTCTCCCTTCTTGCCTCCCTCCCTCTCTCCCTCCTCTCTTCTTTCCTTCCCTTTTTCCTTTTCTTTCTTCCTTCCTCTCCCTCTCTGCTTCTCTCTCCTTCTCCCTCCCTTCACCTCCTTCCTTGCTTATTCAACCAATATGCTACTATAAATACCAATCGGGAACTGTGCTAGATTCTGGGGATACACGGATGAATAAAGTAGGCATGATGATATCATACCAGTGCCTTTGTTTCCTCCAATTAAATTAGTATATTATGACCTAGAATGCAAATTTTGTATGAATTTTTAAGTAAACACAAAAAGCTTTTGGAGACTCCTGGTTTATGCCATAATTTCCTAGTCGAAGTGATATTGTATTGTATTTTCAAATTGGTTCTTAGCTTCAGAATCTGATTTTCAGATAAAAGCTCCAGCTTTTCCTTGAAAACACTAACTTACCTGCTGTTTCAGAATTTTTGCTCTTGCTCTTCCCTCTGCCTTCTGTCCTCTTTTCCCAGAATTTTCAGGGTTGGCTCCGTCTCCTTGTTCCACATTTAGCATAAATGTCATCTACTCAGAAAATAACTCCCTGCTACCCTTTTCTTAAGCAGCTTTCGGCATTCATGTTTATCATCTTACCTGGTTTTATATGCTTTGTATTAGTTTTGACTGTTTTTATCTTATTTTAATAAGATAGTTGTTGTTCCATTTATTATCTGCGTTCCCTCCCATCATCCACTGCGCCTACCCTCCGTGTATCCTCCATGGGAGCCCATTTTTCTTCCTGCTGTGGGCTCAGTGTCTGGTTCACAATCTGACATGTAATGACTGAATCATCAAATGAGTGCAGGAATTCAGGGACTGGGAATCAAGTCATATTAGAAAAAATGGATTCTCCATTTGGAAGGAGATCTCTGGTAAGTTTAGAATTAGAAATATTGGCTTTATTCTTAAGATTCCTGGAGAAAGCAAGGCAATCATCTTTTTTTTTATAGCAACATAAAAGAAAAAGAAAAAGACTTCACCATGTTTACTCTTCAGCTAATCAGTATGGGGGAAAAACTTGATCTTACACCTTTCTGTTATACTATAAAGTAGCCACATCAAGAGAGTTTCCTTGGAGGGTTTCTGAAGCTACAAAGATGATAACAGCTTGGGTACTGGAGACCATTGTAGCTTTCAGGGTCATCTTGCCCCAGTGACCAAGTGCCATTTAAGGCTTTAATACACTATCTGCTTGTGTAGTTGTAGAAATTTAAAAAAAAAATCATTTCTTTGCCAGGAACCCTTTCCAAATTTGGGGCACTTGTAAGTCACACAGAGTTTTCCCAAATGCTGGGCACACCCCCAGTAGAGTATGCAGTGTCTAATTTTGCTTGAGTTACATCCAGTTTGGTTTGCCCCATGGAGCAACACAAAGAATACATCTTTTTTTCTGTGTAATAGCACTTCAAATATATGAATATATATACAAATATTACACTACATCCCTTTCATTTGTTTTCTTTTCTTCAAACTAAATGTTTTCATACTTTTCTGCTTAAAAAATTAGAGTAGCTATGTTTGTTTTCTGTTTTCTTTCTGTAATTTTCTTTTCTCTCTGACTTTTCAGAAATCACCAATCACATACGTAGGTTTGTTCCCTAGTCTGTAACTATTGATAGCTACTGCTTATTTTAATAATATATTATTAATACTTTTTAATCATGATAGTTAATTCTAATCACAGAAAATGCATAGTAATCTTAACATTTTACTTTGTTTCAGGCATCAGTAAGTGTATTCCATTAAATATTTTGTTTAATCTTTATGCAATTATTATGAGGTAAGTACCAACACTGCCTGCATTTTAAAGACGAGGACACATAAAAATGTGGGCACATAATTTGCCTTAATGTTCCCCAGCCTTGAGAAGTAAAAGTAGATTTGAACCCAGTTCTGTCTGTTCCTCATGCCTGTGCTCTTAACTATTGCACTATTTTATCCTCCCCTAGGGTATCTTAGAAAATGCTGATCTCTCCTCCCTGTGTGCTACAGAGTGCTCAGTAGCTCCTTGATACTTGCTCTCACTTGGGATACAGCAATGTCTAATAGACTCAGAATGTTTCAAGCAACTGCCTGCCCGCTGTGTGCTGGGCACTAGTATTGCTAACACATAAGCACTGCACTTGAGAGGATGTTTAACTATAATATTCTCAGAAAGAGGCCAAAATCATGTTAATTTAAGACACTAAATTAATAATTAAATTTAAACTAAGTTAAATTCAAATTATTGAATTAATACAATTTAATAATAACCCTATGATATTTCTTTATTTTAATGGATTTAAATTTCTCCTAAAATTCACAGGATACCTAAGCCAGTAAGAGTTGTTTTTGTTTTTTTTCTTCCTATGTGACACTTTAGTAATGGACCCACAGAGAAGCGAACAACTCCCCACGGTTTCAGTGTTCATGCTTTTGGCTTCTCGCCATTTGGCAGAAATAGGAAATTATACCTTTTGAAAACTAAAAGCCATATAGCTACCAACATCTTCGTTAATAACTCTTTAGTTTGGAAATGAATCTCCTTATAACTCAAACAAAGCAATACATTTATTCACAGAGAGGTATTTCTCATAGCATTTGATAAAATTATTTTAATTCTAGCTAGACTTAGAATTGAAGTAAGCTTCTCATACTAGAAAACTGGATTTGGCCATAAATACTGGGCTCCCTTGTGCCATTTCCCCCACATTGGTAGCTGAGTTCCAGTAAAATCCATCCACCAGACTGGAAGAGGAAATACTACTCATTTATTGATTTAAATAAGATAGAACTAAAATAGGGTAGTTCATATTTTATTCTATGATCTCATACCCAATATAACAGAACCAAGATGAAATAAAATCACTTACCTGACAATAGTAATACAAAGATTATTTTTCCATACATCCTGAGATCATGAGCTGGTTCCTGAAGTTAGTGCAAAAAAACTACCAAAGACAACTGCAAGTGTCAGTGTCTGACCTTAGCCTGCTAGCTGTTATCTTCCAGGCCCACCTTCCTGCGGCCATCATCAGCTGATAGGCAGGGGAGGCATTTTAAATGATGCAAGTTGTTAAGCGCCTGTTAATAAAGATACATGGATATCTTGGGGCTATGAAAGTGGTAAGTAAAATTTTCACTGCAAGGAACAGGTTGCTACTTGTGATATTAACTTTGCATCAGTTAAGTGGGCATGGTAAGGTGGTAGACAGGAGCCACCCAACTGGACAAAGAACTGGACTGTGAATCTCTGAGGCCAGGGCACGTGCCAGGCTGAGGTAGCTGTTGTGGAGCCATGGACCTTCTCATTTCTAATGTCAAGACCCAGTGGTCCAAATGAAAGTGACTTCCTATATGTGAAATGAATGTATTTGAGAAATTTAAATCATTTGAGTGTTCTGAGGTTCTGAAAGACTCCCAAACTCATGGTGAGCCACACAGCAATGTAAGAGACATGAGATGCAACAGATCTTTCAGTGAAAAGAGAGTTTGAACTGAAGAGCTAGTACTGCGCAGCTATGAAACCAGTGAGCTGTTTCTGTCTGAAATATACCTTGCTAAGTAAGCATAAATGAATACCAAGACAATAAATGCAAACAGTCAGAAACAAAACCCAACAAACCAAAAACCTTATGAGTAAAGTAGGTTAAAATGAAAGGTATGAAAATGCGAGGAAGCTCAATTTTAAAGGCAGACAGAACAAAAAATATAAATTAGGTCTGAAATGGTTCAACAGAAGGTGACTGGATACTCCATCTAAATCATCTTACTTCCTGTAAGATTTTTGTGAAAGTCTTTCCTGCCTGACCCAGAAAATCAATTTGCTATGTGAGCAATTTGCCACATATAACATACATACATATTTACCCAAAGTGTGGTTTAAAAAAATCATTTATGAAGCTAATGTTTGCAGCTTCAGGAAACTGGGCGACAGAGAAAAAAAATTATTTACTGGAGAAAGATGGAGATAAGTATCAGCAGAGCATCCCAGAGAGGGAGGAGCCTGAGAATGAGGGACTAGTGGATGGAGGCAGCGGAGATGCAGACTTGGGGAGGATGGAAGAATGAATGACACAGAGGGGGTAATCTGAGCAGCAGGACAAGAATCCAGAATGCCTCTTAAGGCCCTGCCAATTCATGTAAAACAACTGCAGCAAATTTTATTAAAAAGTTAAAATTAAACAATACATAATAAATTAATACCTTCTATAAATTCAGTGTTTGTTATGGCTGGATATCAGGTTGAGTTGCAGGAATTGTGCTCAAGAGTCAGCCAAGTAAAGGAAATGTTGTTGATATTCATATAAGCAGTAAGAATTATTTCACACAATTTTATATTGACAAAGGGAGAGCGATTAGCATGAGTCTTAAAAATGCTATTTCTGAAAATGGGTAAATAAATGTCACTATTCTTACGATGGACTATTAGAGCAACTATTAAAATCATGTTTTCAAAAATAAAGATATGGAGACTCAGGATAAAATGGATAAGTGGAAAACAGCAAGATCTGAAAATTGTATATACACAAATAAAATCCTATTGGATTCTTTTTTTCCTGGGTTGTGCTATCTTCACCTGGAATACACCTACTCTTTTAAGTGGCCTCCAATTCTGCTTGGGGTCTCAATTGAATAGTACTTCCTCCACAAAGCCTTCCCTGACTTCCTGTCTTTGTCAGGTGCCCCTGCTCTATACTTGTGTGGTTTCATCTTCTTCTCTTATCATAGGACTTATTACACTACATTGCAATCATTGTGTCTCTACTGGACTACAGTTTTTAAGTGGGCACACCCTATGACTATTTTATTTACCAATGAGTGCTTGGGGCACACTTGACAATAAATATTTCTCAAATCAATAAATGACAAATAAATATTGCAGTGCAGAGGAAAGCAACTTCTCACAGGCAGTCCTGGGTGTATAGGCTGATCATTTTTTATATATCCTGCGGGTAACCTATGTCATGTCCTAGCTTCAGGTTCCCTCCAGTATGGAGGTCCATTGCTAAGGCAGGAAGGGGAAAACGAAAAGGAAACTCAGCCTAAAATTCAGCTTTCATACCTCCTTCAGCCTGGACTGGTCAGAGTCTGAGAGTGCTTTCTCTTCCATGACCTCCCACTTTCCTTTCCTGCAGAATCACATCGTTAGCAATTCTCTAAACTCCTGTAGTGCTTACACATGCCTGTTTATTAACACCTGTCTCAGGTTGTTGTGAACAATCTGTTGCTTTGTATTTGTGGGTCCTGTCTCTGTTGTTCTGTTTCCAGCATCTGGCACAATGCCCTATAGAGTACCTGGCCCTATTAAAGTAAGTCAAAACCTGGAGGGTTCTCAATGAGGAAATCAGAGGTCAGATTCAGCACCTCACACAAGGTGTGAGGAAGCAGAGCCATATAGTGCCCTCTAGTGGCGTATCTGCACAATGGAAGGAAAAAATGTGAGCCCTGAAAATGCAACAGAAAAAAATATACGTCAGATTACATATTTCTTTTTCAGGCATTCCCTAATCTTCTTTAATTTTTTCAAAAATATTTTTACTGAAGTACACATTCAGAATTATCATAAAATTCTACCTATGAGCTATATCATGCAAATTATTAGATAAATCCACATCTTTTAAGAATTTTGACTCTTTGCATAAAATAAAACAAGTACTTTTGAGGCATTTGATCAAACATAAAAAACTTATCCAATTTTCTTGATACTACATGTCTTTAGGCTATTTTTTGAATTGCCTGAGTCATTTCTATGACGTAGTTAAGAAGGATGAAGTTCAATGTTATAATCTAGGAAAGGCAACTTGGATCGATCAACACAAACTTATACCTTGCTTGTTTCATGACAGAGAACCATTCATTTTTGTCAATTACTTACCTCTCAACTATTTCAGGCTTAGATTATTCCTGAAGATGGTTGCATGCTAGTCTGATCTGCCAGTGGAGAAGTGTGCTTTTCATGTTTTGCATGGAGGAGTGGAGAACAGGGGAGGGGCAGGAAAGTGGAGGCACAGTGGTTTATACTACTAGCCTCCGTGGTACCTCGTTGCCTTAGAATTGTCCAGCCTGCTTTGCCAGAGTAATCTAAGAACTTTCCCTGACCTTTGTTAGTTTATCATTTCAAAATTTTTTTAAATAAAAAAACAACTACAAGGTAAGATAAATCTAACGCTCAAAATAACCCTGTTAGAGAGACAGAACAGATATTAGCATTCTTATTTTATATATGAGCAAACTATGGAATGGAAAAGAGATTATGGGTGTATTACCTGATTTGATTTGCCCTAAGTGTTTTTTAAACGTATGGATTTAGCTGCCAACATTTAAAAAGAAGGTATATTTTAATTAAAATCAGGAATTGATTTAATTAAAAATTTGGCTCCTCTTACAGGAAGATCTGGCAAGAGTTAGCATGCAGGTCTACATTGTGACAATCCATGAGAGCTAAGGACTGGCTGTCTCTTGGGACAAATAGGCTTTCTTGAGTCTGGTAAGTGCTCCACCTGATGCTTGCTTCCATTTCTTAGATTAGGTTTTACTGTGGTAAGGCCTCAAAATCTCAGTGTCTTGCAGCAACACTGGTTCATTTCCTGCTCACATTACATTTGGTCTATGATGGTGACAAGTTCCAGGATCAAGACTGAAGGAGCCACCTCCGTTTGGAATATGCTGTTCTTGTTGCAAACTGGGGGAAAAAGGCCAAATAAGGAATGGCTTTTAATGCTTCCTCTCAGACATGGTATGTGTTATTTTTTTTTCTCACATTCTATTAACCAAAGTAAATCAGTGGCCAAGCTGACCTCAATGGGACAAGTAAATATAATTCTTCCAAATGGAAGTCCTGCAAGTCATAGTTCAATGGTGAGGATATATAAAACACTTACAGGAAGGGCCCTAATAATTGGGAGCAAAAACGCAATCCATCACATGCATTTATACTCTTTCTAAGCTTTTGGCATTTGGGTTTGGAAATCTAATTTATTTAGGAGTCTTCTTCAACACCTTCTAGTGATGAGATTTCTTTAATCCAATTTTCAGTTTCCTTTCTTTAAAATTATAATGAGATGTGATGTGTGTTGAAGAAACCCCAGAAGTGAGAAACTCTCATCACTACAATGGTGACGTAGACAGTGATTAACTGTTCCCAGTTGCCTCTAAGTCCATTGTGCTATACTGCTGGAATCAGGAATCATACATGATCTTTCTGCTGAGAATTGATAGGTCCAGCTTGTTCTACATCCAAATAATAATTCAACACATGATTTGTGAGCACCTACTGGGCACTGTGCCAAGTGTGGAAGATACAACCTTCAGTAACTCAAGTTTCCCTTCAGGAACTGACAGCTTAATTGGGAAACAAATTAAGAAGGCAACTGCATTATGGAGTGTCAAGTGGATGATAGTAGTAAGCAAAGGGTGTTATAAGAGTACATAAGAGGGGTACCTAACTCAGACTTGGGGTTCTGGAAAGGTTTTCCAGAGCAAGCAATGAGACCTAAAGGATGAGTAGACAAGTCACGGGAGAATTAAGAACATTTTAAGCAGAGAAAGCAGCATGAGCAATGGTCTGATATCAAGAAAGAGAGAGATAGTGCAAGAGTACACAATGTAGTAGTTTTCAAAACTGTTTGAAATTTTAATCTCACATTTGTTCTTTTCAATGTCTAGGATATCAATTCATTCTGCCGTTTACCTTTGTAAACATGAATTTAGCCCTGTTTCTCTATATGAATACTAGCGGAAGTATATTGATAAAAGAAAAGGAACAAATATGTAGTCATTTCTAAGATTTATTTTTATTAAAATGTAACACTCACAAACTGTAAGTGTATAACTCATATATATATATACACACACATATACACACACACACATACATGAGTATATGTGTGAAACTGTCACTCAAATCAAGACATAGAACATTTCAGATGTATTCCAGAGATCATGGTGGATGGGAGGCAGGACTGGATTGCAGCTCCCACTTGGACAGACAAAGCAGCGTGTGGAGGCTTGTATCATGAACTTTGACTGCAGGAATAAATCAGGAAAGCTGAGAGAACCCACAGACCCTCTGAAGGAAGTGAATTGCTCCTGCAGGTCTCAGGAGACACCCCAAATGCTGTGGGAGCCCAAACTGCAAACTGTGGAAGTGGGAAAGGGGAATAGTCAGCTCCTGAACACACATCCTCACTGGGGAACCTAAAGGTCTAGATCACAGGAGAAGATTTTGACCTTACTTGGAGCTGAGTCAATTTAGAGAGCCAAGTGACATACACTGCTAGAGAAAGCAGCGCGAAAAGCCCTGTGGGCTCACAGGGTTCCCTAGCTATCCATTTCTGCCTTGCCTCTCAGGGGTCCTTGAGGAGGGCTACCAGAGGCACTGGGAAATGGTCACAAAGAGAAGGAAACTTCCAGCTGAACTTTGTAACAATTTGAACAGATTGAGAAGTCTCCTGGCCAGAACCTGGGGGAGGGCATGAATCCAGTGTGCAGACTCCACAGGTGGGGAAGTACCAAAGCCCTACTTGCTTTTGCAGCTGGGAGGCTGGTAGCCTGGGGCAAATTCTCAGCCCTGCTCACCCACTGCCTTGAAACAGACTCAGTGCTGTTGTAGGGGCTATGGTGGGAGTGAGACCAGCCCTTCGGGTTATGTGGGAGCTGGGTGAGGCCTGTGACTTCAACTTCCCTGACAACCTGCATGGGATAAAAATCAGGGATAAAAATCACTACAGCTCTGCCCTCAGGAAGCCACATCCCTGGGAAAAGTGGGAGAGTACTACATCAAGGGAACACCCCGTGGGACAAAAGAATCTGAACAACAGCCTTGAGCCCTAGACTTTCCCTCTGACAGAGCCTACCCAAAGGAGAAGGAACCAGAAAGCCAACTCTGGTAATATGACAAAACAAGGTTTTTTAACACCCCCCCAAAATCTCACTAGCTCACCAGCAATGGATCCAAATGAAGAAGAAATCCCTGATTTACGTGGAAAAGAATTCAGAAGGTTAGTTATTAAGCTAATCAAGGAGGTACCAAAAAAGGCAAAGCCCAATTTAAGGAAGTGAAAAAAAAAAGATAAAATGATACAAGAAATGAGGGGAGAAATTTTCAATTAAATAGATAGCATAAATAACAATCAAAACTTCAGGAAAAAATGGGTGCACTTATAGAAATGCAAAATGCTCTGGAAAGTCTCAGCAATAGATTCCAACAAGCAAAAGAAAGAACTTCAGAGCTCGAAGACGAGGTTTTCAAATTAACCCAAACCAACAAAGACAAAGAAAAAAGAATAAGAAAATACAAGCAAAGCCTGCAAGAAATCTGGGATTATGTTAAACAACCAAACTAAGAATTATCAGCCTTCTTGAGGAAGAAGAGAAATCTAAGTTTGGAAAACATATTTTGGGGAATAATCAAGGAAAACTTCCCGGCCTTGCTAGAGACCTAGACATCCAAATACAAGTTCAAAGAACACCTGGGAAATACATTGCAAAAAGTCATTGCCTAGGCATATTGTCATCAGGTTATCTAAAGTTAAGATGAGGGAAAGAATCTTAAGAGCTGTGAGGTAAAAGGATGACTTAACCTATAAAGGAAAACCTATCAGATTAACAGCAGATTTCTCAGCAGAAACTCTATAGACTAGAAGGGATTTTGGCCCTGTCTTCAGCCTCCTTAAACAAAATAATTATCAGCCAAGAATTTGTATCCACCGAAACTAAGCTTCATAAATGGAGGAAAGATACAGTCTTTTTCAGACAAACAAATGCTGAGAGAATTTGGCACTACCAAGCCAGCACTACAGGAACTGCTAAAAGGAGCTATAAATGTTGAAAGAAATTCTGGAACAACATTAAAACAGAGCCTCTTTAAAGAGTAAATATTACAGGACCTATACAACAACAACAACAAACAAACAACAACAACTAAAAAACAAGGTATACAGGCAAGAAATAGCACAATGAATGGAATGGTACCTCATATCTCGATACTAACATTGAATATAAATGGCCTAAATGCTCCACTTAAAAGATACAGAATTAAAGAATGGATAAGAATTCATAAAGCAACTATCTGCTCCCTCCATGAGACTCAACTGACACATAAGGACTCACATAAACTTAAGGTAAAGGGGTAGAAAGAGACATTCAACGCAAATGCAACCAGAAGCAAGCAGGAGTAGCTTTTCTTTTATTTTTTTTTAATTTTATTATTATTGTACTTTAAATTTTAGGGTACATGTGCACAACGTGCAGGTTTGTTACATATGTATACATGTGCCATGTTGGTGTGCTGCACCCATTTACTCATCATTTAGCATGAGGTATATCTCCTAATGCTATCCCTCCCCGCTCCCCCCACACCACAGCAGTCCCTGGTGTGTGATGTTCCCCTTCCTGTGTCCATGTGTTCTCATTGTTCAATTCCCACCTATGAGTGAGAACAAGTGGTGTTTGGTTTTTTGTCCTTGCGATAGTTTGCTGAGAATGATGGTTTCCAGTTTTATCCATGTCCCTACAAAGGACATGAGCTCATCATTTTTTTATGGCTGCATAGTATTCCATGGTGTATATGTGCCACATTTTCTTAATCCAGTCTATCATTGTTGGACATTTGGGTTGGTTCCAAGTCTTTGCTATTGTGAATAGTGATGCAATAAACATACGTGTGCATGTGTCTTTATAGCAGCATGATTTGTAATCGTTTGGGTATATACCCAGTAATGGGATGGCTGGGTCATATGGTATCTCTAGTTCTATATCCCTGAGGAATCGCCACACTGACTTTCACAATGGTTGAACTAGTTTACAGTCCCACCAACAGTGTAAAAGGGTTCCTATTTCTCCACATCCTCTCCAGCACCTGTTGTTTCCTGACTTTTTAATGATTGCCATTCTAACTGGTGTGAGATCATATCTCATTGTGGTTTTGATTTGCATTTCTCTGATGGCCAGTGATGATGAGCATTTTTTCATGTGTCTGTTGGCTGCATAAATGTCTTCTTTTGAGAAGTGTCTGTTCATATCCTTTGCCCACTTTTTGATGGGGTTGTTTTTTTCTTGTAAATTTGTTTGAGTTCATTGTAGATTCTGGATATTAGCCCTTTGTCAGATGAGTAGGTTGTAAACATTTTCTCCCATTTTGTAGGTTGCCTGTTCACTCTGATGGTAGTTTCTTTTGCTGTGCAGAAGCTCTTTAGTTTAATTAGATCCCATTTGTCAATTTTGGCTTTTGTTGCCATTGCTTTTGGTGTTTTAGACATGAAGTCCTTGCCCATGCCTATGTCCTGAATGGTATTGCCTAGGTTTTCTTCTAGGGTTTTTATGGTTTCAGGTCTAACATTTAAGTCTTTAATCCATCTTGAATTAATTTTTGTATAAGGTGTAAGGAAGGGATCCAGTTTCAGGTTTCTCCATATGGCTAGCCAGTTTTCCCAGCACCATTTATTAAATAGGGAATCCTTTCCCCATTTCTTGTTTTTGTCAGGTTTGTCAAAGATCAGATAGTTGTAGATATGCGGCATTATTTCTGAGGGCTCTGTTCTGTTCCATTGGTCTATATCTCTGTTTTGGTACCAGTACCATGCTGTTTTGGTTACTGTAGCCTTGTAGTATAGTTTGCAGTCAGGTAGCGTGATGCCTCCAGCTTTGTTCTTTTGGCTTAGGATTGACTTGGCAATGCAGGCTCTTTTTGGTTTCATATGAACTTTAAAGTAGTTTTATCCAATTCTGTGAGGAAAGTCATTGGTAGCTTGATGGGGATGGCATTGAATCTATAAATTACCTTGGGCAGTATGGCCATTTTCATGATATTGATTCTTCCTACCCATGAGCATGGAATGTTCTTCCATTTGTTTGTATCCTCTTTTATTTCCTTGAGCAGTGGTTTGTAGTTCTCCTTGAAGAGGTCCTTCACCTCCCTTGTAAGTTGGATTCCTAGGTATTTTATTCTCTTTTCAGCAATTGTGAATGGGAGTTCACTCATGATTTGGCTCTCTGTTTGTCTGTTATTCGTGTATAAGAATGCTTGTGATTTTCGCACATTGATTTTGTATCCTGAGACTTTGCTGAAGTTGCTTATCAGCTTAAGGAGATTTTA
The DNA here is from genome assembly GCF_000001405.40 of Homo sapiens. Taxonomy (NCBI): domain Eukaryota; kingdom Metazoa; phylum Chordata; class Mammalia; order Primates; family Hominidae; genus Homo; species Homo sapiens. The sequence goes on from NC_000004.12 coordinate 144,149,823, forward strand.
GGCTGAGACGATGGGGTTTTCTAGATATATACACATGTCATCTGCAAACAGGGACAATTTGACTTCCTAATTCAATGCCCTTTATTTCCTTCTCCTGCCTGATTGCCCTGGCCAGAACTTCCAACACTATGTTGAATAGGAGTGGTGAGAGAGGGCATCCCTGTCTTGTGCCAGTTTTCAAAGGGAATGCTTCCAGTTTTTGTCCATTCAGTATGATATTGGCTGTGGGTTTGTCATAGATAGCTCTTATTTTGAGATGTGTCCCATCAATACCTAATTTATTGAGAGTTTTCAGCATGAAGGGTTGTTGAATTTTGTCAAAGGCCTTTTCTGCATCTATTGAGATAATCATGTAGTTTTTGTCTTTGGTTCTGTTTATATGCTGGATTACGTTTATTGATTTTTGTATGTTGAACCAGCCTTGCATCCCAGAGATGAAGCCCACTTGATCATGGCGGATAAGCTTTTTGATGTACTGCTGGATTCGGTTTGCCAGTATTTTATTGAGGATTTTTGCATCAATGTTCATCAAGGATATTGGTCTAAAATTCTCTTTTTTTGTTGTGTCTCTGCCAGGCTTTGGTATCAGGATGATGCTGGCCTCATAAAATGAGTTAGGGAGGATTCCCTCTTTTTCTATTGATTGGAATAGTTTCAGAAGTAAAGGTACCAGCTCCTCCTCGTATCTCTGGTAGAATTTGGCTGTGAATCCATGTGGTCCTGGACTCTTTTTGGTTGGTAAGCTATTAATTATTGCCTCAATTTCAGAGCCTGTTATTGGTCTATTCAGAGATTCAAATTCCTGGTTTAGTCTTGGGACGGTGTATGTGTGGAGGAATTTATCCATTTCTTCTAGATTTTCTAGTTTATTTGTGTAGAGGTGTTTATAGTATTCTCTGATGGTAGTTTGTATTTCTGTGGGATCGGTGGTGATATCCCGTCATTTTTTATTGCGTCTATTTGATTCTTCTCTCTTTTCTTCTTTATTAGTCTTGCTAGCAGTCTATCAATTTTGTTGATCTTTTCAAAGAGCCAGCTCCTGGATTCATTGATTTTTTTGAAGGGTTTTTTGTGTCTCTGTCTCCTTCAGTTCTGCTCTGATCTTAGTTATTTCTTGCCTTCTGCTAGCTTTTGAATGTGTTTGCTCTTGCTTCTCTAGTTCTTTGAATTGTGATGTTAGGGGGTCAATTTTAGATCTTTCCTGCTCTCTCTTGTGGGCATTTAGAGCTATAAATTTCCCTCTACACACTGTTTTAAATGTGTCCCAGAGATTCTGGTATGTTGTGTGTTTGTTCTCGTTGGATTCAAAGAACATCTTTATTTCTGCCTTCATTTTGTTATGTACCCAGTAGTCATTCAGGAGCAGGTTGTTCAGTTTCCATGTAGTTGAGCAGTTTTGAGTGAGTTTCTTAATCCTGAGTTCTAGTTTGATTGCACTGTGGTCTGAGAGACAGTTTGTTATAATTTCTGTTCTTTACATTTGCTGAGGAGAGCTTTACTTCCAACTATGTGGTCAATTTTGGAATAGGTGTGGTGTGGTGCTGAAAAGAATGTATATTCTGTTGATTTGGGGTGGAGACTTCTGTAGATGTCTATTAGGTCCACTTGGTGCAGAGCTGAGTTCAATCCATGGATATCCTTGTTAACTTTCTGTCTTGTTGATCTGTCTAATGTTGACAGTGGGGTGTTGAAGTCTCCCATTATTATTGTGTGGGAGTCTAAGTCTCTTTGTAGGTCACTCAGGACTTGCTTTATGAATCTGGGTGCTCCTGTATTGGGTGCATATATATTTAGGATAGTTAGCTCTTCTTATTGAATTGATCCCTTTACCATTATGTAATGGCCTTCTTTGTCTCTTTTGATCTTTGTTGGTTTAAAGTCTGTTTTATCCGAGACTAGGATTGCAACACCTGCCTTTTTTTGTTTTCCATTTGCTTGGTAGATCTTCCTCCATCCCTTTATTTTGAGCCCATGTGTGTCTCTTCATGTGAGATGGGTTTCCTGAATACAACACACTGATTTGTCTTGACTATCCATTTTGCCAGTCTGTGTCTTTTAATTGGGGCATTTAGCCCATTTACATTTAAGGTTAATATTGTTATGTGTGAATTCGATCCTGTCATTATGATGTTAGCTGGTTATTTTGCTCATTAGTTGATGCAGTTTCTTCCTAGCCTTGATGGTCTTTACAATTTGGCATGTTTTTGCAGTGGCTGGTACTGGTTGTTCCTTTCCATGTTTAGTGCTTCCTTCAGGATCTCTTTTAGGGCAGGCCTGGTGGTGACAAAATCTTTCAGCGTTTGCTTGTCTGTATAGTATTTTATTTCTCCTCCACTTATGAAGCTTAGTTTGGCTGGATATGAAATTCTGGGTTGAAAATTCTTTTCTTTAAGAATGTTGAATATGGGCCCCCACTCTTTTCTGGCTTGTAGAGTTTCTGCCGATAGATCCACTGTTAGTCTGATGGGCTTCCCTTTGTGGGTAACCTGACCTTTCTCTCTGGCTGCCCTTAACATTTTTTCCATCATTTCAACTTTGGTGAATCTGACAATTATGTGTCTTGGAGTTGCTCTTCTCAAGGAGTATTTTTGTGGCGTTCTCTGTATTTCCTGAATTTGAATGTTGGCCTGCCTTGCTAGATTGGGGAAGTTCTCCTGGATAATATCCTGCAGCGTGTTTTCCAACTTGGTTCCATTCTCCCCGTCATTTTCAGGTACACCAATCAGACGCAGATTTGGTCTTTTCACTTAGTCCCATATTTCTTGGAGGCTTTGTTTGTTTCTTTTTATTCTTTTTTCTCTAAACTTCTCTTCTTACTTCATTTCACTCATTTCATCTTCCATTGCTGATACCCGTTCTTCCAGTTGATTGCATCAGCTACTGTGGCTTGTGCATTCGTCACATAGTTCTCGTGCCTTGGTTTTCAGATCCATCAGGTCCTTTAAGGACTTCTCTGCATTGGTTATTTTGGTTATCCATTCGTCTAATTTTTTTTCACGGTTTTTAACTTCTTTGCCATTGGTTTGAACTTCCTCCTTTAGCTCAGAGTAGTTTGATCTTCTGAAGCCTTCTTCTCTCAACTCATCAAAGTCATTCTCCATCCAGCTTTGTTCCGTTGCTGGTGAGGAGCTGCGTTCCTTTGGAGGAGGAGAGACACTCTGATTTTTAGAGTTTCCAGTTTATCTGCTTTGTTTTTTCCCCATCTTTGTGGTTTTATCTACCTTTGGTCTTTGATGATGGTGATGTACAGATGGGATTTTGGTGTGGATGTCCTTTCTGTTTGTTAGTTTTCCTTCTAACAGTCAGGACCCTCAGCTGCAGGTCTGTTGGAGTTTGCTGGAGGTCCACCCCAGACCCTGTTTGCCTGGGTATCAGCAGCAGTGGCTGCAGAACAGCAGATATTGGTGTACTGCAAATGCTGCTGCCTGATCGTTCCTCTGGAAGTTTTGTCTCAGAGGAGTACCCGGCCGTGTGAGGTGTCAGTCCGCCTCTACTGGGGGATGCCTCCCAGTTAGGCTACTCAGGGGTCAGGGACCCACTTGAGGAGGCAGTCTGTCAGTTCTCAGATCTCAAGCTGCGTGCTGGGAGAACCACTACTCTCTTCAAAGCTGTCAGACAGGGACATTTAAGTCTGCAGAGGTTACTGCTGCCTTTTGTTTGTCTGTGCCCTGCCTCCAGAGGTGGAGTCTACAGAGGCAGTCAGGCCTCCTTGAGCTGTGGTGGGCTCTACCCAGTTCGAGCTTCCCGGCCACTTTGTTTACCTACTCAAGCCTCAGCAATGGCGGGCACCCCCCCACCCCCAGCCTCACTGCCGCCTTGCAGTTTGATGTCAGACTGCTGTGCTAGCAATGAGCGAGGCTCTGTGGGCGTAGGACCCTCTGAGCCATGTGCGGGATATAATCTCCTGGTGTGCCGTTTGTTAAGCCCATTGGAAAAGCGCAGTATTAGGGTGGGAGTGACCCAATTTTCCAGGTGCAATCTGTCACCCCTTTCTTTGACTAGGAAAGGGAATTCCCTGACCCCTTGTGCTTCCCGGGTGAGGCAATGCCTCGCCCTGCTTCAGCTCACGCACGGTGCGCTGCACCCACTGTCCTGCACCCACTGTCTGGCACTCCCCAGTGAGATGAACCTGGTACCTCAGTTGGAAATGCAGAAATCACCCGTCTTCTGCCTCGCTCACGCTGGGAGCTGTAGACTGGAGCTGTTCTTGTTCGGCCATCTTGGCTCCACCCAATCCTACACTTTCTACAAGGCTGAATGGATGCACTTTCTCTTTTAGATCATGTTCCTTCTTAAAAGTGTATTTTTGAGTGTACATACTTTGATAGCCCAGCTTTGCCATTCAGGCACAGACTATTCCATCTAATAATAAGATAAAATTGATATTTCTGTGCAGATACTGGATATTTTTGCTGACTTTTGCAAATTAGCTTTTTTCTTTTGCCCTGCTAACTTCACGTATTACTTCTAGTAGTTGTTTTTTGTATTTTCTATAATTGTTATGTAAGCAATCATATAATCTGAAAATAGAGACAGTTTTACTTCTTTCTTTCTTATTTTTATGAACTTACATATTCTTTTTTCAAGGTAGCCTTTGATATTTTACATCTTTGAGGCGGGATGTAGAGATGCACTTTCACCTATTAGTTTTAGAATCAGGTTGTTAATTTCCACCAAAAGAATGTCCTGGAATTGCATTAAATCCTTAAATCTTTTGGGGAGGAATTGAAACCTTAACAGTATTGCATTTTCCAATCCATGAACACAGTATCTGACTCTATTTGTTTGGTTCTCTTTAGTTTCTCTCATCAATGTTTGGTAATTATTTATGCAGAAGTCTTCCTCATTATTTATTAGATTTATGCTATTGTATGTGGCTTGTTTACTTTAAATTTTCAATTGTTTATTTTTATATAGAAATACAATATTTTCATTTTGATTTTATATCAAGTTATCTTTCTAAAATTCACATTAATTCTAATAGTTTTATGTATTATTTTGTATATTCAATGTACATAATCCTATTAGTCTGTAAATAATGCTAGGTTTACGTTATATGTATGTGCATGCACACAAACACAAACACACACACACACTTGCTTGTTTTGCACTGTCTAGAACCTCCAGTAATAAGTTTAATAAAGTGATAGTAGTAGACACATTTTGTCAAATAAGACAGTTGTATTTCTAGTTATGAGAAACTTTATCATGAAATGTTGTTAAATTTTATCAAGTGCTTTTCCTGCAGCTATTGCAATTATCATATCATTTTCCTCTTTTTATCAATAAATTTTATTATTTACATAAATCTATTTTTGTTTTTTATTTTTTTCTGGAAAAGATTAAGATGAGGTATTTTTGAATTTTAAAGTGACATTTCGTTCTAGAGTAAAGCCAATTTAGACATAAGGTATGTTTTTATATACAGTCAGACTCAATATCCATATATTCTAAAGACTTATAAATTTACATGTATAAGAGCTAATGCCCTGTTATTTCTCTCTCTCTCTCTCTTTTATTTTATTTTTATTTTTTTATTTTGAGACGGAGTCTCACTCTGTCACCCAGGCTGGAGTGCAATGGCACGATCTCTGCTCACTGCAAGCTCTGCCACTGGGTTCACGCCATTCTCCCGCCTCAGGTTCCTGAGTAGCTAGGACTACAGACTCCCGTCATCACGCCTGGCTAATTTTGTTTTTGTGTTTTTAGTAGAGACGGGGTTTCACCGTGTTAGCCAGGATAGTCTCCATCTCCTGACCTCATGATCCACCCTCCTTGGCCTCCCAAAATGCTGGATTACAGGTGTGAGCCACCGCGCCCGGACTATTTCTCTTTTTTACACTCTCTTTTCAGGTTTTGTTAGCAAGCTTTTACTGTATTCATAAATAGAAAGCTTTTTCAATAATCTGAGTTTGTGTAAGATTAAGATTAATTATTTCTTTTTTTTAAGTTTTTTTTCTTTTATTATTATACTTTAAGTTTTAGGGTACATGTGCACATTGTGCAGGTTAGTTACATATGTATACATGTGCCATGCTGGTTAAACGTTGAAAAACTTTAAAATAAAACAATCCAGGCCTGAAGTTGTCTTTGTAAGAAATGTTTTAATTTCTTTAAATTATGGATTCAACTGGATTTCACAGATACAACTTCTTTATCAAAGTACAATTCAGTTTATCTATTTCTTTTTTTAAAATTATACTTTAAGTTCTGGGGTACATGTGCAGAATGTGCAGGTTTGTTTCATAGGTATACACGTGCCATGGTGGTTTGCTGCACCCATCAACCCGTCATCTACATTAGGTGTTTCTCCTAATGCTATCCTTTCCCTAGCACCCTAGCCCCTGACAGGCCCCAGTGTGTGATGTTCCCCTTCCTGTATCCATGTGTTCTCATTGTTCAACTCCCACTTACGAGTGAGAACATGTGGTGTTTGATTTTCTGTTCTTGTGTTAGTTTACTGAGAATGATGGTCTCCAGCATCATCCATGTCATTGCAAAGGACATTAACTCATCCTTTTTATATGGCTGCATAGTATTCCATGGTGTATATGTGCCACATTTTCTTTATCTAATCTATCATGATGGGCATTTGGGTTGGTTCCAAGTCTTTGCTATTGTGAAGAGTGCCACAATAAACATACATGTGCATGTGTCTTTATAAGAGAGTGATTTATAATCCTTTGGGTATATACCTAGTAATGGGATTGCTGGGTCAAATAGCATTTCTAGTTCTAGATCCTTGAGAAATCACCACACTGTCTTCCACAATGGTTGAACTAATTTACACTCCCACCAATAGTGTAAAAGTGTTCCTATTTCTCCACATTCTCTCCAGCATCTGTATTTTTCTGACTTTTTAATGATCACCATTCTAACTGGCATGAGATGGTATCTCATTGTGGTTTTGATTTGCATTTCTCTAATGACCAGTGATGATGAGCTTTTTTTCATGTTTATTGGCTGCATAAATGTCTTCTTTTGAGAAGTGTCTGTTCGTATCCTTTGCCCACTTTTTGATGGGGTTGTTTGTTCTATTCTTGTAAATCTGTATAAGTTCTTTGTAGATGCTGGATATTAGTCCTTTGTCAGATGGATAGATTGCAAAAATTTTCTCCCATTCTGTAGGTTGCCTGTTCACTCTGATGATAGTTTCTTTTGCTGTGCATAGTATTGGAAGTTCTAGCCAGGACCATCAGGCAAGAGAAAAAAATAAAGGGTATTCAAGTAGGAAAAGAGGAGTGTCAAATTGTCTCTGTTTGCAGATAACATGATTTTATATTTAGAAAAACCCCATCATCTGATCCCAAAATCTCCTTAAGCTGATCAGCAACTTTAGCAAAGTCTCAGGATACAAAATCAATGTGCAAAAATCACAAGCATTCCTATACACCAATAACGGACAAACAGAGAGCCAAATCATGAGTGAACTCCCATTCACAATTGCTACAAAGAGAATAAAATACCTAGGAATCCAACTTACAAGGGATGTGAAGGACTTCTTCAAGGAGAACTACAAACCACTGCTCAAGGAAATAAGAGAGGACACAAACAAATGGAGAAACATTCCATGCTAATGGATAGGAAGAATCAATATCATGAAAATGGCCATACTGCCCAAAGTAATTTATAGATTTAATGCTAACCTGATCAAGCTACCATTGACTTTTTTCACAGAATTGGAAAAAAGGTACTTAAAATTTCATATGGAACCAAAAAAGAGCCCACATTGCCCAGACAATCCTAAGCAGAAAGAACAAAGCTGGAGGCATCAGGCTATCTGACTTTAAACTATACTACAAGGCTACAGTAACCAAAACAGCATGGTACTGGTACCAAATCAGATATATAGACCAATGGAACAGAACAGAGGCCTCAGAAATAATACCACACATCTCCAACCATCTGATCTTTGACAAACCTGACAAAAACAAGCAATGGGGAAAGGATTCCCTATTTAATAAATGGTGTTGGGAAAACTGGCTAGCCATATGCAGAAAGCTGAAACTGGATCCCTTCCTTACACCTTATACAAAAATTAACTCAAGATGTATTAAAGACTTAAACATAAGACCTAAAACCATAAAAACTCTGAAGAAAACCTAGGCAATACCATTCAGGACACTGGCATGGGCAAAGACTTCATGACTAGAACACCAAAAGCAATGACAAAAAAAGCCAAAATAGACAAATGGTTGAACTACTTTACAGTCCAAAATAGACAAATGGGATCTGATTAAATAATCTATTTCTTTTTTAAAAAAAACTTTTATTTTAGGTTCAGGGGTACGTGTACAGGTTTGTTATGTCACACCGTCACAGGGGTTTGCTGTACAGAGTATTTTGCCACACAGTTACTAAGCCCAGTACCCAATAGTTATCTTTTTCTGCTCCTCTCCTCCTGCCACCCTCCACCCACAAGGAGACCCCAACGTGTGTTGTTCCCTCTTCATGTTCATGAGTTCTCATGATTTAACTCCCACTTTTAAGTCAGAACATGTGGTATTTGTTTTTCTGTTCCTGCATTAGTTTGCTAAGGATAATGGCCTCCAGCTACATCCATGTCCCTGCAAAGGATGTGATCTTGTTCTTTTTTATGGCTGAATAGTATTCCATGGTGTATATGGAATTTTCTTTATCCAATCCAACATCAATGAGTATTAGGTTGATTCCATGTCTTTGCTATTGTGAATAGTGCGGCAATGAACATACATTTGCATGCATCTTTTTTTTTTTTCTTTTTTTTGAGATGGAGTATCTGTCACCCATGCTGGAGTGCAATGGCACAATCTCGGCTCATTGCAACCTCTACCTCCTGGGTTTAAGCAATTCTCCTGCCTCAGCCTCCTGAGTAGCTGGGATTACAGGCACACCTGGCTAATTTTTTTTTTTTTTTTTTTTTGTATTTTTAGTAGAGACGGGGTTTCACTATGTTATTATGCTGGTCTTGAACTCCTGACCTCGTGATCCACCTGCCTCGGCCTCCCAAAGTGCTGGGGTTACAGGCATGAGCCACTGTGCCCAGCCATGTGCATGCATCTTCACGGTAGAATGATTTATATTCCTCTGGGTATGTACCCAGTAATAGGATTGCTGGGTTGAATGGTAGTTCTTTTTATATTTCTTTGAAGAATCACCACACTGCCTTCCACAATGGTTGAACTAATTTACATTCCCACCAACAGTGTATAAGTGTTCCCTTTGCTCCGCAACCTTGCCAGCATCTGTTATTTTTTGACTTTTTTGTTCATCTTTTTTTTTTTTTTGAGACAGAGTCTCACTTTGTCACCCAGTCTAGAGTGCAGCGGCGCAATCTCTGCTCACTGCAAGCTCCGCCTCCCAGGTTCACGCCAGTCTCCTGCCTCAGCCTCCCGAGTAGCTGGGACTACAGGCACCTGCCACTGCGCCCGGCTAATTTTTTGTATTTTTAGTAGAGACGGGGTTTCACTGTGTTAGCCAGGATAGTCTCGATCTCCTGACCTCGTGATCCGCATGCCTCAGCCTCCCAAAGCGCTGGTATTACAGGAGTGAGCCACTGCACCTGGCCGACTTTTTAATTATAGCCATTCTGACTGATATGAGATGGCATTTCATTGTGGTTTTTATTTGCATTTCTCTAATAATCAATGATGTTCAGCTTTCTTTTCATGTGCTTGTTGGCCACATGTATGTTTCCTTTTGAAGAGTGTCTGGTCATGTTCTTTGCCCACTTGTTAATGGGGTTACGTGTATTTTTCTTGTAAATTTGTTTAAGTTTCTTATAGATACTAGATATTAGACCTTTGTCAGATGCAGAGTTTGCAAAATTTTCTTCCATTCTGTAGGTTTTCTGTTCCTTATGTTGATAGTGTCTTTTGCTGTGAAGAAGCTCTTTAGTGTAATTAGATCCCATTTGTCAATGTTTGCATTTGTTGCAATTGCTTTTGGCATGAAATCTTTGCCTGTTCGTATGTTCAGAATGGTATTGCCTAGGTTTTCTTCCAGGGTTTTTATAGTTTTGGGTTTAACATTTAAGTCTTTAATGCATCTTGAGTTGATTTTTACATGTGGTTTAAGGAAGGGGTCTAGTTTTAATCTTCGGCATACGGCTAGCCAGTTATCCCAGCACCATTTATTGAATAGGGTGTCCTTTTCCCATTGCTCGTTTTTGTCAGCTTAGTCAAAGATCAGATGTTTGTGGGTGTACAGCCTTATTTCTGTGTTCCAGTGGTCTATACATTTGTTTTTGTACCAGTACCATGCTGTTCTTTTCTGTTCCATTGGTCTATACATTTGTTTTGTACCAGTACTATCTTCCCTTTTCTGTTCCATTGGTCTATACATTTGTTTTTGTACCAGTACCATGCTGTTTTGATTACTGTTGCCCTGTAGTATAGTTTGAAGTCAGGTAGCATGATGCCTCCAGCTTTGTTCATTTTGCTTAGGATTGCCTTGACTATTTGGGCTCTTTTTTAGTTTCATATGAATTTCAAATTTTTTTTTTTTTTTTTTTTTTTAGTTCTGGAAGAATGTCACTGGCTTTTTGATAGGAATAGCACTGAATCTGTACATTGCTTTAGACAGAATGGGCATTTTAATAATATTAATTATTTCTATCCATGAACATGTAACGTTTTTTCCATTTGTTTGTGTCATCTCTGATTCCTTTGAGCAGTGTTTTGTAATTCTCATTATAGAGATCTTTCATGTCCATGGTTACCTGTATTTCTAGGTATTTTATTCTTTTTGTGGCAACTGTGAATGAAATTGCATTTCTGATTTGGCTCTTAGCTGGGCTGTTATTGGTATAAAGGAATGCTAGTGATTTTTGTACATTGATTTTGTATTCTGAAAATTTGCTAAAGTTGTTTATCAGATCTAGGAGCTTTTCAGCCAAGACTATGGAATATTCTAAATATAGAGTCACATCATCTGCAAACGGAGAAGTTTGATTTCCTATCTTCCTATTTGGATGAACTTTATTTCTTTCTCTTGCGTAGTTACTCTGGCTAGGACTTCCAATGCTATATCGAATAGGAGTGGTAAGAGTGGGTATACTTATGTTGTGCCGGTTTTCAAGGGGAATGCTTCCAGCTTTTAGTCATTCATTACGATGTTGGCTGTGGTTTTGTCATAGATGGCTCTTATTATTTTTAGGTATATTTCTTCAATATCTAGTATATTGAGAGTTTTTAACATGAAGGGGTGTTGAATTTTATTTAATATCACAAGGCTTTTTTTGTATCTATTGAGATAATCATGATTTTTGTCTTTAGTTCTGTTTGTTATGAATAGCATTTATTGATTTGCATATGTTGAATGAACTTTGCATCCCAGAGATAAAGCCTAGTTAATTGTGATGGATTAACTTTTTAATGTGCTCCTGTATTCGGTTTGTAAGTATTTTGTTGAGGATAATTACATCAATGTTCCTCAATGATACTGGCCTAAAGTTTTCATATTGTGTGGTGTCTCTGCCAGGTTTTAGTATCAGGATGATGCTGGCCTTGTAGAGTTAGTTGGGGAAGTGTTCTTCCTCCTCAATATTTTGGAGTAGTTTCAGTAGAAATGGAACCAACTCTTCTTTGCACATCTGGTAAAATTAGGCTGGTCTGGGCTTTTTGTTTGTTTGTTTGGAAGGCTATTACTGATTCAATTTTAAAGCTTGTTATTGGTCTGTTCAGGGAATCAGTTACTACCTGGTTGAGTCTTGGGAGGGTGTATATGTCCAGGAGTTCACCCACATCTTTTAGGTTTTCTAGTTTGTGCGCATATAAGTGTTCATAATAGTCTCTGATGATTGTTTGTATTTCTTTGGGGTCAGTGATTATATCCCCCTTATCATTTCTGATTGTGTTTATTTGAATCTTTCTCTTTTCTTCTTTATTAGTCTAACTAGCAATCTATTATATTAATTTTTTCATAGAACAAGCTCCTGGATTCATTGATCTTTTAACTTTTTTTGTGTATCTCTATCTCCTTCAGTTCTGCTGTGATTTAGGTTACTTCTTGTCTTCTGCTAGCTTTGAGGCTGGTTTGGTTTTGGTTCTCTAGTTCTTTTAGTTGTGATGTTAGGTTGTTAATTTGAGATCTTTCTAACTTTTTGGTATGGGCGTTTAGTGCTGTAAACTTCCCTCTTTTTTTTTTTTTTTTTTTTTTGAGATGGAGTCTCGCTCTTTCACCCAGGCCAGACTGCAGTGGCACTATCTCGGCTCACTGCAAACTCTGCCTCCCAGGTTCACGCCATTCTCCTGCCTCAGCCTCCCGAGTAGCTGAGACTACAGGCGCCGACCACCATGCCTGGCTAATTTTTTGTATTTTTAGTAGAGACAGGATTTCACTGTGTTAGCCAGGATGGTCTCGATCTCCTGACCTCATGATCCTCCCGCCTCAGCCTCCCAAAGTACTGGGATTACAGGCGTGAGCCACCGCACCCGGCCATAAACTTCCCTCTTAATGCTGTCTTACCTATCTTTCAGAGATTCTAGTATGTTGCATCTTTATTCTCATTTCTTTCAAAGAACTTCTTGATCTCTGCTTTAATTTTATTATTCACCTAAAAGTCGTTCAGGAGCAGGTTGTTTAATTTCCATGTAATGGCATAGTTTTGAGTGATTTTTTAGTTTTGACATCTATTATTGCATTGTGATCTGAGAGTGTGTTTGGTATGATTTTGGTTCTTTTGCAATAGCCGAGAATTGATTGTGTGGTCAATTTTAGAGTTTGTCCCATATGGTGATTAGAAGAAAGTCTATGTGTTGTTTTGGGGTGGAGAGTTGTGTAGAGGTGTATCAGATCCACTTGATCCAATGTTGAGTTTAGGTCCTGAATATCTTTGTTAATTTTCTGCCTCAATAATCTGTCTGTGGAATACTGAGGTCTCCCATTACTATTGTGAGGGAGTCTAAGTCTCTTTATAGGTCTCTAAGAACTTGCTTTATGAATCTGGGTGCTCCTCTGTTGGGTGCATGCATATTGATTAATTGACCCCTTTACCATTATGTAATGCCCTTCTTTGTCTATTTTGATCTTTGTTGGTTTAAAGTCTGTTTTGTCAGAAACTAGGATTGCAATCTCCACTTTTTTCTGTTTGTTTTCCATTTGCGTGGTAAATTTTCTTCCATCCCTTCATTTTGAGCCTATGGGTATCACTGTGTGTGAGATCGGTCTCTTGAAGACAGCATACCATTGGGTCTTGCATTTTTATCCAGCTTGCCACTCTGTGCCTTTTAAATGGCACATTTAGCCTGTTTACATTCAAGTATTAATATGTGGATTTGATCTTGTCATCATGGTTTTAGCTGGTTATCATGCTGGCTTGTTTGTGTGTTTGCTTTATAGTGTCACTGCTCAGTGTACTTCAGTGTGTTTTTGTATTGGCTGATAATGGTTTTTCCTTCCATACTTAGTGCTCCTTTCAAGATCTCTTATTAGGTGAGTCTGGTGATAACAAACTCCCTCAGCATTTGCTTATCTGAAAAGGATCTTATCTCTCCTTCACTGAGAACGTTTAGTTTTACTGAATATAAAATTCTTGGTTGAAGACTTTTAAAATAATGTTGAATATAGTCTCCAATGCATTCTAGCTTTTAGGGTTTCTGCTGAGAAGTTCACTGTTAACCGGATGGAGTTTCATTTGTAGTGACCTGTCCTTTCTCTCTAGCTGCCTTTAACATTTTTCATTTCATTTTGACCTTGGACAATCTGATGGTTATGTATCTTGGGGATAATCTTGTATAGAATTATGCAGGGGTTTTCTGTATTTCCTGAATTTGACTGTTGGCCTCTCTAGCTAGGTTGGGGAAGTTCTCATGGATGATATCCTGAAATATGTTTTCCAAGTTGTTTGCTTTCTCCCTCTCCCTTTCAGAGATGCCAGTGATTCATATATTTGGCCTCTTTACATAATCCCATATTTCTCAGAGGTTGTGTTCATTCCTTTTCATTCTTTTTTCTTTATTTTTGTCTGTGTTATTTCAGAGAGCCAGTCTTCAAGTTCCAAGATCCTTTCCTCAGCTTGGTCTGTTCTGCTGTTAATACTTGTGATTGCATTGGGAAATTCTTGTAGTGTGTTTTTCAGCTCTATCAGATGTGTTAGGCTCTTTTTTATACTGGTTATTTTGTCTGTCAGCTCCTGCGTCATATTATTGTTATTCTTAGTTTCCTTGGATTGGCTTTTGCCATTCTCCTGAATCTCAATAGTCTTCATTCCTATCCATAGTCTGAATTCTACTTCTGTCATTTCAGCTAACTCAGCCTGGTTAAGAACCCTTGTTGGAGAATTAGTGTATTTGGAGGACATAAGATACTCTGGCCATTTGAGGTGCCAGAGTTCTTGTGTTGGTTCTTTCTCATCTCTGCATGTGGATGTTCCTCTAACTGCTGAGCTGCCTCTGATTAAAGTGATTAGGTGGGGGAGGGTGGTTGTGCTAGTGTCACAGGTCAGGTGGCCCTGATTAGTGAGAAGTGAGGTCTGGGACCTATGTGGAGAATAGTCTGGCCACTTTTCTGAGTTGGGTGCTCTGTGCTGGGTGGATGCAGAGCTCCTGGACTCTATGGACTTCCAGAGCCACCTGGCCACTTTTCTGTAGGGCTACTGCAGTATGCTGGGGGTCAGCTCTTGTCCCTAGTCACCTCAACTTTCAAGCATCTGTTGCCACCCTGAACACACCAGTGGACGTGGTTGTAGCCTTTCTTTGCGGGATTTTGCCCAATGAAGAGAAATGGGTTCCAGGACCCATGTGAAAAAGCAGTCTGGCTACTCCACAGAGCTGCTACATTGTGCCAAAGGACAGCTCCAGTTCTTAGTTGCCTCAGACTCCCACTTTCTTGCATGGGGGACGCTCCCCTGGCTCTGTGTTGCTCCCTGGTGGGCGGTCATTCTGCCTTGCTTTTCTCTGTTCTCCATGGGTTGAATTATTCCTCTTGAATCCAAATGACTGTACCTGGATGTTTCAGTTGAAGGTGCTATGTTTACTTGCCCCTTCTATTTCTCTCTGTGAGAGTGGCACACACTAGCTGCTTCTAGTTGGCCATTCTGGCTAGCCTCTCCTTGTTACATTTTTAATGTTATCAAATCCCTAGTGATAGCTCATTTTTCATTCCTGACATTGGTAATTGGTATTTTCTCTCATGCTTCCTTAATAATTTTTAATATTTTTGAAGAACTAACTTTGGATTTTAATGTTTTTCTCTGTTGAGCATCTGCTTCCTATTTTATTTATTTTTGCTTTATAGTATTTCTTTACTTTTTTCCCTCTGGGTTTAATTTGATGTGACTTTTCCTAGTTTGTTAAGATAGAAGATTACATCCTATTTTTTTCTACTTTTTTGTTTGCTAATATGAATTTAAAACTATATATTTTTCATGAACTAATATTTTAGCTGTATCTGACATGTTTTATTATATTTTCATTATAATCCAGTTCAAAATATTTTATAGTTTTCTATTTTTTTCTTTGACCTATGGGTTATTTAGAAGGATGTTATTTACTTGACAATCATTTACGGATTTTCTATTTATCTCTCTGTTATTGATTTCCAATTAAATTTCATAGTTGTCAGTGAATGTGCTTTGTATTTTTTTAATTCTTCTTTGTATTTGTTGAGATACCACTTACACTCTAGTGTATAGTTGACTTTTCAAATATTTCATGTGCAGTTAAAAGGAATGTGTGTTTTGCAATTTGTTGGCCATAATGTTCTGTATATGTCGTTATGTCAACTTAGTTAATCATGTTTTTAACAATATTTCATCTGCTTTTTCTATCAGTTACTGAAAGAAGTGTGTTAAATATTCAGTCATGACTGAAGATTTGTTTATTTCTTTTAATTCTGCTATTTTTTCCTTTATATATTTTAAAGTATGTTATTTGCATATGCATTTAGGATTGTTATATCTTACTATTGAATTGCCCTTTTTATTTTTATGAAATTTTGCTCTTTGTCTCAACTCTTGCTTCTTGCATTAAATTCTCTTTAGTGTAATAGCTTTCTTTTGATTAATATTTTCATACAACATCATTTTTCATTCTCTTACTCTCAACAAGTTTCTTTATAATTAAAGTGTGTCTCTTACAAACAGTATAAAGGTAGATATTTTAATTTAGTCTGGCACACTTTATCTTTTAATTGGAGTTTTTAATCTATTTACATTTAATGAATTAACTTTATAGTTGTATTTAAGTCTACCATCTTTCCTGGTTGCTTTGCATTTCTTCCTTTGTTCTTCGGTTATTTATAATTTCCTGCTTTCTTTTATATAAATCAATAATTTTGTGCTTTAGTTAAGCAGTCATGTATTTTTAAGACTGATTTATTATAATATACCTTAAGTTGGTAGTTTTACCAGTTCCTGAATAATGCAAGAGACATACCACATATTGCCTCTTTTTTCCCTTTTGTTGTTTGCACCATTATTATTTTTATTATTATTGCATATGTGATGCATTTTACTTTGTGTAGGGCTTGAGGGAACATGACTGTTAAATATTAGCTGGGCGTGGTGGCTCGGGCCTGTAATCCCAGCACTTTGGGAGGGGCCGAGACAGGCGGATCACGAGGTCAGGAGATCAAGACCATGGTGAAACCCCGTCTCAAAATCCAAAAAAAAAAAATTTAGCTGGGTGCAGACTGAGGCAGGAGAATGGCGTGAACCCGGGAGGCGAAGCTTGCAGTGAGCTGAGATTGCGCCACTGCACTCCAGCCTGAGCGACAGAGCGAGACTCAGTCTCAAAAAAAAAAAAAAATTTATAAAGCAACTCTTATTTTCCAAAGTGCTTAAAATATCATGCATGGACTGTGAAGTAAACCTGGGTTCAGACTTTTACTCTGCTTATGGCCAAAGGTACTTTTGTCAGATTACTAAATTTCTCTGAGCTTTCAACTTCCTCAACTGATTAAACATAGGGGATAAGATCTAAGTATGGAATGATTGTGTAATTACAATAAATAACAATATTTTTACTTCTATATATTATAAATATCATAAGACATTATTAGTAGTAGTTTAAAATTCTTGTCTATTTATTCATATATTTACACTTCCTAGCTTTCTCTGTGCCCTTTCCAATCCCATGCTCCCATTTGGGATCCTTTTCTTTCAGCATGAATTGTGTGTGTGTGTGTGTGTGTGTGTGTGTGTGTGTGTGTGTGTGTGTATTTGCATTTCTGGTAGTACTGGTAGTTCTGGCAGTACTGATGAAAAATTTGCTCAACTTATGTTTATATTTAAATGACTTTCTTTTTTTTTTTTTTCTGAGGGTATTCTAATTGTGTATAGATGTCCAGGTTTTCAGGGGCTGGTTTGTTTGACACTTAGAAGATACCATTTTTTATCTTCCGGCTTTCATAATTTTTGTTGAAATCAGTCATCGGTCTTATTGATCCTTCAGTGAAGATAATATGTTTTAGTCCTTTAATTGCTTTTAAGATTTTCTCTTTGTTTTATATTTTTGGGAGTTTGATTATGATGTATATTCTTGTCATTTTCTTTGGTATTTTCTTAGTTTCTTAAATTTTGGGTTCATATTATTTGCAGTTTTGGAAAAATCTTGATTATGATTTCAAATATTGTCTCTCTTTTCCTTCTGGGACTTCAATTTTTCATACATTAGACCTTTTAATTATTGTTGCTCACATTTTTTACATTCTTTTTTTCCTTACTGTGCTTCAGCTTGGCTACTATGTAATGACTTTTAACAATCTTATCTGCTGTGTCTAGGCTGCTGTCAAACCTATATCATTAGTTCTTTGATGCTGATATTAAATTTTTCAGTTCAGAATACACATTTGATTTTTATAAGTTTCAATTATATTTGAAATTCTACTAATATTTAAATGTAAGACCTCAAACTATAAGAATCCTAGAAGAAAATTTAGGAAACATCATTCTGGACATTAGCTTTGGAAAATAGTTTATGACTAAGTCCTGAAAAACAATTGCAAGAAAAAAATTGACCAGTGGGAACTAATTAAACCAAAGAGCTTCTGTATGGCAAAATAAATTATCAATGGAGTAAAGAGACATCCTACAGAATGAGAGAATATATTTCCAACTATGTATCTGACAAAGGTATACTATCCAGATTTGTAAGAAACTTAAACAATTGGACAAGCAAAAAACAAATAACTCCCTTAAAAATGGGTGAAAGACAGAAGCTTGTCAAAAGAAGATGTACAAGCAACCAACAAACACGTACAAAAATATTCCTTATCAGGAATCATCAGAGAAATGCAAATCAAAACCATAATGAGATATCATCTCACACCAGTCGGAATAGCTATTATTAAAAAGTCAAAAGACAACAGATGCTGGCGAGACTGCAGAGAAAAGGGAAAGCTTATACATTGTTGGTGGGAATGTAAATTATTATACTTGTGCATCAACCTAACAGTTCAGGTCCTGTGGAAAGAAGTTTGGATATTTCTCAAAGAACTTAGAACTACCATTCAATCCAGCAATCCCATTACTAGGTATATACCCAAAGGAAAATAAATCATTCTACTAAAAAGATACATGCACTTTTATGTTCATTACAGCACTATTAGCAATAACTAAGACATGGACTCCACCTAAGTGCCCATCAATTATAGATTAAATAAATAAGATGTGATACATATACACCATGGAATACTACACAGCCATTTAAAAATAACAAAATCATGTCTTTTGCAGCAACATGGATTCAACCAGAGGCTGTTATCTTAAGTGAACTAATGCAGGGACAGAAAACCAAATACTACATGTTCTCACTTATAAGCAGGAGCTAAACGTTGTATATTCATGGATATAAAGATGGCAAGAACAGAAACTGGAGTCTACTAGAAGGGGGAGAAGGGAAGAGGGCAAGTGCTTAAAAACAGACTATTGAGTATTATGTTCAATACCTGGATAATGGGATGAATCATACCCCAAATCTCAGCATCATGCAATATACCCATGTAACAAACCTGCACCTGTCCTCTCTAAATCTAAAAGTTGAAATTATTTAAAAAACAAAAAAAGAAATTCTACTTATTTCATTTATTCTATGTAACTCACTCTGCTTTCTTGAATATGCTAATCATAATTATTTTAATGTATTTGTCTCTTGGTTCCAATATATAGATATCTGTAGTTCAGTTTTTATTTATGTTTTTATTATCATAAAATATATATAACAAAATTTTATCATTTAACATTTTAAGTGTATAGTTCAATAACATTAAGTGCATTCACACTCTAGGTGTACAACCATAAGCTTTCATTTTTAAAAATCTTGATTATTTGCCACATTTTCTGCCACTTTGCATGCCTAAACATTTTTTCCCATATGCAGAATCTTGACCTCAGCTTTTTAGTTTCCTAAGTGTGCAGCTTCAGTGGAAATGTCTTGAGAAAGATATTAATATGCTTTATTGCAGGTCCCTTCTCTCTGGTAGGATTTTGCTGTTTTTCCCAATTTAGCTTTTCAGCCTACTGCGCCATTCTGAAACTCAGCAAGTGTCTTTTGGGGAAAACAGGCTTTGCGGTTGGTGCTCTAGTCTTAACCTGTTATGCCAGCCCTGACTAACCGCTAAAAGCTCTAAAAGTGTTAATACTTCCTCCCCACTTCCATGGCATTTTCCTGCTTATAATCTAGTTAGCTGCCATAGAAGAAATCAGCAAATATCCAGATTCCCCCAGGGAAATGAAAGCTCCCCCATGTGACTGTGGAACTCCCTATTATCTCTCATGCCTGAATGTGATTATGATGCCAGTAACAGAATTTTCTGATGGTATTCTCACCCTTCTTCCAAATATGCCCCAGTTAGAGGAGCAGTTGTATTGCTTGTTTCAAATAATCAATGAGCAAATAGCCAAGGGTAATTTTTAGTGATAGACTTCCAATTTCCTTAAAATGAGTTCCAAGAGACTGGTAATATTTCATAAAATTTTAAGACTACAGATCCCAATATCCCTGTTCTTTCCCCTGTTTTGACTGCAGTCTTGGGTCAGAGGACAGAAACTCGGTGGCTTGCTGGAGCAACAAACATAAGTGAGTCTCTACATGCCCTGAGAGCCAGCTGACCTCAAAGATAATACATTTATTTTTAGATTATAATACCATGGGATGCCTATCACATTGTTACTCCCTTGCTTATGTTACTCTTGCTTCTGACATTATAAGTTATTGAATACTAACTACATATCAGGCATTGTACTAGTTACTTCTTGTGGGCAATATATTATTCCTCATCATGATTTTATGAGATATGTATTATTTTCTAAACATGTGGTAGAGCCAGGATTTGAACCCAGGCAGTCTGTCATTATGGCCCAGGTTTATTCTCTATAAACTATACGTCCTCCTGCTATATTAAACATGCAACAAAAGTCAATTAGCATTGTCTGGAGGAGCAGGGATAGGTGAAATGCAAGAATTTGGGCATTATTCATAAGCTGCGTGCAGGAGCAGATGAAGAGGCTTTTGAATAGAGACCTCTCTTTCAAAAGAGACAGTTACATACTGTTCTGAGGAGTGAAATTCAGTATGACTGGGGAGTATAAAGTGAGAGGTGAGAGTCATAGTAAGAGATATGGCTGTAAGGTATGGGCAGTGAGATCATGATGTTAGGGTTTGGGGCTTCATCCCATAGACAATTGGTAAGCTGCTGGAGGCTGTGCAGCAGGGTGGAGCCATACTGTCTACAGGATAAACAGATATTAGGGAAGTAACAAGGTTGACAAGCAGAACTGTAAGAAGCTCTTAGCAGAAATTGAGATAAGAGTAAAGTCAGATATTTCAACTAAGGCAGCTATTGGGGTGTTAGTTAAACTGATTCAATAACCGTCTTTTTTTTTTTTTTTTTTGAGACAGGGTCTCGCTCTGTTCCCCAAGCTGGCATGCAGTTGTGTGATCACAGCTCACTGCAGCCTCTACCTGCAGGATTCAAGCGATCCTCCCACCTCAGCCTCCTGAGTAGCTGGGACTACAGGTGTGCACCACCTTGGCCAGCTAATTTTTTGGTAGAGACAAGCTCTCACTATGTTGCCCAGGCTGATCTCAAACTCCTGGGCTCAAGCAAACCTCCTACCTTGGCATCTTTAAGTTTTAACTATTTAGAACTTAATATTGAGTGGCTTTGTGTTTAATTGGGTGAGGAGGATAAGAGGGAGGCTAAAGGTTGCTTCCAAAGTTTTCAGCTTGAATGACTAGGTAAAGAGTGGTTCTGTTTATAGAGATGGGAAATGAAAGAAAAATCACATGCTTCATTTTAGATTTGTTAAATTTAAGGTTTCTCTGGAATATGCTAGTGGAGAGGTCAAGGAAGAAGATGGACTCTTGAATTTGGGACTCAGAAGGGGAATCGAGACTGAAGACAGAGATGTGGCAGTCATCTGTCTGCCTGTACATGGAGCAAATAGAAGTGTCCACTCTATCCTAATGGATAGCAATCAGGAGAAAGACAGGACTGTAGTATCTTCAGATTGTATAAACAGGCGCTAGAAGGTCTCTAAGTCTAGTTGTGAGAACTGGAGAATGGAGATGACCTAGTCCATATCAAATCAATTAAATTCCAGGTTTTGGTAATATCCAGCTGTGGCCTTCTAAGAGATTGTTTTGCCCAGAACCTATCCCTTTTATTGGAGTAATTTGCTCTCTGTCAGTGGTGGCACTCAGAAGACATAGACTTTGTTATGTGACCATTAATTTTGACTATGGCTGATTAGCTCATGCATGGACACTGGATACAACTTCAGGCCTTCTAATTCTTCTCAGGAGAAACACAGAAGACTGGGTGCTAGAAGCTTAGCCCTATTAATAGAATTCTTGAGTGAGAATCACCAAAAATCTCCTGGGGTCCACTGAACTGCCTGGTTTCCCACCTTTTCTGATGCCTGGAATCTGTGAGGCTCCCCAGTATCCCTCAGATAAATTTTCTTGTTCTATGAAGATATTCTAAAGTGGGTTTGGGATACTTGCAACCAAAAGAGTCTTAATTAGGACAGCCTTGAAGTGTCTAATTAGGGAATCATTAACAGAATGAAGCAAAGGCTGAGGCTGAGCTGAGCTGGCCAGGGACCAAGATAAGCGGCTTTGCAAGTCTCTCTGTGACACAGTGAAGACTGTGGTGACTGCTCTTGCTAAAGCCATTGCATATAATTTGGCTTCAAATGACTAAAGGGGCCCTTTTGTGCATGGCTAATCATGTGGGGATGTTTAGTACAAAGCTAAATATGCCCTTCAGTCCTGCCACGCTTTCTCATAAGTGAGATGTGAGCTTGAATTGTCTCTTCCAGACAAATCCTGCTGCTTCATTTTTTAACAAACTATCTGTCTAGTGTAGAAGGGATTCAATTATCCCTTCACCTTAAAAATATGCCAATGGATGGTGTCGGCCTTCTGTGGCTTGGAGCAAACTCATGTTACACAAATCTGTTTCTCATTTATGTGTTCAGTTAAATCACCAGGGTTGTTTTTTTTCCCTCATAGGATGTGGCAGTACAGAAGGCTGACACCTTTTTTATTTGGGCATTCTACTCAGATCCTGGACATAGGGAGGAAGGAGAAGAAAGTACTTGAAAATGTTGATGTCTTTCTTTATTGGACAAAAGGCCCCAGAATAAGAAATGATGGAAGAAGGCATTTTTAAGTACTCAGTCACTTTCTATGTCACTAGACTCATATCTTATTAGTTGGTATGATTTAGTGAGTCATATAGTAATGTTTCTAATGTACTACCTTTGGTATAAATTGTAACTGATGCAAAATATAGTTTAAAAGAATAAACAAGGAAATGCTATGTCATAAGAAAGAAAAAAGATTTTAGTAATGTAATACTTAAATAACTTCAATAGAGATTTAAGGATTTATTTGTATACATTTCATAGATTTGTTTAATGATTCTGCAAAATTCCATAGCTAGTGAAAAAAAAAAAAAACTACTAGAACCCAGAAATAGCATATAAGTTGTTCCCTCAAGACATGAGATGGTCAATGAGATACCTAATTAGCATCATTATTTATCTGGGAAAACTTTAAAGTACACAATTTGATAATATATACTAAGTAGTATAGTAATAGTAAATAAAAATCACTTTGGCTCTATGTAGAATATTTCCTATTGGTAAGCAGGGTTGAAGGAGATACCTACATATATGGTGTCTTGAGTGGAGGAATTCGAACACAGAACCTGGTTTAAGCTGGTTTTTCCTAAACACACCCTGGAGAGAATGACTCTTCAGTACCATTTTCCTGGATCTCCTGAGCAATTCTTTTTGTTTGTTTGTTTATACTTTGTCTTCCATTAGACAGCATTATTTTGCTTTCAACCATATAACCCTAACCAATACAAATACGGTAGAAGGCACTCATGATCAAAGAGAAAGAGCCCTAAAATCAGAATCTCAGAGTGAGGTTGTACCTGGGGACCACGATGCATTGGTATCTTTGTGGATCTGGAAAAATGCTCATCACGACTAATCACCGATGAAATGCAAATCTAAACCATAGGGAGATATCATCTCACCCCAGTTGGAATGGACATTATCAAAAAGCCAAAATAATAATAATAAGAAGAAATGCTGGTGAGGATTTGGAAAAAGGGGAACTCCTATGCACTGTTGGTGGGATGTAAAATAGTACAGCCACTATGGAAAGTAGTATGGAGGTTCCTCTAAAAACTACAAATAGAACACCATATGATTCACTAACTGCTGAGTGTATATTCAAAAATCAGTATGTCAAAGAGATACCTACACTCTTTTTTTGTTTTGAGATGGAGTCTTGCTCTTGTCGCCCAGGCTGGAGTGCAGCGAGGTGATCTTGGCTCACTGCAATCTCCGCCTCCCGGGTTCGAGATATTCTCCTGCCTCAGCCTCCCAAGTCACTGGGATTACAGGTGCCCATGACCATGCCTGGCTATTTTTTGTATTTATAGTAGAGACGGGGTTTCACCACATTGGCCAGGCTGGTCTTGAACTCCTAACCGCAGGTCATCAGCCAGCCTCGGCCTTCCAAAGTGCCGGGATTACAGGAGTGAGCCACCAGGCCCGGCCAATACCTGCACTCTTCTGTTTATTCCAGCACTATTCGCAATAGCCAACATATGGAATCAACCTAAATAAGTGTCCATCAACAAATGAATAAATGAAGAGAATGTGGTGTATAAAGAGTGGAATACTGTTCAACCATTAAAAGAATGAAATTTGGTCCTTCGTGGCAACACGGATGAGCCTGAAGGACGTTACGTTAAATGAAATAAGCCAGGCACGGAAAGACAAATACCACATGAGCTCAATCATATGTGGAAGCTAAAAAAGTTGATATCATGTAAGTAGAGAGTAGAACCGTGGTTACAAAGTCTGGGAAGAGTAGGGGGAAGAGGGGCTAGGGGAGATTGGTTAAGGGATACAAAATTATAGCTAGATAGGAGGAATGTGTTCTAATGGTCTATAGCACTGTAGTGTGGACCAGAGTTAACAACAATTTATTGTATATTTTCAAATAGCTAGAAGAGAGGATTTTGAGTATTCTCAACACAAAGAAATGATAAATGTTTGAGGTGACTGTCTTGCTCATTACCCTGATTTGATCATTACACATTGTACACATGTATGAAAATATCACATTGCACTCCACAAATATGTACACTTATTATGTGGCAATTAAAAATAATAACCAATAAATAAATAATGAGTAGAAAAATTAGAAAACGAATATGTAATATCTAACTCTGTAGAGCCCTCTATTTTAGAAAAGAAACTTGGTAGATTTGTTCTAAGATTTGATCGCTAGAGGTCACCAAAGTCACAGAAATTATCAGTATTTTTTTCTTTCCGTTTTTGAGTCACAGGCGGATGTCTCTGGCCTCTCCCATTATGCAGTGCATTTACTGGAAGACCTTTTGCTGCTTAGTCTTAAGGAGAGTAAACTGTTTGGACTAGTTTTTTCTAATATTAAATATTCCAGGAAACAGACAGCCATCTATCTATGGGACTATTCAAAACAGATGGGTGTTTCTAGAGAATGTGATTTATTTCCTTCTCTGATACCAAAGGGCCTATTGGTTGATACCTGCTGAATGTGAGTTCTGAGTAATGTTGTTGAGACAGAACCACAGAACACCCAGCAGCAGCACACACCGTTTCAAGTGAAACAGCATGGACCATTTCAAGGAAAAAACATTGTGCCTTTACTGGTAACATGTCTGGTGTAGGAGGGCTCCAATGAAGCAGAACATTCAAGAACACCCATTGCATCTTTTAAATAACAGACCACACTACCTTTTGCATGTTAATAATTCTCCATTTTTTTTTATTGAACTCAACATTAGCCTAAATCCCCAGACCCTAAATTTGTGGAGATTCAAAAACAAACAAGATTGGAATCCTGAAAAGACTCAATGAAACTGTCTCAATTTAAGAGATGCTTCTAGCAGAGATAGAAAGATATAATAGCTAATTTCAGTTTTTTTAGCATGCTCACATTTTAGGGAGGCATAATTCATATTAAAACTTTCTAATTCTGTAATTAGACAAGATGTAGCCTGTAGAAGATGAATATTTGTCAGGAGTTAAATGCAGCTAACAAAGATGCAACAGGCAAGAAGCCTTTCACATTTTCAAGGTTTCATTTACCAATAGCTACATTATTTCCCTGGTTATGTAGATAAGTTTGTGTTTAAATGGTCTCCTGCAGAAACTAAGTAAACCATTTTTTTTCCCATAAGACCTCACAGTGCTTAGATACCTGACAAATCCAAAGTTAAGGCTTTGGTACAAGCCATAACCTAAAAGACTCAAGCCAATATCAACGTGACACATTTTGCATTTAGGCTTGTTCTTTATTCAGTGGACTTCATTTGACTTTGATCTTGGTTAACTTTGAAGTATGCAAGGTTCCCACTTTCCATAAGGGTTTTTTTTTTTTTTCCAGTTAAATCAGACAGGCAGGCAAAGGAAATCTAAACCTTGAAAGAAGTGAAAACAACTAGACACAGTCAGTGATATATTTTCACTACTTTGTTTAAAACAGCACATTGCCATACTTAAAACACTTCACATCAATGAGTTATTTATTAAGTTTTAAATATAAGTCACATTTTCCACTGTATCTTAGGAGACACATTTGAAAACATGTTGGGAATCTGTTGTATGATTTGTGTGAAAAGTTTAGTTAAATGCAAAACTACAGATTGTAGTTAATGATGTACTATTACCATGAAATAGCCATTAACTTAAAGGAAATATTTATATAGGAATTACAATATATGACATTTTATATCTGAAAGCTGGATCTCTTATGGAATTTTATAGACTATGGATTTCAAAATCTACTAGAAACTAGGATTCACATATGTATTTATAAAATGATCCAGACCCACATCTCAAACATTCATTAATTTTGTTTCACCCTTATCATGTTTTAGATTTATGGAGCTATTTCTTATCATGAAGTGAACTTCACTTAATAATGAAGTACATATACACATGCACACACATAAACGTGCATGGGTGTGTACAAATTTATTATTTGGAACAAAAATAGAATCATATATGTATCATTATAAAATGTGTCGTAAAGGATATTAAGAGAAAAAACTTCTTTTTTGAGAGATTTAAAAATTCAACCCAGCCAGGTATCATTTCTCTCTTTCATGATACCTCACTTACCCTAGTTATTCTCTTCTCTTAAGTCTGCAAACTGGAACTTCCCTCTATTAAAGAAAGTAGTAAATTTGTGTTATGTCAGATTAACAGCAGGGGGTCCTGAAGTCAGTACACGTTACTATTTCAGCCCTATTCTAGAAAGAAGCAAAAATTTGAATTACATTTCAAGTCATCTAGAAGGGCTAAATTCTCTTTGGAGTAAGTCTGACCCTGTCAAATTACAAATCTAATATTGTTTTTGGACATACAGTCTGACCAGTGACTCATGTAAGAACTGTTACAGTTGAGTTACCAACTGTGGTCTTACAAACCATTTTGGAGTAGAATAAAAACTCTCCATGGATCTGGAGACAACATGTCTCATTCCTGCACCAGCTCTTTATCTTCCTATGGACATCTGGAAGAAAGCCCCCAAAATATTTACTTGTATATTTCTCTATAATTATATATATATATGTATAAAATTAAGAAGTTGAGGAAATAAACTTTAAAGAAGAGGATTTTGAGATGTAACAGTGATGTAGACTGATATGTGTAAGCCTCCTCTACAAAAATTGTTACTATACAATGAGACATATGGTACAGGCTAAGCCTCCCATGGCTTTGACTGTGTTCTTTGGGAATGACACTGGAAACCACCCTAGCAGGTTGGAATGTCAGGTGCAGACTCTGGATTTGGGGTCTCAATATTCTCAGGTGAAATCCTAAAGCTGTGTGATACTAGACAAGATATTTAACTTATTTGAGCCTCAATTTCATCATTTATGAAATGGAGATAATACATGCCTAGAAGGTCTGTCATGAATATAAAGTCAGAGTGTAAATGCAAAGCACTGACATAATATCTAGCTTGAAATAAATGTTTAATTAAAATTTGTGTCCTTCCACAGAAGGTTGTCGTAGGATTAAATGACTTGACATTTATAAAAGTGCTTTGAAAACCACAAAATGCTACTCAAGTATTAGACTTCATTAATGTTATTTTAAATTTGTGTTTTATATGCCCTTATTCTTTTGGGAAACTTTAGCCAACAAAATAGATTGTCCAGAATTGATACAGAAATCCTACCAGATAATCCAAAGTCAAATTTAAGAGAGTATTCATTTTCCCCCAAGAAAAATTTTATGATAATTAACAAAGAGCTAACTTTATTATTTGGAATAACTACCAATTAGCTTCCTCTAGACACCAAAATGCTGCAGAAGAAAATATATCAGGTGGGGGTGGGGAGGGCAAGAGAAAGAAAGAAAAGAAGGAAAACAAGGGCACTGGGACAGTTTACTATAGGAATGACTGAACATGGACTGTGACTTTAATTACTTTAAGGCATGAAAACTAATTTTAAAATGTAGTTTAGTTTGAAGGACACAGTTATTCAACACCTATAATTAGACAAATACCACTAAATAGGCCTGGAAAAGGCTCTTTGGGCTGAAGATACACTTTCAAGGAGCAGGAAGCTATTCCTGAAGTTCCCATGTGTGTAGTAAAACTTCAGCTCATGTGGACTAAGTTATACATCCATCCTGGCAAATGCCGACACCCCTGGAGGGTTAGACCCTAATAATTCAGTTCCCTGGTAAAAACAGTGTTGTATACACCTGCGGGAGCACTAAAACTAGGGACTGAGTGTGTAACCACTAGAGCACAGACTATATTATATATAGTCCTCTCCTGTGAGCAGGAAGCAAATAGAATTAGTTAAATCCAAGTTAATACTCTGTGAAGACGTTTCTTCATAAATCAGGGCCCTAATGTGCAGTGACTTGTTCGAAGTCCTAGAAGACATCATAGAAGAATCAAGATCATAAGTCAATGTGATACAGGATTACTAGGCAACAAGCCACAAGAGAAGAAACAGCATCTAGGCTGAGAGAGCTTACTATGAAGTCAAACCAGCCTCTTTCTGTCTCTCTGTGACTTTGATCAACTTGTTCAAATGACAAGCTTCAATTTCTTCACCTGGAAGAGGACAGTAATCATGAATACCTTGCAATGTGGGTATGAGGCTGAAATGAGAAACTGTATGTAAAGATTTTAGCACTCTGATACAACAAGTAGCTATGACCATGAATAATATTTTTAAACAAAATACTCACAAAAATACTCTATCACATAGATAGGGGCCTGCAACCAAGGGGCCTTTTGTGGAAATATGTTAGGAATGCAGGGGCTGTCCTGAAGAATGTTCTGTGCTAACTTTAACCGGGAGTGAAAAATGACTGCTTAGATAACAAGAACCAAACAAAATGGGAATCTTATTCTAATATGCTCTTTGAATGTCTCTTCAAATAATCGTTACATTAGGCTAAGTAGAAACAGCCTCCAGAAGCTGCATCTTTGAACTGTGACAATTGTCTCTGTGCCAATAGAACTTAAACATACTATTGGTTTTTAGCTCTAGAGAAGGTATTCTTTTAAAATGTACTTGATTCTATTTTGCATTAGTCATCTAGGGGTGCTGCATTAAGCATGCTATATTTCAGTAAATATCTGTAAAATACATTTAAACCTGTATTTGATCTGCATTTAGTTCTTTTCAGGAACTACAGCTAACAAAGTAGATGGCCAGGAATTGATATGATAATCCTACTAGTTAATGCAAAGCCACATTTAAGTGAGTGTCCATTTCTCTCAAAGAAAAAAATGTATAGTAATTCACAAAGAGTTAACTTTATTATCTGGAATAACTACTGTCTTTCTTCCTGAAAACACCAAAATTCTCAAATGCATGCAACTACTGAAAGGCATGGGAAAAGGATGTGTCATCATCAATCTGTCACTCTTCCCCATAGCCTACACTTTGCTGCTGTCTGAGTTTGCTTTCAGTCCTGCAGCCTGTACCACATCTACTATGAAATCTGTGGGGGCAGGTATGGGGTTTCCTGGTAGAAGGTAAAATAAAAGCCCAGCTATACTGTAGAAGACATGTTCTGAGAGAGGTGGAATGGAATGGGATGATTCTTCTCCCTCAAGGCATATTTGTCCTGATACTGCTGATACTGAGGCAGTAGCAATGGGGCCTGAGAGGAGAGGGAGGAGTAAAGATATGGAGTAGAGTTTATGTAAGAGTGTGATGAAGGGGCGGGTCTAAGATGACTTTCAGGTTTCTGGATTAGTAGAGTGTAGACTGGGAGGATGTTGGTGCTATTTTCTGAGATAAGAAGGAAACAGGAAGAGAACAGATATAAAGGGAAAAATATAAGCTGGTATTGAACAGGCTGAATCATCACATATAACCAGTAAGCAAATGGATAGAAAGATCTAGTTATTTTTTAGACTAGTATTTAAATGGAGGCAATAAACTACAGAGCACTATGTATCAAGGACAGTTTGTGATATAAACAGATACAATTTAGTCATGTCATAGATCTGCCTTTTGTGAGCAATAAAATTTAACTCTTTGGGACTACTCATTATTAGTACAATACATTTGGGAAACAATATGGTAATAAATATCAAGAACCTTAAAATATTACTATTTTATTTAATAATTTTACTTCTAAGATGCTATGAAGCTAATCATAGATGTAGACAGTATACAAAACATGTATACTGCAATAATTAAAGGAGCAAAACATTGAAATCAACCTGGATATCCAATAATAGGATAGTAAAATAAATCATGATACATCTGTGGAACAGACTATTAGTCAACCATTAAAAATAGTTTTCATGAACAGTCTTTAAAGATGTGAGTGCTTCAGTTTTCTCTTGCTGCACAACTAATTGCATCAAAACATATTAAATTAAAACAACACACATATATTATGTCACCCAATTTCTCAGGATTGGGTGGTTCTGGCTCAGCATGCCTCCTGAGATTTTAGTCATGCTATTGACAAGGGTTATGGTTTTCTCAAGGCTTGACTGGGGCTGGAGAAGCCATTTCCAAACTCATGCATATGGTTTTTGGCAGGCTTCATGGCTGTTGGCTGGAGGCTTCAGTTCCTCACCATGAGAGCCTTGTTGTAGTGCTCCTTACAACATGACAGCCTGTTTCACTCAGAGTGAGAGATGGGACAGAGAACCCACTATGGAAGCCACTGTCAGTTATAGCCTATTGATCTCACAGACCAATCCTGGTGCAACATGGGAGGAGCCACATTTAAATCAGTGTCCATTTCTCACAAGGGTGTGAATACTAGGAGGCAGGAATCATTCAGGGACATCTTGGACTCTGGCTACCACAGTAAGTCAATGCTTTTGATAAAGTGTTAAGTGAGCAAAATAAAGAATATATGTATAGCTTAATTATTCAAAAAATGCAAAGAAGGCAATGTAAGCATACCAGAATTTTAACTATGCTTATATTGGTTGCATGACTATAGTTTGTTTCAATGGTTTTATATAGTCTTTGATATTTCATAAGAATTTTATGATTAGAATGTATTTTATTATGTTCTTTCTAAATGTTAAAGAAGCTTAGAAAACACATTGAGTTATTAATTTTAATTACTTTTACATTGCGTATGAAGATGTTCAATAAAACTCAAGTCCTCTACTAAAAAAAAACTGAAGTATTTTACTAATTTAATATAACTAGTTAAGCTTAGGACCAAGAGATTATAATTTGACTTCTTTTTAAACAGTTCCTTATGTTCCCTAGCATAAGTATTTTATAGATATTCAAACATAATAACTAAACCCCTAGGTCGATGATCATTAAAATATTTTTGCTATTCAGTTTGCCCACTTTATAAAAAGGTACTATGTGCCAAGGCTAAACATTCTCTAAGGTAACATTTGAACTCTAAAATTCATTGATTTTTAGAAGATATTTATTAAATAATAAGTATTTAAAGCACAGTACTTTCTTAGTCAGCTGTACTGCAGTCCAAGATTCATGAGGAATTTAAAGGTGTTTTTGGAAAGAGAAGTTGGTGCAGATGTTTATTTTTCACTTGCACCATGAAATCTAGGCCCTGCCTAAGCACAGTGGAGGTTGGCATTTGGAGATGTGAAAAGCAATACGGTTTTCTGCAGCATTCATTGGGTTTCAGTAGCCTGCTACATGGAGTGGCGCATATTTGTGAATTCATTTAGTCCTGAGCAGTGTCTATAGATACCCCAACAAAGATCTTTCCTGGTGTTTGAATGTTTACTGGTATTTCCTTCTGCAGGATGTCCGCTCTGCTTGTCTTACCGCATGAGAGAGTGCAGATGTTCCTGAAAGCATCTTTGCGTGGATTTGCTTGAAGCGAGATGTGAGAGAAGGGGCAAAGCTCGAAGGGAGCTGCTAGAGAGAGAGGAAAGCAGCTGGACAGGGCTTTCCTGATGACTGAAATGTAAGCCATTCTCTAGGAAACAAAGTCACTTTCTTTTCTGAGAACAGGCACTTGCCGTCACAGAGGCCAGAAATGTGCTAGAATTCTTTCAAATTTTCAAGATCTCAATGTCTCCATTATGACAACACTCTTGGATAGTCTGTTTGTTCCTGTGAGGTGGCTCCAACATATTTTTCAGTGTCTGAAACATAGGAGACCTGGAGATAGGAAAGGTATGTTCAAGGAGAAAGAAAGATCTGATTTCACTCCAAGCAAGTAAGGTGAATTCGTGATTATAAAATCTAGGCAAAACAACTCTGTAAACATATCTCAAATACTACTCACATGATAAAACTACTGTGAAGAGATTTACAACCAGGCCCCTAGGATGTAGGTGACTACAGGTGCAAACAAAATATTTAAATGTTTAATTACCTGTGGTGCATTGTACTCTTGAGAGTGACTAGGGGCTTCCTTAAAGATGGAAAATGCTGAGATCTGCCCCAAGGATCTGAGGACTTAATAAAAGAGGGAGAAATGGTTTGAGGAGATTACTGTCAAAAAGACTGAGTCAAACAGACAAATTTAGAACATGCATACACTATGATGATAAATAGATTCTAAAGGGAAAGCGTGGCCGGGCACTGTGGCTCATGCCTGTAATCCCGCACTTTGGGAGGCCGAGGCAGGTGGATCACCTGAGGTCAGGAGTTTGAGACCAGCTTGGCCAACGTGGTGAAACCCCGCCTCTACTAAATATACAAAAAGTAGCTGGGCGTGGTGGTGGGCACCTGTAATCTCAGCTACTCAGGAAGCTGAGCAGGAGGTTGCTTGAACTGGGGAGGTGGAGGTTGCGATGAGTCAATATCCTGCCACTGCACTCCAGCCTGGGCAACAGAGTGAGACTCCATCTCAAAAAAAAAAAAAAAAGAAAAAAGAAAGAAAACAAAAGGAAAATGGAAGTCGTGTTCTCTCAAAATAGCTTGTGAAGCAATGATCACCAAGTGATTTAGACTCTGGTGTGTGGGCTAATACAGATCTGTTTCGGTGGGAACATAGTAGGGCTTTTAGTTATGTATTTAGACTAAACCAAAGCAAATCGATGTGCCAAGGAATGCAGAAATTTCTCGGCCATGTTCAAGTCACAGAATCCATAAAGGTTAGTGTGAGAAGAAAAAGTAACTCATTATCTTATCTTTCACCAATGCTTCTCCAAATGACCACAGCCTGCCCTTAAATTAAGTGAATGAATAATGAGAACAGATGGAATGAGATGGGAGAGGTGGCTGACTTAGAAATTTGACCTTGAAACTGTGGTTCATAGCAATGAACTTCCGACTTTTCCCAACCAAATTCTTAAATGTATAAACATGGCGTAAACTATAAAGGAAAAGTCCACAAATGGGTGGATGTCTATATTAATCTTCATCTTCTAGAATAGCTGATCACTCTCTCCTCGTCATCATCTTCATCATTGTGAAGCAAGACCAGCTCTCTGAGATAGGAAAAGAATTTCATAAATTCATGATGGATAAGGCATAAAAGTTTCCCATCTTGAGAAAGAATGAAAAGAGGCAAACGAGATTTTTCTTAAACTCACTACCTCAGGAATATGTGTAAAAGGATGAATGATTAATATTTAATGAATGTCTGCTGTGTGCTATGCAGTAGTAATGACTTATGTGTGTTATCTCATATAAACCTCGTCACAATTCAGTGAGGTAGGTATACTCATTTTGCTAATGAAAACATCAGAGGTCAAATGATTTGCTAAAAAATAATTCCAGAGGTAAGTGGCAGACTCTGTTTTTGAATCATGTCTTTTAGCACTAAAATCCATCCTTCTTTCACTTCCCATGCTTCTTTCCTTAGAGCCCTGCATGAATTGGCCCATGCAGCACTATTAAAATGGAATCAGTGACTCTGCTGCTCCTTGGAAAGGTCAAACTTTCTTTCACTTGAGGGCCTTGCTTTTCACCTAGGTATCCTACCCAGTTACTCCCTCACCTCCCTGAAGTGGTCCTGCCTGACCTCCCCATTGAAAAAATATGACTTCTGTCATTCACAATCCTCTTACTTTTACTTTTCATCATAGCCTGTATTCCTACGTGACACTATATATCTATTTGTGTATTTGCTAATTTTTTGATTCCTGCTTTAATATGTATGCTTCATAAGGACAGGGAGTTTGTATATTTTGTTTACTGTTCTATCCATAGAGCCAAGGTCCATGCCTGGCATTTAATAGGTGTTCTATGAATAGTTGTTGGGTTCATATTAATGAATATGTTGCTATGAATATTTCACCTGATCTTAAGTAGAGAAGAACAATCATAATCAGCCACAAATTTCTTATGCTAACCTCTACCTTTCCTTGAGCTACTTCCCTTTCCATATTTAGCTGGAATATCAAGGCTTAGTTTCCATATCATCTTGTCTGATGTTAAAATTCACTATTGATGTTTGGGTGAAGACAGTTATGGCACAGATGGCCACATGCCCCTTAAAACACATTTCCCAAGCCCTTATCTTTGCATCTTGAGGCAGCCATATGTTTAGTTCTCTATGATGGACTATGAGCAGAAGGTATGGTTCATTTCAGGGGTGGCTTTTAAGCAGAAGATATGTCTTTTACACTGTTTCCCTTTCCTGCAGCTTATTGTGGATAATGGAGATCAGGTCCTGTGGTGGTGGATCTAATGGAAGGATCCTAGGTCTCTGAATCACAACGTGGAAGAAAATCAGTCACCACCCCTAGCTGGAACACCAACATTTCAAATAAGTGAAAAATAAACTCTTATTATGTCAAGCCACTGCAATTTTGGGGTTTGTCTTAGTGTTAGTGTCACCTACATTTATGCAATAGCTGAGTAACATTTTAGAAGAAGAGGATGTTTGTAGCCATTTTGGACTACAAGAAATGTCAAAGATACTTTTTATTTTCCTAATTTTTAATTTCTAGGTTTATTCTTAAAAGAGTAAGATCTTTTTTTGAAAAATCAGTACTATTATTTTGACTTTTGGATATACAAACAGGTCTCTCCTTAACCACTCAAAAGAGCCAAGTGAGAGGAATTTGTGGATAAAGACATTTAAAGGTAGTATGAAATCTTTAATCACGCCAAATCAACACTCATCACCACGACATTCTGTCAGTGCCTCCAGGGATTAAGGACATATGAATGTCTTTCCCTGAAATGTGATTGTGACATTGGACTTAGCTATTTGGGTTTTCATGAAACCCATTGTCAGGTTAAATAATGATAGAGTAGTAGATGTTCTGCACAATTGCTTTTGTTATAAAACTTGAAAAAAAGTATATTAATTTTTTATGCCTTGCCTTTCAGTGCATTATTACTTATCTTTGTGCAGAGTAGATTAAGTAGGTCCATTGAATAAGAAAGCATTAATTTGGTAGATTCTCTGTGTTAAGATGCTCAGTATTTTTTATGGAATAAAGGTGTGGAAGGTTTCTACTCCTGGTCAAGGAGTAGAAACAGGTAGAAAATATTTATATTTCAGCCCTGCTTCTCCTTTGTCATATCCTTCACCACAAGGATCTACTTTCACTTCTGCCTTGGTTTTAAACAGCAGCCAGTATATGAAGGTCTAGCTAACTACACTATCTCCCTAGGAGAGTTGGTACAATGTTGTTTCCAAAAATTAGACAAAGCATGTTTAATGGCTCCCTTTCACTAAGTAAATAAATAAAAGCAAGAAAGGGAGGAAGCAAGCTGGCTAAAGAAGAAATGAACTAGACATCTGTATGTTTCATTTTGTTAGTGATCAAGCTCGTCTTTCATGATTATTACTTTGATACATACAAGATATATCACAACTATTTTCCTAAGCAATATGAAGATACAAAGTTATTATAAAAACTAATGGATCTAAAAATACATATTGAAAGGTATATTTATCTTTTGCACACCTCGATGAATTTTTCACAAACTGAACAGATCTCTGAAACTGACAACCATATAAAACAAACAGACAAAACAAACAAGCAAACAAACATAACCAACACCCTAGAAACCCTCCTAGGCTCCTTTCTAGTCAAAGGATTAGTCATTATTTTGATTTCTAACAGTATAGCTCAATTTTATAAATTAATTAAGCAAATTACTCTTTGTGTAATTTACATGAATACATTAGGTATTCTTTTGTGCCTGACATTTTTTGTTGAATATTTTGTTTGCAAGATTTATCCTATTGTTGCATATGCTTGTAGACTGTTCATTCTCACAGATGTATTATAAAATCTATTGAGCAAATATGGCACAGTTTATTTATACACTCTACTGTTGGTAGACATCTTGATAGTTTCCAGTTTTGTTTGGAGCTATTACAAAAGTGCTGCTATAAACATTCCAGTTAAGTCTTTTGGTAAACTCAAATATGTATTTTTGTTGAATATATATGTATATATACCTAAAGAAAGATTCGTTGATACTGCCAGTTTTCCAACATGGTTGTATCAATCCACATCACTACCAGTTGTGCATAAAGATTTGAGTTGCCTTGTATCTTTGCCAACACTTGAAATTTTTTGTCTTTATTGTTTTAGCCAGACTAGAGGTTGTTTAGTGGTATTTCACTGTGGTTTAATTTGCATTTCCTTGATGGCTAATGAACTTGAGAATATGGAAATATGTTTATTGGCCATTTGAATGTCTTTCTTTATGAAGTACCTGTTCAAGTATTTTACCTATTCCTCTATTGAGTTGCCTGCATTTTTCCTATTGATTTGCAGGAGTTCTTTATATGTGCTAGATAAGAGTGTTTTTGGTACTCTACATGTAACATTATATGTATGTGTATATATATATATATATATATATATATATATATATAAAATTTCCCACTTTGTAGTTTGCCCTTTCATTCTTTTAATGTCTTTTGATGAACGGATGTTTTTAGTTTATTTAGGCAAAGCTATAAGGTAAGAACAATGTTAGATTAAGCTTTAAAAGGTGATTCAGTTCCATGAACAGAAAGATTGGGATTCCCAGCACTATTGAGCTGTTTGAATCAAACTCCTAGAAGCCTTAATATATTTTTTCAACTTTCCCTTTGTAATTGTAGTGTTGGAAAAACAATAGTTACCCTCAGAGTGTTGTAGAAATTACCATCTGTTGATTGAAACAATGAGAAAATATTACCAAAATGGTTAGAACAATAAGAGTACTATATAATATCCATGAAAAATTGACACTAGCCACAGGTTCCTTCAGGAAACCATCAGTGTTCTGAAAATAATAAATCAGAAAATCAATGTTCAGTTTTCAACAGCACGGTGAGGATGGCAGTGAAAGGTATTATTTTAAGAATTTTCTCAGGCCCTGAGTTGTAAGAGTCTGTAATCAGTGATATTTTTATTTAAAGAAAATCAGAGCATGAAAGAGCATTATTTTAATATCTAATATTTAATGCTAGAATTAAAAATCTAGTGTAAGATTTATGTTGGAAAAAGCAAACAAGCAAACAAAGTAAATTACAGCTCTCTGTGTAATAACGTGAATGAATGGAGATTCCTCGGCAAATTGAATTTACTATGTGAAATCTTGTAAATGAGGCATATTTTAAAAAATCTTGGCTCTAAAGTGATTTGGTGAAATGATTATTTTCCTCATTAAGACAAAATAAATTTCTGTCATATTATTAAACATTTCACAACCTCAAAGTGCTGTTTTATGGTAGACCAGCTAGAAGTAAAGATTAAAGTGGACTGTATTTGTGGTCTGGTCAGAGTTTAAGCAGAGGACACAGTTTCTGGAAGCTTTTCCTTCAGCCTGGATGTCAAGGGTCCTTTTGCTGCTTAGCACCTCCAGCAGCCTCCACCCAGGTTCATCATCTAGCTGTGTTGTCTCCACTGTTTCCTGGAGAAAGGTCCAATTACCCAAAATACAGTTGTGCCCTTTTTATGTTTTCATCATAGTTAATTATAGAAAAACTTGGTTATATGCGAAGTCCTACTAAAACAAAAGTATCATAGGAAATATTTCTAAGAATCATGCAAAATCATGATTTTGTATTAAGAAATTCTAAATTAAGAACCATGTAAAAATGAGAGTTTGAAATGTTACTCTGTCAGACACTGAAGAATTTAAGAACCGTTAATTGTTTGTATACTAGCTCCTCGAAGGTAGGTCTGTTTTTATTCATCTTTACGGCCTTCGTTGTCCCTGACATATTGCTGCACGTAGAGTATATGCACAGTGTATACTTGTGGACTAAGTGAATGCCAACTTTAGCTTTTGAAAATGTAATATATGAGTTTAACAGATGTTGTCTCTTCACTTTCTAAGTACTTGGAACTTTGAAAATGGCTCTTTCAATAGTAAAGTTTTTTTCTCTAGATATGTTCTTAAATAAAAAGTGATGTAAAGAAAGGAAAACAAACTTAAACCATTAAAATGTTTTAAATTACTAAATCTGCCTCCAGGAATGTGTAAAGAGATAATGACTACCTAACATAATTTTTTATGGGTTAAATTTTCTCTAAATGTGATCTATTCTATTTTGAACTACAAATATTTTAAAAGTATAAATTGTAAGCAACTGGAAAATTGGTTTTAGGCACGTGATATGCAATTTCACAAATGTTCAGGATCCTGGTGTTATTTCTATGACTATGAGATTTCATAAACAAATTATATAGCCACTATTTGTGCTTCATTTTGCTTCTGCACAACTGAGGTGCTTATTAAACACAAAGGCACATTCTACCGATTATTGTAGATACTATGTTTTATTGTATTTTAAATGAACATTACACACAGTCCTGTGTAAAATGTAAATTTTTCTCCTCAGGTTGTATGTATGCTATACATGAACTACAGCTAGCATGTATAATCCCAGGTCCTCTTCAGAGAGTTCTATTAAGGTAAACAGATATTACATGCAAAACCCTTTTTTCAGTCTGCTGTATTTAGAACCCTAGATGCCCAAACTGCTGAATTACCCAAAATACATTTGTGCCCTTTTTATGTTTTCATCATAGTTATAGAAAAACTTGGTTATACGCAAAGTCCTACTAAAACAAAAGTATCATAGGAAATATTTCTAAGAATCATGCAAAATCATGATTTTGCATTAAGAAATTCTAAACTAAAAATCATGTAAAAATGAGAGATCGAAATGTTACTCTGTCAGACACTGAAGAATCGTAATAGAATTATGATTACCTATTCAGCCTAGTGCAATACTAATTCTGTTTACTTATACTTAACATACAATAGAATTACAACTATAGAGGAAAATCTCTTTTTCTTATTAGGCTGCTGAAGAAAAGTCTCATATTCTGTGATATCTGTTTCTAATTTGTCTTTGGGGAAAGGAATGCCAAATAATTGCCTTGTTTCCCCCTTCAGACATTCAGAACCTCACCAAACTGCAGTCAAACCAGGATGCACACCCCAGCACGTGATTTTTTTTTTCAGGATCATAGTCAATAAATTTGATTAGTTTGTAAAGCATTCCAAGCCACTAGTCCACAAAG
Source organism: Homo sapiens (assembly GCF_000001405.40). Lineage (NCBI taxonomy): Eukaryota > Metazoa > Chordata > Mammalia > Primates > Hominidae > Homo > Homo sapiens. The sequence goes on from NC_000004.12 coordinate 144,189,206, forward strand.
CAGGTTGAGCCAATCCTTCACTTACTCCCTGTTCCTTCTAGACCACCAGGGCTCTAGTTTGTATTTTTAAACCTGGGTTAAATTGTGGCATAACCACAAACCATTGTATGCTATTAACAGTGGGGTTCCAATGAATGACTGACAAACAAAATCTTAGCACAGGAAGCCTACTTCTCTCAGTGGTAAACACATGTTATTAATGAAACGTTTCTAACGGGCTGAAGCAGTTTGAAGTCTGTCTTGACTGACAAGACTGTATTTTGCTATATGGGCTAAACAAACAAAACATTTAAAAATAGTTCATTAGAAGAATATGTTTTGGTGAATCACAAATGTATAATTTGCAGATCTGGATTCTGAGCTAAATTTCTCCTCCTCCTGTATTATAGTGTAATATCTCTCTCCAGGGTTCAAAGAGAGTGTATAATTCCTGTATCTTCCTTAGGAAGATCTGGATAGTGTTAAATGCAACTTCCGGTCTAGCCTCAAAGAGAGGCTTGATACAAGAAGGACTTGACACAGGTACTACATGGGACACTGCAGGAGAATACAGGTGAATATGAGGCTCAGAATCTACTTCGTAAGAGAGAATTTCTATTGTTAGGTAGGATGCTAAATAAAAATCAAGTGTGCTTCATCCTCGGCTTCCTCTTAGTCAGGAGATAGGTGAGTAAAGACTTTGTTCATGTATATTTGATGTTTTCATTTATCAGTAACATTGGCTACTGAGTATGTAGGCATTCATAGAAACAGACAGTGAGTCTTTTGTGCAATTTTTCTGAACTCCTGTTTAACATAAAGGGATAGCAAACCCCAAACCAAATAAAACAACACTGGCATTGCATTTAGATGTCTTTGAAACATTCCAATGTTTTGGACCACCAAACTTGAACCCACGATGGTTGCATTTAGTTTTGATCAAATTGGGCAGTGCTGCCTCAAGCTGGTTTGCATTTCTTTACAAATTTACCCCGACCCTGTTAGAGTAACCAGAGAATTACAGAACAATGTACTGTTAATCTGTTCTGCAGAGTCCTTTTGCAAGTGAATTGAATAGTGAGGAAACCAGGGAATGGCTATATCTCTAACTTCAGAGTGATACCACTGTCATCAAAACAGTTTCTAATATCCAGTATTTCTAGAAGTGGATCCTCACTATTTCTAACAACATCAAAATAGCCAGTCAAAAGTAAAAACTTTGTACAAGCCACAGATACATGCTGTAAAAAAATCTTTTCCTTGATTTAACTGGGTTACTTTCCCTTCACTGAATTGACAAGTTAATATTATAGGTATGGTCTAAATTTAAGCTCAGAAAGTATACCCTGGAAACATTTAAGGGCAATGTTGGGGGGAAAAAGTCTAGGATTTGCTGGGTGCTGTGGCTTATGCCTGTAATCCCAGCACTTTGGGAGGCTGAGACAGGAGGATAAAGGTTGAGACCAGCCTGGGCAACACAGTAAGTCCTAGTCTCTAAAAACATTAAAAAATTAGGGGGATGTTGTGGTGCGCACTTGTAGTCCCAACTACTCGGGAGGCTGATGCAAGAGGATGCTTGAGTCCAGGAGTTTGAGGCTGCAGTGAAGCCATGATCATGCCACTTAACTTCCCTGGGGGACAGAGCAAAACCCTGCCTCTAAAAAAAAGTCTACAATCTGAACCAAAGAATAAGTATGTCAATGAATAAGTCTAACCAACCCCACTCATACTGTGTCCTACTCTTTGCTTTACTTCTTGTCTCTATTCCACATATGCCTTGTTCTCAACCAACAGCACTGTCCCCATATTCTGCCTTCCACTTGCCCAATTAGCTTGTGATCTCTAGGGTCTTTGTACTTGCCCCTGTGATTCTTAGTGTTTTATTTTCTCTGGAGGATGGCATAGCCAGGATCATAGGGGTCCTGGTGCCACCCTTCGGGTGTCCAGGGTCTTCCTCCTGCTCTCTGGTGACCCTTCATGGCCATGACTTGCAATGCACACTCCTGTGACACATCTCACCTCTTCTCTTTCTCACCAAAATATTCCTATAAGCTATCCCTTTCTCTAAAGCTCCTGCTAGTAGGCTTGATAATCTAAGATACTCTTTCAGGTCAGGGTGATAATAATTAACTCAATCCTTTTGTGTGCATTACACATTAGAATGCTTGGAGAAATTAAACACTGTTTACCTGAAAACATATTAATGAACTATAATTGGCAAACAATGAAGATGATATTAGTGCATAAAGGGAGGCTTCCGGTTGTCCCCTCATGTCCAACCCTGTGGCTCAGTGGGTTAAAGGCTACCTGGACCCCACTGCATCTTCTCTGCCTAGATGCTTGGTGTTCAGAGACTATACCTTACAGTCTGTTTACATACGTTCCCATTTCACAGGTAAAATAAAATAAAGAAGGGACTATTCTTGGAAGTTTGATTAAGGAAGCTTGATGTAAATTTATTTGACTGATGAGTAAGTAGAGAAAAATGAAAGATACTTCTAATGTATATGTTATAATAGAGAATTGAAGAATTCTGGAATTTTATACCTGATAGGAGAATGAAAGTGCTCTGAAATTTAAATGATTAATAACAGAATAAGAACTTTTTGGCTTTTCAACAGTGTACTTATAAATCATACATTACAGTATAAATTATATTGTATGATAATACTGTATGAATTTCTAACTATGTTACTCATATTTCATGTGATAGTGCTGAAGTTATTGGCAACTTGGATAGTGCACTAATGTTATATATATTTAAAATATAATGTGTATATATATGTATACACATACATATATGAAGATTTGAGGAATTGAAGACAATGTTAAATATACTTTCAATTTGTTCTTTTAAATTTGAATTTTTAAATTCTTACAAATTTCAGGGTAAGAAAAAACTATTATGTCATCATCTCAGTATTAGGAATTCAGATAAAACAAAACATCAACATCCATTTGTTGCCTTGGTTTTTAAATTGGTGAGCACTCTACCATAAAGTTCATGCTTCAAAGATTTTAAGAGATGAGCTTGGATGAGATAAATGTCCTTCATGCTTAATTCTTACACCTAATCTTAAATAGACACTACAACATCACTATTTCACCCACTCATTCCATAAGCATCTGCTAAGAATTTATTATAAACCAGGCATTTTGCTAGGCACTGGAGAACATACACAGTGCAATCAAACATTTCTGCCTTTGGCAGTGACTGTTAGTCCTTACTAATATGTTCTCCTTTTTCAGGGCACACAGATGGATGGCATTTTCCAGTCTCCTTTATCATGTTCTGGCTAGCAGAATGAAGGTGGCTATGTTACATGCCTCCTTCAGAACCACCCTACAAATATATCCTGTGTATGATTCTCTTTCTGTTTCCCATCTGCTGCAGAAATGAATAAGTCTTCAGGGACCAGATGGGCGCAGTGGCTCACGCCTGTAATCCCAGCACTTTGGGAGGCTGAGGTGGGTGAATCACGAGGTCTGGAGTTTGAGACCAGCCTGTCCAATATGGTGAACCCCCGTCTCTATTTAAAATACAAAAATTAGACTGGCGTGGTGGCACACGCCTGTAGTCCCAGCTACTCGGGAGGCTGAAGCAGAAGAATCGCTTAAACCTGGGAGGCAGAGGTTGCAGTGAGCCAAGGTTGTTGAGCCACTGCACTCCAGCCTGGGTGACAGATCGAGACCCCATCTCAAAAAAAAAAAAAAAAAAAAAAGAAAAAGAAAAGAAAAGATAAAAGACTCCAAGGACTTAGAAGAGAGAGGAATCTCAAGAAGAAATGAGCCTGGGTTCCTGAATGATTCTTCCAACCACCATGAACTTACATTGGACTGTGACTTAACAAGACATAAATGTCATTGTGTTAAGCCACTAAGATGCTCTAAATGCTTGTTAAAGCATTTAGTCAACTGTATCAGTCTAGCTCTATGATGAATAACCTTAAACATAGTGACATAAGACTAAAACTAATCTGTGTGTTAGCAATTTAGACAGGGCTCCACAGAAATGGGTCATCTTTTCTCCTCTAGGCACTGGCCAGGCTCACTCATGGGTTTATGGTCAGTTGGCAAGTCATATGGAAGCTGGCTGGTCCCGGATGAAGAATTGGCAGAGCCATGTGTCTCCAGGATGCTAGCCAAGACTTTTTCAAGAAGAAAGGCAAGCTTCTATTCATAAGCATTTTTTTATTGTACTTTAAGTTCATGTGCACAACGTGCAGGTTTGTTACATATGTATACATGTGCCATGTTGCTGTGCTGCGCCCATTAACTCATCATTTACATCAGGTATATCTCCTGATGCTATCCCTTCCCGCTCCCCCAACCCCATGACAGGCCCCAGTGTGTGATGTTTCCCTTCCTGTGTCCAAGTGTTCTCATTGTTCAATTCCCACCTATGAGTGAGAACATGCGGTGTTTGGTTTTTTGTCCTTGGGATAGTTTGCTGAGAATGATGGTTTCCAGCTTCATCCATGTCCCTGCAAAGGACATGAACTCATCCTTTTTTATGGCCGCATAGTATTCCATGGTGTATATGTGCCACATTTTCTTAATCCAGTCTATCATTGATGGACATTTGGGTTGATTCCAAGTCTTTGCTATTGTGAATAGTGCCGCAATAAACATATGTGTGCATGTGTCTTTATAGCAGCATGATTTATAATCCTTTGGGTATATACCCAGTAATGGGATGGCTGGGTCAAATGGTGCTTCTAGTTCTAGATCCTTGAAGAATCGCCACACTGACTTCCACAATGGTTGAACTAGTTTACAGTCCCACCAACAGTGTAAAAGTGTTCCTATTTCTCCACATCCTCTTCAGCACCTGTTGTTTCCTGACTTTTTAATGATCGCCATTCTAACTGGTGTGAGATCATATCTCATTGTGGTTTTGATTTGCATTTCTCTGATCACCAGTGATGATGAGCATTTTTTCATGTGTCTGTTGGCTGCATAAATGTCTTCTTTTGAGAAGTGTCTGTTCATATCCTTTGCCCACTTTTTGATGGGGTTGTTTTTTTTTCTTGTAAATTTGTTTGAGTTCTTTGTAGATTCTGGATATTAGCCTTTGTCAGATGTGTAGATTGCAAAAATTTTCTCCCATTCTGTAGGTTGCCTGTTCACTCTGATGATAGTTTCTTTTGCTGTGCAGAAGCTCTTTAGTTTAATTAGATCCCATTTGTCAATTTTGGCTTTTGTTGCCATTGCTTTTGGTGTTTTAGACATGAAGTCCTTGCCCATGTCCTGAATGGTACTGCCTAGGTTTTCTTCTAGGGTTTTTATGGTTGTAGGTCTAACATTTAAGTCTGATCCATCTTGAATTAATTTTTGTATAAGGTGTAAGGAAGGGATCCAGTTTCAGCTTTCTACATATGGCTAGCCAGTTTTCCTAGCACCATTTATTAAATAGGGAATCCTTTCCCCATTTCTTGTTTTTGTCAGTGTTCTATTGGCAATAATTTGTCCCAAACCAAATCATATAGCAAAACTTTAAGTCAATGTGGGAGAGGATTACAGAAAGGCATGATTCATTGGGAGCCAGTATTTTAACAATCATCATACCAACCTTGATGAATGCATTGCCCTTATGGAGCCCAGAATTTTAAGAGGGAGAGACATATAAATAAATAATTACAATGCTTTATGAGAAGGGTTAGAACTGAAATATAAAAAATATGCTATGGAGACACAAACAAAGGAATAGCTAAACTAACTCTTCTTTGCCTGGGCGTAATAGTAAAACTTTTACAAATGAGATAATTTTGGTGCTGGTTCTTGATGGATGAATAGGAGTTTGTTAGATGCTCTAGGATCACACAGTGCAGTTTTGGGAAAGGAAGAAGGACATTCTAGGAAGGGAAATAGCACAGAAAAGTCCTTGAAGTCAGAAAGTATATTGCATGAGTGGGAGTGAGGAGAAGTGTAATGGTGTGGGGAGTTTTACTAGAGGGTGTTATGAGATGGGCTGCATATGTAGGTAGGACCGGGTGGTGATAAAAGTCTATGCCAAGGAGTTCAGTATTTGTTAAGCTGACAGTGGTGGAGGATTAAAGATACATTATTAAGTAACTAATAATATTGGTGATCAGACTACTGGTAACACTGGAAGATTAACCTGAATTATACTTTTGGTAAAAAAAACACAGTAATACTTGCTGGCATAAGGAGTGAGAATGAATCTCAGTGCATACACTTGGTTGTACAAGAAAGGTTGTTTTCTTAATTTTACTATGGTTCAATAAAATTTATGTCTTATATTTTCATTTCACAGGGTGACAGAAACTGAATCCATCATTTGTAGGGCTATCTCTTCACTTCACAGTTGTATATAGGATTTGTAGAGCTGAGCTGGCACAAAAGAATCTGGGGCCACCTCTGATGCACATCCACAGGCTCTGAAAACCCTAGTCTTCTCTATTACCTTCACGCTTCTCAGGATATGTAGGGATCACCCTGGGGAACCAGGGCCACAGAGAATAGGACAACTTTGTGAGCTGATTGCTGACTCTGGGTGCCTGAACATACTGCAGGCATACCTCAGAGATACTGTAGGTTCCATTCCAGACCACCACAATAATGTGAATATCACAATAAAGTGGGTCATGTGAAGTTTTTGGTTTCCCAGTAGATATAGTTTGGATTTGTGTCCCCTCCCAAATCTCATGTGGAATTGTGATCCCCAGTGTTGGAGGAGGAGCCTGTTGGGAAGTGATTGAATTTTGGAAGCGGATTTCCCCCTTTCTGTTCTTGTGATAGTGAATGAGTTCTCACGAGATCTGGTTGTTTAAAAGTGTGTAGCACCTTCTGTTCCCTCTCTCCTGCTCTGGCAAGTGAAGATGTACCTGCTTCCCCTTCACCTTTCACCATGACTGAAAGTTTTCTGACGGCTCTCCAGCTGTGCTTCCTATACAGCCTACAGAACTGAGAGTCAATTAAACTTTTCTTTATAAATTACCCCATCTCAGGTAGTTCTTTACAGCAATGTAAGAACAGACTAATACAGAAAGTTGGTACTGGGGTGAGGTTTTGCTATAAAGATGTCTGAAAATATGGAAGCAACTTTAGAACTGGGTAATGGGCAGAGGTTGGAACAGTTTGGAGGGCTCAGAGGAAGATAGGAAGATGAGGGAAAGTTTGGAACTTCCTAGAGACTTGTTAAATTGTTGTGACCAAAATGCTGATAGTGATACAGGCAATGACATCCTGGCTAAGGAAGTCTCAGATGGAAATGAGGAACTTTTTGGGAATTAGATCCAAGATCACTTATGTTATGCATGAACAAAGTGATAATCTGAAACTGAAACTTATATTTAAAAGGGAAGCACAGTATAAAAGTTTGGAAAATTTGCAGCCTGGCCATGCGGTAGAAAAGAAGAACCCATTTTCTGATGAGGAATTGAAGCTGACTGAATAAATTTGCATAAGTAAGGAGGAGGCGAATGTTGATAGCCAAGGATGGGTAAAATGCCTCAAAGACATTTAGAGATCTTTGCTTCAGCCCCTTCCATCAGAGGGCCGGGGGCCTAGGAGGGAAGAATGGTTTCCTGGGAAGGCAGGGCTCTGCTGCCCTGCACAACCTCAGGACACTGATCCCTGCATCCCAGCTGCTCCAGCTCCAGCTGTGACTATAAGGGGCCCAGATATGTCTCAGGCTTCAGCTCCAGAGGCTGCAAGCCATAGGCCATGGTGACTTTCCATGATCTTAAGCCTGTGGGTGTGCAGAGGGCAAGAGTTCAGGCTTGGGAGCCTCTGCCTAGATTTTAGAAGATGTATGAAAATGCCTGGATGTCCAGGCAGAAGTCTGCTGCAGAAGCAGAGCCCTCATGGAGAACCTCTTTTAGGGCAGTGCAGAGGGGAAATGTGGGGTTGGAGCCCCCAGACAGAGTCCTCACTGGGTCACTGCCTAGTGGAGCTGTAAGAAGAGGGCCACCATCCTGCAGACCCCTGAATGGTAGATCCACCAACAGCTTGCATCATGGACCTAGAAAAGCTGCAGGCACTCAATGCCAGCTTGTGAAAGCAGCCACAAGGCAGGGTCACAGAGGCAGAGCAGCCCAAAATCCGTGGGAGCCCACCCTTTGCATCAATGTTGCCTAGATGTGAGACATGGAGTCAAAGGAGATTATTCTGGAGCTTCAAGATATAACAACTGCCCTGCTGGGTTTTGGACTTGCAGGGAAACTGTACCCCATTTGTTTTAACCAATTCCTCCCTTTTAGAATGGGAATATTTAGCCAATGCCAGTACCCTTATTGTATCTTGGAAGTAACTAACTGGTTTTGATTTTACAGGCTCATAGGTGGAAGGGACTTGCCTCGTCTCTGATGAGACTTTGGACTGTGGACTTTGAATTAATGCTGGGATGAGTTAAGACTTTGGGGGACTGTTGGGAAGACATGACTGTATATTGAAATGTGAGAAGGACATGAAATTTGGGAGGGGCAAGGGGCAGAATAATATGGTTTGAATTTTGTCTCTGCCCAAATCTCATGTTGAATTGTGATCCCCATTGTTGGAGGAGGGGTCTGGTGGGAGGTGACTGGATAATGGGGGTGTATTTCCCACTTGCTGTTCTCTTGATAGTGAGTGAGTTTTTATGAGATCTGGTTATTTATAAGTGTATAGCACCCTCCATGTTCTCTCTCTTCTGTCATGTGAAGATGTGCCTACTTCCCCTTTACCTTCTGCCATGATCAAAAGTTTCCTGAGGCCTATGCAGCCATACTTCCTGTACAGCTTGTGAATCTGTGAGTCAATTAAACCTCTTTTATTTATAAATTACTCAGTCTCAGGTAGCACTTTATAGCAATGTGAGAATAGAGTAATACACCAGTGTATATAAAAGTTATGTTTACACTGTACCGTGGTCTATTAAATGTGCAATAGCACTGTGTCTAAATAAATGCACATACATTAATTAAATACTTTATTGCTAAAATAGGCTAACAATCCTCTGAGCCTTCAGTAAATCATAATATTTCAGCTGGTGGAGGGTCATAAGGCAATGAAGTTTGTTGCGTTGGTCAACTCTTCCTTTTATGAAATATTTCCCTGTGGCATGTGATAACATTTAATAGCATTTTACCTACATTAGAACTTCTTTCAAAATTAATGTCAATCGTTTCAAACTCTACTGGTGCTTTATCAACTATGTAATATTCGAAATCCATTGTTGTCATTTCAACAGGGTTCACAGCATCTTCATCAGACATAAATTCCATCTCAAGAGACCATTTTCTTTGCTCATTGATAAGAATCAACTTCTCATCTGTCCAGGTTTTATGATAAGATTGCAGCAATTCAGTCACACCTTCATGTTCCACTTCTAATTTTAGTTCTCTTGCTATTTCCACCACATTGGGAGTGACTTTCTCCACTGAAGTCTTGAACCCCTCAAAGTCATCTGTGAGGGTTGGAATCAACTTTTTCCAAGCTCCTATTCATACTTTGAACTCCTCCCTTGAATCCCAAATGTCTTTAATGACATCTGGAATGGAGAATTCTTTCCAAGAGGTTTTCAACTGACTTTTCCCATATCCCTCAGAAGAATCACTATATATTGCAGCTATAACTTCACAAAATATATTTCTTAAATAATAAGACTTGAAGTTGAAATGTCTCCTTGATGCATGGGCTGCAAAATGGATATTGTGTTATCAGGCATGAAAACAACATGAATCTCCTTGCACATCTCTATCAGAGCTCTTGGGTGACCAGGTCAATTGTCAATGAGCAGTAATTTTTGAAAGAATATTTTTAATGAGAAGTAAGTCTCAACAGTGAGCTAAAATATTTAGTAAACCATGCTGTAAACAGATGTGCTGTCATTCAGGCTTTGTTGCTCTATTTCTAAAGAATAGGCAGAGTAGATTTAGCATAATTCTTAATGATCCTAGGATTTTCAGCATGGTCAATGAACACTGGCTTCACCTTGAAGTCACCAGCTGCATTATCTCCTAACAAGATAGCCTGTCCTTTGAAGTTTTGAAGCTAGCCTTTGACTTCTCTCTAGCTATGATAGTCCTAGATGATATCTTCCAATAGAAGGTACTTTTGTCACTGAAACTGGACCTCTTCCTTACACCTTATACACAACTCAACTCAAGATGGATTAAAGACTTAAATGTAAGACCTAACACCATGAAAACCCTAGAAGAAAACCTAGGCATACCATTCAGGTCATAGGCATGGGCAAAGACTTCATGATTAAAATACCAAAAGCAATGGCAACAAAAGCAAATGGGACCTAATTTAACTAAAGAGCTTCTGCACAGCAAACAAACAAACAAACAAACAAAAAGAAAAACAAAAAACAACCCATCATCAGAGTGAACAGGCAACCCAGAGAATGGGAGAAAATATTTGCAATCTATCCATTTAACAAAGGTCTAATATCCAAAATCTATAAGGAGCTTAAACAATTTTAGAAAAAAACAAACAACCCCATCAAAAAGTGGGCAAAGTATACGAACAGACCTTCTTAAAAGAAGACATTTATGTGGCCAACAAACATGAAAAAAAGCTCATCATCACTGGTCATTAAAGAAATGCAAATCAAAACTACAATGAAATACCATCTCATGCCAATTAGAATGGTGATCATTCAAAAGCCAAGAAACAACAGATGCTAGAGAGGATGTGGAGAAATACGAACACTTTTACAATGTTGGTGGGGTTGTAAATTAGTTAAAGCATTGTGAAAGACAGTGTGGTGATTCCTCAAGGATCTAGAACCAGAAATACCATTTGACCTGGCAATCCCATTACTGGGTTTATACCCAAAGGATTATAAATCATTCTACTATAATGACACATGCACACATATGTTTATTGCAACACTGTTTACAATAGCAAAGACCTGGAACTAACTCAAATGCCCATAAGTGATAGACTGGATGAAGAAACTGTGGCACATATACACCATGGAATATTATGCGGCCATAAAATGAATGAGTTCATGTCCTTTGAAGGGACATGGATGAAGCTGGAAACCATCATTCTCAGCAAAGTAACACAGGAACAGAAAACCAAACACTGCATTTTCTTACTCATAAGTGGAAGTTGAATAATGAGAACACATGGACACAGGGAGGGGAACATCACGCACCAGAGCCTGTCAGGGTTGGGGGCAGGGAGAGGGATAGCATTAGGACAAATTCCTAATGCATGCAGAGCTTAAAACCTAGGTGATGGGTTCATGGGTGCAGCAAACCACCATGGCACATGTATACCTATGTAACAAACCTGCAGGTTCTGCCCATGTATCCCAGAACTTAAAGTAAAATTTTTTTAAAAAGAAGTCAGTTTTGTTTGTCTACATTAAAAATCTCTTGTTTGGTGTATCCACCTTCATCAATTATCTTGGCCAGATTTTCTGGATAACTTGTAGTTTCTATATCAGCACTTGCTGCTTACCTTGCACGTTTCTGTTATGGATAGAGCTGCTTTTTTAAACCTTATGAATCAACCTCTGCCAGCTTTAAACATTTCTTCTGCAGCTTTCTCACCTCTCTCTGCCTTCATAGAATTGAAGAGAGTTAGAGCCTTGCTCTGGATTAGGCTTTGGCTCAAGGGCATGTTGTGTTTGCTTTGATCTTCTATTCAGATCACCAAAAATGTTCTCCATATCAGCAAGAAGGCTATTTTCCTATCTTACCATTTATGTGTTCACTGCAATAGCACTTTTAATTTCCTTCAAGAACTTTTCCTTTTTGCTCACAACTCAGCTGTTTCACACAAGAAGCCTAGCTTTCCTTCTGTCTTAGCTTTTGACATGCCTTCCTCACTAAGCTGAATCATTTCTATTTTTGATTTAAAGTGAGAGGCGTGTGACTCTTCCTTTCACTTGAACAATTAGAAGCCACTGTAAGGTTATTAATTAGCTTAATTTCAATATAATTGTATCTCTGGGAACAATCTCTGAGAGGGAGAGAGACTAGAAACAGCTAGTTGGTTTAGCAGTCAGAATACACACAACACTTATCAATTAAGTTGGCTATCTTATATAGGTACTGTTTGTGGTGCCCCCAAATATTTACTATGTACCATCAAAGGTCACTGATCACAGATCACCATAACAGATATAATCATAATCAACGAGTTTAAAATATTGTGAGAATTACCAAAATGTGAGACAGAGACACAAAGCGAGCACATACTGTTGGAAAAATAGTGCTGGTAGACTTGCTCAATAGACACAGGGTTGCCACAAACCTTCAGTCTGTAAAAAGCGTAACGTTTGTGAGATGCAATAAACAAAGCCCAATAAAATGAGCTATGCATGTACAGTGTTTTATTCTGAGACTTTTATCTTTCTGGGGCTGTACCATGGGGAAGGATAACAGTCTCTTTTTCTCCCAGATTCCACAGACAGATCTGAGTTTATTGTCCATGAGGACTTGCTCACAGACAGGAACAATTCCTATTACTGCATAACAAATTAAGTTTAAAATTTAGTAACTTAAACAACCATTTATTAATTTCATAGAATTTAGTGGGTCAAGAATTTGGACAGGCATAACAGGCATACTGGCTCTGCTTGATGGTGACTGGTGTCTCGGCTGGGGACACTCAATGGCTGGAGGTGACTCAATGGCTTTGTGCTGGAATCATCTGAAGACTTGTCAATTCACATGTCTGGAGTCTGGGTTGGGATGAGTTCAAGAGTATGACTGCTGACCAGTTCTCCTGCTGTGATCTTTCCATCTGGCTTGACTTCCTCAGAGCATGGTGGCCTCAGTGTAGTCAGAATTCTTACCTGGCAGTTCCTGGCACTAAGAGCTGGTGTTCTAGAAAATAAGGTGGAAGCTGCATCATTTTTTATTACATAGCCGTAGAAGCCACACAAAATTACTTCTGCCATTGGTTGAGGAAGTCAAAATAATACACAGATTTGGGTTGAGGGGATGCAGACCCCTTCTTTTCAATGGGAGGAGTGTCAAAGGATTTTAGAGTCATGTTTTTCACCCACCAAACTCTCATGGCTTATCTCTGATGTTCCTTTCTTCTTCCAACATGAAAATTTTGTTTGTTGTTAGTCTGAGGCCCAGGGTGTGGTGGAACATAAGGGATGAGGAATATTTGCTCTGACTCATGATGTCTTTTCCAAAATACTTTATCCATGCTATGAGTCCTTTCTATTTACTGAGAGCCAGAAACAGGCAGAAAGAGCACTCTGCCTTGTATTGTCACATCCCTTCTCTGAAGTTAAAAAGTTCTATAGCAAAGCCTAACTATCTGAAGGGGTTGAGGACTAAAGGAATAAACGATATGCTGTATGGGTTTGGGTAGATAGGGGCAGACATTCATATTACTAAATGACATTTTATTTTATGTTTTGTAAATATTTAACATTTCAATATTATTCCACCAAACATGCAACAAAACAAAATAAACAAAGATATTGTTGCCCTACTTTTATAATTTTGCCATCTAATCTCACTATTCCTATTTGGAGTGGCTTCTTCCTGTGGTTTCTCTCTCTCTCTCTCTCTCTCTCTCTCTCTATTTTATATTCCTTTTACAATTTTCTCAGTTTAATGGACTCAGTATTCTTAAAACATTCCAGTAATTTCAAAGTACAGCAATCTTGAAATATTCTGATCTAATCATTCAAGGTTATACCAGAATTTCTAGGGCAGTTTCTTCGGCTTATCTCATACTACATATGATTACATAGTTCAGCTTTTCACCCTTTTGACTACACAGACAATATATATAAACCTATTTAGGGCAATTAACGTATTGGAGGATAAAAATCCTTTGAATTCCATGTCCACATGGTTTGGATTTCTGTCCCCACCCAAATCTCATGTTGAATTGGAGAAGGGGCCTGGTGGGAGGTGATTGGATCATGGGGGCAGATTTTCTTCCTGCTGTTCTCGTTCTCATGAGATCTGATGGTTTAAAAGTGTGTGGCACTTCCCCCTTTATTCTCTTTCTCTCCTGCCACAATGTGAAGAGAGTGCTTGCTTCCCCTTCATCTTCTGCCATCATTGTAAGTTTCCTGAGGCCTCCCAGCCATGCTGCCTGTTAAGCCTGCCGAACTGTGAGTCAATTCAACCTCTTTTTATTTTTTTAAATAAATTAGCCAGTCTCAGGTAGTTCTTTATAGCAGTGTAAAAAGGACTAATATATCCATAAAAGCTCACTCACTGACAGGCTAAGGACAGTATGTAGAGGACCGCCATTAGGACCTTTCAAGTCAATAACAAATGCCTCTCCAGAGAGATATTATGCTAATATTGAGTATTATGCACATTGTTAGTAGTTAATCATGTGTTTAATTCTTGATTTTTGAGCTACCCTTTGGCCTATGATGTAGCTGGGTTTTTTTTAGTTCATACTTCTTTTGTGCTTTGTGTCCGTATCTATTTCTACATCAGTCACAGAAATTGAAGACTTTAAATTTTCTCAATCAGATCCATTCTTTGAACAGGAATGGCAAGGATGAGGCAAGGTGATAGCTCCTAGGGAGATGCTTGGCTGTGTGACATAGGGGTGAATACCTGGAGACAATTAGCATTCTGTTATGGAGGAAGAAGTGGGGAGTGGATGCAACTAATCATATCTACTGCAGAGAAAAAATAGAACACTTAAAGCATGTAGGCAAAGGATCAGGATAAATGGCTAAGTGCCTATGAGCCCAAAATTGATTCAAGAGATGACTAAACATTGGTTCAAGGACTGAAAGACTAAGCATGTTAAGAGTTCTGCTGATTGGGTTCTATACAACATCAAGGTACAGGGCAAGGCAGCAGCATAGACACAAAAGTGGCCAAGGAGTTGCCTGACACACTTGCGGAGATTACCAAGAGGAGGAGTCGACTTTCCTAACAAATTGTCAGTGTAGACAAATGAGGCATAGAAAATAATGCCTGATAGATTCTATATCAGTAAAGAAAAGTGTTCTTGGTTTTAAAGTTAGATTCATACTTCTGTTGGTGGAAATATGACTAGATACTTAAATCTCTCTTAGACAATTTGGATTTACAAAGAGACTGACAAACAAATGGACAGATAGTCTTTGAGAACTTAATGTGAATGCCACTGTATTTGGGGTACTGTTCTCTGCTTCAGAATGAATAGTCTATTGAAATCTCAGTTCCTACTGGCTAATTTGAAGCACAAGTGTTGAGAGGCTAATGTTTGGGAGGCATTTTTCTTTTGAGCTAAAACAGGAGTTTGAACAAACTCCAGCCTGAGTCAGCTTCTAAACAAGGATGAAATTCAAGTTTACAAAGCTTACTTGCAAGCCTGAAGCAGCTTATTTATGTATTTATAACATTTGCCTTAAAAAGAAACATTGGCCTATAACTTTGTAAAAGGTTGAGTTGAATACTCAGCAAAAGCAAACTTAAATGGTTTCATAACTTTTCCTCCAACCAAGGCTGGCAGCATAGCCATGGTGACAGTACAGTAAGCAGAGCACTGTGCTGCAAGGCAGGAATATGAGAGCACCTCCCTACCTAGGTATTGAGAAACTCTTCACCCTGAACAAGTCACTTCACTTCTTTAGGTCAGAAAAAGACTAACCTATCAGGTGGAATGCACTAAAGACACTAAAACATCTTAATTATTATTTTCCTTTGACTTTAGGGTTGAGGAATCTGAGTACAATTAAGCCACATGTCCTCAGTTAAATATTGAGCCAGTAGACTTGGAGTGGCCTTCATGCCCCTTGACTCCCTGGCCCAAACTCTCTTTCTCTAGTGCTTTGCAGAACGTGGCAGTAAATCTAGCTGTGTCTAATGAAAGGGCTTCTGCTGTCAGTGACACCCAGAGGTAAGCACCTTGGAATTAGCAATTCTCACCTGATATTGTTAACATTCAGGTAGGCTTAACCTATGGACCCCACCTGCCACAGTGTCTCTGAAGCTCAGTCTACAAGCGAGCACAGGATGTAAGGAATAATCCTTTGCAATGAACAAATATCTTGTCAAACCCTGAACATGCTCAAAGAAGCATCACTTGGATTAGTGGATTAAGTGCATTAGTCCAAATGATTTTACTAATTGTGCATTATATATAAATGAAAGCCTGAGAATGATGGAAATATTACTTTGCAACGACTGTTATAGTTTTCCAAAGAAATGTTCAGAGATAAGAGAGGAGATTGCAACACTAAAGGTGTTTAGTCCTTTGGCTGTTGGAAGGCTTCTAATGCAATATAAGACACAGCATTGATGTGCTCAGCTCAGGGATAATATAGAAGGAGGAAACTGGCTCACAGACTTGATTCCCCAGGACAATTTCCTCTAGAGCAGTATATGAAGATGCTTTGCTTTATAGGACCCTGAAAAGCCCATCTTCTGTCCTGAGAAGCCTTCCGTTATATTAAGGAGCTCATACCATCTATGAAAAACATTTATTTCATTTTTAAATATAGAATACATTTTACACCTACTGTTGAGTTGAGAGACAGACAGTCATCGCATTAAATGGTTATTATCCAGGATTAGGACCATCCTCTATTTCATTCATTGGGTGAATGCTCAGCTGATTAGGTTCTTGCAGAGAACCTAATAGGTTCGAATCATCACAGCACCAACCCATTTGCTACCACAGCCCTGGGATCTGGAGAAGACAGCTTGGTGTGTGAGTCCCTGCCTGCTCCTGGCCTTTGTCTTCCTTCTGTCCATGCATTTAGGGGTCAACTGACCCCTCTCACAGACTTAGTATTGCCTGTCTAAAAGTTAATTAAAAAAAAAATCCCAAACTGCAGAACTGTGCTTCAATTCACATTTCCCTAGCACTGGCCTCACCCCAACAGCTGAAGAATGAGTTTCAGCCTTGAATCCTGGATGTGAAATCTCTTTAGGTTTTGCTTACCTGGACTCCAGAACCTTCTGCTTTTCTCCTGCCAGTCTCCATCCTCTAGTAGCTGAGAGTGTGGACAGAGAGGTCAAAGAGGGCTAGGTTCTGGACTTCTCTTTGTGTTTACTAGCTAAATGGCATTAGGCAGATTTGTTTCCATAAGTCTCATTGCTCACCTATAAAATGGGTCAAATAATAAAAATCTATCTCAGATGGTTTGTATGAGATCAAATGAGATAATGTATGTAATGTCCTTAGTACAAAGTGCAATATACAAAAGCTATTCAATAAATTTAAGCTATTAGTAATATCAATTAAATGCACAGAAGTTTAGCAATTCTGTTGCTCTCTGCTTCATTTCTGTGTGAGTTTTTTTCTTCCAAACTGGGTTGTAGATTTTTTTTGTCACAGACTATGTTTAAAAAGGTTTTCAGATTTTCTTCAGAACTGAACCAAATATAGGGTATGAGGTGGTGTTTAATAGCGTTTGATTGATTCAAAACCAGCACAATTTCTAAAATACCTTGTGACTAGAGCTCATTTTGAAATTTTGTACATGAATACAGAGAAAATGCAGAATAAGTCAATCTTCAGAAAGCGGGAATTATGAGCTCACTCAATGCAGAGCTTCATTACCTATGTAATGTCATCATTTCAGGGCATGCCAGCCACAGAGAACAGAACCAGGCCATCAATTGGCACTCAGTGACTAAACACTCTGTGTGGGTCCTTGCACTGGAATTGACTGCAAGCAGTCAGAGAAAGCACTCAAAGAATTACTCCGTTTATGCACAAAGTATTTTTCAATATGGCTTAAGTAAAACCTCCTGTCCCATCATCATTGACTCCTAATTATTAATTAAACTATTTAGCACTTTTAAAACCCCAACAGGCATACCTTTTCTCTAGCAGATACTCACTAGAAAACAGCTATCAGGGAAAGACAGTTCTAACAAATAAAAAAAGAATAGTAAAAGCAGCACACATCAGCCACCACCAGCAAAAAACAACTGTTTTGATGTTTATGCATGTGGGTAGTTTTTTGTTTAAACACAATGTGATTAATAAACACAGACTTATGAAATCCTTTCTTTCATCAATGAACTATGGCAAACTTGAAATACAAGGATTATGTTTTTAAGTGTCTAAATTGAAAAGGCAAGAATAAGTCCCAGGACCAAATTCTCAACAATAATCCCAATTTTTACTGATTTCGAGGTTTATACTGACATTTTTTTCTCAATTGTATTTAGGCATCCAAGTATGTGTGTTTCTTCCAGTCCCTTAAATAATCTTCACAGCCTACATAGGTTGCCTTGTAATGTAGCCAGAGAAAGAAAACATTTTAAAACTATTAAGCATATTCCAAATGTTGTTATTAGTAGTTTTGAGGGCTTGGCTATTTTGTTAGCCTCAAAAATGTTAATAATTAGTATTCTTTGGAATTTTGCTCATGAAGCTTAAGAAACAACATTGTAAATTATAAAGGAAGAAATATTTTGCTTATTTTGTGTTTCTTTGCGTGGATAAAGCTGTCTTCAGTCTTCATCACCACAGGCTTTACTGTTAATGATGGAATGCAAAATGTAGATTTTTTCCTCTATGGTTTTCTTTATTTGTCTTATTTGTTCTGCTATTTCCTATGTGTCTGCCCCAGCCCCTTTTGCTGATAATTTTATATTGCATTTATTGCAAGGAACACTGTGTGGTTTCTACGATCAGGTAAAATGCTTAACTTCTTTAAAAAAAAAAACTTTTAAGAAGAAATGATTTTGTTAAAAAAAGTTCTTATTTTGATAAACAAAGGTTTAGTGAAAATTAAATCAGTGTCTGTTTCAGAATATAAGAACCTAAAAGAAGAGTTCTGCAAACACGGTTATTTCAAATTGATGTGCTTTGCAGTATTGAAAAATATTAGTATCATGTCTAGGTAATGTTTAATGACGTGAAGGAAGCAAAGCCAAAGTCACTTAACCTAGTGGTTAGCCACTTGGTAGGGTATGAAATACATGTTTCCCAGGAGGCTCCCAGATCATCATTTGTGTGTTCCTGTATGTGCAATTGTATGCATCCAAAATGATACTTCTTTTAGAGGCTATGTAGAGTTCTAATGTCATCTTATTTCTATTTTGCCACGTGTTTCCTTCTCACTCAATCTTCTCAATGTGGGATTGGGTTCTAGGGATCCACAGTTGTCATTAGGTTAGTCTGAAGAGTGACACCATGCAACAGTGACACTCCTGGCTTGCCCCACCTCTGACACACTTCTCGTCCTTGTCTGTTCCTCTTTCTGATCAGTGTATGACATCTATTAGTCAACATTTCTTAATTGAGAGGGCAGATATATTAAAAGGCTGTATATACTGGAAACTTTTTTTCTTTTTTATCTGAACAGTCCAATGCAGCAATACTAGGTATTGTGGATGCCTATTTTCACAGGCCTGGATTCAGAATGGTGGGGGCACTGAATGGTAAAAATCCCACTGGTTGCATATCTAAGCCATGTACTGTAACCCAGCTGTTGCATAAAGTTTTATCTCCAACAGACTGGCTCCTGTTTCAGATATTCAGAATTCAGGCAGGGAAAGGGGTGTCATTTACCAGGCACTCTTAAATCCCAACAATTACGTGAACAACTACAATCTAAATTTTCAAGTTATCCCACTGATTTATTTGGCCTGGAAATTTTCTAGAATAATGGAGTCTTAAAATAAATCTCAGGTTGAAATGGACTCAGTCTTCAATCTGACTGAAGTGTTTTGCCTTCCTATAATTTTTATTTAGTAATGTTTTAGTAGCTGTAAAATAGTTGCAGTTCATACAACACTTTATGGTTATCTAGTCAGACTTAAGTCTTTTTAAAATATCTATTTTCTCCAGTATAAGGTTTCTCAAAGAACTTCCAGAATTTAAACTATTTCTATATTGTCAACATGTGTCTACAATGAAATTCTTCTAAATGATGGACTGCATCTGTACTCGTTGAAGATTATTTCAGACAACCATGATATACATAATGGTTTGTGCAATAAATGAACTAGAGTCAGAACATGTGGATCCTTAATGCATAAGCTTGGACACATACTTAACTGTTCTGGATGTTAATCTTACTTGGGCCTTGAGAAACATGTGACTTGCCTACCTTATAAAACTGCTACGAGGGTCACAGGATACGAAACTTTGATGAAAAGTAAAGCGTTGTGCAACTTCCTTCATTTGACTAGTCCTCTAAGAATCATTCAACATAGGTGACCCTCATTTTCTCTTAGCATTCATGGCACTCATTTTCTGGTTTTCCTCCACCTCTTTGACTTCTTTCATATCTACTTTGCTGGCTCAGTCGGTCCTTTTCTACCAGACTACTTTAGCCTGAGTGTATTAGTCTGTTTTCATACGGCTATAAATAAGTGCCCAAGACTGGGTAATTCATAAAGGAAAGAGGTTTAATTGACTCACAGTTCAGCATGGCTGGGGAGGCCTCAGGAAACTTACAATCACGGCAGAAGGTGAAGGGGAAGCACAGCACCTTCTTTACAAGATGGCAGGAAGAAGAAGTGCTGAGCGAATGGGGAAGAGCTCCTTATAAAGCCATCAGATCTTGTGAGAACTCACTCACGATCACAAGAATAGCATGGGAGAGACTGCCCCCATAATTCAATTACCTCCACTTGGTCTCTCCCTTGACACTTGGGGATTATGGGGATTACCATTCAAGATAAGATTTTGTGGGGGGACACAAAGCCTAACCATATCACTGAGTTTCCCAGAAAGCAGATAAAACCTTGCAGGCAAATAGTTTATTCGTGCTGTGATCCCAGGAAGCAGGGTTGAGGGAAAGAGAAAGGGAAATAGGAAAAGAGAGAAAACCAATACAAAAATAAGTCAGCCACAATTTTGGGCAATTGGTCCTGGATCCTGGAATAGCTTTTGAGGACCCTTTGAAATGCATCTCAGAACTATGTGCCTGGGGAAGAACAGAAGAAGCATTTATCCATCACTGCTTGATCTCCCATTGGTGATTTCATGGGCAATAATTGCTCTTCACTTTCAAATTATACATGCATGAGTGCTGAGTGGCTCATGAGAAGCACACAGAGAAGCTCCAACGTGGGCTGATAAGAGGTCTTGTCAGGTTGCAACTGTTCAAAAGTTGTAGAAGTGTATGTGGAATTAGTCACCTTCAAAGTGGCTGGAAGAAGAGAGACTTGGAGAGAGAAGTGGGCTAAAGTGGTGTAAGACAGGTTCAATATATCTGAATTTTGGGATTCCTAGATATCTGAATTCAGATTCAGACATCTGAGTTTTGGGATTCTAGGCCATCTTTTTTATTAATATGTCATATTCTTTCTCAGTGATTATATCTGTTTTTATGGTTGACATTATCTATAACCTTGTAATTCCAAAATTTATATCATTAGCTCAGATCACATTTATGAATTCCATATATTCTTGTATTCTGTTCTCTGCATGACATCAATGTTAGAGTATTTCAAGGAATATACAGTTCTAGATGTATAAACCTAACTCTTGATCCTTCCCTATAAATCTCTTTCTTCCCTAGTCTTTAGCCACTTAGTAAATAGTGCTCCCAATGACCTTAAGTAAATACATTACTTATCTATTATTATGTAACAAATTACTGCAAAACATAGTAGCTCATATTACCAATTTATTATCTTGCAGTTTCTGTGGATAAGGAGTTCAGAAGCAGCTTAGTTCAGTGGTTCTGGTTCAGGATTTCTCATGAGATTATGGTCAAAATGTTACCTGAAGGCTTGACTAGAGCTGGAAGATTTTCTTGTCAGCTGGCCCACTCATATGGATTTCTGCAAGAGGCCTCAGTCACTGGGTGGCTGTTGGCAGGAGTCCTCAGTGATCTTCCACCACGGGTGTCTTCATGGGGCTGCTACTCCATAGCAAGAGATCCAAGAGGAAGGGACAAGGCAGAAGCTACAATGTCTTTTATGACCTTGCCTTGGAAATTACGTGCTGTTATATCTGCCATATTCTGTTGAACACACAGAACAACTCTGTTACAATGAGGGAGAGGTTTGGAAGTGGAGATAATTGGGAGCATTATAGAGGCTGCCTACCATTGCAAGAAACCTGAGAATAATTTTCTAAGATTCGTTGTCTCATCAAGTCCTGTTGATTTGCTTCCAAAATACATCTCAAATCTATCTACCTCTCTCTATCTTTACTGCCAAGTCTCCCATCAAATGGACCATAATATCTTGCTTGGATTTTAGTCTTCTGAGTTTCCTTGTATCTAGTCTTCCTTCCCTCTATTCCATTCTTCAGAAAGTAGCTAGAGTGATTTTTTGAAAACATCACATTGTCAGTCTTAAGAGTCTCAAATCACACCACATCACACTTACAATAAAATTCAAACCTCTTAGTAAGGCCTTTGGGGTCCCTGTGGTTCTGACCCCAGCCCATCACTTTGACCTTATCTGTCACTGCTCTGTCCTAACTCCTTATGATGCAGATCTCTAGCTCCCTCCACCTTGCACCCCGTCCCCACCCCTGCAATACACATATTGTGTTGTTTTTTTTTTTTTTTTTAACCAGCCACCATCACACAAATTCTCTTTCTTTGACAAATCTTCAAGTATCAGATTAAACTTTAGGGAACCTTTTTTAGCTCCCCAATCTAAATTATGTCCCATCTTGTTTTTCTCTAGACTTATACACTGTTTATAACACCTATTGATATTCATTATTAGAAATGTTGCTATGTGTTTTTGTTTTTGTTTTTGTTTTTTGATTATCAGTGTCAGTGGGAAGGGACCATATATATTTTGCTTACACATTTCCACCCACTGAGATGCACAATACCTAGAACAGCATAGTTATTAATGAAACAGTGTTGAATAAGTGAATGCCATATCAAAGAAATTCTCTGTTGTCATAGTTTAAACAAAATATGGTCCTGTTTCTTTGTGTCAAAGTTTCCCACAAGTTATAAATGGTTGTTTATCAAAGAATGAAGAAGAATTCTACTAAAAAAAACTAAAATATAGGTCACTGTCCACATTGCTATAAACTTAATGAAACACGATACAAGCAACCAGAAAGATAAACACAGAGAGAAACAAACAAAAAGTTATTTCAAATGAGGCCAATAGAGCACACGAAGTATGTTGTTAGAAGAGAAAATGCCAACATAGAGTTGCAATATAGTTCAGGAGTTCAAGTCAAACTAAAAAATAAATGACTTTACATGAAATGTTTTGGTTTTTAGATCATTAATTTACAGATGGCGACAAAAACGTAAAGATAAAGCTAACATCTTTGAAAAGTTCATTGTTCATATACAGTACCCTGAATATGATTAATCAAATGCCATCTCTTTATACAAAACAATCCTTTTATCATTCCTAATGGTATCAAGCTGAAGTTTATTATATACAGAAAACTGAAGTGTTCACACATGATCTTCACATGATAGGCCATTACTTCAGTTAAGAGAATTTTAAACTTTTATCAAATTACAGCCTTTTGAAATTATTTCCCATCCTCTGGCATCATTATTTGCCTTTCACCCACAAGCGCTCATGTTCAGCATCTTACAATTTTGGCTCCTTTTTCAGGAAAACCAAAAAAGTGATTTTTTTCTTTAAAACCCAGTTGTTACTTGTACAATATCCATTGTGTGAAAACCAATGGCATTGAAATAATATCCCCTCTCTCCCTTTGTCTTCTTTTTCTTCTTTTCTCTTCTTTTTTTCCCTTTTAACCATCCACACATCAACCTGGAGTATTATAATAAATTTAGTTATCATTTTTCAAATTCACCCCATACTAATTGTTACTTACATAAACAGTTAACAAACCTAGTTGATGAAAGGAGGAAATGAATGGTTTTAAAACTGTGAAGGGCCAGTTATAACCATTTCATTCATGTGTGTGTGTGTATATATATATATATATATATATATAATCAAAAGAGATTTCTCCATCAATTGCTGAAGTGAGAACTAAAGCCTCTTTGAGGATATGAACTTGCAATGTTTCCTGTATGAGTCCTCTTAGCTTAAAGAAGCAAACTTTAAAAAATTACCTTTCCATGGTCAGTTGAGACTTAACTCCTTGGAATGAACATATAATTTCTTAGAAGGTGATGAAAGAAACAGTAAAAAGAAAATGAATTTCAGCACTTGGTCATATAAAACATCTCTGGAAGCTCTCACTACATCTGCAAAGTTGATCTGGCCTAATGAGCAAGTAAATGTTTCCTTAAGTAAAGGGAAATATTTTTAAAAATCCTATATGCCATTTAAATTGAGTTACAGATACCTTATAGAAACTGATTGGTGCTCCAAAACAATTGTTTCATGCACTTCAAAATTATTGATAGAATGCAACCTTAAAATATGAAAGGGGAATTGTTGATAGAATACACATGTTACTATGGTGATATTTTTGGAGCATACTATTTGCCAGAAACATGGTGTAATTCTGGCTAATTTCAGCTCATATTAAATGCTGTTGTGACATAACAGAAATGTCTCTAGGTCACATCAGTGTGATTTGCACTGGGAAATTAGATTAGTCTTCATTGGAAACATCAGTTACAAGGCATGACCACATAGTGTCATAAATCTTCCTGATTTAAGAAATGGAAAATGTGCTCTCGCAATGTACTCGTTTATTAATAAGGGTTCTGCGTTCTCAGGATACCAGTTTGTAATTAGGAAACAACTCATAGCTTCACCCTTTTAACTACTCTAACATGTTCCTATCGGAGTTCTAATTGTTAGCTGATGAGATGTGGTGGCCTCACAGAAAACAAGCAGGGATGATTTCTGGACATAGCTCTCCTGGAAAAAGTGTGCACAAGAGGGGGAAATTTCAGTGTAAAACCCTGGCCAACTCCTCAGATTCCCTCCTCAGCAACTTCTATTTCATATGTCACCTTCAGTTAAATTCTGTAATATCTTACTTAATTTGATGTCTTTGTGTGGATTTGCAAAAAGCATTTGGGAGATGAGTTCATTGTGTCTGTACCATGGAGTGAGGAAAGCAATGCTCCCACTGTTAACTATGTGACACTTGATGTCTGTGGGTACTTAGGAGCTAACCCAATTGCATATTTTCCTTATGTCAATAGTATGGGTGTTCAGAACATCCAGGTGTTAGAAAAATGGTGGGGCAAATGTTTATTTGATTAGTATTTTGTAGTCAGTTTCTGAATATATGCTTTTTACTAATAGGTTGTCCCTAGCTTTTCTTAAATATGGACTGATCCAGTATGCCCAACCCTCTTCAGAAAGAACACATAGAAAATGATAATTTTGTACAGTGCATTAGAGTAGGCGGAAGAAGTTTCATGAGGCTGAAGGTGATCTACTGAAGTCTCCATGACCAACCTGCTGCTGGGAGGACCGTATCTTGGAACACCTATAACCCATGACAACTGAGTGTGCCATGGCTGAAAAGGCGAAAGGTCTGGCTAATTTCTACTTCTATCTTTCCTGCAGGGGCCTGCAGTTATTTCCTCTGAACCTAATCTAAATAACCCACACCACTTTAAATTGAACAGTACAGAACTTCATCCAATGTTGTGATAGTTGATGTCATGAATTTGTTTATTTACCTTTTATGCTTACAAAGTACAGCTCTAGGTTAAACTTTTTAGTATGATGTTTCTTTCCTTAAATAACACCATAAGAACCAACCAAATAACAGCAGAAATATATCTTTTAATTCAGTTTATTATCAACTGAATTAAACAACTGAATTTTTGATTAGGTCACACTCCTATAATAATTTCCCAAGAGCCAATAAGCATGAGATATATTCTTAAGCATCTAAATTTGGGAAACATTGAATTTTTTATAAAAGTAAGGTAAACCATCAATAAATATTTGACTCCCCAAATATAATTTTAATGTGCAAATATCTGACCTTACTTTTCTGAGTATAATAAAACCTATTTGTGTCCATAATTATTTGATTATCTCTTTATTCAGCAGTTTAGTAGGCCTTATATTTTCAAAGATGAAGGTACTCTATTAGATTTTATCTTCTATAATATGTGCATAGCATAGTGTCTTTCTCTCTCTCTCACACACACACACACACACTTTGAGAATGTGTTCAGTTTCTGAATGTATATGTATATACACTACACACACACACACACACACATCTTTAATGAAAAAATATCCTCTAAAAGTAAAATATTCTCTAGAGAAAAAATATTCTCTAAAATTTGTGGAAACAAGGGTTCTAACTATAGGTTTCACAGAGGTTGGAATTTATAACTTGTACTTTATTTTATTTAAAATATTCTTTCCATCCTTTAGCGTTTGTCTGCACAGATACAAATGGGATTTAGTACTTATTTTATTTAAAATCTTCAATCCCATGGCTTTTATCTCCTAAATAATGTTGACTCCAATCCATAAAAATGGTTTTACACAAAAGTAAAAAAAAAAGTCCCTGTTTTTCCGTTTTATAGACAGTTTTCTTTTTCTTTTACTCCAAAGTATTTTTTATCTATAACTGCCTAAACTAGGTAGTCAAGAACTCATTGCAATGTCACAGGACTAGGAAATTACAATTAGGGAATGTTACAGCTGGAAAAACTCTTAGACAATAACTTATTTAACCCCACACAGTGGCTCTCCATATCTGCAGGTTCCAAATTCACAGATTCTGCATCTGCAATTGAACCAATCACAGATCAAAAATATTAAGGAAAAAAACAAAAATAAAAATAATACAAATTTAAAATACAATATAACAACTATTTACATAGTGTTCACATTATATTAAGTATCACAAGTAATTTGGAGATGATTTAAAGTATATGGGAGGATGTGCCTAGGTTATATGCAAATGTTATTTTATGTAAGAAACTTGAGCATCTGTGGATTTTGGTATGGGCCAGGATACAAAGAGGTGATTGTAATTTTAAAAGAAGTCTTAGGGATTAACTTGTTTAACCTCATCATTTTAAAAAGGAAACTAACATGGAAACATTCAGTGATTTTCCTTATCATCTGTATTAGTCTGTTTTCATGCTGCTGATAAAGACATACCCAAGGCTGGGAAGAAAAGGAGGTTTAATTGGACTTACAGTTCCACACAGCTGGGGAGGCCTCAGAATCATGGCCGGAAACGAAAGGCACTTCTTACATGGCAGGAGCAAGCAAGAGAAACTGAGGAGAAAGCAAAAGCAGAAACCCCTGATAAACCTGTCACATCTTGTGGGACTTATTCACTATCACAAGAATAGCACAGGAAAGATCAGCCCCCATGATTCAATTACTTCCCCTGGGTCCCTCCCACAACACGTGGGAATTCTGGGAGATACAATTCAAGTTGAGATTTGGGTGGGGGCACAGCCAAACCAAATCATTCCGCCCCTGGCCCCTCCAAATCTCATTTTCTCACATTTAAAAACCAATAATGCCTTCCCAACAGTCCCCCAAAGTCTTAACTCATTTCAGCATTAACCCAAAAGTCCACAGTCCAAAGTCTCATCTGAGACAAGGCAAGTCTCTTCCTCCTATGAGCCTGTAAAATCAAAAACAAGCTAGTTACTTCCTAGATACAAATGGGGGTACAGGTATTGGGTAAATACAGCCATTCCAAATGGGAGAAATTGGCCAAAACAAAGGGGTTACAGGGCCCATGCAAATCCAAAATCCAGCAGTGTAGTCAAATTTTTTAAAGCTCCAAGATGATCTCCTTTGACTCCGGGTCTCACATCCAGGTCATGCTGATGCAAGGGGCGAGTTCCCATGGTCTTGGGCAGTTCTGCTCCTGTGGCTTTGCAGGGTACATCCTCCCTCCTGGCTGCTTTCACAAGCTGGTGTTGAGGGTCTGCAGCTTTTCCAGGCACATGGTGAAGCTGTTGGTGGATCTACTACTCTGAGTTCTGGAGGACGGTGGCCCTCTTCTCACAGCTCCACTAGGCTGTGCCCCAATAGAGACTCTGTGTGGGGCTCCAATCCCACATTTCCCTTTCACACTGCCCTAGCAGAGGTCCTCCATGAGGGCCTCGCCCCTGCAGCAAACTTTTGCCTATGCATCCAAGCACTTTCATACATCTTCTGAAATCTAGGCAGAGGTTCCCAAACCTCAGTTCTTGACTTCTATGCACATGCAGGCTCAACTGCCAAGGCTTGGGGCTTCCACCCTCTGAAGCCACAGCCTAAGCTGTACATTGGCCCCTTTCCGCCACGCAGGCACCAAGTCCCAAAGCTGCACAGAGCACAGGGACCCTGGGCCTGGCCCATGAAACCATTTTTACCTCCTGGGCTTCTAGGCCTGTGATGGAAGGGGCTGCCGTGAAGGTCTTTGATGTGGCCTGGAGACATTTTCCCCATGGTCTTGGGGATTAACATTAGGCGCCTTGCTACTTATGCAAATTTCTGCAGCTGGCTTGAATCTCCCCCCAAAAATGGGTTTTCCTTTTCTATCGTGTAGTCAGGCTGCAAATTTTCCAATCTTTTATGCTCTGCTTCCCTTATAAAACTGAATGCCTTTAACAGTACCCAAGTCACCTCTTGAATGCTTTGCTGTTGAGAAATTTCTTGTGCCAGATACCCTAAATCATCTTTCTCAAGTTCAAGGTTCCACAAATCTCTAGGTCAGGGGCAAAATGCCTCCAGTCTCTTTGCTAAAACATAACAAGAGTCACCTTTGCCCCAATTCTCAACAAGTTCCTCATCTTTATCTTAGACCACCTCAGCGTGGACCTTACTATCCATATTGCTATCAGGCTTTTGATCAAAGTCATTCAACAAGCTTCTAGGAAGTTCCAAACTTTCCCACATTTTCCTGTCTTCTTCTGAGCCCTCAAAACTGTTCCAGCCTCTGCCTATTACCCAGCCCCAAAGTCGCTTTCCCATTTTTGGGTATATTTTCAGCAATGCTCCACCCTTCTGGTACCAATTGACTGTATTAGTCCATTTTCATGCTGCTGATAAAGACATACCTGAGACTGGGAAGAAAAAGAGGTTTAATTGGACTTAAGAGTTCCACATGGCTGGGGAGGCTTCAGAATCATGGCCTGAGAAAAAAGACACTTCTTATGTGGCAGCAGCAGAAGAAAATGAGGAGGAAGCAAAAGCAGAAATCCCTGATAAACCCATCAGATTTTGTGAGACTTATTCACTATCATAAGAATAGCATGGGAAAGACCAGCCTCCATGATTCAATTACCTCCCCCTGGGTCCCTCCCACAACACATGGGAGTTCTGGGAGATATAATTCACGTTGAGATTTGGGTGGGGACACAGCCAAACCATATCATCACCTAATTAGTGGCAGAACTAGAATAGGAACTTACATGTTACTCTGCCTTCCAACTTGGGACTTTTGCTAGTGTACCAGCTATTTCTCATCAATTGAAAGAGAAAGAATTGAATGAGATGAAAAATCTCAAGAATATTATAATTTAGTCTTTCATTTATGTATCTTTTTCTAAATAATTCTCTGGCAAGAAAGATATAAGCAGTATTTATATATTCTCTCATCTGAGTAAATAAATATTTTGAAATATATACTTATGGCAAAAATGCACCAAAGAAGTCCAATATCAAGATATTGTTAGTTTGGCTTATGCATGAAGACTGGGCATAGAATCCATATCTTGAAAAAGCTGTGGAAGCTCTTAAGACCTTTTAAAAAATTCTCATGCAATTTAAACTATAGTCTAAATATTAAAAAAATTGTGTCCTCCCTTTGTATTTCTGGGTCAGTTAATTATTAGATCCGCTCTCTTACACTTTTGTTGGATACATTTTTCATCTCCTAAAAGGGGGACCTTGAGAAATCTCCACAGTTATTCATTTACGCTGATATTTTAGGAGACACCATGTCCTATAAATATCACTTTTCATATGCCACTCCTTTCCCCTCCAACATAATAAAAATGCTCTAGGTTGGCTTTCATGGCCCATCACAAATTGGCTTCACCTAATGCATTGAAACTTTTCTCCCACTTCTCCCAATATTGAACTTCCCCCTTCAGCTGGGCCAGTCCTTCATCATTCCCCACTGAAAGTTTGCTTATTTCTGTCTCTTTGTCTTTATATTTGAGTTTCTGTTCGGTGGAAAAGCATACCTCCTCCTACATCTGTAGACAAATTCAAAACATTACTTGACCATGTAGCCTCCATGAAGCTTTTCCAGAAGAAGTTTAACAAAAAATGTGCCCCGCAACCCCATTAAAAATTCCAAATGCATTTATCCTACCAATGAAGTTAAAGCTATTCTATTTTTTATTTTCTCAGCCAGAACTTTTTCCATTGCTTCCCCTTGCTTGCTGTACACAGTTAATTGATTGCCATAATGACAATGATAATTGGCAACTATATATTAAATTAGATATTTACATTCATTTACATTACTCAAATGTTATTTTAATTGACTTATAATACCTTTTTGAGGTGTATAAGGATGTTATTATTGCATTTATGGATAAGAAAATTGAGTCAGAGTGGTTAAATTACTATTAAATAGAAAAGTTAGTATTTTATTTTGCCAAGTGTAACATTAAAAACAAAACTACTTTCTACTATCTTCCATATTTACTAAATAAAATGACATTTTGCTGCCTAAGAAATAAGATATTTGAAATCATAGAAAATTTAGCTTTTGCAAAAACTCACTACATTTCCTTAATTTGCCTCATTCTAGTGAAAACTTCATTGTAGACCATGGAAAAGTTTTAGGGCTTCTCTAGACTTATTATTCTGTGGCTTATCCATTTAAGGAGACAGACAACTTAAGGCTTTTTATATTTATTTATTTATTTATTTTTTGAGATGGAGTCTCACTCTGTCGCCCAGGCTGGAATGCAGTGGCGCAATCTCGGCTTGCTGCAAGCTCCACCTCCCGGGTTCACAACATTCTCCTGCCTCAGCCTCCCGAGTAGGTGGGACTACAGGTGCCCACCACCACACCCGGCTAATTTTTTTGTATTTTTAATAGAGACAGGGTTTCACCGTGTTAGCCAGGATGGTCTCGATCTCCTGACCTCGTGATCCACCTGCCTCGGCCTCCCAAAGTCCTGGGATTACAGGCGTGAGCCACTGTGCCTGGCCAGGCTTTTTATTTTTACTGAATTTTTTTACACACATTTATCCATGCATCCCTTCCCTCATCATCCATGCAAAACAGATAGGATTTATAATAATAGAGTACTCAAGGAAATGTTGTTATGTGCTGTCATTGCTTTATAACAAGGGGTAAAGGAGCAGACGAAAAATTCTCATGTCTGACTGCCATGATATGTAGCTTTTGGTTTAATTCCATTCATAGAAGTAGTCCAGTCATTGAATAAACAATTCATAGAATAGCAAATATAAGTACAGTTGAGTTGGAAGAATAGTCTGCCAAGAACAATTAATAAGTTATTGTTTATAAAATTCTGGACATGTAAAACATACCCAACCCACTGCTAACCTAGAGAAGCAGTGACCTCTTTGGGAACTCTGTTCCATGGCTCTGTGCAGTATGGGTGGGTGTTGGGTAGAGAAAACAGTGAGAAGGGGTTTGGACTCTGAGCCTTGTGGAAGCTGAGCAACTGACCCTGCCCTGCAGTCACACCCACGTTTAGCCCAGGGGCTGCTGCCCACATCTCCTCTTTGGAGGTTGTCTTAGTTCATTTTGTGCTACCGTAACAGAATACCACAGACTAGGTAATTTAAAGTGAACAGAAACTGATTGACTCACAGTTCTAGAGTTTGCGAAGTCCAAAATCAAGCAGCTGACATCTTACGAGAGCTTTCTTGTTGTATCATCCCTTGGCAAAAGGGAGAAGAGCATGAGAGGGTGAGAGAGAGAGAGAGCAAAAAGGGTGCTAATTCATCCTTTTATAAGAAACCCAGTCAGAGATAATGGCATTAATCTATTCAAGAGGGCAGTGCCCTCATGGCCTAATCACCTCTCATTAGGCCCTACCTACCAAGACTGTTGCATCAGGGATTAACCTAACACATGTTTTTTAGGGGACAGGTTCAACCCATAATAGGGGTGGTCCTCAAGAGAAATGCTGGAATTTACAACACACCCAAAGGTGAATAGAATTACTTCATTTTGCCTTTGCTGAAAACTGTCTGCAGTTAACTCAGGCCCAAATTAAAGTATTTATAGAATACTTGACAAACCCATAATTAGCAAATTAATTTTTGAGTTTTTTTTGGGAAATGATTTAGTATTTATTCTGTGCTTTTCTTTCGAAACTGCAGTTATTTCCAGCTTCCTAAAGCTATGAAAAATAGGCATATTCCAGTACCACACAAAAGAAACTAAGATAAGCAGATGAGATACTTAGGAATGTGAGCACTCCATTTACTTGAAACTTCAAGGCACAGAGCCATGTAGAACCAAACTTGCACTAGCCAGGGTTTACCCAAGGCTGTCATTGGCTCAATGTTTGCTAAGTCACATAGGCCTGATGGTGTGGTAGAAACAGCACTGAACTGGAAATTGGAGGACCTGGATTCTAGAACTGGCTCTGTCCCTTTTCCGTTTTGTATCCTTGAGTAAAATGTTGAAAGATAAGACTAGGTAATTTTTATTCTCCCTGCCTCTAAAATTCCTTAGATTTTTTTTTTTTTTTTGAGATGGAGCCTTGCCCTGTCGCCCAGGCTGGAGTGCAGTGGCACGATCTCGGCTCACTGTGGCCTCTGCCTCCTGGCTTCAAGCAATTCTCCTGCCTCAGCCTCCCGAGTAGACTAGCTGGGATTACAGACGCACACCAGCACACCTGGCTAATTTTTGTATTTTTAGTAGAGACGGGGTTTCACCATGTTGACCAGACTGGTCTTGAACTCCTGACCTCAGGTGATACAGCTGCCTCGGCCTCCCAAAGTGCTGAGATTACAGGAGTGAGCCACCGTGATCAGCCAATTCCTTAGATTTTATGATTAGAGGTTTGCCAGGACTCCTGGAACCATGTGCCTGCTTTTAGTCAGGAATCACTAACTTGCTTTGCACCTTCCTTTTGAGTCTCAAGCCTCAGCAGTAGTCCATTTTAGGCATGGCTCATTCTCATTCTTAAGGTTGCTCTGAAGCAGTGGGAATTTTGTATGAAGCCCTTTGATAGACTAAGTTGTTGCAGTTACTCTGTATCTGTTTCTTCTTACTTTGTCTACACCAAGGAACAGATGTTGATGCAGAATATGACTGCTTTTTCCAAACCAAATTGTGCCTGTCAAAAAAATGTCACTGTTAGATTCTGTATTTAACCTAACTGGGGCAAACTTGACATGAGTGTTGTATGGAGATCATCTTTCTACTATTTTTTCTTATGATCTCTCTTTGATTCAGCTCATATTCTGCCCTCAAATACAACAGTTGATGACTTTACATTTTATTGAAGATGTTTGGTGGTATCGTTCCTCTGGATGAAACTGTTTGGCATGTTTGAATTCTCCTCCTTTCTATGTGGTCATAAAAACACACATCCCTGCAAACTTTTTCTTAAGTATTCATGTATAACCTTGTTTCTCAAGATCAATTTCCTGAGAAAGATGACCATTTTTTTCTTTTAAATATTATTGATCACAGAAACTACAGTATATATTTATTACAAGATTTTAAAACATTACAAAGTGAAAATATCAGTCTGTAAAATGGGATTAATTATGAGCAGCTTAGCTGAGAGTTAAGGTGCCTTCACAGAGTGCTATCAGATGATGAATGCTGTACCTAAGGTAAATAGCAGACTTAAAAAATTCTCTCGAGAAACAATTTTATTTTTAATATCATAGTGATATCTTTCATTACATAAACACTTTAATTTTTTTTTCTTTTGTTAAAGGAAGGGGAATGGGGGGGAATGAGGTGCTAAGAACAAAGCAAGAAAGTTTTTGAAAATGACTCCATTTAGTTTTAAACTGACTGCTCTACCTGCTAGCGTTTTTAAACATGACTTTTTCCCTCATTCCAGAACATCTGTGATTGTGTTTAAGTTCATAAGGATCTAGGACATTTTACACCACTTGAAATCTACAACCTATGTACATTTGGAGGATATGTGGCTCCATGAATTTATCTTCAGAGAGGGGCCCACCCAAGTAGTCAAATAGTTGTAAATGTAAGTGAACAGCACAGTTTTCTTTAAAAGTCCAGATTTCTATAAAGAATTCTAGAACCCATTGGCCAGCTCCCCCTAATCTATGTAAATCTCAAATAGTTTCCTGACTTTGCTTTTGATTATAGCGGTAAGTTTTGGTTTTCTCATAGTGCAGTATTGGGAGTCTTTGGCTATCCTGTCTACTCAAATCTGGGCTCTTTGTCCAGCAGATGTTTCCAGTTGTGTTAATGGTGTTGAGTTGTGTGTGGGAGATGATGATGTAGAAACCCAGAGAATAGCTTGAGACCAGGCCAAACACTGTTGCTTGTTGCTTAACCATGGGCCAAATTTGAACTCATGCTTCCAAGGATACAAAAGCTAACACATTAGCTTCTCCTGGAAAATACAGGCTCCAGAAAAATAAATCATTCTCAATAGAAAATTCAGTCATTTTAGTACATAAAATCATTACTATATGAGTCCCCTTTGTTTTAAAAGTGGAAGGATGCTTAATATGTCACCTCTTCAAAATTCAGAAACTAAGCTTATTTTGCAGACTGGAGAAAGTATGTTCTAAAGAGGCCATATCCTAAAAACACTGTCAGTGTAAAACACAGTTGAGAGACCTGGTAACCTATCCAGTATCTACAGGAGAGATGAAAAAAATTGAGCAAAATGATATCATATTTCTCCTAGGGTTTTCCTCTCTCCTGGTATGAATGGGAGCTTGAGGTTTTATCATAAAGGGATAAAATAGCAAGAAATTATTTACTGGCTTGCAGTCACGGAGAAAAGGCATTCACATCTGTTTCTGGTATTCTGCTGAAGAATCTCTCCAGTTGATAATTTGGATGGGAAGCAAATTGGTTTGTTTTCATAGGTCCTTTTCTTCCAAGCTCAGATAAAACAAACTTATCCTGTGGGTCCAATGGTTTGCATTCTGAATTCTTGGTTTACGTGGCACAAAATCCTTCTATTATATTGCTAACACATTATCCATCTTAAAGAGAACAAAACTGGCTAAGTTTTAGAAGGACTTATGTTACATAAACTCCTATGAATGACTACACATTGTGTGTGTTTGTCACAGTGTATATGTGTGTGAAATTACAATTCTTATGGATTTCTCATGTAATCGTCTTTCAATTTTTTTTTTTCTTTTTTGAGATGAAGTCTTGCTTTTGTTGCTCAGCCTGGAGTACAATGGCACAATCTTGGCTCACTGTAACCTCCGCCTCCCAAGTTCAAGCAATTCTCCTGCCTCAGCCTCCTAAGTAGCTGGGATTACAGGTACCTGCCACCATGCCAGCTAAGTTTTTGTACTTTTAGTAGAGATGGGGTTTCGCCATGTTGGCCAGGCTTGTCTTGAACTCCTGACCTCAGGTGATCCACCCACTTTGGCCTTCCAAAGTGCTGGGATTACAGATGTGAGCCACCACACCCCGCCCTATCTTTTAATTTTATATTTGCTTTTATAATGAATTTCTAATGTAATTTTGTCTTTTAATTTTATATTTCCTTTAAATGACTTCTGCCTATAGTAGTTACTGTGACTTCTTCTTTGGAAGACTATACCATAACATTTATCTAGCAAGATAAAAATAAAGATCTCAATCAAATGATTAAAAGTGATTGATAATAAATTCTCTTCTAATAAAGTAGGTAGGCTTTTCCTTGTTGACTTCTGCTATTTGAAGATATGAAATACGGTTTTCTTTTTTGATCATTCAATAATAGATGAGAACACCATCTATAGACAAGCTTTTAAGCTCAAGTTTTTAAGGTCAAGAAAAGACAAAGTCCCTTTCTTCACAGAACATAAAATACATTAAAAGGGGGAGAAACACAAAAGTAAATAAAGAAAAAGTAAAAAAAGTTATAAATGCATAAACACAAAAAACATGCCAAATAGGGCTGTTTATTAGATTTGTTGGTAGGCTAAAATGACTGAAGCTAAATAGAAGTAGACTAAAGAGATAACAGAAAATGGCATTTTTCCAGAGGTTTTTCTTTTCTTTTTTCTTTTTTCTTTTTTTTTTTAAAGAGAAGGCTGTATTACAGGAAGTGGTGGGAAATGTCTTAGATGAAAGATTCTTTGTCCTTTTTTCACTTTACTTCTGCTGAATTCTGTTGTAGTTTTCTCTTGAATAAAGTATAGAATAGAAATATTTTCCAAATTATTCCCAAATTAAATAAAACTGTCTAATATGGCTTTGGTTTCTTCAATTAAAATTTTTGAAAAGAAATTCAAATTGGGTAAATTACTATTCTTTTGAAGTAAAAAAGCTTTAACAAATCTTTGCAAAGATAATTGTTTTAAGTTATAATGAGAGACTAAAATATGTCAAGTATTTTAGGAAAAAATGTTGTCTTTTTGTCTTTTTCCAAGGCAGAGCAGTATAAACAAGTAGCGGATTTCCTGTATGGCCTAATGGACATAAACACAGATAGTAAAAGAGAAATGAACACCAGAACACTTTGTTTAAAAAAAAACAAAAAACATATTATAAAACTAGTGACATTCATAGATTCATTGGAACATATTATTTGGGATTACTGGGCTTTTCCTAGTAAAATAAATAGTAGACAGCTTGAGCCAGGAGCGCCCTGGTTTACTGACCACCATTTTGAAATCGTTCACCGTCTTGTTAGCAGTGTGTCAACTCTGACTTTTCATCATAATTGCTATCTTTCCTATATTACATATCTCTATGGGATATATTGTTTTTACTATGGTAACAATTCATTCTCTATGTATAAATAAATATTTTTTTACATCTCCTAAACTTTAGAATCTAAAGAACTGAACAGAAAGAAAACCAGTAAAAAAAAAATACGAAAATTATTTTCACATAGTCTTAAGACAAAAACCTACTTCTAGACAGAACTAATCAACTCTATTATTTTGTAAAGAGAAAAAAAAAAGACCCAAATTGTTAAAAACTAACAAAGAAAAGCCTGACTGAATGAAATAGCTATTCCATGTTTTAAATCCCACATTGCTGGGTTAAAATTAGAGCAATTGGTATTTTAAGCAAATTTTATATTTCTGCCTTTTCCCACTCCCTATTCCCAACCCATGTAAATTGCTTTATTATTTAATATGAATAAAAAGTTGATTAATGGGTCTGAAACCATTAACTGATTATTTTTCATCACCTGGCATTTTAGAGAAAGGGGCAAATCAAAGACAAAAGTTGTTATCAGGAATTTATTAGATTAAAAGAATAAATTCAAAATATGCCCTGGGCTTGGTAAAATCATAGAATAGAAGGGCTAAAAATAATCACGAAAGCAGAAAGGTCTACCTAAAAATGCACAGGCTTTGTAGTTTGATAAACCTGGGTTTGAATCCCTACTCTACTACTTATTTGCTATGTGGCTACAGTTTATTTAAGCTTACTACTTTGTCATGAAAAATTAATATAAAAATGATTAGAAATTTGCAAATAAAATCAATATATCAAAGATTTTTTTAGAAATTGAAAAGATTTTGAGCAGTTAATTTGTATATACAACTGTTATATAAATATAAAAATGACTAGAAATTTGCAAATAAAATCAATATATCAAAGATTTTTTAGAAATTAAAAAGACTTTGAACAGTTGCTCTTGCATATATAACTCTTGAGTGTCAAGGTAAATATACATTTCTGTGTTGCCTTGATCCTTCACACGGTAGGGATCTAAGAAAGAGAAGAATCAAGTAGGGGTAAGATCACTATAGTTTCCAAAGCTGTAACCCCAGATTCATGACCAAGTATGTCTGTCCTTCCCAAAGATCAATCAGTAGGGTCTCACACAAAGGTCCCACTGTAAACGTCACATGATATATGCTTTATTTCCTGAAAACAATCTTATAATTTTAGAACATATAATAAAATATAATATAAACATATGCTAAATAAAACTATCCATGGGTTCTATCATTTTTATTGCTAGAATAGCACTGTAATAATTACCAACAGAACAATTTCAAATGGTTAGAAAGGCAGAGTTAGAGTAATCGACAAGACTCTGACAGGTTACAGTCGTGTAAATTTAGTTGTTCTGCTTCAGTTACAATTTTAAATGATGAAATTCTTAAATCTATAAAAATAGTTATTAAATTCGTATTCTTCTGTTTTGTAAAAAATAAAATAACAGAAATTAGAAGGGACTGTTAAAAAGACTTAAAAATCCTAAGGTAGAGAAAATTTATGCTGTTTTATTCTATACTTTTTCTTAGGAGTGGTGTTCATAAGACACTAAGCAGTATTTTCATAATTTATTCAATAATAAGAGTGATATGAATAAAATTATTTAAAATATTTGAAACTGGTTTCTAAATAATGCATTTAAGTAGACTTGCAGCAGAACAGGCTTATTTACTTCAGCATTATTTTACCTGCAGCTGAGAAGTCACTGGCATATTGGGAACCATAAAAGCTTGGAGGTCATGAAGACCTTAGCTAGAGATTTAGCTGCCTCCTTTACTGGTTATGTGGGCATGGGCAAGGTGTTTAACCTCTTTGAACTTTAGTATTTCTATCTGTAAAATGAGGATAAATAGAATGTTAGGGTGTTGTGATAAAGAGTTAATTCACAGTGGGTGGCATTTAATACATGCAGGATTTTTTTAGCTGTCTCACAAATACCCATTTCTTGAATATTTTATGGAGTATATAAAATGGAGTCAATAAATCTCAAGGTTAAGACATAAAGATGTAATTTTAAAATAAAAGCAGATGTCTCTATATATACCATGGAATACTATGCAGTCATAAAAAGAATGAAATCATGTCCTTTGCAGCAATATGGATGGAATTGGAGGCCATTATAGTAAACAATTTGATGTAGGAACAGAAAAACAAATACCACACGTTCTCCTTTATAAGAGGAAGGTAAACACTGAGTACACATGGACACAAAGAAGGGAACAATAGACACCGAGGTCTACTTGAGGGTGGAGGAGGGTGAGGATTTAAAAACTACCTATTGGCTATTATGTTGATTACCTGGGTGACAAAATTAATCTACATACCAACCCCCCGACACACAACTTACCCATGTAACAAGCCTGCACATGTACCCCTTGAACGTAAAAGTTGGAAAGAAAAAAAACAGGATGTTTCCAAATTGATATTCTCTAACCCAACACATTTTAAATATGTAAAGGTATTATTTTGTAGTAAAATATTTTTCCAAAGTAATATTGAAAAGCTTTCTCTAATATACTGTATTTAAAAGAGAACTGAATACAATGGATGAATGCATATTCTTATAAACAGAGCATAGAATAATGAGGAATTTTGAAACTAACTTTGGAAATCTACACATTTAGAAGAGAAATAGTTTTCTTCCTTCTGTGAATTCACTACAACATCTTTTTATTACTTTTTCTCTGTCTGGACAAAGGATACATTTTAACTATTAAAAAATATGAGACTTCAAATAAAAAAATGTAGTAAAACTGCCCTGAATATTGTCAAAATTTATAACCTGAGTCACTCAGGGGAAGAGTGAAGATGGGTTTTACGATGTTAAAAAAAAAAAGTGGCATTACCAATCCAAAATACTTGGGAAATGTTCCAGATTATAAAATATTCCTGCCTTATAGCAACATATTCAAGGTGTGAAACTTAGTTTATGGAAATTACTACATATAAAAATACATGTGAACTGAATTATTACTCTTCTTGCTGACAGATACATTTTTACTGGGTTCACATAACTCGTATGAACGTTCTTCAGCAGGGGAGAAACTTTGTGTGTAAACAATTTTTCCACAGTGGCAGCTCACAGCATTACTAATTATAGAGAAGTATTCTCTTTCGGGAGCATGAAATAGTGTAATTTTTTATCCCTAACTAGGATAGAGGGAAGGCCCTGGGGAACACTGCTTTTCATAGTTCTTTAAAAATATTTAACTCATAACTACATTAGTCTGTGGTAGAAAAAAAATCCCCATCCCTCTAATTTCTCTGGTAAAGATAATAATAAAAATAACAATCATCATCATAATGAGGAGGCAGAGAAGAAGAGGAGAAGAGAGATGAAAAAAAGGAGGAGGGAGGAAAGGAGAAAGAGAAGAAGGAGGAGGAAGAAAAAGGAGGAGGAGAAAGAGATGACTAAGGGTCAGTTTACCTACTCACTGAAGGGTCACCTCAAGGATAAAATTTCAAAACTCATGCTGCATGAGAATTACCTAGGAGTTACATTTTAAAATGTAAAATGTCTTGATTCTACCTTTGAACATTCTGATTCAATGTGTCTGAAGTAGAGCCTAGGAATGTGCATTTAAAACATAAGTCCCCAGGTCAGTAGACAGTCCCTTAAGAAATGCTGCCCTGTATATTTTAGGAAATGAAAGAGTTGTATCTCAAGTCAGCTCCTGAAGGCAGCCACGAGCATCTTCTCTCCGTGGCCCCAGCCTTGCTGAAGTCCATCACTCACCTCATAACTATAGACCCTCTGGCCATTCTGAACTCTGTCTCCCTCCCCAGCTTGTTGCTTCATCTCCCTAGCATCAGTGCAAGAGTGAGTGAGGAGCTGTCTGCTCATGCCCTTACTTTCTTCTGTCTTGTCTGTAGTCCCTTGTCGCACAAAGCTAATGTAGGAGGGGGTCTCAGACTTCAGTGACAAATGGGGTTCATTAAGGGAAACTAGCACGTAGGTTGTTAAACAAGGCTATATGGTTTATAAGGATATTCCACTAGCTCTTTCCAAGAGAAAGAACACACATTAAAATTAACCCTCCCTTAGGTGTACCCTTGTAGACAGACTCCGGTTTTTACTGCTCTTCCAAAATGTCCCTGCACTTTTCTTTAGGAAACATTCACATCTCTTCCATTGGGACTTTGTTGCCTGGTGCCTCATTCCTCTTTTCTGTCCAACCCTTCCAAATGCACAATGTTTCCAGAAAAACATTCTTAGCTTCTGAAATTGGAGTA
Source organism: Homo sapiens (assembly GCF_000001405.40). NCBI lineage: Eukaryota > Metazoa > Chordata > Mammalia > Primates > Hominidae > Homo > Homo sapiens. The sequence goes on from NC_000004.12 coordinate 144,229,982, forward strand.
TAGCAGTGTAAACTAGTTGGAGGTGGGAGGCGAGGTGGAGTAGGGGCTTCTTACAGCAGGATAGTCCAATATCAGCTTTGACACTTTAGGTCAAGCTTCCTTAAAATGTCCACAAGCAGTTATAGGTAGAGAATGGCGAGTCTGTCTAGTTATTCCGAGCATGCAAGCACACCAAGATACCACACAGGCTCTTGCACACACACACACACACACAGCTCATAAAGATAAACACATCAATTCATACAGACATTACAGTATAGCCTCTAGATCCACATTAAGAAAGAAAAAAATCTTTGTAAGCAATATGATCTACACAAGATGGCCATCAGCAATGCAGAATGACATATTCTGATAGGGTAATACCAGTTCTCTTTCTGATAATGCGTCACTACAGGGCCTATGAGTATTAGAAGTATATAAGAAATGGAGCTTGTTATTACCCATCTATTCACAGTTACTAACATAGAGATCCAGCTGCAGCTGAAACTGTAAAGTTACTCATCATGGCACATTCCTAGGCTGGCTGTGAGTGAAAGAGATGCAATACAAAGGTTTGTAATCTTCCTGTAGAAAGTAGGCCCCCAGAAATTGAAGTTTGGTTGGCGGTGTTTAGTTTACATTTTTTGTTCTAGTTACTAACACTTCACAATTCTTTATTGTTTTCATTTTCTTATTTTGCATTGTTTTAATATTATTTTAAAATTAACAAATAGTAAAACTGCCTCTTTTGTGTGTATGTGTAGAGTTCTACTAATGTTAACACATCTGTAAATTTGTGTAACCATCACTGCGATCAGGACACAGAGCAGTCCCATCAGTCCAAAAATCTACCTTATTTATGCCTTTATAGTCATAGCCTCCTTGTACCTCAACCCCTGACAACCACTGGTCTGTTCCCTGTCACATGGTTTTGCTTTTGAAGAATGTCATATAAATTAAATGATGTAGTATGTACTCTTTGGAGACTGACTCTTTCAGAATACTGCCTTTGAGATTCATCCAAGTTTTCACAGGTGTCAGTAACACACTTCTTTTTACTGCTGAGTAGTATTTAATTGTATGTGAATGTGACTGTTTATCTATTCACCCACTGAAGGACTTTTGGCTTGTTTTCACATTTTAATTGTTATGAATAGAATTGCTATAAACATTCATTTACATGTTTTTATGTCAATATATATTTTCATTTATTTTAGGTAAATATGCAGGAGTATGACTGCTGGAACATATGGAAGTATATAAATTTACATACATGGTGAAACTGTCACATTGTTCCCTTGAATGGCTATGCCCTTTTGCATTCCCACAAGCAACGTATGAACATTCAATGCTCCCTTCATCAGCACTTGGTATTTTCAGCATTATTCATATTAGCCATTTTAATAGGTGTATAGAGTTATCATCATTTTATAAACATTCCACTAGTGGCTGCAGACGTGGTTGTTTTCTTCTGTAATATCTTTGAATATATATCTTCCATTGCAGATTAGAAGTGCCTTATGCACTTCTGAGATACCACATACTGTTATGCTAGTATATCTTGGTCTTCCATATATATATTTTTTACTGTTTGCTTTAATTTTTTTTCACATTTGTTTAGTTACTGTGATTATTACAAGCCATTCTTTAATATAAGTAATTTTATTTTCAAGGGTTTTTATTCAGCATATGTCTATTTATGTTTGTTTGTTTATTTGACAGATATAAATTGTATATGTTTATGGTGTGTAACATGATGTTTCAAAACACATATACATTGTGGAATGGCTAAATCAATCTAATTAACATACATATTACCTCACATACTTATAATTTTTTGTGGTGAAATACTTAAAATATACTCTCATCAATTTTCAAGAATACAATACATTGTTATTAACTGTAGTCATTATGTTATATAATAGGTCTCTTGAAATTATTCCTATCTAACTAAAATTTTTTATCCTTGGACCAACATCTCAACTCCACCCAACCCTCAGCCGCTAGTACCTACCATTCTACTCTATTTTTACAAGTTTAACTTTGTTAGATTTCACATGTATGTGACATTATGCAGCATTTGTGTTTCTGTGCTTGGCTTATTTCACTTAGCATAATGTCCTTCAGGGTCATTCATGTCACAAATGATGGTATTTCCTTCTTTTTTTTAAGGCTGAATAGTATCCCATGGTGAACATGTGCCATCTTTTCTTTAACCATTCATCTGTTGATACTTAGGTTAATTCCATATCTTGGCTATTGCAAATAATGCTGCAATGAAAAAAGAAATGCAGATATCTCTTTGACATATAGATTCCAAATCCTTCAGCTGTATACCCAGTAGTGGGATTACTAGGTCATGTAGTTGTTCTATTTTTAATTTTTTGAGGAACCTCTATACTGTTTTCTATATTTATTTATTTTTAATATCAGGTTAGTTGAGGTATAATTTACAAACACTAAAATTCATCCTTTTAAGTGTACAATTCTATTACTTTTGACAAATATATACAGCCATAGAACTACCACCAAGGTCAAAGTATAGATTTTATGTACTTTATTAGAGGAATCAATCTTATCTCAACTCTCAGTCTCTGGCAACCACTGATTTGATTTCTATCCCTCTAGTTTTATCTTTTCCACAATGTCATATATATAAAATCAGTTATTACGTATCCCTTTGGTTCCCAAAGGTGAGACTCAGAAACATGCTAGCTTCAGGTATGACCCAGTACATTATTTGACTTAGCAGACTGATTCTGAGATTCATTCATGTTGTTGCATGTATCAGGATTTTGTTTCTGTTTGCTGTTGAACAGTAACTCATTATATACATTTTTCACAATTTATTCACTTACTATAGATGAACATTTGGACTGTGTCTAGTTTTTGATTGTTATAAACAAGCTGCTATAATCATTCAGGTAAAAAATCTTTGTGTGAAAATATGTTTTTATTTATCTTGAGTAAATACCTAGCAGTGAAATTGCTCAGTCATATGGTATCTATATGCTTAGTTTTAAAGAAAATGGGAAGCAAGATGGCCAAATAGAAGCTTCCACCAATCATTCTCTCCATAGGAACACCAAATTGAACAATTTTCCACACAAAAAAAGCACCTTTGTAAGAATAAAAAAATCAGGTGAGCAATCATAGTACTTGGTTTTAACTTTATATGACTGAAAAAGACACTGAAGAAGATAAGAAAGACAGTTGTGAATTGCTGGCATCAACCCGCCCCCATACCCTGGCTGTGGCCTCATGGTGCAGAGAGAGAATCTGTTTGCTTCAGGGAGGGACAGTGCATTGATTGAGGGGCTTTTCTTTGGAACTCAGTGCTGCTCTTTCACAGAAGAAAGCTATACTGGGCAAAATTCAGCTGATGACTGCGGAGGGAGAATTTAGAACAGCGCTAACCAGAAGGGAATCATACATTGCACTGGTTGGAACCTGAGTTCTGGAAAGCCCTACCACTGTGGGCTAATGTGCATTGAGGTCTTAAATAAACTTGAAAAGCTGTCTAGGCCACAAAGATTGTAATCCCTGGACAAGTCCTTGTGCTGTAATGAGCTCAGAGGCCAGTAGACTTGGGGGTGCACATGACCCAGTGAGACACTAGCTGGGGCAGCCAAGGGAGTGCATTCCCCAACCCCAGGCAGTGCAGCTCCTTCTTTCTGCTTGAGTAGAGGAGAGGGAGGAGTAAAGAGGACTTTGTCTTGCAACTTGGCTATCAGCTTAGCCACAGTAAGATAGGGCACCAGGCAGAGTCTTGAGGTCCTCATTCTAGACCCTACCTCCTGGATGACATTTCTAGACACACTGTTGGCCAGAAGAGAACATGCTACTTTGAAGGGAAGGACCCTGTCCTGGCAGAATTTATCACCTGTTTATTAAAGAGCCCCTGGGTCCTAAATTCAGCAGTGGTAGCCAGGAAGTACTCACCATGGGTCTTTGGTGAGACTCGGAAACATGCTGGCTTCAGGTATGACCCAGAACATTCTCAGCTGTGGTGGCTACAGGGAGGGACTCCTTCTGCTTGAGAAAAGTAGAGCGAAGAGTAAAAGGGACTTTTATTTCAGCTTAGGTGTCAGCTCAGCCATAGTCAGGTAGAGTGCCAATTGGGCTTTTAGGGTCCCCAATTCTAGGCCTCGGCTCTTGGATGACATTTCTGGACTTACCTTGGGCCAGAGAGAAGGCTATAGCCCTTAATGGCAAGTCTCAGGTCTGAAAGCATTCCCCACAACCTGACCAAAGAGCCTCTGAGCCTTGAATGAACATTGGTGGTAGCTAGGCAATACTTGCCACGGGCCTGAGATAGTGATGGATATAGGGAGAGATTTATCTGATGGTGGAAAGGTGAAGAGTGAGAAGGACTGTTTTGTGGCTTGGGTGCCAGCTCAGCAGTAGTAGATTAGAGCACCAGGTAGATTCCTAGGGGTTCTAACTCTAGCCTCCAGCTCCCAGACATCTCTGGACCTGCCTGGGACCAGGGGGAACTTGCCACCCTCAAGGGAAAAACACAAGCCTAGCTGGCTTTGCCACCTGCTGATTTTAGAGACCTAGGACCTTGAGTAAACAAGCAGCAGCCAGGCATGGTTACCATGGGCCATGGATAAGACCCAGTGCTGTGCTGGCATCACATCTGAACTAGCACAGTTCCAGTGATGGTGGTCACAGGTATGCTTGTGTCACCCCTCTCCAACTTCAGGCAGCTCATCACACAGAGAGAGGGGGACTCCATTTATTTGGGGGAAAGTAAAGGAAAAGTACAAGAGTCTCTGCCTGGTAATCCAGAGAGTTATTTGGTATCTTATCCAAGAACACCAAGTCAGTACCTACACAAGTCTACAAGAACCACAGTGTTACTGGGCTTGGGGTGCTGCCTAATTCAGATATGGCTGCAGTGACCAAATCTTAGATTACAACACCCAAATTCCTTAGAATACATGGAAAGCCCTCCCCAGAAGGATGAATACAAACAAGTCTAGATTGTGAAGACTACGATACATACCTAGCTCTCCGATGCCCAAATATTGATGAACATCCAGAAGATGGCATTAAGACCTGGATGGCATCAACATAATTCTGGAAAACATGACCTCACCAAATGAACTAAACAAGGAGGTACCAGTGAGTAATCCTACAGATATGAGTGGGATATGTGATCTTTCAGACAGAGAATTCAAAATAGCTGTGTTAAGAAAACCAAAGAAATTCAATATAACACAGATAAGAAATTTAGAATCCTATGAGATAAATTTAACAAAGAAATTTAAATAATTAAAAAGAATCAAGTAGAAATTCTGGAGTTGAAAAATGCAATTGTCACATTGAAGAACACATCAGTCTCTTAACAGCAGAATTGATCAAGCAGAAGAAAAAGTAAGTGAGCTTGAAGACAGGCTATTTGAAAATACAGTTAGAAGAGATAAAATAAAAAAGAATAAAAAGAATAAAGTATGCCCGCAAGATCTAGAAAATAGCCTCAAAAGGGCAAATTTAAGAGTCATTGGCCTTAAAGAGGAAGAGAGAGAGAGATTGTGGTAGAAAGTTTATTAAAAGGTATAATAATAGATAACTCTCCAAATCTGGGGAAAGATATCAATATTCAAGTATATGAAGATTATAAAACACCACGAATATTTACCTGGAATAAGACTACCTTAAATCATTTAAAATCAAACTCCCAAAGGTCAAGGATAAAGAAAGGATACTAAAAATACCAAGAGAATAGAAACAAATAACATGCATTCCAAAATGTCTGGCAACAGAATTTTCTTTCCTTTTCTTCTCTTTTCTTTTCTTTCGCTTTCCTTTCTTTTCTCTCTCTCTCTCTCTCTTTCTTTCTTTATCATACTTTAAATTCTAGGGTACATGTGCAGAACCTGCAGGTTTGTTACATTGTCATGTTGGTTTGCTGCACCCAACAACTTGTCATTTACATTAGGTATTTCTCCTAATGCTATCCCTCCCCCAGCCCCCCACCCAACAGGCCCCAGTGTGTGATGTTCCCCACCCTGTGTCCATGTGTTCTCGTTGTTCAACTCCCACCTATGTGTGAGAACATGCGGTGTTTGGTTTTCTGTCCTTGTGATAGTTTGCTGAGAATGATGGTTTCCAGCTTCATCTATGTCCCTGCAAAGGACATGAACTCATCCTTTTTTATGGCTGCATAGTATTCCATGGTGTATATGTGCCATATTTTCTGATGGACATTTGGGTTGGTTCCAAGTCTTTGCTATTGTAAATGGTGCTGCAATAAACATATGTATGCATGTCTCTTTATAGCAGCATGATTGATAATCCTTTGGGTATATACCCAGTAATGGGATCACTGGATCAAATGGTATTTCTGGTTCTGGATCCTTGAGGAATTGCCACATTATCTTCCACAATGGTTGAACTAATTTACACTCCCACCAACAGTGTAAAAGCTTTCCTATTTCTCCACATCCTCTCCAGCATCTGTTGTTTCCTGACTTTTTAATGATCGCCATTCTAACTCCTGTGAGATGCTATCTCACTGTGGTTTTGATTTGCATTTCTCTGATGACCAGTGATAATGAGCATTTTTTCATATGTCGGCAATAGACTTTTCAGTGGAAACCTTATAGGCCAGGAGAGTATGGTGTAACATATATAAACTGCTGGAGGAAAAAAATCTTTTATTTTAGAACAGTATATTCAGTGAAAATATCCTTCAAACAGTAAGGAGAAATAAAGACTTTTCCAGAGAAACAAAAGTTGAGGGATTTCATTAACACCAGACCTGTCCTACAAGAAATGCTAAAGGGAGTTCCTCAATTTGAAAGAAAAGGATGTTAATGAGCAATAAGAAATTATCTGAAGGTACAAAACTTACTGTTAATAGTAAGCACACAGAAAAACACAGAATTTTATAACACAGTAATTGTGGTGTCTAAATTACTCATATTTTGAGTAGAAAGACTAAAAGATGAACCAGTCAAACATAATAACTACAACTTCTCGAGACATAGACAGCATAATAACACATAAACTGAAACAACAAAAAGTTAAAAATTAGGGGTGGGGGGGTGAAGTAAAGTGTAGAGTTTTTATTAATTTTCTCTTTGCTTGTTTGTTTGTTTTGATGACAACTGTTAAGTTGTCATCAGAAAAAATAATAGGTTTTAAGATTATTTGCAAGCCTTATGGTAACCTCAAATCAAAAAACATACAATAGATACACAAAAGACAAAAAGCAAAAAATTAAAACACACCACCAGAGAAAATCACATTCACTAAAAAGAAGACAAAAGGGAAAAGAAAGAAGAGACCAAAAAACAACCAGAAAACAAGTAACAAAGTGGCAGGAGTAACTCCCTACTTGTCAATAATAACATTGACTATAAAGGGACTAAGCTTTTCTTTTTTTTTTTTTAAGTTTTTTTTTCTTTTCTTTTATTATTATACTTTAAGTTTTAGGGTACACGTGCACATTGTGCAGGTTAGTTACATATGTATACATGTGCCATGCTGGTGCACTGCACCCACTAACTTGTCATCTAGCATTAGGTATATCTCCCAATGCTATGCCTCCCCCTCCCCACACCCCACAACAGTCCCCAGAGTGTGATGTTCCCCTTCCTGTGTCCATCTGGTCTCATTGTTCAATTCCCACCTATGAGTGAGAATATGCGGTGTTTGGTTTTTTGTTCTTGCGATAGTTTACTGAGAATGATGATTTCCAATTTCATCCATGTCCCTACAAAGGACATGAACTCATCATTTTTTATGGCTGCATAGTATTCCATGGTGTATATGTGCCACATTTTCTTAATCCAGTCTATCATTGTTGGACATTTGGGTTGGTTCCAAGTCTTTGCTATTGTGAATAATGCCGCAATAAACATATGTGTGCATGTGTCTTTATAGCAGCATGATTTATAGTCCTTTGGGTATATACCCAGTAATGGGATGCCTGGGTCAAATGGTATTTCTGGTTCTAGATCCCTGAGGAATCCCCACACTGACTTCCACAATGGTTGAACTAGTTTACAGTCCCACCAACAGTGTAAAAGTGTTCCTGTTTCTCCACATCCTCTCCAGCACCTGTTGTTTCCTGACTTTTTAATGATTGCCATTCTAGCTGGTGTGAGATGGTATCTCATTGTGGTTTTGATTTGCATTGCTCTGATGGCCAGTGATGGTGAGCATTTTTTCATGTGCTTTTTGGCTGCATAAATGTCTTCTTTTGAGAAGTGTCTGTTCATGTCCTTCGCCCACTTTTTGATGGGGTTGTTTGTTTTTTTCTTGTAAATTTGTTTGAGTTCATTGTAGATTCTGGATATTAGCCCTTGTCAGATGAGTAGGTTGCAAAAATTTTCTCCCATTCTGTAGGTTGCCTGTTCACTCTGATGGTAGTTTCTTTTGCTGTGCAGAAGCTCTTTAGTTTAATTAGATCCCATTTGTCAATTTTGGCTTTTGTTGCCATTGCTTTTGGTGTTTTAGACATGAAGTCCTTGCCCATGCCTATGTCCTGAATGGTAATGCCTAGGTTTTCTTCTAGGGTTTTTATGGTTTTAGGTCTAACGTTTAAGTGTTTAATCCATCTTGAATTGATTTTTGTATAAGGTGTAAGGAAGGGATCCAGTTTCAGCTTTCTACATATGGCTAGCCTATTTTCCCAGCACCATTTATTAAATAGGGAATCCTTTCCCCATTGCTTGTTTTTCTCAGGTTTGTCAAAGATCAGATAGTTGTAGATATGCAGCATTATTTCTGAGGCCTCTGTTCTGTTCCCTTGATCTATATCTCTGTTTTGGTACCAGTGCCATGCTGTTTTGGTTACTGTAGCCTTGTAGTATAGTTTGAAGTCAGGTAGTGTGATGCTTCCAGCTTTGTTCTTTTGGCTTAGGATTGACTTGGCAATGCGGGCTCTTTTTTGGTTCCATATGAACTTTAAAGTAGTTTTTTCCAATTCTGTGAAGAAAGTCATTGGTAGCTTGATGGGGATGGCATTGAATCTGTAAATTACCTTGGGCAGTATGGCCATTTTCATGATATTGATTCTTCCTACCCATGAGCATGGAATGTTCTTCCATTTGTATCCTCTTTTATTTCCTTGAGCAGTGGTTTGTAGTTCTCCTTGAAGAGGTCCTTCACATCCCTTGTAAGTTGGATTCCTAGGTATTTTATTCTCTTTGAAGCAATTGTGAATGGGAGTTCACTCATGATTTGGCTCTCTGTTTGTCTGTTATTGGTGTATAAGAATGCTTGTGATTTTTGTACATTGATTTTGTATCCTGAGGCTTTGCTGAAGTTGCTTATCAGCTTAAGGAGATTTTGGGCTGAGACAATGGGGTTTTCTAGATATACAATCATGTCGTCTGCAAACAGGGACAATTTGACTTCCTCTTTTCCTAATTGAATACCCTTTATTTCCTTCTCCTGCCTGATTGCCCTGGCCAGAACTTCCAACACTATGTTGAATAGGAGTGATGAGAGAGGGCATCCCTGTCTTGTGCCAGTTTTCAAAGGGAATGCTTCCAGTTTTTGCCCATTCAGTATGATATTGGCTGTGGGTTTGTCATAGATAGCACTTATTATTTTGAAATACGTCCCATCAATACCTAATTTATTGAGAGTTTTTAGCATGAAGGTTGTTGAATTTTGTCAAAGGCCTTTTCTGCATCTATTGAGATAATCATGTGGTTTTTGTCTTTGGTTCTGTTTATATGCTAGATTACATTTATTGATTTGCGTATATTGAACTGGCCTTGCATCCCAGAGATGAAGCCCACTTGATCATGGTGGATAAGCTTTTTGATGTGCTGCTGGATTCTTTTTGCCAGTATTTTATTGAGAATTGTTGCATCAATGTTCATCAAGGATATTGGTCTAAAATTCTCTTTTTTGGTTGTGTCTCTGCCCGGCTTTGGTATCAGAATGATGCTGGCCTCATACAATGAGTTAGGGAGGATTCCCTCTTTTTCTATTGATTGGAATAGTTTCAGAAGGAATGGTACCAGTTCCTCCTTGTACCTCTGGTAGAATTCGGCTGTGAATCCGTCTAGTCCTGGACTCTTTTTGGTTGGTAAGCTATTGATTATTGCCACAATTTCAGATCCTGTTATAGGTCTATTCAGAGATTCAACTTCTTCCTGGTTTAGTCTTGGGAGACTGTATGTGTCGAGGAAAATAGATAGACTGCTAGCAAGACTAATAAAGAAAAAAAGAGAGAAGAATCAAATAGACGCAACAAAAAATGATAAAGGGGATATCACCACCAATCCCACAGAAATACAAACTACCATCAGAGAATACTACAAACACCTCTACACAAATAAAATAGAATATCTAGAAGAAATGGATAAATTCCAGGACTAAGCTTTTCAGTCAAAAGACATAGGGTGGCTGAATGGGTTAAAAGAAAAAAAAAGACATAATGATTTTTTGCCTAGAAGAAACACAATTCACGTATAAAGACACACACACAGACTGAAAAAAAAGGGATAGAAAAAGATAGTCCATGCAAACAGAAACCAAAATAGAGCAGGAGTAGTTACACTTAACATCAGATAAAATAGATTTCAAGACAAAAACTATCAAAAGAGGCAAAGAAGGTAATTATATAATAATAAAGGGGTCAATTCAGCAAGAAGATATAAATTGCAAATATATATGCATTTAACACGGGATATATAAAGCAAATATTATTAGAGCTAAAGAGAGATAGACCTCAACACAGTAATAGTTGGAGGCTTCAACACCTTACTTTCAGCATTGGAAAGGTCTTTCAGATAGAAAATCAACAAAGAAACATGTGACTTAATCTGCACTATAGACCCTTTAGAAAGGGTAGAAAGGAGTGGGGAGGGACGGGGATAGTTAATGGGTACAAAAATATAGTTAGATAGAATGAATAAGATCTGATATTTGATAGCACAACAGGGTGACCGCAGTAAACAATTTACTATACATTTAAAAACAACTAAAAGGGTATAATTGGATGGTTTATAACATAAAGAAAGGATAAATGCTTGAGGTGATAGATACCCAATTTGTCCTGATGTGATTAGTATGAATTTAAAATATCAAAATACCTCATCTAGGTACATACTATGTACCCACAACATTTAAAAATAAAAAAATCAACATAAATAAATAAAGGAAATGCTAACGTTTTACAGTGTGTGATTTTGGATTTTCATCAATGGATATGCTGAATCCTCCCCAGCATTTGATAATTTTATTTTTAAAAAAGTTAGTAATTTTATTAGATGGATAGTGGAATATTACTGTGGTTTTAATTTGATTTTTTATAACTTGATAATATGAAGTGTCTTTAAATGTGTTATCAGTTTATCTTCTTTGGTGAAGCATTTGTTTGATATTTTCCTCATTTTTTAATTTGGTTGTTTGCCTTCTTATATTGTGTATACAAGTTCTTTGTCAAATATATGTTTTCTGAACATTTTCTTCTAATCAATTGCTTGTCTTTTCATCTTTTAGGAGTGGCTTTTGTAGAATGGAAGTGTTCAATTAGAAGTCCAATTTATTTTTATTCTTGTATGGTTTGTCAGGTATTCAATTTAAGAAACTTTTGTCTAATCCACAGTTGAAAATGTTTTATTCTATATTGTCTCTTAGAAGTTTTAGTTTTAGCTTTTACATTTAGGTCTATGGTTATTTCAAATTAATTTTTGTATATGGCATGAAGTAAACATAAAGATTCATTTCCTTTTGCATGTGAGTGTCCATTTGATCCAGCATTATTTTTTAAGTGTGATCTATAAACAAAGAACAAATGTTCTTGGCATCTTTATTGAAATTAAATTGATCGCATAAGTGTGGGTCTATTTCTGGACTCTTAATTTTATTTCATTGATATATATAGCTATTCTTATAACAATGTCATACTATTTTGATAATGGTAGCATTTCCCTAATTAGTGAAATCAGGAAATGTGAGTCTTATAATTTTGTTTTCTTCCCCTAGATTGTTTCTGCCATGCAAATCCCTTTTTCTCTCCATATAAAATTTAAAATTAGTTTTTCAGTTTCTTGAGAGGAAGAAGGAAACCTACTGGGATTTTGATTAGCATTGTTTTGAATCTATCTATCAATTTGAAAGAACTGACATCTTAACCAGATTGAGTCTTTTGATCTAAAATCAAGACATATATATCACCACTTATTTAGGTCTCTTAAAATTTCTCTCAGCAATGTTTTGTAGTGTTCAGCAAACAAATCTTGCACAACTTTTAAAGATTTATGTCTATTTCATGTTTTTAGATACTATTGTATGTGGTATATAGTTTTTAAAATTTTCAATTCTAAAGATTGTTGCACATGTATAGAAAAATAATTTTTATACATTGATCTTATATTTTGGGCAATGCTAAACTCATTTGGTTTAAAAGCATCATGCTAGTATTCTAGTGAGCATTCATATCATCTGTGAATAAAGACAGCTTTACCTTTTACTTTCCAATATGAATAGGTTTTAATTATTTTTAAAACTTATTCTACTGACTAGAACCTCTGGGACTGTTGAGTAGACTTGGTGAAAGCACACATCCTTGCCTTGTTCCAGGTCTTTGGGAAAAAACACTCAACCTTTCACCATGAAGTGTAATGTGGGCAGTAGATTTTTCATAGATGTCCTTTAGCAGATTTAGAGAGTTTCCTTCCCTTTCAAATTTGCTGAGTTTTTAAAATCAAAAATAGATATTGATTTTGCCAAATGTTTTTTCAGGATCTTTTGAGTTAAACCTATTTTTTTTCACTTTCAGTCTGTTTAAATAAATGATTATATTGATTAATTTCTGAATGTTGAGTCAATTTGCATTTCTTGGATAAACATCACTTGATCATGATGTATCATCCTTTTTATATATTAATGTGTTAGAAATTTATTAAGTAAAAAAAAGTGCTAGAATTTTATTAAGTAAAAAAAAATCTTATCTTTATGAGGAGTATTGGTCTCTCTCTGAGTGTGTGTGTGTGTGTGTCTGTATAAAAATTACTTTGGTTTTGGCATCAGGATAATGCTGTCTCATCAAATCAGATGAGAAATATTTCCTCCTCTATTTTCTGAAAATGTCTTTATAGAATTGGCTTTTTAAAAATTCCTTAAATGTTTGATACATTCACCAGTGAAGCTATTTGAATCTGGAGTTTTCTTTATGGAAAGGTTTTTAACTATAAATTCAATTTGTAGCTAACCAAATTTCAAATAATTAGTGTCATTCCAAGAATTTCCCCATTTAATCTTGGTTTTCAAATTTATTGAAAAGTGTTACCCATACAATACTCTGTATCTTATTAATATCTGTAGGATCTATAATTATATCCCTTTGTTCATTCCTGATATTGGTTATTTGTGTCTTCTATTTTTCTAGACCAATCTGACTGGAGGTTTGTCAATTTTATTGACTCAAAGCACTAGTTTTTGTTATGATTTTCTCTATTGTTTTTCTGTTTCCTTTTCATTGATTTGTGTTCTCATCCTTAGAATTTATTTTCTTACTCTCATTCTGGGTTTAATTTGTCTTCTGTTTCTCATTACTTAAGGCAGAAGCTTACAGCATGGGTTTAAGATTTTAATATAAGTATTAATGCTATAAATTTTTCTCTGAACTCTGCTTTAGATCCATCTCATACATTTTGATATGGTATGTTTTAATTTTCATTCAACTCCACATATTTTCTAATTTTCTTTTGATTTTTTCTTTGATTCATGGATTATAAAAATATGTTGTTTAATTTACACATATGTGAACATTTTCCAGTCAAATGTATTTTTATTGTGGACAGAGAACTTCCACAGTATGATTGCAATTTATTTAAATTTGGTGTATTTTGTGGTCCCATATATAATCTTTCTTGATAAATATTCCACGTGCATTTGAAAATATTGTATATTTGGTTATTATGGTTTGAAAGATTCTCTAAATATCAGTTAGGTCAAGTTGGTTGATAATGTTTTTCAAGTCTTCATGTCCTTTCTGATGTTTTTATTTGGTTGGTTGGTTACGTGTTCTATCAACTATTGAAAAAACGGTGTTGAAATCTCCAACCATATTTACAGAAATCCATCTAGGATTTCGTTCAGTTCTGTTTTCTCATTATATATTTTGCTATATCTTTTCAATGAACCATCTCCTTTATCCTCATTTAGTGTTCCTTTTTATTATAATATTTATTATTCTGAAATCTACCTTTTTAAAAATTATACTTTAAGTTCTGGGATACATGTGCAGAACATGCAGGTTTGTTACATAGGTATACACCTGCCATGGCGGCTTGCTGCAGCCATCAACCCGTTATCTACATTAGGTATGTCTCCTAATGCTATCCCTCCACTTGCCCCCCACCCCCCGACAGGCCCTGGTGTGTGATGTTCCCCTCCCTGTGTCCATATGTTCTCATTGTTCGACTCCCACTTATGAGTGAGAACATGCAGTGTTTGGTTTTCTCTTCCCGTGTTAGTTTGCTGAGAATGATGGTTTCCAGCTTCATCCATGTCCCTGCAAAGGACATGAACTCATCCTTTTTTATGGCTGCATAGTATTCCATGGTGTATATGTGCCACATTTTGTTTATCCAGTCTATCAATGATGGGCATTTGGGTTAATTCCAGGTCTTTGCTATTGTGAATAATGCCACAATAAACATATGTGAGCATGTGTCTTTATGGTAGAATGACTTACAATCTTTTGGGTATATACCCAGTAATGAGATTGCTGGGTCAAATGGTATTTCTAGTTCTAGATCATTGAGGAATGACCACACTGTCTTCCACAATGGTTGAACTAATTTACACTCCCACCAACAGTGTAAAAGCATTCCTATTTCTCCACATCCTCTCCAGTGTCTGTTGTCTCCTGACTTTTTAATGATTGTCATTCTAACTAGCATGAGATGGTATTTCACTGTGGTTTTGATTTGCATTCTCTAATGACCAGTGATGATGAGCAGTTATTTCATATGTTTGTTGGCCACATAAATGTCTTCTTTGACAAGTGTCCATTCATATCTTTGGCCCGCTTTTTGATGGGGTTGTTTTTTTCTTGTGAATTTGTTTAAGTTCTTTGTAGATTCTGGATATTAGACCTTCATTAGATGGATAGATTGCAAAAATTTTCTCCCATTCTGTAGGTTGCCTGTTCACTCTGATGGTAGTTATTTTGCTGTGCAGAAGCTCTTTAGTTTAATTAGATCCCATTTGTCAATTTTGGCTTTTGTTGCAATTGCTTTTGGTGTTTTATTCATGAAGTCTTTGCCCATGCTTATGTGCTGAATGGTATTGCCTTGGTTTTTTTCTAGGGTTTTTATGGTTTTATGTTTAAATCTTTAATTTGATGCAATAAACTTACATGTGCATGTGTCCTTATAGTAAAATGATTATAGTAGAATGACTTATAATCCTTTGGGTATATACCCAGTATATGCCCAATTGCAACAAAAGCCAAAATTGACAAATGGGATCTAATTAAACTAAAGAGCTTCTGCACAGCAAAAAAACTACCATCTGGGTATATACCCAAAGATTTAAGAAATTTTAAAAAGTCAATTCTATAAAGACATTTTCAGAAAAATAGAGAGAAAATATTTCTCATCTGAGTATATTGAGTTTATTTTTGTATAAGTTGTAAGGAAGGAGTTCATAAGGGGTCCAAACATTTAAGGAATTTTAAAAAGCCAATTCTATAAAGACATTTTCAGAAAATAGAGGAGGAAATATTTCTTATCTGATTATATTGAGTTTATTTTTGCATAAAGTGTAAAGAAGTGGTCCAGTTTCAATTTTCCTTTCCCCATTGCTTGTTTTTGTCAGGTTTGTCAAAGATCACATGGTTGTAGACGTGTGGTATTATTTCTGAGGCCTTGGTTCTGTTCCATTGGTCCATGTATCTGCTTTGGTACCAGTACCATGCTGTTTTGATTACTATAGCCTTGTAGTATAGTTTGAAGTCAGGTAGCGTGATGCCTCCAGCTTTGTTCTTTTTCCTTAGGATTGTCTTGGCTATGTGGGCTCTTTTTTGGTTCCATATGAAATTTAAAGTAGTTTTTCTAATTCTGTGAAGAAAGTCAATGGTAGCTTGATCAGGATAGCATTAAATCTATAAATTACTTTGGGCAGTATGGCTATTTTGGCAATATTGATTCTTCCTATCCATGAGCATGGAATGTTTTTCCTTTTGTTTCTGTCCTCTCTTATTTCCTCGAGCAGTGGTTTGTAGTTCTCCTTGAAGAGGTCCTTCACATCCCTTGTAAGTTGGATTCCTAGGTATTTTATTCTCTTTGTAGCAATCGTGAATGGGAGTTTGCTCATGATTTGGCTGTCTGCTTGTCTATTATTGGTGTATAGGAATGCTTGTGATTTTTGCACATTGATTTTGTATCCTGAGACTTTGCTGAAGTTGCTTATCAGCTTAAGGAGATTTTGGGCTGAGTTGATGGGGTTTCCTAAATATACAATTATGTCATCTGCAAACAGAGATTATTTGACTTCCTCTCTTCCTATTTGAATACCCTTTATTTCTTTCTCTTGCCTGATTTCCCTGGTCAGAACTTCCAATACTATGTTGAATAGGAGTGGTGAGAGAGGGCATCCTTGTCTTGTGCCGGTTTTCAAAGGGAATGCCTCCAGTTTTCGCCCATTCAGTATGATATTGGTTGTGGGTTTGTCATAAATAGCTCTTATTATTTTGAGATATGTTCCATCACTACCTAGTTTATTGAGTGTTTTCACCATGAAGTGGTGTTGAATTTTATCAAAGGCCTTTTATGCATCTATTTAGATAATCATATGGTTTTTGTCAATGGTTCTGTTTATGTGATGGATTACCTTTATTTTTTGTGTATGTTGAACCAGCCTTGTGTCACAGGGATGAAGCCAACTTGATCATGATGGATAAGCTTTTTAATGCACTGCTAGATTCAGATTGCCAGTATTTTATTCACAATTTTCACATCTATGTTCATTAAGGATATTGGCCTGAAATTTTCTTTTTATGATGTGTCTCTGCTATGTTTTGGTGTTGGATGATGCTGGCTTCATAATATGAGTTACGGAGGAGTCCCTCTTTTTCTATAGTTTGGAAGAGTTTTAGGAGGAATGGTATCAGCTCCTCTTTGTACCTCTGGTAGAATTCAGCTATGAATCTTTCTGGTCCTGGGCTTTTTTTTTTTTTTTTTGGTTGATAGGCTATTAATTACTGCCTCAATTTCAGAACTTGTTATTGATCTATTCAGGGATTTGACTTCTTCCTTGTTTAGTCTTGGGAGGGTGTGTGTGTCCAGGAATTCATCCATTTCTTCTAGATTTTCTAGTTTCTTTGCATAGAGGTGTTTATAGTATTCCCTCATGGTAGTTTGTATTTCTGTGGGATCAGTGGTGATCTCCCCTTTATCATTTGTTACTGTGTCTATTTGATTCTTCTCTCTTTCCTTCTTTATTAGTCTGGCTAGCAGTCTATCTAATTTGTTAATCTTTTCAAAAAACCAGCTCCTGGATTCGTTGATTTTTTTGAAGGGTATTTTGTGTCTCTATCTCTTTCATTTCTGCTCTTAGTTTTTTCTTGTCTTCTGCTAGTTTTTGAATGTGTTTGCTCTTGCTTCTCTAGTTATTTTAATTGTGATGTTAGGGTGTCAATTTTAGATCTTTCCGCCTTTCTCCTGTGGGCATTTAGTGCAATAAATTTCCCTCTACACACTGCTTTAAATGTGTTCCAGAGATTCTGGTACCTTGTGTCTTTATTCTCATTGGTTTCAAATAACTTATTTATTTCTGCCTTAATTTCGTTATTTACCCAGTAGTCCTTCAGGAGCAGGTTGTTCAGTTTCCATGTAGTTGTGCAGCTTTGAGTGAGTTTCTTAATCCTGAGTTCTAATTTGATTCACTGTGGTCTTAGAGACTCTTTGTTATAATTTCTGTTCTTTTACATTTGCCGAGGAGTGTTTTACTTCCAATTATGTGGTCAATTTTATAATAAGTGCTACGTGGTGCTGAGAAGGATATATATTCCGTTGATCTGGGGTAGAGAGTTCTGTAGATGTCTATTAGGTCTGCTTGGTCCAGAGCTGAGTTCAAGTCCTGAATATCCTTGTTAATTTTCTGTCTCATCGATCTGTCGAACATTGACAGTGGGATGTTAAAGTCTCCCACTATTATTGTGTGGGAGTCTAAGTCTCTTTGTAACTCTCTAAGAACTTGCTTTATGAATCCAGGCGCTCCTGTATTGGGTGGATATATATTTAGGATAATTAGCTCTTCTTGTTGCATTGATCCCTTTACCATTATATAATGCCTTTCTTTGTCTTTTTTGATCTTTGTTAGTTTAAAGTCTGTTTATCAGAGACTAGGATTGCAACTCTTGCTGTTTTTTTTTCCTTTCCATCTGCTTTGTATATCTTCCTCCATCCCTTTATTTTGAGGCTATATGTGTCTTTGCACATGAGATGGGTCTCCTGAATACAGCACACCAATGGGTCTTGACTCTTTATCCAGTTTGCCAGTCTGTGTCTATTAATTGGGGCATTTAGCCCATTTACTTTTAATGTTAATATTGTTATGTATGAATTTGATCCTGTCATTATGATGCTCGCTGGTTATTTTGTCCATTAGTTGATGTAGTTTCTTTATAGTGTTGATGGTCTTTACATTTTGGTGTTTTTGCAGTGGCTGGTACCAGTTTTTCTTTTCCATATTTAGTGCTTCCTTTAGGAGCTCTTGTAAGGCAGGCCTGGTGGTGACAAAATCCCTCAGCATTGGCTTGTCTGGAAAGGATTTTATTTCTCCTTCACTTATGAAGCTTAGTTTGGCTGGATATAAAATTCTGGGTTTAAAATTGTTTCCTTTAAGAATGTTGAATATTGACCTCCACTCTCTTCTGTCTTGTAACGTTTCTGCAGAGAGATCCACTGTTAGTCTGATGGGCTTCCCTTTGTGGGTAAACCAACCTTTCTCTCTGTCTGCCCCTAACATTTTTTTCCTTCATTTCGACCTTGGTGAATCCGATGATTATGTGTCTTGGGATTGCTCTTCTCGAGGAGTATCTTTGTGGTGTTCCTGTATTTCCTGAACTAGAATGTTGGTCTGTCTTGCTAGGTTGGGTAAGTTCTCCTGGATAGTATCCTGAAGTGTGTTTTCCATCTTGGTTCCATTCTCCCTGTCACTTTCAGGTACAGCAATCAAACGTAGGTTTGGTCTTTTCACATGGTCCCATATTTCTTGGAGGCTTTATTCATTCCTTTTCATTCTTTTTTCTCTACTTTTGTCTTCACATTTTATTTCATTAAGTTGATCTTCAGTCTCTGATATCTTTTCTTCCGCTTGATTGATTCAGCTATTTATACTTGTGTATGCTTCACGATGTTCTTGTGCTGTATTTTTCAGCTCCATCAGGTCATTTATGTTCTAATCCAAATTGGTTATTCTAGTAAGCAATTCCTGTAATCTTTTGTCAAGGTTCTTAGCTTCCTTGCATTGGGCTAGAACATGCTCCTTTAGGCTCGGAGGAGTTTGTTATTACCCACCTTCTGAAGCCTACTTCTGTCAATTCATCAAACTCATTCTTTGTCTAGTTTTGTTCTCTTGCTAGTGAGGAGTTGTGATCCTTTGGAGGAGAAGAGGCATTCTGGTTTTTGGAATTTTCAGCCATTTTGCACTGGTTTTTCCTCATCTTCATGGATTTATCTACCTGAAATTTATCTTTTGATTAGCATTTGCTTAATTGTCTTTTTCTATCCTTTTAATTTTCATCAATATGTTTGTATATTTCAAGTGTTTTCCTTGTAGGCAGCAAGTAGTTGGGTCTTGCTTTTTAATTCAGTTTGCCCATCTCTACATTTTAATTAGGATATTTAGATATCTTTAATATGATTGCTATGGTAGCATTTAAGTTTACTACCTTATTAATTATTTTCTATTCATCCCAAGTGTTTTTTTTCTTTTTCTGAATTTTTCGGATTAATTGGATTTTTTTAAAGTTTTTTTCTATTTTTATCTTCACAATTTGTTAGTTGGTGATACCTCCTTATTGTATTTTATTGGTTTTTTAGGCTTTAAACTACATGTTTAACTTATTAGATTATACCTTCAAATAGTGTTGTAACATTTAATGTTCATTTTAAGAAACTTAGAACAGTATGCTTCTCTCTTCTACCTCCCATCATTTGCTCTATTGTTACCATGAATTTGACTTCTACAAATATTACCAGCACCATTATATAATGTTACAACTTTTGCTTTAGATTATCATCTTTTAAAAGTTTTAAATATAAGACAAATTACCTTTTATTCTTATTTTACCAATTGTAGTTATCTTCATATCTTTGTATTGATATACTTTTCCACCTGTTGTTGTACTCCTTCTTTCAGAAAATCTTTTATTAACTTTTTTTGTATGCTAGCAATTAATGTTTTCAGCTTTTACTTGCCTGTAAAAATATTTATTTATCTTTATTTTTAAAGTTGTATTAGAGTTCTAGATTGATTTTTCCCCTTCTATACTTAAATATCTTACTTTATCTTCTAACTTCCATAGTTTCTGTGAAAACTCTATTTTAATATTTATTTTGACTTTTGCATGCAGTATTTGTTCATCTTTGCTTTTTGTTGATTAACTATTACATGTCTAGGGGTGTGTTTCTGTACATGCATTTGTATTTCTCTAGACTGAGGTTCTCTGAGATTCTTGTATCTATTAGCCTTTTATTATTTTAGAAAAATCTTAACTATCAACTTTTCAGACATTATTCTTGCCTTTCTCTTTCTCTTCTTCTGACACTGTAATTCTACATATATCGGATGATTTGATATTGTCCCCCAGATTTTGTATGTTTTGTTTGTTTTTCACTTGTTTTTTTCTTTGTGTTTTAATTTTGATAATTTATATTGATCTATCTGAAACTTTATTGATTCTTCAATGTATTGTCTTTTATAAGCCTGTCAAATACATTATTTATTCCTTGTTTCATGATTTCTATTTCTACTATTTCCACTTGACACTTTCTTGCAGTCTCTTTTTTGCTACTGAAATTCCCTTTAAGAACATTATTTTCTAAAATGTAATATGAAAATTGTATCTTTCCTCTTATCTCATATGGTTACGAGAATTAAATAAGTTAATACATGTCAGAAAGGGGTTCTGTACATTATAAAGCTCTATACAAATGTAAACATTCATTGAACAAATATTTACCATGTCCCTCCTTGGACCAACACATATGATGTACAGGTTGTTTATTGCACCAAGGAATGCACTGGGGTGAGTGGGACTGAAATTCATCTCCTGCTGGTTCACCAACAATGTGCTCTGACTTGGAGTTATTTCTGCCAAGAGGAAGGGGCCCATTTTGCAATTTAATAGTGACTACTTGAGCTCCTTCTATGGTTGGAAATCAGTAAGGCACTAGGCATAGAGGGATGAATAAGATACAATGTGATGGCAGGCACAAATGCTGATTAGGATGGCCTACAGATATGTACACAATGTAAATTGATAACAAATATATAAAAAATGATTATATAATTCTAAGTTTTCTCTTATAGAACTAACAAATAGTAATTCCCCTCTCTGTTGTTCATCATACAGGTATGTGTAAGTACTATTTGCAGATAGTTGATGAGGAGAGAGAGCGAAAAAGCCTAGCCTAAGTTATAAAAGCACTTGGAACAATGTTTTCATTCAACTAAAAACTATTTGAAAATAATTTCAGGTAAAATTCTATTAAATATAAAACCTCAGTCATTAAAATTGGTTAAGTCTTAATCTTGAAAGAAATAGATTCATTTTAAAAGATATCAAGCCATGTCTAAGCTATATGGCCTAGTGTCAATTACTTAGCCTCTAAGAGCTGTTATATTGCCTGTAGAAAGGGAACAATGAAAATAATCAAAACATTGATTGCTGCCTTCCCATATGATAATATCTCAATTTTTGAACACTTGTTAGAATCACCATGCACCCAAATTACATATGTGTACAGGTATCACTATATATAAACCCCAGCTAAAGACTCACTTTCTCAATGGTATCCAGTGGTTTCTGTGATACCTTATCTCTATCTGTAACTCCCCTCACATCTCCTTGTGAAGTCTTAAGAAACATATATATTGGTCTCTGTCTTTATATATTGGCCCAGAGCTTCTAGAATCCTCATAGTTTCCTAAAGAATAAGGGTGCTAACAGAATCTATTCTTCCAATATTTGATTTTCGACTTCCTAATTCCTGACACAGAGTTCCCAAATCCCTTGGAATATTCTAGGTGCTAAGAGCAACTTTTGTTCTAATGAGGTGACTGTTGGTGGGCTTTTTGATGTGGTCTGGTCACCAGGAGGATCAAGCCATGATTATAAGCTTGGAGCTTTCAGCCCCACCGTCGTATTCTCCAGGGAGGGAAGAAAGGCTGAAAATGGAGTTAATATGCAATCATGCCTATGCAATGAGGCCTCCAAAAAAATTCCCAAACCATGTGGTTCAGAGAGCTTCTGGGGTGGCAAATATGTCCATATACTGGGAAGGTGACATGCCCCAACTCCATGAGCACAGAAGCGCCTGTGCTTAGGACCCTCCCAGACCTTCCCCTACATACCTTTTCACTTGGCTGTTTATGGGTACCCTTCTTTATAGCATTTATTAGTAAACTGGTAAATGTATGTAAAGTGTTTCCCCAAGTTCTGTGAGCTGCTCTAGCAAATTATTCAAAGATGGGGAGAAAGTTGAAACCCAATTTAGAGCCAGTTAGTCAGAAGCACAGGTCACAACCTGGGGCTTGCAATAGGCATCTGAAGTGGGGGCCGTTTTTTAGGACTCAGCCCTCAACCTGTGGGATCTTATACTATCTCTGGGTAGATAGTGTCAGAACTGAATTGAATGAGAGGACACCCAGCTGGTGGCTGCTGCAGAATTGCTTGGTATGTGTCGAAAACCTCCCACAAAAGTATTCTATGCTAAGTATGAGAGAAAAACTTTGGTCTTTCTTATCCTTAACACTCCTCTTTCTCTTGGCCTATCAATTCTGCCACCAACCCTGGTGATCACTGCCAGTCCGGCCCTTGAAATATGCCCATGGTCACTGTTGATTACACTATTAATATTCTCAAGTTTCTAACTAGGTCTTATGTTACTGCTTCTTTTTGCACAATCCATGCTGCTCCTTACTCTAGAAAACTTGGAGGAAATAATGACTTCATATGGGAACCAGCAATAGGAAAGAGGAGAAAAAGAGAAATCTCATATTACTACTTATTGTTGCCATAATTTCTTCCTCTTATTCTGTTCATCAACTTGCAAACCACGCCCCTTATCTCTCTTCTTTCTGCATCAGAATATGTAAGCTGACTATACCACTTCTCCCATGAGAGCACCATTGCTGACTCTAACACAATGTGTCAGTGGAATGTGCAATGGTGAGTAGTGTTGGCTTGGAGTGGTGGCAGGACTTGGAATTGGTAGAGAAAAAAGGGCAAAACAATACGAAAAGAAAAAGCTAGTTATTTTATAATCTCCTGGGATTCATTTCAAATTATATATTTTATCTCATTTTGTTCAGATCCTATCTCTTATCTTCTCTAGGTCTCCAGAGAGTATCAGTCCATATTCACAGCTTTTAGCTACCTCAGGCTTCTTGTTCTAAATTTTACATTCCTAGATAATTCATTTATCATTATATTCTGACAACCTAACAGAGTACCTGAAAGATGAATGGATGTTGAGGAAATGATTTAACCAAGACTTGAAGCACTAAATTCTTAATTTACCTGCCTATCAAGAGTGTCAGGTGACAATGAGAGTATTGTCCAGGTCCATTGTCCCAAAAATCCTTAGTTGGATTTAATATCCCATTTGTCCAGAGAAATTCTGTTGTTTTGGAAGGTAGATTTTGAAAATAGCAGACTTACTTAATACACATGAGAGGAATGATTTTAGGACTGAGATTAGTAGAACTGATGTGATGCTGATGGTGATGGTGACTGCCATGAAGTTGCTGCTGCTGATAAACTGTCTTCCAAGACAAAATTGTTCAGCAGGCAAAGTTAATTTTGGAGATAATTTTATCCTTTTCCATTTCCATTCCGTGCTGTTCTTTGACAGACCTGGCAAGTTCTCCTAGTATAAAAAAATCCCCTTATCTGTCCTTCTGCCTATCAGCTTTTTTTTTTTTTTTTTTTTTTTTTTTTTTTTTTTTGAGACAGAGTCTTGCTCTGTCACCCAGGCTGGAGTGCAGTGGCCCGATCTCGGCTCACTGCAAGCTCGGCCTCCCAGGTTCACACCATTCTCCTGCCTCAGCCTCTTGAGAATCTGGGACTACAGGCGCCCGCCACCGCCCCCGGCTAATTTTTTGTATTTTTTAGCAGAGATGGGGTATCACCGTGGTCTCGATCTCCTGACCTCATGATCTGCCCGCCTTGGCCTCCCAAAGGGCTGGGATTACAGGCGTGAGCCACCGTGCCCGGCCTGCCTATCAGCTTTTTACCAATAGCCATCCTATTGTCTCAGAAATCTTTGTAAACTCAACTTTCACTGAAGCCACAGTCTAGTAAACCATGCTTTGTTAATGTGTCTGCCTAAGGTCACCAGTGATCGTTATGAGAATCATTAGTGTTGATTTTTAAGTCCTTAAAAAAATAACATATAACTTACAGTGAAGTATACATACCTTAAGTAAATAGCCGGATCAACTTTGACAAACACATACAAATGTAATCTACATCCATCAAGATACAGAACAATTCTATCACCTCTCTAGAAAGTTTCCTATTGTTTCTCTCCCAGTCAATCCTTCAATGCAGAAGCAACCACTATTTTGTTTCCTGCCATCATTGGCTGTTTTCTATGATGTGTTCTAGAATTATGTATAAATGGAATCACACACTTTATACGTTTTTTTGTGCCTGGTTTCTTTTGCTCAATATTTGGTGTTATAGATTTAACCACATCATTGAATATTCAGTAGTCCATTCATTTTTGTTGCTAGGTAATATTCTGTAATATGAATATTCCATAGTTTGCTTAATCATTCTTGGTTGATAGACACTTGTACTATTTTCATTTTTTAGCAGTATGAATAAAGCTGCTATGAAAATGTATTAAGGAGATTTTCTGTGGACATATGTTTCATTTTCTTGTTAAACATCTAAGGTCATAGAACAGTACATATTTCACTGCTTAAGAAACTGGCTAATAGTTTTACAAAGCAGTTTTTAACATTTTATTTTCATACCAGCAATTTATGAAATTTCCAGATGGTACCGACTCATCAGAATTTGGTGTTGTCAGTCTTTTAAAATTTAGCCACGAGTCAATGTATAATGCTGTCTTGTCATTTTATTTACAATTCTCAGACAAGTAATGATGTTGAGCACATTTTCATAGGCTTATTAAATGCCTGTATTTATATTTTTGTAAAGTATTTTTCCAAATCTTTTGGCCTTTTTAAAAATAGATTACTTTTCTCCATTCTTTCTTAAAAAGTTTACTTTATTTTATTATTGAGTTTAGTCCTTTACAGATTCTTGATACAAACTTTCTGTTATTGATATATGTTGTGAATGAATATTTTCTCATTTGTGGCCTCCCCTCCCCTCCCCTCCCCTCCCCTTCCCTCCCCTCCCCTCTGCTTTTCTCTCCTCTCCATCCTTCTCCTCTCCATCCTTCTCCTCTCCTCTCCCTTCTTCTCTTTTTTTTTGCTTTGACAAGAGTTTTGCTCTGTTGCCCAGGCTGGTATGCAGTGGCACTATCTCGGCTCACTGCAACCTCCGCCTCGCGGGTCCAAGCGATTCTCCTGCATCAGCCACCCGAGTTGCTGGGATTACAGGCGTGTGCCACTACACCTGTTAATTTTCGTATTTTTATTTTTTATTTTTATTATTATTATTTTTTTTGAGACGGAGTCTTGCTCTGTCGCCCAGGCTGGAGTGCAGTGGCCCGATCTCGGCTCACTGCAAGCTCCACCTCCTGGGTTCACACCATTCTCCTGCTTCAGCCTCCCGAGTAGCTGGGACTACAGGTGACCGCCACCGTGCCTGGCTAATTTTTTGTATTTTTTAGTAGAGGCGGGGTATCACCGTGGTCTCGATCTCCTGACCTCGTGATCTGCCCGCCTTGGCCTCCCAAAGTGCTGGGATTACAGGCGTGAGCCACCGCGCCTGGCCAATTTTCATATTTTTAGTAGAAACAAGTTTTCTCCATATTGGTCAGGCTGGTCTCTAATTCCTGACCTCAAGTGACCCGCCCACCTCAGCCCTCCAAAGTGCTGGCATGAGCCGCCGCGCCTGGCCAGTTTCTTTTAATACTCAAATGTTTTAAATTTTGATGAGGTCTAATTTATCAATTTTCTATTTAGCACTTTCTGTATCTTTTCTAAGAATTCATCACAGGAGCCCCCAAGGTCATGAAGATATTTTTCTTTATAGCCCTTGCTGTTACATTTAAATTTATGATCCATTAGAGTTCATTTGTGTATGGTACGAGGAGGGCTTTTTAAAATATAGATATCCAGTTATTCCAGCATGATTTGTTGAAAAACTTGTCTTTCCCTGCTAAATTTATTTGGTACTTTCATAAAAAATTTATGTGTTGGATACCTTTCTGGATTCTTGATTCTGTTCTACTGATTTAGTTTTCTATCCTTTTGTCAATACCACACTTGAATATTGCAACTTTTTACTAGGTCTAGAAATTAGGTAGCATAGATCATCTGACTACACCTCTCTTTTTCACAATGATTTTGTAAATTTTAGGTTTTTTAAAATTTCTATATAAGATTTTATCTTGTCACTTTCTTAAAAAAATCTTACTTGGATTTTGATTGGGATTGCATTAGATCTACAGATCAATTTAGGGACCAATGCATTTTAACAATATTGACACTTCCATTCCATGAATATGGCATAGGTTGTGAATTTAATTGTGTCTTCCCCACCAAAAAATGTCTCACAGTACCATATTTAGAAATAGGATCATTGCAGATATAATTAGTTAAGTTCATGTGAGATCATATTGGATTAGGGAGGTCCCTTAATTCAATATTTAACTGGTGTCCTTATAAGAGAAGACAGACATATGAAGTGTTGTGTGATGATGGAGGAAGAGACGGAAATGCTACACCTACAAGTCAAGGAATGTCAATAATTAGAAACTAAGAAGAGGCAAGAAAGGGTTCTCCCCTACAGATTTCACGGGAAATATATATTTGCCGACACCTTGATTATAAACTTTTGGCCTCCAGAACTATGAGACAATAACATTTCTGTTTGAACCTTCTTACTATGTTTATTTATTTTTCTTTATTCTCTACTCCCTTCTCCAGTCCCCACTGGTTCTCTTGTTCATCAATTTTATTTAGACAACAGTAATTTTAAATAATGTATTTGATTGCCATTGCTTCTTGATTCATTCTTCTTCCTCAACTTCAAGTTGTAGCTGGAAGATTTGTTATTCAGGTACATCCATTAAGCTATTCATCTAGTCTATTATGTTTTTGAATTATAAATTTAACAATTATATTTTTATTTTTGTCACTGTTGATTCATTCTTCTTCAATATCTTTTTTCTTTCCAAAAATATTAATTATATTTACCTGCAGTTCAATTCTAGATGCTTTATTATCTCTGTTTCTCGGGTATAAGTTATTGTTTGCTTCCTTACTTTTAAAGTGATAATGATAAAATGATAAACTTCATGTATATTAAAAATGGCTTTGTCCTAAAATGAGGGAGAAGTGCATATTTATTCTTTCTTCCTACATTTTGCAACTGAAATCTCCTGGTAGATAGCTCCCCTTCTTGACCAGGCTACCTGAGAGGAGTGATAAAAGAGATTGTTGGAGTTTTTGTTCTTTGCTATTTTTTGCTATAAGAGATAGACTGATGAGGTATACTGCTTAGTGAGGTGTCTTTGCAGATGTATTTCTGAACTGAACTAAATTGTTCCTAGTCTCAGCAGCCATCAGACCACTGCTCTGCAACTTGCCTTAAGCACTTCTACTACCTGAAGACATATAGCTCTGTTGCAGCTTCTTAGTGCACAAGGGTGTTAATGCATGTAGGGGTAAATTGCCTTGGCTGATATCACCACAGTTCTCCAACTAAACCCTTGTTAATTTCTCCTCGGTCTCTTTCTGCCTTCTTCTTCTGCCATGTTCAGACACATCTTAAACTTGATATTGCTTTGCTATTCTGCCGTAGATTTGGGTTGTGTTTTCCTCAATGTTTCTAGTTCTCTAAGATTTATTCTTTTTTTAATGTGAAAAATTATGACACAGTCACTTAAAAATATTCTATATTATTTCTAGGGTTTTGTATGGGAAGGAAGACTATACTCTTTCCATTGAACCAAAAGATCACTCCTGAACAAACAAAATTTTAGAAAATATTAAGTTACCTAGGTCAGAAACTTAGAAGTCATCCAAAGGAGAGATACATTAACATTTAAGATTTTTGGGCTGGGTGCGGTGGCTCATGCCTGTAATCCCAGCACTTTGGGAGGCAGAGGCCGGTGGATTGCCTGAGGTCAGGAGTTTGAGACCAGCCTGGCCAACATAGTGAAACCCCGTCTCTACTGAAAAAAAAAAAAAAAGTACAAAAAATTAGTTGGGCATGGTGGCGGGTGCCTGTAATCCCAGCTACTCGGGAGGCTGAGGCAGGAGAATCACTTGAACCCAGGAGGCAGAGGTTGCAGTGAGCCGAGATTGCGCCATTGCACTCCAGCCTGGGCAACAAGAGCGAATCTCTGTATCAAAAAAATAAAAATAAAAAGATTTTTGTATTTTGGGTTAAAAATTTTAGCAAACAATGGTTTTGTTCCATGAGTACTTCTAAGTTATAAATGTAAATTGACTGAATGAAGTACAACATAACTTGAAAGAAATAAGAATATTATAATAAATATTCAGCATATAAAAATTGTGAGGCATGACATTACAAAAATGGCAGAATAGAAGGGAATTTGCTCACATTCCCCCTCCTCAACAACATACTCTGTATTCATCCACAGTCAAAAGTCTCTGTGGAAATCTTTAAGTTAAGGTTCATCTAGGCTGGAAAGCTGTGTCAACCTTGAAGTCCTAATGAGAACTGTAGCAGACCTGGGCTTAAAGTGTCCCTCAGTGCTGAGATGGCTGCAGTTGGTCACAAGCTATGGAAAGACCACAGCCAGTCACCTTAGAATCTCTGGAAAGTTCTTTGGTGAAGGACAGGCACAAAGAAAGCCAGACTTCAAAAACTGAAATACCTTAACTCTCAACACACAGGCATTATCACACTTCTACAAGTACCAAAAACATTTAGGGCAATATGACCTCACCAAATAGACAAAACAAGGCAGCAGAGAGTGACCCTAAAGTTACGGACACATGTAATCTCTCAGACAAAGGATTCAAAATAGCTGTTTTAAGGAAGCTCAATGAACTTCAACAAAACACAGAGAATCAATTCAGAAATGTATCAGAAAAAAATTTAACAGACAGGTTAAAATAATTTTTAAAAAATCAAACAGAAATTTTGGAGCTGAAAAATACAATGAATGAAACTGAAAATGCCATAGAGAGCATCAACAGCAGAATTGATCAAACAGAAGAAAGAATCAGTGATTTAAAAGAGAGACTACTTGAAAATACACAGAGAAGAGAAAAGAAAAAAAAAACAAAAAGAAATGAACAAAGCTTACAGAATCTGTGGGACAACATAAAACAAATATTCAGATTATTGGAGATAAAGATGAAACTGAGAAAGAAAAAGAAGTAGAAAGCTTATTTAAAAAATAATAACAGAAAACCCTCTAAATGTAGAGAAAGATACAAATAAATACACAGGTACAGGAAAGTCAAAGATCACCAATCAGATTCACCTCAATTGAAGATATTCTAAAACATGTCATAATTAAACTTGCAAAGGTCAAAGACAAAGAGAAAACCCTGAAAGCAGTGAGAGAAAAGAAGAAAGTAACATATAAGAGAGAGTGGGACAATATTTTCAGAGTGTTGAAAAAAAAAGCAATCAAGAATATTGTACTCAGTGAAATTAGACCTCAGGAAATAAAGGATAGATAAAAAGACTTTCCCAGACAAACAACGCTGAGGGAATTTATTGTTTCCACATCTGTCCTATAATAAATGCTAAAGGGATTTCTTCAAATCGAAAGAAAAGGCCACTAACATAATTGTTATGCTTATATTGTAATTGCAGTATTTAAACCACTTATATCTTTAGTAGGAAGACTAAAAGATACAACAATTTAAAATAATAACAACTACAACAATTTGTTAAGAGATAGGCAATATAAAGTATGTAAATTCTGACATAAAATTCAAAATATGGGGGGATAAAAGATTTAATGTGTACTAGTTTTGGGTTTTTTTGCTTTGTTTCTTTGCTTTTTTGGCTATCAAAGTTAAGTTGGTATCAGTTTAAAATATTTGTTATAACTATATGATGTTTTTGGTAAGCCTTACAGTAAACAAAAGCAAAACCTTATAACAGATACACTAAAAATAAAAAGCAATGAATTAAAACATACTATCAGGGAAAATTACTTAACCACAAAGATAAGAAGAAAGGAAGAAATGATGTGAGGATTTACACAATAATTAGTAAACAAGCAAGAAAATGGAAGTAGTTTTACCTATCAATAATAACATTGAATGTTTAATGGACTAAATTCTCCAATTAAAAGACATAGTGGTTGAATGGATTAAAAACCTCACAGCCAGGCATGGCAGCACATGCCTGTGATCCCAGCTACTCAAGAGACTGAGGTGGGAGGATTGCTTGAATCCAGGAGTGTGAGAACAGCCTGGGCAACATAGTGAGACCTAATCTTTACAAAAAAAACAATACTTCAGTATATGCTGCTTACAGGAAACTTTCTTCTCCTATAAAGACACACATAGGCTGAAAGTGAAGGAATAAAAAAAGGTATTCCATGCAAATAAAAAACTAACAGAAGAACAGGAGTAGCTACACTTGTATTAGATAAAACAGATGTTAAGTCAGAAACTGTCAAAAGAGACAAAAAGGTAATTGTATAATAATAAAGAGGTCAATTCAGCAAAAGGATAAAAAAATAGTAAACGTATATGCAACCATCATTGGAACACCCCAATATAGGAAGCAAATATTAATAGGGCCAAAAGGTGAGATAGAATGAAATATAATAATAACAGGGGACTTCAGCATCCTACTTTCAGCAATGGATGGATCATCCAGGCAGAAAATAAATAAAAAAAAATTAGTGTAAAACTACATACTCTGAACCAAATGGACCTAACAGGCATTTACAGAAAATTTCATTCAACTGCTGCAGAATACGCATTCTTCTCATCAGTACATAGAACATACTCTAAGACAGACCCTATGTTAGGTCACAAAACAATCCCAAATAAATTTAAAAGTACCAAAATCACATCAAGTATTCTTTCTGACCACAACAAAGTAAAAGAACATTTAAAAACCTCAATAATAAGAGGGACTTTGAAAACTGCACAAAAACATGGAAATTAAACAACATTCTCCTGAACAATCAATGGGTCAGTGAAGACATTAAGAAGGAAATTTAAAAATGTATTTACTTATGTGGAGCATATTTTTAAAAGTAAATAAATTTATTGAAATAAATTAAAATGAAAACACAACATACCAGAACTTATGAGACACAGCAAAATGGTACTAAGAAGAAAGTTTATAGCAGTAAATGCCTTCGTCTAAAAAACAGGTAGCAAATAAACTACCTAACGATGCACCTCAAGGAACTAAAAAAGCCAGAATAAATCAAACCTAACATTAGTAGAAGGAAAAAAAATAAAGATCAGAGCAGATAAATAAAATTGAGACAAAAATAATAAAAAGACCAACAAAATGGAAAATTGGGTTTTTGAAAAGATAAACATCAATAAACTTTTAGCTAGATTAACTTAGAGAAGGAGCAAATAAATAAAATCAGAGATGAAAAATAAAACATCACAACTGATACCACAGAAATACAAGGGATCATTAGAGAATATTAT
This sequence comes from Homo sapiens, assembly GCF_000001405.40. Classification (NCBI taxonomy): domain Eukaryota; kingdom Metazoa; phylum Chordata; class Mammalia; order Primates; family Hominidae; genus Homo; species Homo sapiens. Next base: position 144,261,941 of record NC_000004.12, read on the forward strand.
GAACAATTATAAACCAACAAATTGGAAAGCCTAGAAGAAATGGATAAATTTCTGGCAACATACAACTCACCAAGATTGAGCCATGAAAAAAATAGAAAGCATAAACAGGTCAATAATGAGTAAAAAGATCAAAGAAGTAATAAAATGTCTCACATCAATGAAAAGGCCAGGACCTCTACTAAATTCTACCAAACATTTGAAAAATAACTTATACAAATTCTATTCAAACTATTTCCCAAAATAGAAGAGGAAGAAGTGCTTTCAAACTCAATATATGAGGCCACTGCTACCCTGATACCAAAACCAGACAAGGATAAAACAAACAGAAAACCTATGGGCCAATATCACTGATGAACATATATGTAAAAACCCTGAAAAATATTAATAAACAGAATTCAACAACACATTAAAAAGATCATTAGCTATGATCAAATGGTATTAATCCCAGGGATGCAAGGATGATTCAATATATGCAAATCAATAAACAAAATACTTCACATCAACAGAATCAAGAACAAAAACTGTATGATCATTTCAATAGATGCTAAAAACATTCTGTTAAATTCAACATCTCTTCATGATAAAATCCCTTAACAAACGGTATATCAGGAATGTGCCTCAATGCAAAAAAGCTGTATATGATAAGCCCACAGCTAATATCATACTGTCATACTATAAGGGAAAAAAGTAAAAGCCTTTCCACTAAGATCTGAAACAAACCAGATGCCCGCTTTCACCACTGTTATTCAACATAGTACTGAAGTCCTACCTATAGCAATTAGGCAAGACAAAGAAATAAAGTGCTTCCAAATTGGAAAGAAAAAAGTCAAATTACTACTATTTGCAAATGACATGTTTTTTTAGGAAAATCTAAAAGCTTCATGAAAAAAAACCTCTCAGAATTGATACATGAATTTAGTAACATTGCTGGATATAAAATCAATATATAAAAATCAGTAGCATTCTTGTACACTAACAGTGATCAATCTGAAAAAGAAATCGAGAGCACAATTCCATTTACAAAAGCTATCAAAAATATACTTAGGAATCAAGTTAATCAAAGAAGTAAAAGATCTATACAAGGAAAACTATAAAACACTTATGAAAGAAATTGAAGAGGACACAAATAATTAAAAAGATATTTCATGCTCATAAGTTGGAAGAATTAATATTGTCAAAATGTCTATACTACCCAAAACTATCTACAGATTCAATGCAATTCCTCTCAAAATACCAATGATATTATTCACAGAAATAGAAAAAACAATCTTAAAATTTGTATAGAACCACAAAAAAACCCAAACAACTAAAGAAAACCTGAGCAAAAAGACCAAAGCTGGTGGCACACACTATCTGATTTCATATTATACTGCAAAATTATAGTAAGCAAAACAGCATGATACCGACATAGAAACAGACAAGGATACCAATGGAACAGAATAGAGAAACCAGAAATAAATCCACACACTCATTCTCAACAAAGGCACTAAAAACTTACACTGGGGGAAAGGACAGTCTTTTTAATAAATGGTGCTTGTTAAAGCTGGATATCCATATGTAGAAGAATGAAACTAGATTCCCATCTTTCACCATACACAAAATCAACTCAAGCAGATTAAACACTTAAATGTAAAATCTGAAACTATGAAACTACTATGAGAAATTAGGGAAATGCTACAGGGCATTGATCTGGGCAAAAGTTTTTTGGGTAAAAGATCAAAAGCACAGGCAACCAAGGCAAAAACAGATAAATGGGATCACATCAAGCTAAAAAGTTTCTGCACAGCAAAAAGAACAATTAACAAAGTGAAGAAAAAGGACAGAATGAAAGAAAATATTTACAGACTATCCATCTGATAAGGGATTAATAACTAGAATATATAAGGAACTCAAACAACTTAATAGCAAAAAAAAAAACCCAGATATCCAATTAAAAAATGGGCAAAAGACCTCAAAAGACATTTCTCAAAAGAAGACATACACATGCCCAACTGGCATATGAAAAAATGTTCAACATCACTAGTCATCCGGGAAATGTAAATAATCAAAACTACTATGAGATATCATTTTACCCCAGTTAGAATGTACATTATCAAAAGGACAAAAAAAATAAAAAATGCTGATGAGATTACATAGAAAGGGAAACACTTGTACACTGTCAGTGGGAATGTACAGTAGTACAGCCCTTATGTAAAACAATACAGAGTTTCCTCAAAAAACAAAACCCAAAAATATAACTACCATATGATCAAGCAATTTCCCTGCTGGTTATATATCCAAAGGGAAAAATCAATATATTGAAGAGGTATCTGTACCCCCATGTTTATTGCAGCACTATTCACAATAGCTAAGATATGGAATCAACCTATGTTCATTAACAGATGAATGGATTTTAAAATGTGGCATATACACACAATGGAATAGTATTCAGTCATCAAAAATAATAAAATCCTGTCATTTGCAACAAGAAGTATGGTCATTATGTTAAGTAAAATAAGCCAAGTACAGAAAAATAAATATCACATGTGTTCTTATATGTGGGAGCCAAAAAAGTGGATTTCATGTAGGTAGAGAGTAGAATGGTGGTTATTATAGGTAAGGAATAGAATGAAGGAGAGGAGGATGAAGAGAAATTGGTTAATGAATACAAAAATGCAGTTAGATAGAAGGAATAAGTTCTAGTACTCAATAGCATAGTACAAAAATTATAGTTAACAATAATTTATTGTATATGTGTCAAAATAGCAAGGAAAGAATTGTAACACTTCCAACACAAAGTAAAGATAAATATTTGAGGTGGTGAATATCCCAATTACTCTGACTTGATCATTACATATTCTATACATGTATCAAAACATCATGTGTCCCAAAATATGAATAACTATGATACAACAATAATAAATATCTAAAATTGCTTTACAATTACTTATGTGTACGTAAGTATTGTATAATACTGTGATGAACATAAATTAATTATTAATTTCCAAGGGATAGTGCCTGAAAGTATTTTATTTAAAAAATTCTAAATTTAAAGGTTAATTACATCAACCCTTTGATATTAATGATGATGTTAGCCCAAATTTTTACAAAGAATAAATAGGTCAAAAATTCCAAAGTTTTGGAATCTGAAAGGTTTAATTACAGACTTTTTGAAAAGTTATATTTCCTCTAAACTGCTTGGAGCACAATCTACCATAAGTTTGATTTTTCTAACATTTTCTTTTATGGCCTTTATTAAACATATTCTTATTGTTTTGGACTTTTAATTCCTTTTTTCCTGATTTTTAAGCTTTCCATTATAGTAGTGCCTCTATGCAACCTTTCTTTTTATGTAAATGCCATTATATTCCATTTATCTGTCATGGCCAATCGATATTCATTGAGTACCTACTATTTAGGACCACAAAGCCTAGCAGTAATAATGATAATAAGAATAACATTATATTTATTAAATATATTTTATGTAATAGCTACCGCACTTGATATGTCACATTTGACTGAATTCTAACAAAGCTTCCTCATCTATCACAGATAAGGAAACTAAGGCTAAGAAAGTTTAAGTAACTTGCCTAAAGTTACAGAGGCTAAGAAAGTTTAAGTAACTTGCCTAAAGTTACAGAGACAATAGTGACAGAGAAAGATTTGAATCAGAATTTTTTGACTCCAGAGCCTTACACTAAGCAGATGTTTATGAATTATTTTGCTGAATAAATGGTTTAAATAATATATCCTTAGCTTTTGATTTCTCAGTAATTTTTACTTATCATCTAAGCTCCTTTTTACTTCTAAATTTCTATCTCATGTGAATATAATTTTCAATTATGTTTCATCTTCCTGGATAAATGTCATTCTATAAAACATATGCATCTCACAAAATTTCAAGCAGAACACTTTGGCTAAGCAAAACTTCAAAGTACACCTTACTCTTCAATAGAAAGATTTACTGCTCTAGGTTAAAATTAAATGCCAGTGAAAAAGCTTATGGCTAACTTTTAAAGGGCAAGATTTTTTGGTTAAAAGAAGGGAGGGATAGCATTAGGAGATATACCTAATGCTAAATGAAGAGTTAATGGGTGCAGCACACCAACATGGCACATGTATACATATGTAACAAACCTGCACGTTGTGCACACGTACCCTAAAACTTAAAGTATAATAATAATAATTTAAAAAGAACAATCATATTGTTTCCAATGCACTTTCATTTATATTATCTCTTCTTTTGCAATAAGACTGTGTAACAATCAAAGAAGTAAAATAACCTCTCCCTATACAGGATCAGGAGGCAGTAAGTGATAGAACTGAGAGTGGATCTCAGGGAATTCCCACTTTCCTCTCAGCTCAGGTTTCTTCCCAGGGCATCATCATAGCTATGCCCAGTAGACTGGCTCCCCAGGCTCATGTTTGGCATATTGATTTGTCTTCCTTAAATCATATTAGAGTCCAGAGATAAAAATCTCATTGTGAAATGTGAAACTGCTCTACACACATGATAATTCATATCCATTCTCTATTGGCTGAAAAACATGATCAGTCTGTTATGTGTTATTAGTAGTTCCAAACAGTGCAACAAAATATGGAATGAATGAGTATGTCCAGAGTATGTTCTCCTTACTATTATTTTCTACTTAAAGGATATGTCTGGTGATACTAATGTTCTCAATTTCTCACAGATTCTTTCAGATCTTATATTACTCTTTCTACTCCCCTCCATAGAAGGCAGACTTTCCTTAGGGGAAATTAGAGGGAAAGGGCACTTTTTCATACTGCCTGGAAATAATAGGTAAAATTGCCTGTGAAACACTTTATCAAACAGTGCTGGACTAAAGTGAAAGCACAATTTGCTTACAGTTAAATTTCTGGTTCACTGCATTTTACAAACTATTTTATAATGGAAAACAAATGTGTATCAAATTTGAAACAAAGGGAGAAGTTAGAAACTATTTTCCTAATTAGAGAATGGTTATCAAACATGTGGTGTTTTTCACTGTAAATAAATTTAGAAGATACCTTACTGAGTTGTATTTATTTGTCTTTGCATATCTTGGATGAATTTGTCTGTGACAAATAATGAAAAATATATATATGAATAGAGCTAGACATTAATTTTCTATTTTTACACAGTGATAATTACATTCTCTTCTCATTAACATTCCCATGAACTTCAAACATTAAGTGAGATTTTTGTTCCACTTCATCAGAGTTTTTCTATACATGGTATGGTCTTTGAAGTTAATTGGAGCCCTCCATGTTAAAGCAAGATGAGAGTTAAGAGTGAAAGCAAGCCCTGGCATCACTATCACAGAACTTGTGATAACCTCGATTGCAAGACCAGACAAGTTCTAACCATTATACAGAGAGCTCTGCCTACAAGTAACACCTGAGGGACAATACACTATGAAAACAACAAAGCACTGGCTGCTGCAGACAAGCACAATGACTTGAATGGGAAAAGCAAATTTTCTTTTCTCTTATATCTCTCATATCACTGAGAGATATAAGAGATCTTTTATTCACATTTAACCTACTGTGTAAATGACACCCATTAGAACAATAGTTTAGAGCAATAAGAGATTGATCATCCCAACTACCCATGTCTAAACTAAATATAAATAATATGTTCTGAGCACTGACTGTATTGGTCACTGTGGATGCAATCCTAAGCAAAGAAAAAACAGAGTTTGCAGTCTTTCATCTTGGATGAAAAGTCAATGGCGATATTCCTGGATAAAAGTTATACTATGATAATTTTTAGAGTTACTATATTTTGTAACACTTTAATAATGAAGGCCCACTTTTGTTTTTATTACTATTAATTTATGAGTGCTTGTTATTGTGGAGAATCTTTCTTACATTATCTCATTTAGTCATTTTAACAACCCTAGGAAACAGGTGTCTTTCTTCATTTTTAGCTGCTTGAGAGATGGAAGATTAAAAGGTTAAGTATTTTGCCCAGTGTCAAATAATAAATGAGAGGAGAGTTCAAACTCAGATCTGCCTCACTCTGAACTTACAAATAACAGGCTGTAATGCTCTTTAAAATGAGAAGTATAATTTGCAAGACTTTCAAGTCTCATATACATGGAGTCTTACTGAAAAGAACAGAAAAGCATTAAGTAACTGGTACATGACTAAGAAGTGCAGAAAAATACTCTTCTCAGAATCTAATTTTCTTCTTGACAATCAGGGACCCCTACTAGACAGAGCATGAAGATTTGTAGCAGCATATGGGCAGGGTACATGTTTTCTTTTCTTAAGCATTTAATAAAACATTGACTGCATTGAGGTTCTTTGTTTTACTGTTTGTTTTTGCTTTTTAAAAATATTTTGCAGATGAGCATTGAATAAAGTAGGTGTTTAGCAGGACCAGTGCAAGCAGATGCTGCACCGAGTCAAGTTTTCTAGTCAGGTGTTGCCTCATGCTCTGCCCTGCCCATCTCCACAGTCTCAATATTGCCTGCACAGTGTCTTCATTCACATGTTAAGGGAGCTGAAACTTTTAAATGAGTTTGAAAAAAAACTAATATTTTGCACCAAATTTCTGGATATGAATTTACATTAAGCCATTGTCAAAGTTATAAAATTGTTAAATTTTACTAGGGAGAGTTGCTGAAGAGGACCTACATATAAAATAATTTCATGAGAATTTATTTTGAAGACAGTCTGAGGTGAAGATTCTTTGAGTATCTGGCTCATGTAATATGCATATACTCTGCATATAGTAAATCAATATATTAAAGAAAATATATTGCTTTTAAAATCACACACGTAAATTTTTTCCCCTGCTTTTATAAATTTTACATGATTAAAAAGTAAAGAAATAGCACACGATTATCAACTAATGGTATTCTAACTAGGAAAATTTGTTTTAACCATAAACATGCATAATAAGATCCATTTACGCATCTATATAACACACAAATACTAAATACATAGATCTGTTGTTTTGATCCAATGAATCTGAATAAACTGCCACCTCATGAGCAGGTTATAGGTTTGGTGGTATAATCACCTTATTTTCTGAGGGAAAAAAATATAGAGCTATCTCTTTCCTGGGTTAATGAGGGGTAGTACACTGACACCCCTCCACTCTGTTTTGAATTTCAAAGTTACCTTTTCAATACAAAAATTTTCTCAACGATTGAAAAATCCATCTCATTCTCAAAGAATCAGTCAAGTATTCCTCTTGTAAGTAAGTACAGATAGCTAAGTTTCATAGCAGAAATCCCAGTGAAATTTTATGTGTGATTGCTTCCCTATTTGATATTATGTTTCCTCAGTATTCTAGACTCTCTGTGAGTTTGAGAACAAGATGGTTTTGTTATTTCACAGTTTATGCCTAGCAGAATACCTAACATGTATTAGGGGTTCAATCAATATCTACTGGATAAATAAATAAATTAGGACAAAAGATTTGAAAAATGATTTTTGTGTCTTTTCTAAGTTTAAGATTCTGTAGCATGGAAAGTTCATATGGAGCTAAAAAATAATTCCTGAATAGCCAAAGCACTTTTAAGCAAAAAGAACAAATCAGACATCACATTGTCTGAGTTCAAATTATACTACAAGGGTCTAATAACTAAAATGGCATGGTACTGGTACAAAAATAGACATATAGATGAATGGAACAGAATCCAGAATCCAGAAATGAAGCCACATAACTACAACCCACTGATCTTCAATAAAGCTGGCAAAAGTAAACAATGTGGAAAGGACATACTATTCAATAAATAATGCTGATAAAATTGGCTACCCATATGCAGAGGAACAAACCTAGACCCCTGTCTCTCATCATATATAAAAATTAACCCAATATGGATTAAAAACCTAAATGGAAGACTTGAACCTATAAAAATCCTAGAAGAAAACCTAGGAAAAAACTTTTCTGGACATTGGCCTAGGCAAATAATTCATGACAATGACCCCAAAAGCAAATGCAACAAAAACAATAATAGACACATGAGACCAAATTAAACTAAAAAGCTCTGCACAGTGAAAGAAATAATCAACAAACAGACAATCTACAGAATGAGAGAAAGTATTTGCAAATTATGCCTCCAATAAAAACTAATATCCATAAGCTACAAGGAACTCAAACAACTCAACAAGAAAAAACAAGCAACCCTATTAAAAATTGAGCAAAGAACATGAACAGAAATTTCTTAAAGGAAGAAATATAAGTGACCAACAAACCTATGAAAAAATGCTCAAAATCACTAATCATCAGAGGAATGCAAATTAAAACTACACTGAAATATCATCTTATACCAATCAGAATGGCTACTATTAAAAAGTCAAAAAATAATAGATGCTGGCATGGATTTAGAGAAAGGGAATGCTAATACACTGTTGGTGGGAATGTAAATTAGTACAACCTCTATGGAAAACAATATGGAAATATCTCAATAACTAAAAATAGAACTACTGTTTAACCCAGCAATCCTACTACTGGGCATCTACCCAAAGGAAGAGAAAGCATTACATAAAAAAATAAACACCTGCACTCAGATGTTTATTGCAGCACTATTTACAATAGCAAAGTAATGGAATCAACCCAAGTGTCTGCCAATGGTTGATTGGATAGAGAAAATGTGGTATATACACCATTGAATACTATGCAGCCATAAAAAAATAAAGTCATGTTCTTTGCAGCAACATGGACAGAGCTGGAGGTCATTATCCTAGCTAACTCAGAAGCAGATCAAATATCACATGCTCTCTCTTATAAGTGGGAGCTAAACAAAGGGTACACATGGACATAATGATGGTGATAACAGACACTGAGAATTCCAAAAGTGGGGAGAGGTTCCAGAGAGTGAGATACAATGTTCAATATTTGGGTGATGGGTACACTAGAATCCCAATCCCCATCATTACACATTTAGTGCCCATGTAACAAACAAGTACCTGTACCCTCTGAATCTTAAATTTTTTAAAAAAGGATTTGGGATTTAAAAAAATTATGTAGCACAAGAGTTAATAGAAAGAGTTATTGAGTACATTGTATCAAACACTCATATATCATTTAATTCAATCCTTACAACATCCTGAGAGAGTAGTTTTCTTATCCCTATTTTACAGATGAGGATATAGGTTGAGATAGGTCACACAGCTAGAAAATAGTAGAGTTACATTCCCTACTGAGGTCTGTGTGAATACTGAGGCCATGCTGACTCTTGTGGAGTACAGCCTCCGACATGTTGTTTGATTGAGACGTGTTCTGTAAGCCAAGCAGTTCTAATTATATAAGAGAACTAATAATGCTCATAAAACCCCAAAATATCAGGATTTTAAACTAGTCCAGATAATTCACAAAAACAATCACGACTAGGCTTAAGACCAACCCAATGAACTAATGTTTGTCTTAATTTTCTTTCAATGATCTTAATCTCCCAAAGTTCATCTAGTATTCTTCACCTATTAGTTAGGGAAACATACACATGAGATTTTCTGAGACAGTCCCAGTTTACGCCTATATTCCTGGTGATGTTATTAGTAATACCCCCTTTTACTCACAAAAGTGTTTCACTTTAGATTATATTTCTGATCATCCTACCTTTCAGGGCTCTCTTGGCCTCTGAGCTCCCAGGATCCATTGTGTTTCTGTTGCCTGGGGCCCGAACTGTGGAGTTCAACTTGCTAGAAACTTTGTCTTACTTCTCATTCTCTAGCAAAATTACTTGCCCAGAAAGCAGTGCCCTCAGTCCTTACTTTTTATGACGAACTATTCTATTCCATGCTTTGCCTGACTTAAATGTTCCATCTCTCACAGGTGACACGTATATATTTCAAATGAAACTTCCATTTAGACAGATTTTTTAAATAACCAAAGTTAAGTTGACCCTTCTACTTACAGCAGGTTATAGTCATTGTCTTAATCCATTACAGGTTTTCCGTATCCAGCACTAAAACTATGTAAGCCAGTTTTACTTTTAGGGAAAAGGATTACATTTCCTCACCTCTGATATGATCACTTCTTTGGAGTTCCTTCCACTTTAGGCTTATAAGCAAATATTGGGTTGATGCTTGGTAAATCCACTGATTAGAGTGAAGTATTGCTCAAATTCTAAAAGTCCAATTAGCATGCTTCACTGATGCCTCTTTTTAACCAATGCTATATTGTACCCCTTTCTTCTACTTATCCCAGGGTTTGGTTCAATTTCAGATGACTCAAATCAACAAGATTCTATTATGATTTCCTGTGACATAGCAACTCATTTGACCCATAATTTTTTTTTATCTTACCGTGTGTCTTGCAGACAAAATAAGACAGTAAATTTGTTAAAATGTCAGAAATGTTTTCTCAGACCAAAAATGTCTTTATTGTTTTAAAGGGAAAATTTTGCACCCAGTGATATAGTTTTCAAAAGTAAACACCTTGTTGTGTGGAATAAAACTGTATTTAGTTTATATTTGAAAAATGCTAATTTTAAAAATATACTTAAAATTTACTGTCACTTCAAAGGACGTGTGACTTTCCTAACTGGAAATTGTATTGTTATTATGACAAATAACAGTGATTCAAAAGAATTCTTACTGTCATAAATTTACTAGTATTTTCTCTTCCTTTCCCAGGACAAAGTTGAGGATTTTTAAATTAAATTAACATCTTTTAACGCAAATTATTTTTCAAACTAGATTTTTTTAATTATACTTTAAATTTTAGGGTACATGTGCACAACGTGCAGGTTAGTTACATATGTATACATGTGCCATGTTGGTGCGCTGCACCCATTAACTCGTCATTTAACATTAGGTATATCTCCTAATGCTATCCCTCCCTCCTCCCCCCACCCCACAACAGGCCCCGGTATGTGATGTTCCCCTTCCTGTGTCCATGTGTTCTCATTGTTCAATTCCCACCTATGAGTGAGAACATGCTGTGTTTGGTTTTTTGTCCTTGCGATAGTTTGCTGAGAATGATGGTTTCCAGCTTCATCCATGTCCCTACAAAGGACATGAACTCATCATTTTTTATGGGTATCCCATTTTAAAAACTATATATGTTTTTGAAAATGGCAAAAAGTTGTCTCCTCGGGTTGCTTTGCTCCAGTTAGATGGGATGCACACAAGTAAAAATAAGAGGGATATGGAGGAGAGAAAGAGAAGTAGTTGGTATAGACTTTGGTAGACTCAGAAGGTAGCATAAACCTGACTTCTGTGCCTCCCTTATACTACTAACAACTCAGAAGTGTGCCTCTTACCGTTTGTTAACCACAAAATCAAGTAAGAATTGATGTAGGTCCATTGTTTCACCAGCACCATGTGGAAACTTGCTAGAAATGCAAATTTTTAGGCTCTATCCCAAACCAACTGAACCAGAAACTCTGGGGATGAGAATTTGCAATTGCGCTGTAACAAGTCCTTCAGGTGATTCTCTTGTACCTTAAGTTTCAGAACCATTGCTTCAGGATAAGGATACCACGGACAGGAAAGAGGACCATAAAAACAGTTTCTATTCTCAATGAATTTACAATCCAGTGGGAGAAAATGTTAGCTAGGTGGAAAGATCATTCATGATTCCAGCACAACTAATGCTACCTCCCAGACTGCACAGGGCCATAGGCAGAATAGAAATCCTATATGGCTGAGTGATTGGGAAGGTGAGATTTGACATGAGCCTTTCTGGCAGAAACTCCTAGCTATTCACAAAATCCCTATTTTATTTCGTCCATGGCACATAGCAAGACCATATTCCCAGCTTTCCTTAGCACTACATGTAGTCATAAGACAACTTTTTCTATGAGCAGAAGTGATATGTGCTGCTGCTAAGCTAAGGATTTCAGAAGTGGGTGTTTTCTTTTAATGCATTCTCTCTTTATCTTTTTGCTGGCTGTGAGCAAGTGGAAATGTCAAGAATCTGGGAATGGTAGAGTTCCAAGATGGAAGAAGTCTGTGTTCCTGATTCATTGCATCAAAGAAAACTTTTTGGAATATTCAGTGAAAAAGAAGTAAAGTTCTATTGAGTTTTAGCAGTTATATATTGGAATACAATACTAGAAGTAGTGTGAAAAACAATGCTATTCTACTGAGAGAGAAAATATTAGTAAAGCCATGGAAATGTCACCAGAGGGTGGCAACAGTCAGAAGTGGCTGCAGCATCAGCATGTCTGTGTGGACAAAATGACTGAGTTTGTTGGGTCAGGGAGGACTGAGCAGATTCTGGAATGTTACATAAGTTAGAATGCTTTGGCTGCAACTAACAGGTAACTCAGACTGGATTTTAAAAAATAAGGCAGTTAATTAATGAAACAGGAAGTTCCAAGGAGTCAGGCTCAGGCATATTCACTAAGGCATCTTTGTGATGAAGTCTCTTGTCTCTTTCCTCTTACACATGTTGACTTCATCCTCAGGCTTGAAACAAGAAGACTGTAGCCCTGCATCTTGTTCCAGATGAGTGATCCAGATCTAACATCACCCAGGGCCCAAAGGTCATTTTCCTCAAGACTATTTTTTGAGGAGAGGAGTATTTTCTCAGAATCATGTTCCTACATAACACTGACTTCTCCTCATATCCCATTAGGATGTCTTGCCATGTGCTCATTCCTAAACTAGACATTGACAAGGGGAAAATAGAATCACTGCCCATGGCTCAGACCACTGGCTTTCAATCCTGTTTGCATATTAGAATGCCCCAGAGAGTTTTGGTAAAACCTTGATGCCCCAACAACTGAGATTCAATAGGGCCTATGTCTTGGTAATTAAATAAAAAAATCTCCCCAAGATATTCTAATCTATAGCCAGAATTGAGAAACTCCAACTTAGATGAATCATTGGAAATTGAATGGATTTGGGGGTAGTAATGACAGAGAAAACCATAAAGGACTTACTTTAATTTTAATTTTATTTTCTAGACTGAGAGGAGCCATGGAAGATTTATAAACAGAAACCAGGGCCATGTTATCAAAAAGTGACCCGATAAGCTATGGGCCCCTCTACCCAGCAGAGAGTCTGACAAAGCCCTCAGAAGGTGCTCAGTCACTATCAGTTAGGTGAATCAATGAACCGAAAATTCTGCAGACAAGCATACTGGTTCAGCCTTTGCATCCACTGGGCATGTAAAAACTGGAATAGGTAAAAGAGCTACCATGTATTCTGATTTTATCTTCTTTATAAGCAAACCTAAGACTGTTTTGGAAATCCAAATGTATAATCAGATTTTTAAAATAAATTTTAGGTAATTATTATTTTGATTTTTAGATAATTGTTTTATGTCTCTAAAACTCAGATTCTGAGTCTTTTCAATCTAAATCTGTTCTCATGGCGGCCGCGAGCGCCTTTGATTCCATTGAAATATGAAACAGATTTTCTCAATCCTGGTTCTCAACTAGGGGAAGTATTGCCCCCTAGGGTACATTTGTCACGTGTCTGGAGACATTTTAAGTTGTCTCAACTGGGAAAATGCTATAGGCATTTAGAGGAAAAATTATAGGAATACTGCTAAACATCTTACAGTTCACAGGGTAGACCTTCACAACAAAGAATTATCTGGCCCAAAATGTCCATAGTTCTGAAGTTGAGCAACCCTGATCTAAATATTAATCAAGCATACTTTTATAAGCACCCTATACTAAATGCTGCAATTATTATGAAACCTCCTGAGACTTCAGGGATTTTAAAAGACAAGTTGGTTAATAATTGCAAAGACTTGGAGACTAAATCTTGACTGTTTGGGGTAGATCTAGCTTTTTTGTAAACCCTCAAATAAGCTTTCCCAAGCTTTGAAGACCTAAGACAGGGGACTTGTGCAGGCTTCCCTCATGGGCTGGCGCCCTGTTGGCGATGTTGTACACAGGCAATGCCAGCCAGATGATTTTATCCTAATCAGGATTTGTATGGACATGACATTTTGTTTATTCTGTTGCCTTTTTGTTCTTCTGATTCATAAACAGCAATAGAGTGGAACAATTATCTCTTCTTTTTGCAGACACAGATGTGTAAATGCATGGAGCTTTATATGAATCCAGCAATGCCAAAACAATTCATATTATGCTTCATCTACTGCACTGTAGAATTTCAGACTGAAAAAGTGTGCAAAACACTGTAATCCTCTTTATTTATATCCAAAATGGGCTCAGGAGTGGCCCCCTGGCATTCTGCATAGGCACAAAATTTCAACACTCATGCTACAGTCACAGAAAATGCTATTCCTAAAACCAGATTACAATTTTTTAATTTAACCTCAGTAGATTAGGTCCCTTCAGATAGTAAAATTTAAATGAATAAGTTTGATCCAAGAAACTTCATTTCTTATATTTCCAGTTTTTCATCCTCTGAAGCTAGGAAGAAGGGCAACATTTTGAACACTTAATTTGTATAGTTAAAAATACCAAATATAAGGGCTACACGATGCAATCTAGTGGAGATGCATTTAAACCTATCATCTAAGGCAAGGAACAGCAAACTTTCTGCAAAGGGCCAGGTATAAATATGTTAAGCCTTGCAGGCCATACGATGTCTTTCCCAATAACTTAACACTGCTGTTAGAGCATGAAAATAATCATAGACACTATGTAAGTGAATGAGTATGACTGTGCTCCTATGTAACTTTATTTATGGATCTGAAATTAAAATTTCACATAATTTTCATGTGTTGCAAAATATTATTCTTCATTTGATTTTTTTCCAACTTTAACTTTATTTCCCCCTTTTTAAATACCTTTATCCAATCTGTCAGCAATTCCTATCAACTTTCCCTCTAGGGTATGTCCTAAATATGACTGTGCTCCTGTGTAACTTTATTTATGGATCTGAAATTAAAATTTCACATAGTTTTCACGTGTTGCAAAATATTATTCTTCATTTGATTTTTTTCCACCATTTTAAAAATAGAAAAAATAATTCTTAGCTCATGGCCACAAAAACAGGCAATATGTTGAATTTAGCCCTCAGGTCATAGTTTAGCGACCCCTTCCCTAATGGACATGACTATATAAGAACAATATAAAACATAACACCAATCAGAAGGAAGATGATTATAAGAAAGACAGGAAACTACTTCAAATTTTCATCTTTAACCTAAAGACATCTTAAAGAAATTATTCTAATTTAATAATGAAAATAATTTGAGATTAATAAAAAATAAATGCTATTATAATAAATATGCTATAATGCAGCTAAATTGAATTGAAATTTTAAAAGAAGGCTCAACATCTATAGCAGCATTCAATTTTTTGATGGGAATTATAGTGACTTTGAAGAATAGTCTTAGGGAAATTTTATCAGGAATAGTCTCCACAAATTTCAAAGTCTGTCCTTCGTATTTTCTTTATATACTGGGTTTACATGAATTTGGCTTATGGAACATCTATTTTAATTAAATATAAGTAGAAAATTTACTCCTAAACCCATTTACTTAAGGTAATATTATTTATTATCAGGCATAGGAGGTATTTCAATGAAGAGGTATAGTCTACCTAAATCAGTTGCATATACCTTAAAATATAAAAACTCTCTGCAAGTTCAATAAATGAGTCCTGAATGATGGAATATGGCCTTTCTCCTCTTACAAAAAATCCTGAATGTACATCTCAAAGAAAATCATTTGAATGCGTACCCTTTTGATCTGAATGGACTTGCCTTAATAGGAACCATTAAAATAAGTGAGATTAGGTTTTCCCTTCATAGAAAACCATCTAATCTCTTCTTCTAAATGAATATCCCTCTTGCTCCTTCCCTTGGCTGAATCTTGAAAGTAGTAGTTAGTGAAACCCAATATTACCTAATTCCAAAGTTTGTGAACCCCACAATTCTATTTGAGATTGTTAATTCATGTTTCATCCTGCTGCTCTTCTGCCTAAAATGCCCTTCTCATATTCAAGAATAACTCAAATATAACCTCCTCTAAGAAATTTTTTAGGCCCTCCACCTCCACATTCTTCCACTACAGAGATATCGATCATAGTATACAATTTTGTGCACTTACTGGTTTATGTATTCCAGCTCCCTATATTGTGCTGTAAGCTCTTTGAAGGCAGAAGTTTTTGTACCTCAGCATCTAATGCTGAGTGTAGATTTAGAGTAGATGTTAAATATTTAGGGTGTTCTTGATAATTTAAAGGCAATCAGGAGGTTCACTCTTACTGTCTCTTTCTTGTTTCATCTTAGAGATCCACAAGAAGGTAGGTGTCTTCACTGAAACTCTGCACTGCCTAAAGAGCTCCTTCTCTGCTGGAGCCCAGGAGATGGCATAAAGCACATTCCCCTTTCCCTAAAGCCACAGGCAGCTCCAGAATGCCTGCACTGAAGGAGGTTAAAAGTGGAAATATGACAAGAAAGTAAGAGTAGAAAGGGGACTTAAGGTTGTGTTTTAAAAGTCATATTTGCAGACCAGGAACGTTATTTTTATTGTGTGCTTATTCGGAGTGGCACATAGGGGTTTTCAGAGATAATAAGGAGATGGGCTAAAGCATCTCCTGCCAGCTCTGTATACCACTCACTGCTCTTGCTTCTCTGTCTTGTTTAAGCCTATCAGTATAACATTGTGGGCTGCAAAATACAAACATCTTGTCCTCTATGGCAGGTGAAATCTCAGAAGGACATAAAAGCATAGGAGAAACAAAATTTCTAGTTAATTTGGATTTTCCCTTGCACTGCACCAGGAAGTCTGACAAATTACAGTCAAAGAGGAACTTTTTTTGCCTTTTCCCAACCAACTCTACACACCTACACCTATACTTTTGATGGTTTTAAATTTTCTCCAAAAATTCTTTGAATTTCCTCTTTGAGAGGAAAATCTTCATTTCTCACTACTTGAACATGGGTTGTATTTTGACTTGCTTCTAACAAACATAATATGGTGGAAGTTACAGTGCGTCATTTTGGACGTGGTTATAGAAAACACTTTGGCCTTCTTTTTGCCCTTTCTTGGACAAGCTACACTTGGAAATATTCAAGTAATACTATGGAGAGGTTCATATGGCAAGGAACTAATAATTTCTATTAACACCCATGTGAATAAGATATCTTAAAAGCGGATTCATCAGCCCAAGTCAAGCCTTCAGATGATAGTAGCCCTGGCCATGAGCTTGACTGCAGCCTCACGAAAGACCATGAGAGAACTATCTAAAATACTGACCAGCAAAAGTGTGAGATAATAAATGTTTGCCGTTTTAATCTAAGTTTTGTGATAACTTGATATAGAGTAACAGAAGATTAATACAGTACTTATATTTTCTAAATCTCCTATACAATGCTGAAAAATCGGCAGCATTAGAGTGAGAAAAGATAGTCTGCGAATAGTAACATTTAATCTAACAGATCAGTAACTGAGTTTGTACTTAGTTCCTGGATAATTACTTGGCAATAAAGTCACATAGGTGAATTGAGACTTCTCCTTTTAGTTTCAGACCCTATCTGACTGTCTACATCCTATTTCTACTAGGATGCCTCTGGCAGATTCCTTTTGAAGATATTTCCCAAGGCAACAATTTTTTCCCATGATCCTTTGCCCTGTGACCGTGGTGCTCCTAACAAGAAGTAGAGTCTGTTTTTCTTTCCCTTGAATCTGGGCTGGTCTGACTTGCTTTGATGAATAGAGTATGGTAGAAATACAATTATCAGGCTCTTGTCATAAGAGGCCTGGCAGTCTCTGCTTTCATTTTCTTAGACTGTTAACCTGAGAGACTTCCACGTAAAAAGCCAGTCTAAGTGCCAGCCATCATTCTCCATGCTCCCCGAACAAGATAATGTCCTGCACTCATGTCCCTTCTCATGGTGAGAAAACAGTCTAACCTACTGGAGGATAAAATACCCAAAGAAAAAGCCAACAGTAGGTACCGACTTTAAGATGTGTGAATGAAATAGTCTCGTATCTTCCAGACCATGAAATGTTGGCTGAATGCAGCAACATAAGTGAGCTCAAGTTAGACCAATGGAAGAATCATTCAACCAGCCCACAGAATTGTAAGAAATAATAAATTGTTTTAAGCCACTTTTTTGAAATGGCTGGTTACACAGTAAAAGACAACTGCTATAGAGTCTATAGGTATCTCAAACTTAACAAGCACCAAATTGAACTCTTTATTCCCCCACCCAGATATGATTATCATCCTGTATTTTTCCTCTCAATGCTACCCAACTGCTCAAGCTGAAAACCCTGGTATCAACTTTATTTCCCCCTTTTTAAATACCTTTATCTAATCTGTCAGCAATTCCTATCAACTTTTCCTCCAAGGTATGTCCTAAATATGTCATTTTTACCAATTTAGATTTTTTGACTACTATGATCCTCCAAAATATCACCAACTTTTGCATAAATTCACAAACTAGCCTTTCATTCTCTCTACATTAGCCAATATGATCTTTTTAAAAAGATCATGGCACTTTCCTGCTTCATACCGTCTGATGGTTTCCTATCACGCATATTATAATCTTCAAATTATTTGCCGTAAGTTGGTTCCTACCAATCTCCCTAATTTCATCTTGTACTAAAAGTCTCCTTTTTTGAGTCCCAATGTGCAAGCTCTTTTGCCATAAGATGTTTTCACTTGCTAGTCTTCCTGCCTAAATTCCCTTGTTTTGGCTGTTCTTAGGCTGATTCTTCCAAGTTCTTCAGGTATCAGCTCAAATTTTCCTCAGAGATGTGATTCTTGACCACACAGTATAAGGAGTCCCTTATTGTGGCCAGAATCAATTGCAAAAAGCAAAAATTACTCTTGCTATATTAAAAGAAAAGCCATTAGGTACTTACCAAATTATTGGAATGACTGGGTAGGAGGTTCCATGTTAGGCTTCCAAAATGATTATAAAAACATCTACCAGCAGACTATTATTTTTGCTACATTTTGGAAACTGGGTTATCAGAAAGCACACTCCAAACTTCTGGCTTCAGAATCACACTATCTTAGCCATACACCCAAAAACCAGAAAGTGAATACTGCAGTTGTTACCTGCAGGAATATACCTGACATAATGTTGACTCAAGAGCTACTCAGCACTTGACAGATCCTTAGTAGCAAAATTTGTTGCCTCATGGTGACTGTCTCATGCTTAATTCATGTCTGAATTCAAGTCTTTTGTAAGTACAAAGATTGGTAGAACCTATATTACATCCAGAACTCTACTTCAAGGGAGTCTAAAAATAAAAATTTTATTTTATTTTGTCTTTGCAGCTAGAAGGAACAGTGGAAGGAGGTTGGAATAGATGTTGTGTGAACCACTTAGCCAAGTCTGCAATTCTCTCCCACCACACTCCTGCTATCTCCTAATGCTCCCTATTAATCCTCCATAAAATGTATTACTGTTTGAAATCACACATGCACACACACATGCCTATGTGGGTATGTGTAAAATTTTCCATTTTGTTTTCATTATATTGTGAAAAAAAAACCTGCCCATGTGTGCAAGGACATTATCTTGTTTCTAGCAGCACTTAGAATGATGGCTGGCACATGGTAACTCTTCGATGAATATTTGTAGAATGAAGGAATTCTAACCAAATAAATAAACAATAGTCTTTTTTTTTTAACAAAAAACAGTCATTTTATGATGCAGACGTTCTGAGGGATGATGTTACTATCAATGCTACGACCCTTTCTGACCTGACTCTCTAGCCATCAGGTTTAGCTCTGTTTACAAGCATTCCTTCTTACAGTCTCTTAATTTACACCCCACTAGCACCTCCATCCCTTGCCCTCTTAAGAAGGTTACTTCACCCCTTGGTGAAAGTTTTCTACAGTAATATCCCATGTGTTAGCAGAATAAGAACTGTTGTTCACCTGCATTCAATGTTAAAATTATATATGAGAGAAAACTAATGGTGGTAGGTATTGGCTCCAGTTCATGAGCAAAAATAAACAAAGGACTCCTATTTCTGCTTCAGTGTCCCCACTAATAAGGAGTGTGAACATCCTTGATCCTTATAGAGACTCATTTTGTAATCTTTTAAAGATAAGCATTACTTACCATTTAGTCAACAATATATTGAAGAAAGAATATTTCTCTAATTTGCATAATTCTGGCCCTTCCCAATAGATTTCACAATTTCTTATAAGCTCTTATAAGCTCTGCATCTGTGGAGAGCTCTGTGTCTGTGGAGAGCTCTGTGTCTGTGGAGAGCCCAGTGGTATGGAGAGTCCTGTGAGGAGTATCAGGTTCTTTCTTCCTTTCTCTGGAAACTGGTGTCATCAACCAAGAACTACACTGACTTTTAATGTCTTCCTTCTTTGTTAGCCAGGGCATGATGATAGTTCTGATTGAATTATTTTGATGCATTCTGGTAAATTTATGGGGATAGGAGAAATTGGGGGCTGCCATTTCTTGCCAGAACACTACTAAGGGTGGTTAGAGGTAACTAGAGTTTGTTCTTTGTAGATTACTTTGAGCAGTAATAATACCACCATTATTTTTCTCTTGTATATAACTTTAACACTGAAAACAGGTGAACATCAGGTTGGCCATTGGCTCTTCAGCCTGTAGGACCTTGGTCATTTGAGAAGCATCAAGGAAAGTAAAAGATGATGACCATCTCTTCGTCTTCATCTAACTTCAATTAGGTAAATGGGTTAGTTACTCACTGGGTATCATCTTGTCTACCCTAATTACAGGCCAATTTCATCTTAACATATTAGATAAAATATGTTCTCTCTTCCCTCTGTTTAATGTTTAATGCAACATTATTCCATGCTCCATGAACCTAATATATGAGTGTAAGCCATGGAAAAAGAATCAGAAGTACAGTAATCAGGTGGCCTGCTGAAGAGAAATATGAGGAGCTAAAGTTTTAAAGAAGAAAGATTAAACTTTGGAAGACTGAGCACACTATTATCTCAGGCTCAGCAGAAACAAAAATGATTCTTTCCCTTGAACCAGGGAGTTGGAGGTTGCAGTGAGCCGAGATCGCACCACAGCACTCTAGTCTGGTGACGGAGCGAGACTCCATCTCAAAACAAAACAAAACAAACAAACGAAAACAAAACAAACAAAAAGAAACAAACAATTCTTTCTTCCTAAATTATGGCTAATATTACTTTGCAAATAAGTTCAGATGAGAATAGATCTATGATATGGGATGGGGAAAAAAAGAATCAAGATGAAAAACTCACCTTTCTATGATTTTTACCTGGCATATTAACTATAATTAATAATTTGTGTCCTGCTTTTTAAACTTAATATATAATATAATTTGCTTATTTAAAAAAAAAGAAAAACTCACCTTTCTAATTGGAATATGATGCAAAGATGAGGATGATCATCTATTCTGAGAGATGGAGTGAAAGAAAGTTATAATAGATCCAACACGTACACCTTAAAGAAAGAAAAAAAAAGATTACTTGTGATTTCTAAAAAAGTTGAGAATGTTTATTACTCTTGGCAAAAGTGGAGCTGTAGCCCAGATGTACTAATTTCAACTTCATGTGAAAATAAGTTGAATGCATTAAAATGGTTCATATCTCATGGTGCCATTTTGCTTTTCGTGGACCAGTCCTAGGTCTAACTGTTTGAAATATGGCAAAGGAACTATAACTGCACCAAGAGAAGTCAAGGTCTGCAGTGCCAGCTCTACTCTAAAGCAGTCAGAGAGAACTACAGGAATGAGGACTTCCAAGACTTAGGCTTTGGTCAAAGTGGGTAGATGTTAAAATAAATGTTGATCTTTGGGGTTAAAAGGAAACTCGGGAGCTTACTATACAAAACCAGGAAGAGTCCTTGAAGCTTGTAACCTCCTTTTCAGAGTCTAGAAGTCACACATATGAGGCTTTAAGTTTACTTTAAAGTCTTCAGCCTGTGGTGGACAATAATGTGGTTTCTGTTTTTGCTTGCTAGATTGCCTGTCTGTGTTTATTTGCGGGTTGCAGCTAACTGATCACACACCGTATCTGTTCCATTGCGGTAGACCAGTGCTATTTGCTTTGTTATTTTCCTGGGGGTTGTTTGTAAAGTGTTTCCAGACGTCAAACAACTGGGCTATTCCAAGCGCTCTTGTTTTCTAAGCATTTAATCCACCTCTTCCAGTGACTTAGGTTGAAACTTTGAACTGTTGATTTAGGTGGCTAAAGTAATTAGATGGATAATGGGTGGAGAGATAAAGATAGATAGATAGATAGATAGATAGATAGATAGATAGATAGATAGATAGATAGATAGAATTTCTTTAAAAATAATTTCTGTTTAAGGAAATCTTGAGAATTACTTTGAGGGTTGTACATTAGGTTAGAGGGAGAAAAAAATAGATAAATAGTGCAAAATAACATAAAAGGGAGAGAGAAAGAGACAGAGACCAACAAACAGAGTGAAAGTCAGTTCAAGTGGGTGACTATAACCTCTGGCAAGAGATCAGAGAAACAAGTTCAACCCAAAGTCAATTTAATTTTATTGGACCACACTGTCTCAGGCAATTAGAAAAATATTTGTAAAACATCAGATGAGAAAAAGGAGTGTGGAGCCCAATAATGCCAAACAATGTTTATAAGAAAGAAATCATGAAGTGGGAAGAGTAAACACAATTATTCTATCAGCACCTCCTGTTCTTCTAAAGATTACTTAACTTACATTTAGAGAATTCTGAACAAACAACCAAAATAGTTTCTTGCTAACATACTCCTACCTCCAAAGTAGTTAGTTTTAAGAATTAAAAAAAAACCGAGAAATTTTCAATTTTGAGGAATTAGAAATAAATGAAATTATCAATTATTTTTAGGCCGTCTGATAATAGCAAGCCAAAAAGAAAATAAAAAATGTCTTTATGGTTCCCATTTGCCCTTTACTTTTCACTTTGAGTGAAAAACTACTTGATAATGGACACAAGTGATAGCCCCAAAGTTGAGGCTATAGTTACAGGCTTATTTAGAGAAGAGAATGCACTTCAACTCTTTATCCAGCCGCATGAACTTTCAAGGTTCTTCATAGTGCATGTAAATTTAATTCAACTCAGTGGTATTGGACAGGTTAGCTTGTTTCACCAATTTTTACAGCTTATGAAGCTGACAAACATGAAGCCCTGAAATCAGTTTCATCTTGTAGCTCATACACCACCACCACCACACACATACACACACACACACACACACACACACACACACACACGAAATATTCATGGTCTTTCATGATGTGTCCAATTAACAGTGGTTCTGCATGTAATATTTTCCTCCTCCTAATTCCTCTTTTCAAACCAGGCCCCAGTCTCTTTAGAGATCTGTCCTTGTCACTCCCTATCCTTTATCTATTCCCTCCTAATCACCAAATGCTGTACCTGGTATTGGAAAAATACCGGTCATACAGTTTTCTCCTCAGATCACAATGAAATATACTATCTATGCGAAAACAAAATGAGACTGAAGGTTGTGTTTCATTTCTACCATGGATGTTCCAATTAATGATCACTAAATATGTCAACCCTCAAATAAGTTCTGCTTCTCTGGAAAACCAATATGCATCAAAATCAATGCCAGATCCTCCTTATTTAAAAAACAGACTATAATGAAATGCACATATATATTTTTATATATGGTGATTTTTCAAAAATTATTAGGTTATAAAAATTCAGATATCTAAGATTTCTAATACTAATTCTATTCTTCAACATTTCTAGTCTGGAACTTCATTTGTGATCATTATTCCTTGAAATCCAATGAGCCTCTTGAATTTTAAAAATGTTTTTAAAGGGGAAAGAACCATAATAAACTATTACAAGTTTACTGTGATGACATACAATTAGTAGAAAAATTTGAGGATGGTTACATACCTAGAGTGAGAAAATACTGTACAATCAGAAATACCAACTAAAGAGTAAGCTGACATCCATGTATATCTGTGTGTGTATATCCATGAGTCTGTTTGTGTTGGGGGGAGTGTTTCCTTCTGTATCCTTCTGCTTTATGTAGTTTTAGAATGTGGAGTATTTATTATGCCCTCTAGTCAAGACCATGGAAGAGAGACATTTCCATGGTCCCCTGGTCACTTTTTAAGTACCATTATTGAGTCAGTGTTCTTGGAAGAGACTGATGTGGTAAAAACATTTCTGTTAATTTCCCCTGAAGAATGTCACATTGGGTAATGTTCTGTGGGTGGTCATGTAATGAGACACTGGTGTCTGTCTATGGCACATACTGTATATGAAAGGAGATATAGATAAAGGTAACTTAAATTCCATCCCTCTCTTTGTTTATATGATGCTTATCACCATGCTATCTAGACACCCAGGCTAGAAGCTTTATAACAAGTACATTTTCTACCTTCATTCAACTGCAATCCATGGACAATGGGTCTGGTCAGGCTCTTGAAGGGTTAATATTCACACATGCTTTTGGGTAGTCAGAGATGAAAATGGACTGACCCTAGCAGCAAAAACTTCCTCATTTTCAATAATGTAAGCAACTGCTTTAGTGGGATACCACTGAAAATGAATCTTCTATGTTATATTCTAAGTGCATTTGCAAGCATGTAGCTATTTAAACCGTTTTTACCTAACCTAGTGACTTTTAAAAATATATAGCTATTCACAGTCCTAGTTTATTTTGAAGATGAACAGCATGAAAAATTTAAAAGGAGTTATTTTCCTGTAGAAGAGAGCAAGTGTTATAGCAACTCTGTATGTCTGTGTGTGTGTTATAGCAACTCTGTATGTCTATGTGTGTGTGTGTATATATATATGTATATGTACTTTTTAACTTTTTAACATATATATGTATTTTAGTACTTTTATGTTAAAAGTTATATATATATATATATAAAATACTAACATAAAAGTACTAAAAATGCTCTATTCCTTTTTATGTAAATATAATTTTTAATAACACTAACCCCCAGATATTATCCTCTCTGTCACATCATGGAATTGACACAATACAGCGTGTTGTTAAGAGCAAACATTACTAAGTCCAATTGGACTTTTTACAAAGTCAAATTATAACAATAATGAGACTCTTAGAACACCTGTATTTTCTTTTGGAGAGTCTTTCACTTCCTTCCTCTTTCTAGCCTCTAACTTCCTTTGTTTTCTTTTAGTCTTGAACTGTAACTGGGAAATTCTGGAATGTAGATTTATTCTCCTTGACCTCAGCTGTGATTAATCCACCCGAAACAAAGATCAACTTCTGGCAAATACTAGTTCCCTTTCCCTTATATTAATAATGCAAATTCACCTAGTTGTTTGCAGTATCTGGTTTAGGTGTGGTTGAAAAAGAAAATCCAGAGAGCAAAGATGCAAGAATTATCTGTGATTCATTTAACAAACACATATTGGATATTACTTATGTACAGGTACTGGGTAGGCCGTCTATTTGATTAATGAATATTAATTATACTGCATTTGAAACTCTGAAATGCAAATGAGATTGAAGAGGATGATGAATGGCTTACAGTCCACATTTGTAAGCCCTGTTTTTGTTCTACCACCATATGGTATAGAAACAAAATTATTATTCTCTTTGGGTGGGAGGAGATACTAGTGTAGATTAATCAAATACACTGGCAGCTAAGATGAATGAAACTCAGTTAATACTAAAACCTCATTGGAACCATTAGTTCTGAACTCTTTATCAAAACTTTTACCAGGGCTGCTAACAATTAACAAAATTGATGAATCTGAGTTGCAGTCTTATGCCTTTCTTCTACCAGCCATTTGTCAATCAATAGCTTTTATTGAGAATTCACCATATACAGGACAATGTGGAGGCTTGGAGCCTCCAAATCCCGTTGAGGGAAAATAATTTAAATAAGTGTTAATAGACTTAGTGAGACAAAGTTGTCACTTTTAGCTCAATGTCACTATTAGTTCAATGGTTAAAAGACAAATTTCTTTTACAACAGGCCTTCTCAGGGTCTCTAATCTTCTAGCACATTGTTAATATTGAAGAGGAGGATTTAATATTCAGCATTTCCTTTTATTATTCTTTGTTGTCCAGATACTAATTAATATTTCCTAGAAATCATGTTCCACAAATCTCAATAAATAGGAGCTGTGGTCTTTGCTTTCTGAGATGTTAATATCACTATTGTAGAGGTTATTAGAACCATAGAGTTGTTGTAGAATAAAAAATCATAGGGATTACTTAACCCAGAGTTCCCAATTCAAAGTGACTGTTAAGTTTTACTTTAATTCTCAAAGTCTGGCCCTCCTTCAGGCTTACTGAGTTAGAATTTGGGAGGATTAAACCAAAACTCTCAAGGTCCTGCATTAATTTTGATGATGGATGGGCCAAGTGTGGGAAACACTGTCCAGGACAAACCAGTCAATGCCCAAGTGAGGGCCAAGCCCTTTCAGAGAATCTTTAGGCCTCAGTGCAGAGGCGGCCCTGTTGGATGGCAGACTACTTTGCTTCCCTGCCCTCTCCCCATGTGTCAGAGAGGCTGACTGGATCCACATGCTGGCAACGCTAAGATCAATAGTGATGCAGACCATCCTACAATGACGAGCTGCAACAATCAATTACTCGTTGTCAGCATTTTGCATTAGAAAACAGAGTTAATGGGGTCCTTGGGCCAAGGGACCTGGTGTTGAAGAGGCACAGGAAACATTCATGAGACAAGTTGGAACTATGATAGTTATGTAAGTTAAGAAGAGGCAGAAGCTAGGAAGAAACAAGCCATGAGGCAGAAAAACAATAGCAGAATACACAAAGAGAACGAAACCATCCCAACATTTCTAAAACTATAGTATATACACCATTTGTATATAGTATATAGTATATACACCATTTGCTACCAAACCAGATGACCCTAGTGGTATACACCATGGCAGGGTACATTCAGCCTGCCTGGCTTTTTTTTATCTGTGGTTTGCAGTCTTGACTCATCTCTAAAGTTCATTCAAATAGAGTAATTTCTACTCTGTGCAGCCTTGGCTGCACATTGGAATCACCTCGGGTGTCTTTGAAACTACTGATGCTCAAGCCTTACCACAAAGCTCTTAATCTCTGGGGGTGGCTTACAGGCATGAGTACATTGTTTTTAATCATCCAGCTGACTCTAATATGCAGTTAAGGCTGGAACCTGCTGCTAGGAGAAAGAAGACAGAGAGGAACCTGCATTAAATTCCTTCCCCTCCATCAAGATGAAGATGGAAGTGAGCCATAGGCCACGGATGCCATTGTACTCATTTTTCCTGTTTAGTAAGGCAAATGTACCACATTTCTTTCCATATATGGTAATAAAAATGTAGTGTCCTTTAAAAATTATTTTGTTAAGGTGAAAACAAAAAGTGGGTTACTTTTTAAAAAATATTAAGTGACTAATAGAGCAGTTGGTCATCTGACATGGCAAAAATTGTGGTGGTGGAATGCAGATGAATTATATACAGATGTATATATATACAGACGGAATGCAGATGTAATATATACAGCATATGCAAATGTGCATTTTTAAAGTTTAAAAAGATGTATGGTGGCTCCTTCCATTTCTGAGACTACTCTGATGATGGGCTGATCATATAAGATCTAGTTTGAATTCTAGAATGACACTTCTGCACATAGTCTACAGTAGAAACATTGTTCTCCCGGATTAAAAAGGAAGCTAGACAAATCCTATATGAGCACCTATCATGCATGCACACACACATTATAAAACAAATATAAGCGTAACTAGCCTGCTGTATCCAATTGAATAAACAATGAATAGGTAAAAGTTAGTTTCTTACCTGTTTGAAAGATTTTATGGAACAAGAATAAAATGAATAGCAACCACAAAAGGGGTAAAACAGATTTAGTGAATAAAATGGGTTTGGGGACAAGACTTCAAGGAGGGTCATAGACTTAGGGTAACAGATGAGTGTGCAAATGAGGAGATGCTCTGCTTGACTAAAGGAAGAATGGGAGAAAATAGCACTGAATAAGGAGACATTCATTGGTAGGTGCCTATGTAACATCCATGACTCAGATTTTCAATATGCTTCAAGAGTTAGTTGGGAAAAATATTAGAATGTAAAAATATCATTACTTTGTAGCTAACATGTATTTAAAACTATGTTTAAGGCATATTTCTGAGTACTTTCTACCCTGTGACTCATTTATTCCTCCCAGCACATCCACAAAGCAAGGGGGAACTTGTGCCACAATATGCAGAGGAAGAAATGGAAGCCCAGAGATATTAAGTATTTTGTCCAAGGTTGGTACTTGTTAAGGCTTGGATTTAAACACAGACCTTAATCCTTAGGCTATAGTATAAGTATTATAAATATTTTTGAATAGTCTAATGGATGTGAAGGAGAAAGAGAAATCAAGTGGCCTCATTAATCCATTTCTCTAATCTTCAAATTTCTGTTTTGCAAGAGTTAAATTTTTTTTCTCATTAGAGTTGATACAGTAAAAATATGTGAGAAGAAAAATTTGGAAAAGAGCCTAGAAGTGGTGAAAACCCCACTATAGGAATTTAGAGAATCTGAGGTGTTGCAATGATTAGAAATGTGTGTTTTATAAAGCATATTAAAACTGAAGATGTTTATTGTTTAGTTATGTATTTACACTTTAAATTGATAAATGCATCAAAACACCGGCATGAAGCACTGTTTAAACACACTCCTAAAAACTTTCAAAGACCATGTCTTGTATGAAAATATGTAACTAAATATTTGTATTGTAAAGAAAAAAAAGGCTAAAAAAAGTTGCCAATCAATTTCAAATCAGTTTATCTTTTCCAAATGCTTCATAATCATGTCTTAAGGGAAAATATGTGCTTAATAAAATTCATTTTCCTAAAGGACCTAGAGGATGAGGAGGGTGGAGGAGTTGGCTCTTACAGCAGAGGAAACATCAATTTAGTAGAAAGACACCCACAATGATTGGAAGTATTGTTAGGGTAGAACTCTTTAAGATTGGGGATGATACCCACCTTCTTGACTAAAGACATGGAAAGATAAAGTACAGGGAAAGAGCTTTCTAGCTTAAGCATCTATGATTATTTCTGAGTTCTGTCTTCATTAATCTAATCTGATCTCATTGATCTTGTCTAAGGTTTTGATTACATTTTATTGAGTAGAAAATAAGTGTCTAGAAACATTTTTCAAATCATATATATTTTTGCTAATTTGCATCTTTGTGTCAATGGAAACATACAAAGATTCAGAATCTCTCTTCTCTTTTTTGAGTGAAGGGTAAATTTCCAGATATTTTTATTCTGGGTAGTAGAAACTTTAAAAAATAAATGAAAGACAGAGAACAGACATCCTCCGAGATACTATTTTGTATGATTTTGGATGATTCCAATTACAGCGTCAAGCTCGAATTTATCTCTCCATACTGAAAAGACATGTGCTTTTGGAAACCTCTATAATAATATGCTACATATAATCACAATTACATAATTATTCAATAAAAAATGATTACTTAAGTAACATTACTGGTTAACTCTGGTAATTACCTGTACGTGGATGTGGGTAAACAGGCATTTTTACCATAGCAGACAATTCTGTTTGGAAATATTTTTATGATGAAATTGTGGCAGTCCTGACCCAAGAAAACAAAAACTGCTCAAAACTTAAAAGGCACAGCTTTGATTGCTTCGTCTATGAATAAACTTTCCAGAATGCTTTTCCGATTTGGAAAGAACAATGTTGCAAGCTAACGAATCAAAGACAAATTGCTGACAATTTGTGTTGGGTTCATAAATAATTCAGCAGGATTTTTTAGGCTTGTCTGAAACTTTAAACAGGAGAGTGTCTAAATGAAAATAAAGTTGGGGAGCTAGATATGTGCACAAGAAAAATCATGCTTGCCTTAACTAATAATAGGGTTATATTAGCCAAGTTAGATTCTCTGGAATCACTGTCTCCCAGAAACTGGAACTGGAACAAGAACAGAGACATGGAGGGAGAGAGAGAGCCCAGAGCTCTTCACTGAAGAAACATCATACTTATACCCAACTCTGACAAGCAACTCCCTCCAAAAATATTTAAATTGTATAGGTTTCACCATAGGTTGTATGACCTACTTTGCTGATTTAGTTGAATGAGGCAACTAAGCTATTCAAGAAATTTTTCAAGAAAAGAAAGAAATACAAGCTCATCAATTTAGTGAAAAATAAGTCAAATGATTTGACTGAATAGATCTTCTGTTAGTCAAAGAGGGCCCAAATTGTTGGCTGGGGAGATAGACATAGCCAAAGAACAACTGGGGCAATTCCATACACAATTTCCCTAATGTTCTACTGATGAGTTAACATTATGAACATTACCTAGTTTACAACAGAAGTCAAATCAAAGGAAGATAGATAGATATAGATCGATCGATCGATCGATCTGCCTTTGGCATATATATATATATGTATATGTATATGTATATATACATGTATGTGTGTGTATATATATTGACTATATATTCTATATGTAAATATATTCTAAATGAGAATAAAGTTGGAGAGCTAGATATATACACAAGTAAAAGCATGCTTGCCTTAACTAATAATAGGGCTATATTAGCCAAATTAGATTATACATATACACACATACAGAAAATAAAATATTGATGGTGATTATATGTTAAGAATGAACTCATTCAGTGGAAAACTTTATAAACTTTTAAAATTATTTTTCTGCTTTATTTTGCTTTTTATATAAAAACTTGCCTCGTAAAATCTTGCTCAAAATTGAGTTCTGTGTACTTTTCTCTTTGCTTCTAAACTTGTTAAAGAGATGTAATGCTCTACCTGTAACTGTCAATATAGATCAATGCACAGTATACAATAGAATGAATTGTATTGATCTAATATTGGCCTATTTTTCTTATATGCATCTTTGTCCTCCGATCTATCACAGTGCTGCTAATTTCTTGGAATTTTTCAGCTAAAAATGCACAATAATCTATACTTTTAATGAGAATATTTCTTTGTAATGAATAAATGAACGTTAAAAATAAGCTAAGTATACCAAGAAGCAAATAAATCAAATTAAATTTGGCTGAAAAGAAGTTTATAAAATTGACATTCACCCCCAAACTAGCCTTTAAATTACTAAAAAAGACATAAATGCAAACATCACGTAGAGTGAATAACCAACACTGAGTGTCAGTTCTTTCTAGCTGTTTAGGTATGTGGCAATGAAATGACCCATGGATAAGAAAAATACACACGTTGGTTCTGTAATGTGCACTAAATAATCTGAAGCAGGGGCAGCCACACAAGTTCTAACACTTGTGTGAACACACAGGGATTCCACGGAAAGGGGGTTAAGAAGGCACAAGGGGATAGACTAATCTTTGGGGGAAAATAAAAAAAAATAAAAGAATGAGGTTTAAAATTCTCCAGATACCAGCAAATGAACTTCATCCCTCGCCTCCGTATCCCCCCAAGGAACAAAAGCCAAATAAATGTTGTCTTTGTCTTACCACTAAATACAGGTATGAATCCCAGAAGATAAAGAAAACCAACAAAAGCTTAACTGAGATGTTAAGGATATTCAGCTTTCCCTTTGATAGTAGAATATTAATTTATTTAAACTTATTTTAAAGAAAAACTAATGCCTGGTTAAAAGGTAGTTATTTATAGGAAATTTTTTCATGTTGGTGGGTGAATAATAAAACTTTGATGGAAGATTTAATGTTTAATTTTTCCAATGCTGTACATTATTTAGTTTTCCAAAGTTTTGAATTATGATGGCAATGTTTTTAGACAGGTCTGATTTTGTAAAATTGATGTTCAGTAATGATGATGCCAGATTTAAACTTAGCTTGAAAAGGAAATCTGTGTGTAGTAGAAGTCTGGAGCAAGATCAGATTCGATTCGCGAAATGTGTTACACATTAATAATGATGACCTGTTTGTTACAGTGCTTTATAGCGTTCAAAAGTTGTCACATTTGTTATCTTCTATGCTGCTCACAAACTCTGTTACATTAGAAAAGTGAATTATTTCCATCTTACAAATGAATGAACAGGTTCAAAGAGGCTAAGTGGCTTTTCTCCCTTCTCTGGTATCTCTTTATAGAGTCCAGTGGCCTGTGGTTTAGTGTAGGGACATGGACAGGAGGCATGGATCTTCTGTGTCACCAGTCAGGCCTCTGGCCTACCTTTGTCATTTGGAAGCCACTGTGGGTTACAGTCCTGTTAATTGGCCTGTATTGTGAGGGTCATCATGGAGTGGAGTAAGGAACATAGGAACAGTCTGAGCTTAGATAAGGTGGTACTGCTTAGAACCTAGACACAGATATATGGATACCATGAGGCCAGAGGATTCAGTCTGAAACACACAAATTGAAATAGAGAGATTGTGATCAGGTCAGAATGGAAAGCATGAATCTGAAACAGAATGAGGAGAAACTGTACATTAGATGTAAGAGAGTTTTAGCTTTTGATAGTTTAACCTCCTGAATAGAATTATTATGTGTTAATTCCATCTGGAAAACACACAGTCATGCCTGGTCTTCTAACCATAGTGTCCGTGGTATGCTTGTTTACATTAGGAAAAAGAAAGCTTTGGGTTGAAAATGCTTGGTTATTTGAAAAACTTTTCATTATGAAAAATGTCAAACATAAACAAAAATAGATCTACTAATATTAAAAATATCTGTGTACCTGTGACCCAGCTTCAACAACTACCAAGTCATGACCAAACTTGTTTCAGTTATACCTCCACCCACTTCTTTACCTCCTGTAAATATTTCAGTATGTATCTGTAGAACATATGCCTTTTTATTGAGTGTTGCACACTGTATTAAAAAATCCAAAGATAATTGAAGTCTAAGATAAATTTCTACAGAGAGGTTTTATGTTTGCTTCTGAAGAAACAGATTTAGACAGGAAAGGTGGCTTTTCCATGATTATAGAGTTGGAATTTAAACTCCAGTCCTTTGACTTCAAGTCTAATCCTCTATTATATGAGATTGTTTGAAAAAGAAAGAAAACTTGCATTTATTCTAGATTCATGATCTGTTGTAGCCACTGGGCTAAGTGCTATATGTACTTTACCCATCATATATGTCTTTTTGGAAATGGTGAGTGATTAAATAAAGTACACTTTATCCTCAGTAACCCTGTGATGCAGGTAATTTCCTATTTTATTTTTATTTATTTATTTATTTATTATTATTATTTTTTTGATAAGGAACTCTCAGAGAAGTTAGGTAAATTGCCCATGGTTACAGGGCTACTAAGTTACCACTTAAGGTTAACAGTCTACCTTAAAGCCTATTATTTCCATTAATGATTATAATAGTGTTTTCTAAAAAAAAAAAGCCTGTAAAAATACATTTCTAGCCAGGCACGGTGGCTTCTACATGTAATCCTAATACTTTGGAGGCTGAGGTGGGTGGATTGCCTGAGCTCAGGAGTTCAAGACCAGCCTGGGCAACACAGTGAAACCCCATCTCTGCTAAAATAAAGAAGAAATTAGCCGGGCGTGGCAGCATGCGCATGTAGTCCCAGCTACTCGGGAGACTGAGGCAGGAGAATTGCTTGCACCCGGGAGGTGGGGGTTGCAGTGAGCCGAGATCGCTCTGCTGCACTCCAGCCTGGGTGACAGAGCGAGACTCTGTCTCTAAAAATATCCACATTTCTTGTGGATCTGTATAGTGTGATGTGTATCTGTGTGTTCGCATGTATTATACTATTTCTATGAAAAAGTGTGTACGTATTCTAATCTTGAAACAGTTCTCCTACAAACAGAATTTTAGGATATGAATCACAGTAAACTGAAATACCAACATTGAGACAGAGGCACAGGAGGTCACTGTGGCCACTGCAGGCAGGCCGGAAGTTGCCATTCACTTAATGTAATAGATTCTACCTTGTCTTTTCCAGCCTAACTTGCTTTCTGCTAAACTCATGGTTTCATTGTACGTAACAATTAATTTTTAAAAAGTCATTTTTATTGTTATCTTTTAAAAAATGATTTAGAGAACTATCCAATTCCTCTGAAATGAGATCTCACCAAGGGCATTCTTGATGAACCCATCATGTTAAACTTGTTTGAGCCATGGACCAGGTATTTTGCCTAATAAGGCGCAAAGCATGATTTACTGAACAACTATGCATCTGTGTCATATCTCAAAAAGGTTGAGTGGCTCTGGAATCAAATTGCCTTGTATTTGATTCTCAGATAAGCTACTTGCTAGTTGCATGGTTTTTGATAGAGTATTCAACATCTCTTTCTTCAGTTTCCTCTTCTGAAAAATGGAAATGATAGAAAGAATGTCTACTTCATAGTGTTTTAGTAAAGGATTGCATAAAATAATCCACATAAATAATTTAATAAATGCATTTTAATATTAGCTATTATTTGGGAGATTTTTGGAGATACAAGCAAAATTCTATACGTGCAGAACTTAAACACATTCTAACTTACTCCTTTCCAGATCTAATGAGGTCCCGTCCTTTAGCCTCTTCCTGCTTCCTGGGCCAGGAAGGATTAGCTATTGACCTAGATGCACACATCATTTTTGAGGGATACTCCGGGTACTCCAGGGTCTGCTGGCATCTCTCATTCATGCATTCCCTCAGAGTTGGTTCTCATTTTGTTTCTCTATAATTGTACTGGCGTATCATGTTCATATCATATAATTTACCCATTTTAAATATTCACTTCAGTGATTTTTAATAAATTTATCAAGTTGTAAAACCACAACAATATCCAGTTTTAGGACACTTTCATCACCCTAATATGATCCTCTGTACTCATTGTCAGCTAATCACTGTT
The DNA here is from genome assembly GCF_000001405.40 of Homo sapiens. NCBI lineage: Eukaryota > Metazoa > Chordata > Mammalia > Primates > Hominidae > Homo > Homo sapiens. The sequence continues at coordinate 144,296,497 of NC_000004.12, forward strand.
CCCACACAAGTCTCAGGCAAACACTAATTTACTTTCTTAGGTGGATTTGCCTATTCTAGGTATTTCATTTAAGGGCAATAATACAATAATACAACATATGGTCTTTTTATCTGTCTTCGTTCATGTAGCATAATGTTTTCAAGGCTCACCCACTTCATAGCACGTATCAGTACTTAATTCCTTTTTATGGTTGAATAATATTCCATTGTATGGCTATACCATGTTTTGTTTAATCATTCATCAGTTGAAGGGCATTTGAGCTATTTCTGCTTTTTGGCTATTATGAGTAATGCAGCAATAAATATTCATGTGTAAGTTTTTGTGTGAATATATATTTTCAATTCTCTTGTGCATATACTTAGAAGTAGAATTGCTAAGTCTTATGGTAACTCTATGTTTAACCTTTCAGGAACTACCAAGTTATTTTCCAAAGTGGTTGTGTCATTTTACATTTTTTTCTAAGATATAGGGTATTATTGTGTCATTCAGGCTGGAATGCAGTGGCGGGATTGTTCCTCACTACAACCTAGACTCCTGGGCTTAAGAGATCCTCCTGATCTAGCCTCCCCAGTAGCTGGGACTACAGGGTTGTGCCACTGTGCCCCGGTAATTTTTTTAAAAAATTTTTGTAGAGTCAGTGTCTTGCTATGTTTTCCAGGCTAGTCTTGAACTGCTGATCTCAAGCAATCCTGTTGCCTCTCCCTCCCAAGGTGCTGGAATTACAAGAGTGAGTCACTGCACCCAGACTCACTTTATATTCTTACCATCAGTGTACAAGCATTCCAGTTTCCCTACATCCTCATCAACACTTGGTATTGTCCTATTTTTAAATTATAATTAGTAGATATATAGTATATTATTGTGGATTTGATTTGCATTTCTCTTACATCTAATGATGTTGAGCATTGTATCATGTGCTTATTGGCCATTTTTACATTTTTTTGGAAAAATATCTATTTAAATCCTCTGCCCATTTCTAAAAATTGGGTTGTAAGGGTTCTTTATATGTTCTGGGTACCATTAGTAGATCCTTATCAGATATATTACTTGAAAATATTTTCTCTCATTCTGTGGGTTATCTTTTCACAAAGAACTTCATAGCATTTTTTAATTTTTAATTTTAATTTTTAATTTAATTTTACTTTTTTATTCTTTAGTACACTCACAGACAAGCAAAGACTTAATACTGTTTTTAATTTTGCCAAAGTCTATTTATTTTTTAGGTGTCATATCTAAGAAGCCATTACCTAATTTGAGAACACAAGTATTTACACATAAACTTTCTCCTACAGGTTTTATAGTTTTAACTATAACATCTAGCTGTTTGATCCATTTTGAATTAATTTTACATATTGTGTGAGGCAGGAATCTAACTTTATTCTTTTGCATGTGGATATTCAGTTGCCCTTGGAATTTTATTGGCACCCTTGTCTAAAATTAATTGACCATAAAGGTATGGGTTTATTTCTAACTCTAATCCATTTTGAGTTAATTTTTGTGTATAGCATGAGATAAGTTTACCTTTTTGCATATGGCCATCCAAATGTCCTGGTGAAGTTGCTTTGGCACCTTTGTTGGCAATCAATAGATTTTAAATATAAGAGTTTATTTCTGGACTCTCAATTCTGTTTTATTAATGTATATGTTTATTTTGAGGGGTTGGTTATTTTAAAATTTTGTCAGTAGGCGTGTATGAAGAGAAAACATGTGTTACTCACATTGACAGCTAATGTCACATTTTCCCCTGGTGAAAATAAAGGAAGGAGAAATTAAACTAAAAAATAAAAATAAAGTGAATCACAGGCTAAACTAAATGACACACTACTGGAAGAAGAAACCTGGAAATTATAAGAACTAAATATAAAGTTTAGCTGGCAGAGTATATTACAGTGGGAATCTCCAGCTGATAGCTTACATTTTTGCTAAATGAAGAAAGGAGATTGATGATAAACATTTCAAAAAATAAAAGGTACAAGGTCAGGGTTTAGCATAGGGACTACATCAGTACTAATACTAGATTGTGTCACCAGCTACGCCCCTGAAATTGATTTTCCTGCCACAAAATACAACATCTTTATTATTCCCTTGGCAGTGGGCTAAATTAGAGAGCAGGGGAAAGGAAAGAATTGTTGACAGATTTCTACATGCAGTCAATGGTAGCCAGTGTCCCAGGAAGGAGGACTCACGGAACATTACCATTCTTGATGCAATGCACATGTTGTACTCAGGAAGGAATGCAGAGAAAACTCTTGACAGTCAAAATAGGATTTGCATATACTGCCTTAGCTGATGGACAGTAGTCTCCTTAGTCTCCTATACCCGTCTTGGGCATTTAGCTGTACTTGTGGTCAACCTTAAGAAGTTCTGCCTAAGGGACAAGGGAGGCTTAGAAAAAAACAAAACAAAACAAAACAAAAACCTGAAGAAAATGCAGCAGGAACAATGCTCATATGCTCCTCTTAAACAGATCTGTTCTGATTCAGAAAATATTGGGAGAAACAGCTGTAGAGGATATGGAGAGATAGATCCCATTTCTGCCAGTCCTGGTTCCATTTCTAGTCATTTTATTTAATGATGTTACATATATAGAGAATAAACATACTAGAAAATGCCAGTTGTATCTAGAAACATTTAGTTCAGTAGCAGAAAGCAATAAATAAGGAAGAGGTGCATTCTATACACTGAAGGTCAAGATAATGACATTTGCTCCCATACAGAGCAGAAGAGTTCCCAAGAGCTTTGTGACTGCTTAACAAACAGACTACTTTTTAAAAACACTAAACAAACTTCTAGAGGCAGAAGAGTGGAGTTGTTCAGAGAATGTGCATCAGGGCAAGAGTCCCTGGTTGTGAATTTCAGATCTGCCACTGACTAGCTGTGTGAACTTGAGCAAAGAATTTAAGCTCTCTGGGTTTTCATGGCCTCTTCTGTAAAAAGAATTAATATTGTAACTACTTCACAGAGTTGTAGTAAAGATTAAATGAATCATTATGCATAAAGAACTTATGAATAACTGGAAATGACTATGTACTAGGTAGAAGCCTGCTGATACAATACTGTTTACCATGTTTTATTATACATACTCTTCAATTCCAACTGAAAAACTAGGGTGTCATTTAAAACATAAAACTCCATGCTTCTCACTTTTCTAAAAAAGTTAGTATATAAAGTAGTATTAATATTATTTGATTATAGGTAGTAAGAAATCTAATTTGATCTTTAATGAGGTATTAAACATGCTAATTACATGGTGTTCTTGATTCATAATAAAACTGGCACTTCTGAAATGAGGAATAAAAATCAAATAACAACCCTTCAAAATGAAAAATAATCTATATTCTTTTAATAATATAGATATAGATGATACATATTATTTTTGAAATGTGTGCATACAAATGACTATTTTTATTAAACAGTTTTTACTCAAGTAAATAGAACAGAGAAAGTCAAGTTTATATTATTTTAATGACAGATGCATTGTTGAAAAGTTAGGTACATGCAGAATATTTGAAAATTTAGGAGTGTTAACCATCCCTTTTGTGAAATGAAAAATTCTTATTGTAATGTGAATTACCTTGCAAATTTGATTTGTATACCTATGAGTTTAAAATTTAAAGTAAAATCAGAATATACTTACGTAAATGTAGGTTAATGTACAGTAGCACTTTCAGTTTATAGATGCGTTAGCATCTCTAGATGGTTAGGAGATCAATGTTTCTTTTCTTTGTGGTCATTAAAGCCTTTGGATATGCTACATGAGAAATAGATGCCCTCCCAGGCTGTGGCCAAGATTAAGGTCAAGGTATTACATGGGACTACACAAGGTGGTCTGTGGAATTTGGACTAAAGAAATTCTATCCTCTTTTTATGTAGCCTAGAGACAGGCTGTCAATGGTTCTCTCGTAAGATGATCCCATTTCATTTAAGTGAATGCAACTGAGGTCTTCACAACTCTGTCTCAGTTTTAACTTTACCTACAGTTTAGTCTTTCAATTTCACACTCAGTTTTTGTCTTCTTGTCTTATCTAAATCTACAGAATTCCGTGTTTCATAATGCTTCTTAAGGTGATTTCAGCCTCTTTGCTTTTTTCCTCAATTCCTATCTCCCTATTTATTTCAGTAAAATCAATTTGTACTCACCACCCTCCTAAACCTGGCTGCTATAGTTTCTCCAGCTATCCTGTCAGAGTTTTATGGTTTGTTTGCACCTGAGGTATGTAATGCTACACTGTTCACAGTGATTACCAAGCAATGACATGTTGTTAGCCCCCAAGGGAATTCCTATATTCACAAACACACTCATTCAAGAAGGTCATCCTGAAGACATCTGTCTTCCTTTCTGACCTGCTGCCGAAAAGCAACAGCTGTTCGGCCATACTTAGCTCATATTGTATCCATTGTCTACCACAATCACTACATTCCAAGAAATCCCATGCTTCTTACAGGGTGCTATAATTGTTCTGAGATGCCAGCCTCACCAGCTGGATCTATTTGTGGGCAGAATAATTCTCCCTGAGGAGTTGCTCTTCCCCACAGTCCCGCTCCCAGGAATGCTATCACCTGGAGAGAATATACACCACCAATAACAAGCACTTCACTCTATGATATCCCCGGTCACCCTTGCCCATAGTGCCCATAAGAGTTCATGCTGTCCTTCCAGCAGCTCTTCATTCTCAGGGCCCAAAGGAATCAATCCCCAAAGCCACACTTGATGTGCAGTGCCCACCAAAAAGCTCCATTCTTATCATTCACTGTCTAAGGCAAACAGATGTGTTAGCTTACTAATATGCCTACCTACTGTGCCTCATGCTACTTTGGCTCACAATCTGCTTGCCTGCGTAGCATCCTCTTCCTCTCCCCATTCCTCCCCATTTGCCTCAGCTTAGTCATCCTTCAAAATCAAATTCAAGTCTCACCACCTTCATGGACACTGCCTCCAACAGACCCAGCCCTGTGAGATTTAGCCCACTGTCATTTTCCTTTAAGACTTTCTTTTTCTACCACTGATTGGATCATTATCATACTTTTTTTCTTTAGAAGTCCAATATTTTAGAGTTGGAAGGGAGCTTCCATAATAATTAAGCGGTTTGCTCTTTCATATAAGTGATTAACTAAGGCCCAGAGAATTGGAGTGACTTTTGCAAGGGCCCAGCCTCACTTCTTCGGAACCTCCTCTGAAAAGATTTGAAACTGTGCTCTTCTAGGGCTGGGGTCTTGATGTTGAAGAATATGGCACTGGCCTAAAACTTTAAAGTGCAGAGAAAATGGAACCCAAGTCTGATTCCTGGTTAAAGGAAGGCTCAGGAAGACCAAAACTTTCAATTCCAAGGGAGGAGGCCAAGACCAACAATCAGCCACCAAAGAAAGTTCTAACCACTAACCATAGGAAGCAATCCCATTTGAGTGGCTAGTTTTAGAAGCTAAACCAGGGACCATTTACTGTGGCAATGATATCCAAGGGCATTAGAAACCTTGGATACCATTAGAAAATATAGTAATTAGAGAATAAGACCTTAGGGAAGAAGCTACTGGGAAATGCACACCAGTTCATATGTAAGGCTGATATAGTGGCAGTGTATAAACATATATATATATATATATATGTGTGTGTGTATATTTACCGTCATGTGTCTATATACATACACAAACATATATATGCACACATATATGCATATATACACTGCCATATACATATAACTGTATATCTATATATGTGTATGTGTACATATATGCATATATATGTCTTATCCTGTAATTTATTGTGAGTTTCTTGAGAGTCATGACTATTTTCACCATGTTAGTATATGGAGTACCTGGCTGTGCCTCATTCACAGTAGGTACACAATGAAAGTTGGTTGTCCATGATGGTGAGTTTTATCTGGTTCTTAGGAAACTTTTTCAAGTAGCTATGTAAGTCTTCAAGTCACAAGATAAGGGCCTTCATGACTTGCTAACTTTGCTAACTTCCCTGAGACTCCTTTCTACCTCCAAGAGTTTTGTTTTGCTATACTCCCATCCTATAGTTGCTGTTTGGATGCCACGAGAAAGCAAAAAGTATATAGGAAAAAAAATCTGACCCTATAATGTTGATATCCCACCACTCCCTAACTTGTAAGAGGGTAGTCAGGTCCGTGACTGCCCAAACATCCAGGTATCTCTGGGGCCTTTAGAAACTCTATCTGGTGAGGTGGTCTGCTGGCAAGGGAACTGGCACAGTCCTCTTAGCTGACTTTCTGGGATAGGCCCGTATTGGATTTCACCTAACTAGTACAGACAAGTTAGAAGTAGTTTAAATTTTTTAAGGGCCATTTGTAATTACCGTACCAGAGCTATTCAGAAAGAATGATGTAACTTTCAGAGCAAGCCTGTCTGAAGTCATCGTCACCACCTCTGTCACTCCCAGGACCGCCCATTTTTTCTCTTATCTCCTTGCAGTCTGCAGCTGGTGGTCTTTCTGAGCACATACTCTTGGCCCTGCCTGGGCAGAGCTGCCCTGATGGCATTTTCAGCTCAGACTCATTTTTCTTCTGCCAGACCTAGCCTCCTCCCAGGCTAAAATCCAATGACGAAAAATGCTTTGAATTAAGTGGGAAACAAGCTCTCTACTGCTCAGAAAGGAACAGCAAGACCAGACGTGTCCTGAAACCAGACGAACTTTAGTATGAAGGAAAAGTGAAATTTTAGCACTCACACCTCTTTTAGAAAATATGCCTAAGAAGACATTTCTATTCTGAATAACAGTGGGGTGCAAATGGATCATTAGGGAAATTTGATAGCCATGAGAAAGCATTTCCACTGCCCCTCTGACTCCTGACATTCTGGTCTCCCTCTCAGACTCCAGGAAGTGGTCTGACTCCAGCCAATTGCTGCTTATCCATGAGGTTGGGGAACATGGCTAATGAAGGTCCTTTGTGAATTCTTATGCCTCATTTTGTCATTAATTTCACCCTTCATCCCCACCACACCTGTGGAGCTGCTAAATGGCTAGACTGGAGTTTCACTTTCCAGCCCACCCTCCATTGAAGTGCTAACTGAGCTGGGAATAGAGGTCTCAGCTCATGTCCAAGGACCACAGTAAATTAACAAACAGAAACCCTGAAAGATTGTTGAGAGTAAAAAGATTCCCAACTCCCTGGAAAAGCCTATGGTAACTGAAAGGAGATGGAGCTGTGCCTGCCAAAAGTGGATCACCTTATGTGAAGATTTGAGTTCAGGTATTTAATCTAGGCTTGATGTATCCTAGGAGTCCACACCAGTTGGCTCATCAGCAGAAGTACCCTTTCTCTGCTTCCAAATTATAGTTAAATTCATCCTTTGGGTATAACTAATGCTGACAGAAGAAGAGGAGAAGAGGTATTTATTTATATAAATCAGAGTCAGGGAGAAAACCTGAGCAGAAGAAAGATTCTGAGTTGAGACCCATGGGGAAATGGCATCCCATAATGTATCATCGGGTTTGTTGTTTGCCAGGTTTGGTGTTGAACAGACTCTGCCTCTAGAGCTCTCTGTCCACTTTTGACATCAGTGCATGAAATGCTCAAAAACAAATCAACAAATCCCTTGCATGTGTGTTAGATTTTCAGCATCCTCAGCTAGTACCACAGTTGGAGGTCTTCAGATGTTATCAGTCCTACACCCTCTCTCCCAACCCTCTTAATAATAGATAATTTTCATAAGCAAAAATGAACACAGCACTAGTGTTTAGAAAGACACTTGCTTTTCTCACAGCTGCCACTTCCTAAGTAGAAGAGCTAACTTTGTGGGGGACCAAATGATGTCATATTAGTCACGGCATCATTTTTCAAGGGCCAACAAAACCCTCCCTCCACCTGCAAAAATAAAATCGATATAGTTCTCTACACATTTTTATATTGTGTGTTAGGAAAAAGAATTCACCACCCAAACTCTTGACTGGATATCACTTTATCCAGTGGTTGAAAAATGATGCTATGACTCAAGGACTCTTATTCTCCCTCCCATAAGAGACTGCGATTTAAAGAGAAAGGAGATATATAAAGACATGCTCTTCCCAGGCACCGTCCCCAAAGAGCAATGCCACTTTTAAGTGAAACGCTGCAGATAATAATACTTAAAATTCCTTCCAATCTTGCTCACAATTTTAAAAGCTTCAAAATCATTCCCTCAAAATATGAAACAGCTCCAAAATGTTTATGTCATCCATCTTTTCCATGTTATATAACTATATGAGGACAGGAATGATGTATTTTCCTTGTTTTACGTACTGCCTTTTATGTCAGCTATGAACTGATAATCATTTTAAAAGCATTGACAACAATCCTGCAGTTTATTTTGTTGATGTAAAGTATTCCTTATAGTTACAATGAATGTGTCAATTATTAAAATATGGAAAGGGGGAAGATTTTCTCAGGATCCATACTCTTTTTCCAGTTGTAATTTAAGCAGGGACCAGGCTAATTCCAAGGGCAGGTAATATCATAATTACCTGCAGACTGGTTATCTCACTCTGGAAAATTAGCTAGATGTGGTAAGCTTAGTTTTGACAATCCTAAGAAAAATATTGGAATAGAATCTCAAAGTCTTGATAAATGGAAGCTTTTCATTGTTTATATGCAGACAAGGGTGGGTAAAGAACTTTGAAATTCCAAACCACTGGTACAAAAACTGGGTTAGAAGGAATAGTCTAGGCATATTTTAGGCAGCTTGTGGTCGCTCTGGTTAAAAGCTCACAACCAAACCACCACGATTTTACCAAGTTCACAACAGATTTTCAAAGATGATTTCTTTTGAAAATGCACAAAAGCCTTCTACATAGACATTTTAATTCATTGATTCAATTAAGAGCAAATTAAAACATGTAGTTCCACGGCAAACCAAATCCATATTTAAACCAGTTCATAGGTCTTTTCATGGAATAATTTTGGGAAAATAAATTAGTGTTTGTTTGTTTTTTCTGTATGCATATTGTTTATTCATTTATTTGAGTTTGCTCCTAAATGACTCTATCTGTCCTCAAATGCAATTCCTCTTTCATTGCACGTGCCACCATGTTCCTCACTGGACAAAGGTCTTAGAAGATCCCAATTTTTCCTTTACAGTTTTAGCTGTGAGTACAGAACAATTCAAGAGGCATTAAAAGGTATAAAAGAATAACTTTATTTTCAGAGGAAAATAACAGATAGATCCCAATTATGTCCTCAAGCATAGCCAAATTGATTTTCTATTTGGAAGCAGTACTAGCAAAAATCTTATCAAATGGCTATGTGATTTCACAGGAGAAAGCAACGATTTTACTAAAATTATTCACATGTCCTCCAGGTTGTGAGAGGAGTTACAAAAGATGCAAATTTGTTAAATGAAGATATGAAGCAATTCTCTCAGAGTATGATAGATGTTAATGTATCAGTAAGTACAGTCATTAGGATCTCTCCTGTCCACATATAAGACACCCCCTGTTTCAGCAGAGTCTTTGTGCAAAGTATGTAAAGTAAAGCTGCCTCCTTGCCCACCAAGGCTCTTATGTAGGCCTGACTTTTATAGTCTCCCACATGCCTAATCTTTTCTAAATTCCTTTTGACCATTAAAACTCACCTGCCCTAAGTCTTCCTCTCTGAGGGTCTGATAGAGAATTAAGGCTTTATCCCTCATGCTGTAGCACTTATATCTCTTGGAAATTCTGCAGATTTTGTCAGAAAACACTAGAGCTCAGTAAGAGTGTGCGTCTTTGAGCCTTTCCTTTCTCTAAACTTTCAAGGATGGAGACTCTTCATCACAAACATAACCCTATTTATAGATTCAGTGTGGTTATAATAAAGTATCAAAGGCGTGGGAACTATTTATTGTACTTCTAAAGTGACTTTCCAAACCCATCCCTGATCCACTTGCAGAAGACTTCGTCATGTAACTTTCAGAAGGAAATCTATTTCTTTTACTTAGAAAAAGGCTTCACTATGACCTTGCTTTCCAACACCAATCCTCCAAGAACTAACAATTAGGAGTCTGTTAGGAATAAAGTTTAAGTATGGGTTATGGCAAAGAAACTATTTAAGGTTAATATGAATTTGCCACTAATGAGGAGATTAAAATATCAACTGTAGTTTGAACTCGATAACCTTTAAGATCCTTTACAAATGTGAGTATCTATTTATAATTCTAAAGTGCTCTTTTTTCACAAGCATACACTCTTTTTTGGTAATTTCATATATCTGGATAATAAAACCACACCAGATAAGGCCTTAGAACAACTAACTCATAATCTGGCACAAACTCATTTTGAGGAAAAACAATTGAATACATAATGTCCCACAGCTGGTAACTCAACCCAGATCTATTTTTGGCACGTATACTTGACATAAATTTATTGAACCTGCATTTCACTCCTCCTTTCTGAGATGCATCTTTCTTTCTTCTGAAATATGTTTTCTAGTGTTTGTTTGTTGGTTGTTTTAGTAAGGGTCTGCCTGTGAGTGATAAGAATTCTTAGTGCTTATCTAAAAAGGTCTTCATTTTACCCTTATTGAGTGATAATTTCATTGGGCTTACATTCTTAATTAAAATTTCTTTTCCCTGAGAACTTAGAAGATAAAGTTATATTGTCTTTTATGATGTAAAGCCTGCCATCAATATAAAAGACACTTTCTTTTTATTATTATTATTTTTTCCATAAGTTCTCGGGGTACAGGTGGTATTTGGTTACATGAGTAAGTTCTTTAGTGGTGATTTGTGAGATTTTGTTACACCCATCACCTGAGCAGTATACACTGCAACATATTTGTAGTCGTTTATCCCTCTCACCCCTTCCACTCTTCCCCCCAAGTCCCCAAAGTCCATTGTATCATTCTTATGCCTTTGCATCCTCATAGCTTAGCTCCTACATATCAGTGAGAACATACCATGTGTGGTTTTTCATTCCTGAGTTACTTCACTTAGAATAATAGTCTCCAATCTCATCCAGGTCACTGGGACTGCTGTTAATTCATTCCTTTTTATGGCCGTGTAGTATTCCATTATATGTATATATGTATATATATATATATGTACACGTGTATATATGTATATATACACGTGTATATGTACACGTGTATATGTGTATATATACACGTGTATATGTACACGTGTATATGTGTATATATACACATATATATACACATAATACATATATATACTCATAATACATATATATACTCCAGCCCAGGCTGGAGTGCAGTGGTACCATCTCGGCTCACTGCAACCTCCGCCTCCTGGGTTCAACCAATTCTCCTGCCTCAGCCTCCTGAGTAGCTGGGATTAAAGGTGCCCACTACCACACCAGGCTAATTTTTTTATTTTTATCAGATATAGGGTTTCACCATATTGGTTAGGCTGGTCTCGAACTCTTGACTTTGAGATCTGCCCACCTCGGCCTCCCAAAGTGCTGGGTTTACAGGTGTGAGCCACTGTGCTCGGCCATACCAATTTCTTCGTCCACTCATTGACTGATAGGCAATTGGGCTGGTTCCATGATTTTGCAGTTGTGAATTGTGCTGTTATAAAAATGCGTGTGCAAGTACCTTTTTTGAATAACAACTTCTTTTCCCCTGGGTAGATACCCAATACTGGAATTGCTGGATAAAATTATAGTTCAAAAAAAAAAAAGACTACTAAAAAAAAAATGTAGTTCTATTTTTAGTTCTTTAAGGAATCTCCACACTGTTTTTCATAGTTGCTCTACTAGTTTGTATTTCCATCAGCAGTGTGGAAGTGTTCCCTGTTCACTGCATCCACACCAACATCACTGTTTTTTGATTTTTTGATTGTGGCCATTCTTGCAGGAGTAAGGTGGTATCACATTGTGGTTTTGATTTGCATTTCCCTGATCATTAGTAATGTTGAGCATTTTTTCATATGCTTGTTGGCCATTTGTATATCTTCTTTGGAGAATTGTCTATTCATGTCCTTAGCCCACTTTTTGATGGGATTGTTTGTTTTTTGCTTACTGATTTAAGTTCGTTGTAGATTCTGGATATTAGTCCTTTATCAGATGTATACACTGTGAAGATTTTCTCCCACTCTGTTGGTTGTCCATTTACCCTGCTAACTGTTCCTTTTGCTGTGCAAAAGCTTTTTAGTTTAATTAGGTCCCAGCTATTTATCTTTGCTTTTATTGCATTTGCTTTTGGGTTCTTGGTCATGACATCCTTGCCTAAGCCAATGTCTGGAAGGGTTTGTCCAATATTATCTTCTAGAATTTTTATGGTTTCAGGCCTTAGGTTTAAGTCCTTATTCCATCTTGAGTTGACTTTTGTATAAGGTGAGAAATGAGGATTCAGTTTCATTCTCCTACATGTGGCTAGCCAATTACCCCAGTACCATTTGTTGAAAAGGGTGTCCTTTCCCCACTTTATGTTATTTTTTTGCTTTGTCAAAGATCAGTTAGCTGTAAGTATTTGGGTTTATTTCTGGGTTCTCTATTCTATTCCATTGGCCTTTGTGCCTATTTTTATACCAATACCATGCCATTTTGTTGATTATGACCTTATAGTATAGTTTGAAATCAGGTAGTGTGATGCCTCCAGATTTGTTCTTTTTGCTTAGTCTTGCTTTGGCTATACAGGCTCTTTTTTGGTTCCATATGAATTTTAGAGTTGTTTTTTCTAATTCTGTGAAGAGTGATGGTGGTATCTTCATGGGAATTGCATTGAATTTGTAGATTGCTTTTGGCAGTATGGTCATTTTCACAATATTGATTCTACCCATTCATGAGCATGGGATGTGTTTCCATTTGTTTGTGTCATCTATGATTTCTTTTAGCAGTGTTTTTTAGTTTTCCTTGTAGAGGTCTTTTGACTCCTTGGTTAGGTATATTTCTAATTATTTTATATATTTTTTGTAGCTATTGTAAAAGGGGTTGAGTTCTTGATTTGATTCTCTGCTTGGTCACTCTTGGTGTATAGAAGAGCTAATGATTTGTGTACATTAATCTTGTATCCGGAGACGTTGCTGAATTCTTTTATCAGTTCTAGGAGCTTTCTGGAGGAGTCCTTAATGACAGTTTGACTTGGTATTTACCGATTTGGATGCTCTTTATTTCTTTCTCTTGTCTGATTGCTCTGGCTAGGACTTCCAGCACTATGCTGAAGAGGAGTGGTGAGAGTGGGCATCCTTGTCTTGTTCCAGTCTTCAGAGGGAATGCTTTCAACTTATCCCGGTTATGATGTTGGCTGTGGGTTTGTCACAGATGGATTTTATTACATTGAGTTATGTCCCTCATATGCCAATTTTGCTGACAGTTTTAAACATGAAGGCATGCTGGATTTTTGTCTAATGCTTTTTCTGCATCTACTGAGATGATCATTTGATTTTTGTTTTAAATTCTGTTTATGTGGGGTATCATATTTATTGTCTTGCCTATGTTAAACCATCCCTGAATCCCTGATATAAAACCAACTTAATCATGGTGGATTATCTTTTCGATATGTTGTTGGATTCAATTAGCTACTATTTTGTTAAGGATTTTAGCATCTATGTTCGTCAAGGACATCAGTCTGTAGTTTTCTTTTTTGATATGTCCTTTCCTGGTTTTGGTATTACAGTGATGCTGGCTTCATAGAATGCATTAGGGAGGGTTCCTTCTTTCTGTATCTTGTGAAATAGTGTCAAAAGGATTGGTACCAATTCTTCTTGGAATGTCTTATAGAATTCTGCTGTGAATCTGTCTGGTCCTGGACTTTTTTTGTTGGTAATTTTTAAATTATCATTTCAATCTTGCTGCTTGTTATTGGTTGGTTCAGGGTAGATAGCCTGAATTGGATAATTCTTCCTGATTTAAGCTATGAGGTTTTTATTTTTCCAGGAATTTATCCATCTCTTCTGGTTTTCTAGTTTATGTGTGTAAAGGTGTTCATAGTGAGTCAGGAGTTTTTCCTGCCAATTGGTTCGTTGTCTCCTAACTTCGAAGAATGAAGCTGCGGACCTTCGCAGTGAGTGTTACAGCTCAAAAAGAGTCCATGGACCAGGAGAGTGAGCAGCAGCACAGTTTATTGAACAAAGCCAAAGGAAAGCTTCCACGTGGTGGAAGGGGATCCGGAGGGGTTGCCATTGCTGGCTCGGGTGGTTAGGGCTTATATCCCTGTGTTACCCCCTCCCCTTTCTTTCTTTGTGTCCATTGAGAGTGGTTCTTTTTTCACTCTCAATGGTTGAGTGGTTAATTTTGAATCCTTCCTCAATTGATTAAAAACTCAAAACTCTGAGTCACAGGGTCTTTTGCAAAAGTCCCCGAACCAGCCCAGGAAGTCCTGTCAACTCTTCCCCTTAGTAGTAGCCTTGAATGATCTTTTGTATTTCAGTGGTGGCAGTTGTAATATCTCCTGTTTCAGTTCTCAGTGAGGTTATCTGGATTTTCTCTCTTCTTTTCTTGGTTAATCTTGCTAACGATCTATCAATTTTATTTATCTTTTCAAAGAATCAGCTTTTTTCATTTATCTTTTGTATTTTTGTTGCTGTTGTTGTTTGTTTCAATTTAATTTAGCTCTGCTCTGATCTTGGTTATTTCCTTTCTTCTGCTGGGTTTGGGTTTGGTTTGTTCTTGTTTCTCTACCTCCTTTAGGTGTGACCTTAAAATGTCAGTCTGTGGTCTTTCAGTCTTCTTGATGTAGGCATTTAGGGCTATGAACTTTCCTCTTAGCACCGCCTTTGCTGTATCCCAGAGGTTTTGAAAGTTTGTGTCATTATTGTTGTTCAGTTTGAATAATTTTTAAATTTCCATCTTGATTTTGTTTTTGACCCAATGCTCATTCAGGAGCAGGTTAATTTCCATTTGTTTGCGTGGTCTTGAAGGCTCCTTTTGGAGTTGATTTCCAGTTTTATTCCACTGTGATCTGAGAGAGAGCTTGATATAATTTTAATGTTATTAAATTTATTGAGGCTCATTTTATGACCTATCATATGGTCTATCTTGGAGAAATTTCCATGCACTGTTGAATACAATGTGTATTCTGTAGGTGTTGGATGAAATGTTCTGTATATATCTGTTAAGTCCATTTGTTCCAAGGTATAGTTTAAATCCATTGTTTCTTTGTTGATTTTCTGTCTTGATGCCCTGTCTAGTGCTGTCAGTGGAGTATTGAAGTCCTCCACTAATATTGTGTTGCTGTCTATCTCATTTCTTAGGTCTATTACTAATTGTTTTATAAATTTGGGAGCTCCAGTGTCAGGTGCATGTATGTTTTGGATTGTGATATTTTTCCTGTTGGACAAGGTCTTTTACCATTACATAATGTTCCACTTTGTCTTTTTCAACTGCTGTTGTTTTAAAGTTTGTTTTGTCTGATATAAGAATAGCTATCCCTGCTTGCTATTGGTGTCCATTTGCATGAAATGCCTTTTTTCATCACTTTAAGTTTATGTGAGTCCTTATTTGTGAGGTGAGTCTCCTGAAGGTGGCAGGTAGTTGGTTGCTGAGTTCTTATTCATTCTGTGGTTCTGTATCTTTTAAGTGGAGCATTTAAGTCATTTACATCCAATGTTAATATTGAAATGTGAGGTAACTTTGCTTTCATCATGCTCTTTATTGCCTGTGTACTTCTGTTTTGTTTTGTTTTTGCCTTTTAACTTATATTTTTGTTTTACAGGTCCTGTGTGATTTATGCTTTAAAGAGGTTCTGTTTTGATGTGTTTCCAGGATTTGTTTCAAGATTAACAGCTTCTTTTAGCAGTTCTTGTAGTAGTAGCTTGGTAATGGCAAATTCTCTCAGCATTTGTTTGTCTGAAAAAGACTGTGTCTTTCCTTCATATGTGATGCTTAGTTTTGCTGGATACAAAATACTTGGCTAATCTGGTAGGTTTTCCTTTATAGGTTACCCAGCGCTTCTGTCTCACAGCTCTTAAGATTGTTTCCTTTGTCTTAACTTTGGGTAACCTGATGACAATGTGCCTAGGCAAAGATCTTTGGCGATGAATTTCCTGGATGTTCTTTGTACTTTTTGAGTTTGGATGTCTAGGTCTCTAGCAAGGCTGAGGAAGTTTTCCTCAATTATTCCTCCAAATATGTTTTTCAAGGTTTTAGAATTCTCTTCTTCCTCAGGAACACCGATTATTCTTAGATTTGGTTGTTTCACATAATCCCAGATTTCTTGGAGGCTTTGTTCATATTTTCTTATTTTTTTCTTTGTCTTTGTTGGATTAATTCAAAGACCTTGTCTTCAAACTCTGAATTTCTTTCTTCTACTTGTTCAGTTCTATTACTGAGACTTTCCAGAGCATTTCACATTTCTAAAAGTGTGTCCAAAGTATCCTGAATTTTTTATTGTTTTTTCTTTAAGCTGCCTATTTCCTTGAATATTTCTCCCTTTACTTCTTGTATAATTTCTTGGATTTCCTTACCTGGGCTTCACCTTTCTCTGGGCCTCCCTGGTTAGCTTAATAATTAACCTCCTGAATTCTTTTTCAGGTAAATCAGAGATTTCTTCTTGGTTTGGAACCATTGCTGGTGAACTAGTGTTATTTTTGGGAGGGTGTTGAAGAGCCTTGTTTTGTCATATTACCAGGGTTGGTTTTCTGGTTCTTCTCATTTGGGTAGTCTCTGTCAGAGGGAAGGTCCAGGGCCTAAGGCTGTTGTTCAGATTTATTTGTCCCACAGGGTGTTCCTTTGATGTCATAGTTTCCCCCTTTTTCTGTGGATGAGGCTTCCTGTGAGCTGAACTGCAGTGATTGTTGTCACTCTTCTGGGTCTAGCCACCCAGCGAGTCTACCAGGCTCCAGGCTGGTACTGGGGTTGTCTGCACAGAGTCCTGTGATGTGACCCATCTCTTGGTCTCTCAGCCTTGGATACCCACACCTGTTCTGGTGGAGATGTCAGGGGAGGGGTGTAATGAACTCTGTAGGGTTCTTAGCTTTGGCTGTTTAATGCTCTATTTTTTAGCAGTTGGCCTCCTGCCAGGAGGTTATGCTTTCCAGAGAGCATCAGCTGTGGTAGTATGGGGAAGAACTGGTGGTGGGTGGGCCCTAGAACTCCCAAGATTATATGCCTTTTGTCTTCAGTTACCAGTGTGGGTAGTTAAGGACCATCAGGTGGGGCAGGGCTAGGCATGTCTGAGGTCACACTCTCTTTGGGCAGGTCTTGCTGCAGCTGCCTTAGGGGATGAGAGTGAGATTCTCAGGTCACTGGAGTTGTGTACCTAGGAGGATTATGGCTGCCTCTGCTGAGTCATGCAGGTTGTCAGGGAAGCAGGGAAAAGCCAGCAGTCACAGGCCTCACCCAGCTCCCACACAAACTAAAGGGCCAGTCTCACTCCCACCATGCCTCTCCCAATAGTCCCGAGTCCATTTCTACATGGAGGGCAAGATGGGCTAAAAAGCCTGCCCTAGGCTGTCTGACTCCCAGCCGTGAAAGAAAAGGGCTTGCTTTTCACCCACCCATGGAGTCTGTATACCCTATTTGAGCCCTTCCCAAGTTCTGGCCAGGAGGCTTCTCATCCCATTCAAATTGTTTAAAGTTCAGCTAGTGATTTTCTTCTTCCTGTGGAGTTTTACTCTCTGCCACCCTAGCTGCCCTCTGGATGGATCCTTGTGGTGCCAGGCAGGAATGGCCTGCTAGGGAACCCAGTGAGCTTCTAGGGCCTTTCTGCTGCTTCCTCTACCCCTGTATTTCACTAGGCTCTCCAAATTGACTCAGCTCCAGGTAAAGTTGGAAACTTTACCAGTTTCTGCTAACAGAACTTCAGCTTCTCCAGTGGGAGTGTTTGTTCAGGAGAGGAGGGTCTCCCTTTCCCACTTCCACAGTTGGGATACTCCAGTGGGAGTGTTTGTTCAGGAGAGGAGGGTCTCCCTTTCCCACTTCCACAGTTGGGGTACTCACAGTATTTGATGTGTCTCTTGAGTCTTGCAGGAGCAGTCTGCTTCCTTCAGAGGGTCTGTTGTCCTCTCAGGATTTCTGGTTCATTCTTGCAGTTGATCAGGAGCTAAAATTCACAATGCAAGCCTCCACATGCTGCTTTGTGTGGAGCTGCAATCTAGTCCTGCCTCCCATCCACCATGATGATCTCTCTCCTCCCCAGGACCCTTTTTTGCAGGTAATTTACCTTTTCTCTCTCTCTTTTTTTTTTTCCAACTCTGTATCATGCTTACTCATTATCTCTTTGAATATTGCCTTCCCAGATTCTCTACATTCTCTATCCTTCTGAAAGTCTTCCTAAACATAAGTTGGATTTTATCATTCTGTTCTTCGTGTTTATTAGCATCTCTTTCACATTCTCCATACTTTTGTTTCTCTATGCTATTTAGTTTTTTTTATAATTTCCTAAGACCTATCATCTAGTTCACTAATTCTCTCTTTAGCTATGTCTAATCTACTTCTTTACTCATTTTATAAGTTTTCAACTTCAGTGACTACATATCTTTGTAAAAATTTTCTAAATGTTCAGTTTGGTTCTATTTCAAATCTGTCTTTTTGTTTTTCTTAGAGACTAATTATTCCATCCTTGTTTCTATTTCTTTTTTACCTTTACCATAATTTAAACAAACTTAGTATATAATTGTTTATCGGGGGAACCCGCCACCAGTATTTCAACATAGGTTCTTTCTATTTTCCATAAGTGTCGGCCAGCTGAGAAATAAAGAGAAAGAGTACAAAGAGAGGAATTTTACACCTGGGCCACCGGGGGTGACATCACATATTGATAGAACCGTGATGCCCACCTGAGCCTCAAACCAGTAAGCTTTTTATTAAGGATTTCAAAAGGGGAGGGGGTGTAGGAACAGGAAATAGATCACATGCTTCAAAGGGCAAAAAGGAGAACTACTGATAAGGGTCTATGTTCAGCGGTGCACGTATTGTCTTGATAAACATCTTAAACAACAGAAAACAGGGTTCAAGAGCAGAGAACTGGTCTGACCACAAATTGACCAGGGTGGGGTTTTTTCCCCACCCTAGAAAGCCTGAAGGTACTGTAGGAGACCAGGGCATATCTCAGTCCTTATCTCAACTGCATAAGGCAGACACTCCTGGAGTGGCTGTTTATAGACCTCCCTCCAGGAATGCATTCCTTTCCCAGGGTATTAACATTAATATTCCTTGCTAGGAAAAGAATTTAGTGATATCTCTCCTACTTGCACGTCCTTTTATAGGCTCTCTGCAAGAAGAAAAACATGGCTCTTTTTGCCCGACCCCGCAGGTAGTCAGACCTTATGGTTGTCTTCCCTTGTTCCCTAAAAATCGCTGTTATTCTGTTCTTTTTCAAGGTGCACTGATTTCATATTGTTTAAACACATATGTTTTACAATCAATTTGTACAGTTAATTATCACAGTGGTCCTGAGGTGACATACATCCTCAGCTTATGAAGATAACAGGATTAAGAGATTAAAGTAAAGACAGGCGTAAGAAATTATAAAAGTATTATTTGGGAACTGATAAATGTCCATGAAATCTTCACAATTTATGTTCCTCTGCCACGGCTCCAGCCAATCGCTCTGTTCAGTGTCCCTGACTTCCCGCAACAATTGTTTACAGATTATTCTATAGCATTAGTTCTTGTGGAACTATCTTGTCTATTGAATGTGTTAATTCTCCTTCATTGTTATTAACATCTTACTGTGGTTGATACATTTTTATTGTGAGCTGTGTCTCTCATTTTCTTTCTGTCTCTGTCTCTCTCTCTCTATCATCTCTATCTGTATCTCTTTTTTCCACATCTGTGAAAGTCCCACACTCTGGGTTGTGTGAATGGCCCTAGAAACTGTTTTCAAGATTGTTTTACCTGATCTTGTAATTTCATATTTTACATTAATTTCTTATGTATTCTATTTTATATTATTTCTTTTTAAGTATATATTTTATATTATTTTTTGTCTTGAGACTTTACACAATTAGGGTAGTATTATTTCAAGTCCCTAAGCCTGACCAGGGGTTGCCCTTTGGTTTCTTATAGGTATTTTTTTTTTCCTTATCCACATTCTCAGATGGATGACTACATTGTTGAATTCCTGGGAAGCGGGAAAACTTTCCTTCCAGGTTGAATGCCTGGAAAGTTTTTGGTTCTGTGCAAGAAGCTTAGTTCCAGCTCCCTACATCTCTTGGGCTGAAGAACCTATCAATCATTCCCTTAAGGTTGTGAAAACTCACAGTATCCAGTGTATAGGGCTGAAATTCTCATTAGAAATTTGCATTTTTCTTGTTGTTACTGGGGGATTTTTTCATTTATTTCAACTTTATTTTACTGTTATGCTTTATTAAGTTTTCTAATGTGATTGAGCAATAAAGTGGTCATCCATATATGTGTTGTCAAACATCCTACAGCAATATTTAAAAGAGATTTTTAGCAGATTGATTCCGTACCTTTTCTTATTCTATTTTGATGCAGAGGTAATTTGTTGATGCTCAATTTCCCAGAATCGAAGAAAATGAAGAGACTTTAATTACCAACTGGGTCAGTAATCTTTTTAGTTCTTTTAACATTGATTCTTAAACATCAGTAATATAACATCTCAGAAAACAGTATATTCCATCTTTAACTGTAGTTTTCTCCATGGGAGATCAAAACTTTGTGAAGTCATGTTGTCTGAGTCAAATCTTGAAAGGCAAATCTCTCCCCGGGCCAAAAAAAGGGTATTTTTGGCATAGAGAGGAAGAAGAGCACAGATATGAACATGAAAGTGTACAGCAAAATCAGAGAACTGAAAGTAGTTCTGTAGGACAAAATTATAGGATATGTTTGAGAATAGAAAGAGATAAAAGTCTTGAGAATTAAAGACAGGGAGGTTAGTAAAAGGCCAGATCTTGGTGGTTCTTTATACCTTGCTAAGAAATTTGTACTTTTTTTCCTTTGGGAATGGTAAATAATTATAGAGTTTTAAGCTTATTAGCTTTGTGCATTAGTTTGCCTTAAAGACCATATTGGGGAACAATAAGAAAGGGACAAAGCTGGAAGCAGAAAAGTAATTAGGAGTTCATTGCAGATTAGGAGAAACTAAAGTAAAAAGGGAATACTGGGAATGAAGAAGAAATAGACAAATACAACAGATATTAATGAGCAAGAATTGTTCAGACTTTGTCATTGTTTGAACAACACCATCTACCACGAGTTGAAATAGAGAAACAGATTTGAAGATATAATAATTAGTGCACTTAGATATATTGATTTTGAGACACCTATGAAACATACATGATGAGAGATCTCAAAAAACTTTCTGGCTTAAGAATATGGATCTTGATAAAGTCAGAAAGTTCTTTATTGGATTAAAATCTTTCATGTAGCTTTTGCTGAAGAAGAGAATGAGAGAAGGAATCACCTTCTTCAATGATTTCTTAAAGGGCATTAATTCAATGATTTGTTCACTCAGTATTTATTTAGTACCTGCTCTGTTTTGGGCCCTTCACTATTCATTGGAGATCTCACAGTGCATTGGAAAAACATGGTTCCTGCCACTTTCCTACCCTTATTGGAGCTTATATTCAAATGGTAGAGAAATAATAGAGCAGTGAACAAATAAATAAACCAAAAATATGGATCAAGATTAAAAAAACCATAAAGTAACAAGGAGTTATTTATAAAGAAAAAGAATCTAAGGACTAATTTAGATACAGTAATTGTGAAAGACCTCTCTTTAGAAGTTCCATTAAAGCTAAGAGACCTGAAAAAATAGAACAGGCCAAACAGAAGGCCAGGAATTTTCAGGCAGAGGGAATGGTAAGTACGACTACCTTGAGGAAAGAAAGAAATTGGTGTAGTCTAAAGATATCGGTAGTCCAGTCAGTCTGAAATATATATATTTAAGACAATGGTAGAGAAATTGGGTAGAAAAAAAAGAGCACATAAGAAAAGATTTATAGATGCTTTACCATTCTAGAGTTTATAGCAGAAATAAATGCCACAATCATAAAAATTAAGTGTATACATTGGAAATTTCTCTATTCCTGATTTTATATTTATTCTCAAGGGTTCATTTCCTTTGATGGTACAACATTTAATCTTGACAGTTCAAACCAAACCTTGTCAATTGAATTTTTCTCTGGTAATAATCTACGTTATTGAGTAGGTGGAGTAGGTGGAGGTGAGGAGGAAAGTATATATGCACATATTAGGGTGTGTGTGTGTGTGTGTGTGTGTGTATAAATAGTAATTATATATACCCCAATTTGCCTGCTGTGACATTGGCTTATTTCTTTGTCCTGGGGTATCATCTGGCTTGGTATTACTCCAAAGTTTTATATTTTAATGAAGTATTATAAATGATAATTTTATAAAAATAATATGAAATGAGTTTGGTAGAACTGCCCTTTGTACTGGTAGCTTCTACCTTGGTCTCCCACACATGACACATGTGCAATGAACACAGTTCTCACTTTACATTTGACGAATCTGAAAAATGACCAGTAACAACCTGCTTCTATTTTATAACCTTTCCCAGACTCAAGGAAACTAACATATCCCTCTTAGTGTGTGAGGCACTTACCACAAAATGAAATGCACCAAGTCATAAGCAATTAGGGAAGGTAAGCTCATTTATATCTCAAGTGGCAGTAGGGAAAGTATTTGCCCCTGCTGGTCACGTGGTATAACAGCCAGTTGAGTACCAGCTATGGCCTGTGTGGCATGCACACAGCACCTCAGCTCAAGGCATTGGAAGCAGAATGGAAAGTGTGAAAAAGTATATACATTACGCATAATGTAATATGTGCAAAAAATAGAGGTTGAGCATTCTTACTATAGAATACAAAGAACATTCTGATTGCTCTTGCCATGGTGGTTTTGCTATTTATTGTCTATTGTACATCTAAAGCAAATTATTTAATGTATTATTTGGTATATTGTCCAAGAAACAGATACCACACCAGTTATCTGAAGAGGTATTTAAATATAAACACTTGCTAACTAGATGTATACAGTTAACCAGGTTATTGAAAAGGTTAAAAAAAAACCCTGTAAGATAACATAGAGGTAGCTACTTCAGAAAGTACAGAAAATAGTTACCTAAGCTAAGACTGAAGGAACAAAGGGAAATAGTTGGAATTATTAAAACTTAGAAATATAGGAGAGGCCCCAATGCACTGAGACTCAAATTTCTGAGAAGGAGGGCCTTCTCAGCTGGTGATGGCCAATAATTAGAAGTTCATGATTAGAAGTTCAGGTCATAGGGTTCTTGGTGTATTTACCTATAGGAGAGAGCATGGATTTTCTTCCAAACCCAGAGATTTGTGACGTGATTCTTCCAGAGACTCCATATAGCCTCCCTATTTGCCATAAGACAATCTAGATACCAGAGGTGCTGAATTATGACGCTCAAGTGGTAAAGCAGCTTGTATTTAGATGTGGATTTGCTGCAGCTGCTTCTCTTGCTCCGGTTTCTACTTAAAACTGTTCATGTTATAAATTACTTGGCTAATTAGTCAGAATCTCACACTTAAATATGGTGTATGTTGACTTCAACATTTAAAAAATCCAGCCATATATTGTACCCCACTTTTAGCAGAAGATGGCACAAGAAAAAATTATCTTTCACTGGGGAGAGCATATCTGGACAAGTTTCAGAATCCTGGACCTCCCCAAATTTCTCTGAGGCTGAAAGCTGTTTAACTTTCTTAGGGTTGATCCTCCATCCTTTGTATTACATATGTGTAACTAAGGCATCTAAATAACTTTTTACTTCCTTCTCATAAGATGCAATCAGAATAATGGCATCACTGTATTGGGCCAGTGGGATGTTCTGTGGAATGTAAAGATGATCAAGATCCATGCAGAGTAAAGTATTGTAGATAGTAAAAAGTTGATCCAGCCCTGTGGTAAGTAAGAGCATGAAAAGATACTATTAGCTATGCCAGGTAAAAGAAAACTGTCTCTTGAGTTCTTATACATTGGTATAGAGAAAAGACCATTTCCTAAGCAATAGTTTCATATCGCGTGCCAGAGACTGTATTGATTTGCTCCAGTAAATACATTAAGTCTGAAGCATAACTACAGTTGGTATGATCATCTAATTAAATTTGCAATAGTCCACAAACATCTTCTAAGATTTATCTGCCTTATTCCCAGAAAAGATTGGCAAGTAAAATGGGACTATGCTAGATATCACCACCGTGGATCTTTTGGGTCTTAGGTGGTAGCATTCATCTTTGCACCCAGGGATGTGATAATACTCTTGAATTACTGCCCTGGTAGGGAGAAGAAGTTCAAGACCTTCCACTTGGTTCTTCCTAGGTCAGGGGGCTAATGTAGGAGTTCTGTCAGTTGTCAAGTGTATGTATTATACATTCAGAAACTGGGGAAATAACCACGGGGTGGCTTTGTGGACCTATTAGATCCACTGTGATACATACTTAGGCTAAGACTCCTTTTAGTCACTTGATTACCATAAACTGTTGTAATTAATGAACTACAGAGGTGTTTTGAATTTTAAGAAATAACCATTATTTCGGAGTTGGTATATAATAATCAATGAAGGATATATATTTTTCCTTTTCAGCCACACTATTAAATAGCTGAAGGTTCCTTAGAAGGTAACTTACAGCATATAATTGTAGCAATATTGTAGGTTCCTTTCTCAAAGAAATAAGGTTTCTCATCAAGGGGAAACACATGGGTTTGCATGCTACAACCCTCATTCCCTTTATTGTAAATGTACCCACTTTGTCTTTGGCTTTTAAGTGCTCTTGACCTCTGCTACCCTTGGATTGAAATCAGGGTGCCCATTTTGATGGCAGCATCCCCCAGTATCATATCTAAACAACAGAGAACAGATACCAGAGATCTTTTCAAGGGTGCATGTGCTTTCCTCACTAATTATTTTTCTCAAACTATTAGTGAAAGAGGCATTCACTGGGCTTTTTTTTTTTTTCTGAGATGGAGTCTCGCTCAGTCGCCCAGGCTGGAGTGCAGTGGCGCAATCTCGGCTCATGGCAAGCTCTGCCTCCCAGGTTCACGCCATTCTCCTGCCTCAGCCTCCAGAGTAGCTGGAACTACAGGTGCCCACTGCTATGCCCGGCTAATTTTTTTGTATTTTTTAGTAGAGAAGGGGTTTCACTGTGTTAGCCAGGATGGTCTCGATATCCTGACCTCGTGATCCGTCACTGGATCTTCTTGTAGGATAGAACTGAGAAGTAGAAGTGCAGATTGCACATAATGATTCCACTCTAAAATTTTAATCTCCCTACACCCTTGAATTTCTTCATCTACATTAGGCCAGAGAAGTTCTGGCATGGGCCACTGCTGAGTCTAAAGTTTAGTTAAAGAAGAGCCAAGACGGCCAGCTAGATGGAGCCAAGAAGAGCTTCTCTCGCTGAGACAGGCCAGACTATCAAATAGACTGGTACACTCCAAACAGACCTTTGGAAAGAAGGCATTGAGAATGGACAGAAGGAGGATGTGACCCCAGGCTGAAAGAAGAGGAAGCTTGGAACCCTGCACATGGTTGTCAAGTACCAGGACTCATTCCTGGTCCCAAGTGGCTCCTAGGGAAGGGGTGAATAAAATGGGTATGGAGCGGTCCGCTCTTGCCAGGGACCTCCAGGATCCTAGCTGCAGAAGACCCCATGACTCCCACAAACATTTGAGCTGGCAGGGAAATTTGTTCCGACAGTTGACAGAGACAGAACTCTAACCTGTACAGGGCCCAGAGGGTTTGGTGCAGGAATGGCTGCAGTGGAGTATGGGCATGGGCACCCATCCCCCAAGGCTCGCTATGCTTCTTTGGGTAGTTTTAGCCTTTGTTAGCTGCCAGATCCAGACAGACAGGGCTGACTGATCTGAGCACCTCCCTGTCTGTCAGCCTCTCCCAGTGTCCCTGCCTGTCTGCACCCACTTGCAGCTCAGCCTCAGCTGCCCAGCTCAAGCACTTGCTTCAGGCCTCCTCCATAGCTCTTTCACAAGCAGACCCTGCCTACCCACCAGAGTGCTTTTGCAGAAAGACCCCTGCCAGTGCACACCTGCCTGCAGATTTTTCCCACCAGTGAACACTCACCTAGAGCCTCACCCCTGTCACCCTGCCACCATGCACATGCATGGGGACCCCTGCCATCCCACTGGAGCACTTCTGCCAGCAGCCACCAGCCAAATTGTTGTTGCCAGTGGATTGTGAACACCTAGTCCCCTCCAGTGCAGCAAATGCTTAACCTTGAGAAGCCAGAAAACAAAGCCGGTGACCTAGTCCCAGCCCCCTAGGGTAAGAGCACACATCCTAGGCATGCTGAGCTGCGCTTTGGCCCCCTGAAAACATTCAGAAATAAAGCCAATATACCAAATCCAACTTATACCACAGTCAAACCCTCAAGGGCATCAAAGAATATAAAGGCAAAAAGCCTTATCCAAGGCAGCAGCTTCAAAGATTAAAGAACATCACACAGATGAGAAAAAAATCAGCACAAGAACTCAGACAAGTCTAAAAGCCAGAGGTTATTCTTACCTCCAAATAACCACACTAGCTCCCCAGCAATAGTTCTTAACCACAATGAAATGGCTGAAAAAAGACATGGAATTCTGAATCTGGATGGCAAGGAAGCTCATGAAGATACAAGAGAATGTCAAAACTCAATCCAAGGAAAACAGTAAAACGGTTCAAGAGCTGAAAGACAACATAACCATTTTAAGAAAGAGCCAAACTCACTTCTGGAAATGAATATTTACTACAGGAATTTCACAATGAAATTGGAAGCATTAATAACAGAATAGACCAAGCTAAGGAAAGAATCTCAGAGCTCAGCAACCACTCCTTCAAACCAATGCAGGCAGACAAAAATAAAGAAAAAAGAATTTTTAAAATAATGAACAAAACCTCCATAAAATATAGGATTATGTAAAGAGACAAAACCTACAACCCATTGGCATTCCTGAAAGGGATGGGGAGAGAGCAACCAACTTGGAAATCATATTTGAGGATATTATACATGAAAATTTCCCTAGCCTCGCTAGAGAGGCTGACATGAAAATTCAGGAAATCATGAGATACTGTAGAAGATGACCATCCCCAAGGCACAGTCATCAGATTCTTTGAGGTCAACATGAAAGATAATATCTTAAAGGCAGCTACAAAGAAGAGGTAGATCATGTACAAAGGGAACCCTATCAGGCTAACAGCAAACCTCACAGCAGAAACCTTATAAACCAGAAGAGACTGGGGGCCTGTGTTCAGCATCCTTAAAGAAAAGAAATTTCAACCAAGAATTTCTTATCCAGCCAAAAGAAGCTTTATAAACAACACAGAAATAAAACCCTTTTCAGACAAGCAAATGTTGAGGGAATTTGTTACCACCAGACCTGCCTTACAAGAGGTCCTTAAGGAGTTGCTAAACAGGAAAACAAAAGAACATTACCTGCCACCACAAAAACCCACTGAAGTACATAGCTCACTGACCCTGTAAAGCAAGCATACCATCAGGTCTACATAACAACTGTAGCTAACAAGACAATAACGGGATCAAATCGTCACATATCAATATTAACCTTGAATGTAAGTGGCCTAAACACTCCATTAAAATGCAGGGTGGCATGTTGGATAAAGCAAGACCTAACTGTATGGTGTCTTTAGGAGACCCATTTCACATGCAATGACACCTATGAGCTCAAAGTAAAGGTATGGAAAAGGATCTATCAAGCAAATGGGAAACAAAAAAGAATAGGAGTTACTCTTCTAATTTCACACAAAACAGACTTAAGCCAGCAATGTTCAAAAGGGACAAAGAAGAGCATTACATAATGATAAAAGATTCAATTCAACCATACTTAACTATTTTGAATATATATGCACTCAATATTGGAGCACCCAGATTCATAAAACAAGTTCTTATAGACCTACAAAGAGACTCAGATAACTACACAATAATAGTGAGAGATTTTAACAACCCTCTAATGGTATTAGACAGATCACTGAGGCAGGAAACTAGCAAAGATATTCAAGACCTAAACTTGACACTTGAGCAAATGGACCTGTCAGACATCTATAGACTATTCCACCCAGCAAGAACAGAATATACATTCTTCTCATCTGCACACAGCACATGCTCTAAGATTAACCACATGTTCATCCATAAAACAGTTCTCAACAAATTCAAAAAAGCCAAAATTATACCAATCATACTCTCAGACTACAGCACAAAAATATAAATCAATCCCAAGAAAATCTCTCAACACCATACAATTACATGGAAATTAAACAATCTGCTCCTGAATGACTTTTGGATAAAGAAAGAAATTAAGGCAGAAATCAAAAAATTCTTTGAAACTAATGAAAGCAAAGATACAACATACCAGAATCTCTGGGACACAGTCAGAGCAATGTTACGAGGAAAGTTTATAGCACTAAATACCTATATCAAGTAGATAGGCTGAGACAATGGGGTTTTCTAAATATATGATCATGTCATCTGCAAACAGAGACAATTTGACTTCCTCTTTTCCTAATTGAATACCCTTTATTTCTTTCTTTTGCCTGATTGCCCTGGCCAGAACTTGCAATACTATGTTGAATAGGAGTGGTGACAGAGGGCATCCTTGTCTTGTGCCGGTTTTCAAAGGGAATGCTTCCAGTTTTTGCCCATTCAGTATGATACTGGCTGTGGGTTTGTCATAAATAGCTCTTGTTATTTTGAGATACGTTCCATTATTACCTAGTTTATTGAGAGTTTTTACCTAATGTAGATGATGGGTTTATGGGTGCAGCAAACCACCATGGCACATGTATACCTATGTAACAAACTTGCACATTCTGCACATGTATCCCAGAACTTAAAGTATAATTAAAAAAAGAAGTTAGAAAGATCTCAAATTAATAACCTAAGAGCACACCTAGAGGAACTAAAGAAACAAAAGCAAATCAACCTCAAAGCTAGCAGAAGAAAAGCAATAACCAAATTTAGAATGAACTGAACAAAATTGAGAAGCAAAAATGCATAGAAAATATCAATGAAACCAAAAGTTGGTTCTTTGAAAGAGTAAATAAGATTTATAGACTGCCAGCCATATTGACAAAGAAAAAAGAGATGATTCAAATAAACACAATCAGAAATGACAAAGGTGATATTTCCACCAACCCCACAGAAATGCAAAAAAAAATAGAAAACCTCAGAGACTATTACAGACACCTCTATGCACACAAACTAGAAAATCTAAAAAAGAAATGAATAAATTCCTGGAAACAAAAAACCTCCCACAATTGAACCAGGAAGAAATTGAAATCCTGAATAGGCCAATAACATGTTCCAAAACTGTGTTAGTAGTAAAAATTTACCAACAGGAAAAGCTCTGGACCAGACTGATTCACAGCTGAATTCTATGAGACATGTAAAGATGAGTTAGTACTATTCCTCCTGAAACTGTTCCAAAAAATGGAGACAGAGAAACTCCTTCCCAATTCATTCTATGAGGCCAGCATCATCCTGATTCCAAAACTCAGCAGAGACACACACACAGAAAAGACACACACACATATCTCTGATGAACATAAACACAAAAACGCTCAACAAAAGAGTTGCAAATTGAATCCAGCAGCACATCGAAAAGCTAATCCACCACAATCAAGCAGTCTTTATCACTGGGATGAAAGGTTTGTTCACATACACAAATTAATAAATGTGATTCATCAAGTAAACAAAAACCACATGACCATCTCAATAGGTGCAGAAAAGACTTTTAATAAATTCAATATCCCTTCATGTTAAAAACCCTCAACAAACAGGGCATCCAAGAAACACCTCAAAATAATAAGATTTATCTATGACAAACACACAGCCAACATTATACTAAATAGGCAAAAGTTGGAAGCATTTTCCTTGAGAACTGGAACAAGACAAAGATTCCCACTCTTTCCACTCTTATTCAACATAGTACTGTCAGTCTTAGAGCAATCAGGCAAGAGAAAGAAATAAAAGGCACCCAAATAGGAAGACAGGAAGTTAAACTATCTCTCTTTGCAGACAATATGATTCTATACCTAAAAAAACCCCCATAGTCTCTTCCCAGAGGCTCGTAGAACTGATAAACAACCTCAGTGAAGTTTCAGGATACAAAATCAGTGTACAAAAATCAGTAACATTTTTATACACCAATAATGTCCAAGCTCAGAGCCAAATCAAGAACACAAACCCATTCACAATAGCCACAAAAATAATAAAACACCTAAAAACACAGCTAACCAGGAAGGTGAAAGATCTCTACAATGAGAATAACAAAACATTGCTGAAAGAAATTAGATATGACACAAATGGGAAAACATCCCATGCTCATAGATAGGAAGAATTAATATTGTTAAAAATGATCACACTGCTCAAAGCAATTTACAGATTCAAAGCTCTTCCTATCAAATGACCAAAATAATTTTTCACAGAATTATAAAAACCTAATATAAAATTCATATGGAGCCCAGGG
Organism: Homo sapiens; assembly: GCF_000001405.40. Taxonomy (NCBI): domain Eukaryota; kingdom Metazoa; phylum Chordata; class Mammalia; order Primates; family Hominidae; genus Homo; species Homo sapiens. Next base: position 144,326,801 of record NC_000004.12, read on the forward strand.
GTGGTGGCTGACACCTATAATCCCAGCACTTTGGGAGGCTGAGGCAGGTGGATCCCTTGAGGGCAGGGGTTCAAGACCAGGTTGACCAACATGGTAAAACCCCGTTTCTACTAAAAAAAGAAAAAGAAAAAAGAAAAAATTAGCCAGGCATGGTGGCACGTACCTGTAGCCCCAGCTACTCGGGAGGCTGAGGCAAGAAAATTGCTTGAACTCAGGAGGCAGATGTTGCAGTGAGCTGAGATCACGCCACTGCACTCCAGCCTGGGTGACAGAGTGAGACTGTCTCAAAAAAAAAAAAAAAAAAAAAAAAAAAACGGAAACAAAAGGAGTCCAGATAGCCTTAGCAATCCGAAGAAAAAAAGAAAAAAACTAAAGGTCGCACACTACCTGGCTTCAAACTATGCTACAGGGCTACAGTAACAAAAACAGGTTGGTTTGGTACAAAACTGGTACAAAAACAGACAAGTAGACCAATGGAACAGGTTAAAGAACCCAGAAATAAAGCTACTACCTACAACCATCTGATCTTCAACAACATTGGCAGGACAGTAACAAGCAATGGAGAAAGGATGCCCTATTCAATAAATGGAGCTGGGATAACTGGCTAGCCATATGCAGAAGATTGAAACTGGACCCTATCCTTTCATCATATACAAAAATCAACTCAAGGTGGATTAAAAGCTTAACTGTAAGGCTTAAAAGTATAAAAACCCTAGAAGAAAACCTAGGAAATACCCTTCTTGACTTTGGCCTTGGCAAATAATTTTTGGCTAAGTCCCCAAAAGCAATTGCAACAGAAACAAAACTTGGCAATGAGATCTAGTTAAACTAAAGAGCTTCTACGCAGCAAAAGAAACTACCAATAGAGTAAACAGACAACATACAGAATGGGAGAAAATATTTGCAAACTATGCATCTGACAAAAGTCTAATATCCAGAAACTATAAGGAGCTTAAACAAATCAAGAAGCAAAAAACAACCCCATTAAAAAATGGGTAAAGGACATGAAACAGACAGTTCTCAAAAGAAGACATACAAGCAGCCAACAAACATATGAAAAAATGCTCAACATTGCTAATAATTAGAGAAATGCAAATCAAAACCACAATGAGATTCTGTCTCAGACAGGTCAGCATGGCTATTACTAAAGAGAAAAAATAACAGGTTTTGGCGAACTTGCAAAGAAAAGGGACCACTTTTTCACTGCTAGTGGGAATGTAAATTAGTTCAGCCACTGTGGAAAGCAGTTTTGAGATTTCTCTCAACCCAGCAATCCTGTTATTGGGTATATACCCAAAGGAATATAAATTGTTCTACCATAAAGACATATGCACTTGTACGATAATTGCAGCACTATTCACAATAGCAAAGACATGGAATCAACATGAATTCCCCTCAACCATTGACTGGATAAAGACAATGTGGTACATATACAGCATGGAATACTATGCAGTCATAAAGAAAATAATGAAATCATGTCCTTTGCAGCAATGTGGATGCAGCACAGGCCATTATCCTAAGTGGTTTCACACAGGAACAAAACCCCAAATACTGCATTCTCTCATTTATAAATGGAGCTAAACATTGGAGTATGCATGGACACAAAGAAGGAAATAATAGACACTGGGGACTGCTTGAGGGTGGAGAATTGTGGGAGGGTAATTGTGAGAGTTGAAAAACTACCTATCAGGTATTATGCTCACCATCTGGGTGACAAAATAATTATTTGACCAAGCCCCAGCAACACGCCACTTACCCACGTAACAAACCTGAATGTGTACCCCCAAACCTAAAATAAAACTTGAAAAAAGGAAAATTTCAAAGCTTAGTCAAATAGACAAATAAATGGCTAGAGCCATTTCCATACGCATTAGCGTATCAATGCTTCAATAAGAAAAACAGAACAAGTAGGAATGAGATTCAAGATATGAGATTTATTATAGAAACTTGACCTTAGTGAATTGTAGAAATAAATTAAATAGTCTATATGTGACTGTTGCTTCTGCATCTGGTGCTGGTCCTGATGTCAACAGGGAGGAAGCTAGGAAGAAAAGATAAACACTGAAGCAGACACGAGCAAGAAAAAGTTGGAATCTCTGAGAATAAGTTGGAACCCATGTTGGTTTCTGTGGTAGGTATAATAATGGCACCCCTAGACATGTCTACATCTTAACACCTGGAACCTGTGACTATGTTACATTGCATGGCAAAAGGGAATTAACTTTGCAGGTAGGATTAAGATTGTTTATCCGATTTTGAGACTGAGAGGTGTAATGGGAAAAAGGCAGGAGAGATGAGGCATGAGAGGGCCTAGACCTACTGTTTTTCACTTTGAAGATGGTGGAAGAGGACCATGAGCCAAGGAATGAGGGAAATCCCTTAGGAGCTAAAATGACTCTCACCTGGCAGCCAGCAAAGAAATAAGAACCTCAATGCTATGACAGCTAGGAACTGAACTATGCCAACAACCTCAATGAGTAAGGAAATACATGCCTTTAGAAAATAATGCAGTCCAGCCAGCGCTGTGTCAGACTTCTGACCTACAGAACTGTAAGACAATGAATTTGTGTCTTTTTAAGACACTAAGTTTGTAGTAATTTCTTATGACAGAGATACAAAAGTAGTACACCATCACTTCTAAGCTTCCAGCTTTGATTATGAGTATAATCACAAAACGTTGGTGCCCTTTATCATGGCAACTGATCTAAAATTCAGAGAAGCTAAAGGAGAAAATAAAATAGAAGCTAGAGGAGCTGTGGTCAGGCTGCCATCACACACCAACAAGGTGACCCAGCAGATCAGTGACAATGTGAGTGAACTGCAATAGCACCCAGTGATCTGTACAAAACTTCCTAGCACAAAAAGAAGACGGCTGCTGCTTCACCTCCACTTCACCAGTCTCACAAACATGTGTCTTGTGGCCACACTAAGCCCCAGAACTCTCCAAGAAAAGGAATTCTGATAAATGTAGTTCCAGCCTAGCTAAGCTTGTATACTATAAATCCTCCATAAAGAGCTAATACATTTAATCTGGAATCATTCGTAAGTAAACCCGTATTATTAAATTTGGCCTAATCCAGTGGTATATTCTGTCCTGCTTGGTCTAACACCTTGAGAATTTATACCCACACATATTTCCCATGTTTCTGCCAAAATAAAATTTCTTTTGGTATATAAGTTATTTCCTCCTAGGTCATCTTTTTTATTTTTCCTAGAGCATAATGAAATCTGGCCCTAGATATGAGTATAGTGGCAACCAGATAATTTAGGTAGGTCTTAAGTAGACCGAGAATCCTCTTGCGTGACAAGTTTCCAAAGTGAACTCATAGGCTTTTCAAACACAGGGAAGAATATTATGCACAGACATGGGAAGCAAGCTATTTCCACAGACAAAGAAGGCTCATGACTTGGGAATCCCTAATCACAGCCTCATCCAAATCCAGCCAGATATTCTTTATTCCAAATTTTAGGTTCTTCTCCTGCCCAATGTCTTAACTTTCACATAATATATTTGGAAAAGCTGTGAATTTAATTGATGTTGTAATTCTGCTACCTACACAATTAAATTTTGGGTTTAATTTTCCAACATTGGCCATGTTACTGTAAAAAATAAGTTCTTTCTGAAAAAAAAATAAGAGAGCTTTGAGGGCTGTTGGAGAAACTCTCTATTAAAAAATAATAACAATAAAACCTTAAGTTGAGAGTTTAAAGACCTTAGCTTTGATTTATATATTTTTTTATTTTTATTTATTTAATTTTTTTATTTTTTTGTGATGGAGTTTCACTCTTGTTGCCCAGGCTAAAGTGCAATGGTGCCATCTGAGCTCACTGTAAGCTGCGTCTCTCAGTTCAAGTGATTCTCCTGCCTCAGCCTCCCGAGTAGCTAGGATTACAGGCATGTGCCACTGTGCTCAGCTAATTTTGTATTTTTAGTAGAGACAGGGTTTCTCCATATTGGTCAGGCTAGTCTCGAGCTCCCAACCTCAGGTGATCCACCCGCCTCAGCCTCCCAAAGTGCTGGGATTACAGGCATGAGCCACCGCGCCCGGCCTATTTTTATTTTTTAAATAAATGTTCCTCTGCAATCACAAGAATCCATTCCACACCACAAACTTTACAGTCATCTTTACTGCCATAATGGTCAAGTAAAGCAATCATTTTACCCTTAGATTCTTATTTCAGTAGGAATATTGTTACAACTAACCACAGATTGATTAATTTGATTACCACTACTTGCAATGAATTAATAGCATCCCATTTCACATTGATTATGGGCTCAACATTTCTTTCAAGTCCAAAAACACAGCCAAACTACTTACAAAATCCCATCTTTGAGGGGCTGCTACCTGAATCCACTCCTGATAGTAGTTATTGTACCAGTCAAGATCAATTAAAAGGCAGAAACCACACCAATCATTTGAATAGAGGGAATTTTACATAAAGCATTTGTATCTAGGTATAAGGACATAGAATGAATCATTGAGTCTGTAAAACGAAAACTCTAAGTTAACTTAAGCAAAAGGAACACTAAGGTATCATGAAAATAATTCGTAAAGGAAGTAGCCACTACTCACAAGGTTGGGGAGTGAATCTGTTTCTTCAAATGTCGGAAAAATTGCAAACTAGTTCACCTGTTGGAAAAATTGCAAAGTAGTTCACCTGCTGCTGTAGAAAGGAAGTTCTTTTGATGAAGTGAAGATGCCTTGCTAAATCAAAAGCATGCGAAAAACCCACAGAAAATAAACAGAAAAGAGAAGCTGCTTCTTCATTCTCTAACCTTGCAATCTTCCTCTTATTCTCCTTGTTACTACAGCCTAACAAGGAGCCAACTGTAAAAATTTGGGTTTACACAATCCAGGAAAAACAGTTTGCAGTTGAAAATGAAATAATTTGAAAATTATTGAAAATAATTTTCAAAACAGTTTTCAAAATAACTGAAAACTGATAAATGCTTAATTTTTTTCTTTTGCAATAAGCTTTTTTAGAACCAATAGCATATGTTTAATCAGTAATTACATAGTAATTTTCTATTTCTCAAGAGAGTTAATGGCAAATATATAAATTGCACAAAATATTTTTGACTTTATGGAGGCGTATAGGTATTACTAATCACATAAAAGCTTATTGACTATTTTTAGACACCTGTACCCAAATATATCAATTTCACAGGTACATCTGCAGAAAGTGTGTATATATAGAGAGACCTTTGAGGGCTCTCTCTCTAAATATACACACTTTGAGGGCTTTGAGATATATATATATATATATCTTTACTGAGATACATATATATATATATCTTTACTGAGATATATATATTTAGGCCTGCTTCAAAGATATATATATATCTTCAAAGATATACATATATATCTTTGAAGTAGGCTTTTTTATTTGGATCAAATAACTCTCTTTCTAATTTCATTCACTTTTGGATCTGTTTCTTGTGCACCCATGAATAGTGAAGTGATAGCTGTAATATGTTGTTTTTACTGGCAAGGGAAAATGTTTTAGTCTGTTTGGGTTGCTATGAAAAAAGAATGGCATAGGTTAGGTAGGTTATATACAACAGAAATTTAGTTCTTACAGCTCTAAAGCTAGGAAGTCGAACATCAAGGCACTGAGAGATTCAGTGTCTGTTGAGGGCCTGTTTCCTGGTTCATAGATGGTGCCTGCTCGTTGTGTTCTCACTTGGTGGAAAGGGCAAGGCAGCTTATTGGGGACACTTTTTATAAGGGCAGCAATCCCATTTACGAGGGTTCGACCCTTATGATCTAATCACTCCTAAAGTCCCCACCATGTAATGTCATCCAATTGGTGATTAGTTTTCAACATATGAATTTTGGGAGATACAAACATTTACACTACAGCAGAAAACATCTGTAACCAGTTAAAGAATGCCATTTTGTAGAAGTTTAACCAGGTGCTACTCATAGAAAATCAGTTATTTGTATTATTGGTTAAATTTCTTTCATCAAGTTCATGTAACAATCTGTTGAAGATGAATCTAGTATTTTCAGTTAAAAAGTTCAACATTAAATATACACATTTTTGTAGTATTAATATGAATACAAATCTGGCAGAATGCAGCATATCATGAATAATATAATGGTCTTACTAAATTAAGACATATAGAGAAAAATGTTCTCGAGATTGGCTGTGGTAACTATAGCCACCAAACTGCAGTAATCTATCAGTTGAAATAGAAACTGTAGATATCAAGATTTCTAAGCATTAAAGTAACTGACTACAAAAGTGTTATGATAAATTTTATGTTAAATACAAGCAAACAAACCTTTTGCAAGACCATATGTGCTTTCTGTCTTTCTGTTCATTTTCAGTCAGATTTTAAAAATGTTTCTGCCTTATGGAGACCTACTTTGTAAGTCAACCTGCAAGTCTCCATAATGGCTCTGCACATTTTCTTAAATAACTGCATTTAAAAATAATTGGTTGGAAATCTTTTATCAAAATCTTCAAGGAATTGGAAGCTAGAAAACTTCAAGTTTCACAATAACTACAAACAAAAGAAAATTTATCCCTACAAAAGCAGGGAGATGAAGAAATTAAAAGATGAGACCTCAAATAGTGAACAAGATTTAATTTTAAAATTCTGTAAATGCCTTTGAAATGACCTGTAGGAAAAATCTTTTGATCAAACTTGTTTTTTTGTAATTGGATTATATTATGTACCGGAATGGAATGAAATTGAAGAGACCTATGATTTTGCAGCATCTATTTGGCAAAACATTAAAAAGAATTATAAATAGAGAATTTATGAGTTTTGCCTTTTAAAATATTTGTGGAAAAGAGAAACTCTAAATTGAGGCCAAAAAGACAGTACCTATAAAAATATATGCACATTTATACATTTCATAAAAATCAGAATTGAGAATATCCTCCACTTCATAGAATTTTCTCTGAGCTTACTAGGTTCATCGGCACCCATAAATAGAATATTTTCTCAATTAAATTGTTATAGACTACAGAGAAAAGTAAACATGTGTCCATTTAAAATATATTCGTATAAAAAGTAACTTTAAGAAGATTACGGGCAATTTTTGAAAAATTAAAAAGAATAAAATTAAAAAGAATGAGAGCATATTGAAATAATAATACATTATTGCATATAAAATCATATTACAGAAAAATATCAATGAATCCGTTTTAGAGAAAGATGTGATTTGTGCTATTTTAACGTCCAGATAATCTATATAATTTTTTAATATTTGGCATTAATTTACAAGGACATATATGATTTTATTTTTTAGAAATAATTTTATTTAAAAAAATAATTTTTGCAAAAAAACTTATTTTACAAGTCAGCCCATATAAATATTATAGCCAATTGGTTGTACAAATAAATATTTCAACAGTATAATTCTGATTAATTTTAATGTCTCCTTTCTTCCCACCGCCCCCAGCCCCCTTTCATTCTCAAAAGTGTTTTGGCTCAGTGTCTGAGTCTGCTTAGGTTGCCACAACAAAATAGCATGGATTGAGTGGCTTAAACAACAGAAATTAATTTTCTCCCAGTTTTGGAGGCTGGAAGCCTGAGTTTAGGATGCCAGCAATGATCATATTCTGGTGAGGGCTCTCTTCCTGGCTTGCAGATGGTCTCCTTCTCACTGTGATCTCACATGGTAGGGAGAGAAAGACCAAATACTCTGGTGTTTCTTCTTACAGGAGCACTAATCCCATCATGCAGGCTCCATCTTCATGACCTCATCTAACTCTAATTACCTTTCTAAGGGCCTATCACCAAATACCATCACATTGGAGGTTATGGCTCCAACATATGGATTTGGCAGGGGGGATACAATTCAGTCCATACTACTTGGACGATACTATTTTTTGTTCCATATTTAGAAATCTTATTTTCATGGAGTAAGAGGCATCTGGTCCATTGCCATGAGGTTCCAAGATGGGCCGTCTTTGCTTATATTTGCTTGTCAACACCTAGCTCCACAGCATCCAAATCAAAATGAACGTTTCCCTTTCATCTCTGTTTTCTAAGAATAGGTCATTCTTTATCCTCCTCTCCCTGTCTATGAAAGATTTCTCTTCTGGCCCTCTCTTAGCCACCTGTGTGCTCCTCTTGGGGGTATAGGGCCTCCTTTTCATCTTGCTAGGGGGTGTGGGATTCTGTGCATTTTGCCTAAACAGTTCACTTCACCATTACTGCTCTACTGCTCAGATGCCATGATGAATACTGGGTTACTCAGTGAGGCTTGCAGCCTCCTTGGGAAGCTAGTCAATGCTTCTTTGTGGTCCAGGATACCCCCAAAATAATTTTAGGTTTTTTATTGTACAAAGTTTTAGATACAGATGCTTTCTGAACCACATCCTGTCCAGCTCTAGGATCCCAGTCTTTTGACCTGTCCTAGGAGACACCTCCCCATTTTGGCAAAACTGTGTGAATAATATCAGAATTGTAGGAAAAACAGATCTAAAACCACAATAAAATAAGGCCACTGCTATATGTATATACAAATAAGAGTTTAATGATCTTTTTAAGATCATTAAACTTTTTAAGATCATTTTTCATTTCTATGGGACACTTAATTTTTCCAGATGGTTTTGTCACCTAAAGCAGAATTTTGATATCTGAATGTTGTCAACTCATTCTTCCTCTATTTGTGGTCTATAACAGCAATCAACAATAAATAATGTTCTAATCTTAATAAATGCAGGCTGCAAGAAGTAAATGAATATTGATTGTCTTATCTGAATAGGAAAGCTACTAATATTTATTTCAGATTATATACTTTTGTTTTTCTGCCTCCACTATTCATTGACACCCTCTTAAACAATAACATCTTAAAATGAATTTAATGCACACAAAATCTCCTTTAACAGCTCAAAGCAAATTCTTCCATTTTCATAAACTTTTAGTATGTAAAACAAAAAGTAAATAAATCTGTTAAGGATATTATTACAATTTTAGGGTCTGAGCATGGTTATTTAAAAAACATTATGGAAATACAAATGAGAAATAATAGAAAATTTAATGTAAATGTAAAATAATTTATACAATTATTTTCTGTAATGCTTTATCTTTGAAATATAGTATTTCTAATGGTGCTTTGCTTTTTTAAAAAGCTACAATACATTGTATATAATCCAGAGAGCGTGCATAGCAGCTCTGTTTAGAAAATAGGAAAGTACCATGTAAAAAAAAAAAAAAAAAAAAAAAAAAAAGGCCTCTGTTTAGTGAGCCCACCCACCAACTAGGGGGAAAATGTTAAAATTTTTTTAAAAGGAGGATTGAATACATGGCGTTTTTAGTACTGCATCAAACAGGATTTTATGTTCTAAATAGTGCTCACTAAATGGGGTCTTAGAGTAATTATTCAATAAATTTACTCAGTAGGTATCTAATTTGAAAGTTCAATCCAACATAACTTTCCCAGTTTTTTGTTTTGTTTCATTTTTAAGGTGTGGAGTTTATTTTTCTGACATGATAGGGCAAAATAGAGAAATAGTAACAATAATCAACATTTACTTTTGCAATCTGTTTTCTAACTTTTATATATTTTTTTGCATTTGAGCCTAACAACCTTCTATGGAACAGAAGATATATGAGGAAACTTGTACCCCAAAATATAAATGACTAGAACAAGTTCACGCAGCTTAATTGAGACAGAGCCTAGATAAATGATCTGAGTTTTCCCACTCTGAGGTCTTTTTCTATTTTTACTTTTCTTTTAGACGACACTAGTTTTTAAAGTTTTTATTAATCGCTGCTGTGAAGCTGCATGAGTTAAATAAAATTATCATAAACAGTTTCCCCATTGTCTTGTGGAAATGGGGGTGCTGAGAAGATCCCTAAACCCTCTCAAGTTTCCCTTTCTCCCTTCCTGGTATCATGTGGGTGTCCTCAAGCTGCATGCATGTAAAAATAAACCCATTGGCTCTCTTCTGGGAATGTTTCCTGTGTCTCACCTGGGTGAACCTGGCATGCTGAGTTTTCCCTTAGCCAACAGAGAGCTACAAGGGAGGGCACGGTGCAGGTCCAAGGTGGAAGGGTCACATGAGAGGACAAGTTATTGCCCCAGTTGTTGGAGCTTTGCCAACCTCCCTGCCTGCTGCCAACATGGAGATCCAGTATTCTCTCTGCTCTATCTTACTCATGTGGCATCACAGTCCTTTTGAAATTGCCCTCACAGGGTTAGTGAGAATTACAAGCCAGGCTTTAGGCAGAATTACAGTTAGGCATTGACCAGGGTGCACTGGTGCACTTCAACACACTTCCATGCAGCTGCTAACTAACCAAGAGTCATGTAGCACACTGACCACCTGCTCCCCCATTGTTCCTATGGATAGAATCTCTATCTATAGGCTGGACCTTTTTACCCAAGAATTGCTTGAGAATTGTTCTTCAGACCTGGATTCCAGCAGAGCAGCAGATGCCAACTGGCCTAAAGACCCCCATTGAGGAACCGACTCAGCACAGGAATGTGGTTTCTTCTTCATCTCCCTGTGTTATGACTTTACCCCTCACTTCTCAATCAATCAGCAATCCCCACATTTTAGCTCATCACCTGTCCAGACCCCTTTGAAGCCCCATCTGCAAACCTCTCAGGGAGTGGATTTGAGGTTTCCTCCTGTCTCCTCATTTGGCAGCCCTACGATTATTAAACTCTTTCTCTGCTGCAACGTCCAGTGTCTTGTTATGCTGACTCACTGCACATCAGGTAACAAAACTATTATGGCTATGCTTTAACTTTAAATCTCACCTTCTGCATGCTTCCTTTTCCCTTCTAATCCCCTGCATGCAGTCTTCCTCCTGACACAACTTTTCCTGGTATCAAATGACTGTTTTGCCAGGAAAAACTCTCCTTTAGCCTGGATCCAGGAACTCTTCCTGGCAGAACACTACATGACTGTGGGTCCCTTTGGTTGGCTCTTGAGGGCTAGAGAGAACAAGGCTCAGTTTCTCCTTCCTCACTCTCCACATTTAATTAGTTGTCTAATATAACTGTTTCCATCTGAGAGAATCAATGCCACCATTCTCTCCCATCACTTCATGCTTCAAACCCCCATTTTCTCTTGCCCAGACGCCACTCCTGGAGCAAATATATAAGTAAAAACCACCATTTTACTTCATGACATATGGAAAGGAGTGCAGGTTTGGGTGATTACCAGAAATAATATAATCTTTTTGATAGCAAATTATGCACATACTCTGAGTTTAAGGGAAATAGGAAACATTTCCTGACTTTTCCCACTGGGTGTCTTTCTGACTAGAGTCCACCTCATAAACAATAAGAATTCTCCCCCTGCTTGTTCCCTTCCTTCCTTTCTTTCCCACCCCATCACTCTGTTTCCGCCTTTACCCCATGCCTTACTCTACTCAAAAAGGCCAGAAGCCAGAGTGCCATTTTTATTCTTTTGTAGCCAAAGCTGACTGAACTTTTTGCCCTGAATTTTTGCACTTTTCTGAATGATGCTTTCACACAAATTCTCTTTTGCTATTGTTAATCACTAGGTATTGCATAACTTTTTTAATGCATTACTATGCCAAAATAACATATATCTGCAGCCTTAAGCTTCCCCTTGAACTACAGATTAATCTAGCCCACTTCCTTCTCAACATCTGCATTTGAACATTGCATCAGTCAGTTTCAACCACAGAGGCAGAACCAGCAGGAGCTATGTATTAAGAGATGTACTGCAAAGAATTGGCTTATGCAGTTGTAAGGGCCAAAAAGGCAAATCTGAAATTCACAGGGCAGGTCACCAAGAAGGGCAGGCTGGAACTTTCCTATGAGGCTGAAGCTGCAGGACAATGTAGAAATTATTTTCATCAGGAAAGCCTCAGCAATGCTTTTAAGGTCTTTCAACTGATTGAGTTAGGCCCTCTCAGATTTTCTTTGATAATCTCCCTCATGAAAGTCAGTTGGTTATAGACTTTAATCACTTCTACAAAATACCTTCACAACAACAGTTAGATTAATATTTAATTGTGGTGGGGTGCAACCAACACTAGCCCGATATATGGCACCTTGGCATTCTAAATATTTTAAGTTGAAAGAAATTGAGAAAACCACAGAAACAGAAAAGTCTTTCTGACCTTATCCTACCCCCTTTCTCCTGAAGCAGGCCATAGAAATTGACATTCCCCTCTCTCCTTTCTCCCTGAAGCAGGCTGTAAAAACTAGGTAGGTCACTCTCTGACATTCTCTCTCCCTGCCCTCCTGAAGACCTTGTAACAACTATTCTACCTGGAGCAAAGGAATGTCACACAGAGAGGCCAAAAAGAATCTGAACAAACAGGTCTTGCTAAGTTCCCCCCAGTTTATTACCATTAGATCTTACCCTTTTGTCTTCCAATCATACTTCTGCATGACTTTGCATAAACACGCAGTTTTTCCTGGGTCATTGGGATCTTCATTTCTGAAGGCTCCCATGTCACATAAAACTTTAGCGAATACATTTTTATACTTTACTCTCATTCGTTTGTCTCTTGTTATAGAGATGTGAGCCAAGAACCCTGCTATGAGTAAGGAAAGAAATCATTTCCCCCCTACAGTTGAATAACTGAGGACTTAACCAGGCCATCCCAGCCTAAGACCATCTTAGACATGTAACATATACTCCTCAAAATTAACGTGTCCATACTGAACACCTAGTCTTCCCTCCACTTAGCCCCCTTCACAAACTGGCTTCACCTGCAATTGATACGGCTCTGATGAGTGGAGGAACACCAGGGCTCTTGTCTCACATCAAATTAGATAAGACAACACGAACACACGTGGAGTGGTTTTAAGGAGCAGAGAGTTTAATAGGGAAGAAGGGGCAAGAAGGGAGAGAAGGAAGAAGCTCTCCTGTACAGAGACAGAGAGTGGGGTGCTCCAAAGCCAGGAGAGAGAACCCTGCCTGCCACGGATACCAGCCAGGTATATATACAGAGCCTGGAGGAGGCGGTGTCTGATTTGCATAGGGCTCAGGGGATTGGTTTGACAAGGCATGTCATTCACGTAGCCCTGAAAAAAGCTGGCCCTCCCACCCTAGCCTTTTAATATGCAAATGCAGGGCAGCCATGATGTTCTACACACGTGGGGATATGTGGGGGGTCATGTTGCCAGGAACCCCTGGGGCAAGAGCAAGAAGTCCAGGGGAATCGCCATGTTGGGTGGACTCAGTTTCTAACAGCTGGTATTTGCATATTAAAGGTTGCCCGCCTGGCTCTAAGAGCCAGGGCTTTATAAGAAATGTTTCTGGAGCAGTTTTTAAAATGAAAACTTCCCAAGGACCCCCTTTTCCTCTCTATCTGCCTAAAATAATTTCTCAGTAACTCCTACAACAGAATGGCAAATCCATCATTTCAGTTGTTCAGGACAATAAAACATGAAATTAAGCTCTCTTCCTCTTACACTCCATGTGGTAGACTAAATAATGGCCCCCAAAATATGTCCACACCTTAATCTCCAGAACGTTTTTATGGCAGATGAAATTTGCAAATGTGACTATATTAAGATGGGGAAATTATCTTGGATAATCTGGGTGGAGCCAATGTAATTGCAATAATCTTTGCAGGAAGGATACAGGCAGAGTCAGTCAGAGGAAAAGTCAGTGTGATGATGGAAGGAGGGACCTGGGTGATGTGCTTTGGAGATGGAAGGAGGAGTCATAAACCAAGGAATACAGGTGGCTTTTAGAAGTTGAAAAAGATGAGGAACAGATTCTCCACTCAGCCTCTAAGTGAAATCAGCCCTGTTGACACCTTGACTTTAGCCCAATAAAACTGATTTTAGACTTCCGACCTCCAGAATTGTAAGATAGTAAGTTTATGCTGTTTTAAGCCACTACATTTGTCATGATTTGTTATAGCAGCAATAGAGAACTAATACACTCATTTCCTATATGAGGCAATATGCTGTCATAGACACTACCTTCAATCTGTCCATGGTGGAACCACTGTTTACCATCTCTTCTACTACCACCTGGTCCTAGTCTTCATTATCTCCATTCTGAATGATTTCAATAGTCTTCTACCTGTTTTTATCCACTCTTCTCTATTATTTTGCCTTGTCCACCTAGTCAGCTACTGCTAGGTTTGGCAGCTTTTTAAGAATCAGGAAAAGGTGCCTCTTCCTCCAGACAGACACAATCCCATGCCAGGGTACATGGTGGGGCAGGCAGAGTCCAGATTGAATGTCACCATATGGAATGCAACCTCCATGATTGTGTGTAACATCGCTGCCCATGGTTCTTTCCAACAGCAGTCTGAATAATGCCTTTAAAATACATGTAAGTCAGATTACCTTGCTGCTGTGCTCCAAACACTCATGTCTCCGCATTTTACTCAGTCTTTACAAGGGGACTTCCAGCCCTTTGTCATCTGGCCCTTGTTACCTCTCATATCTCATCTTTACTCTTCTCCCACTCATTCACCACTTATTAAAATCAGCCTTGGTGCTGTTCTTCAAACATGACAGACATGTCCTCACCTCAGGGTCTTTGCTCTTGCTCTTTCTTCAGGCCACAGTGATTTGTCTACAATATCCAAATGGGTGTCTCACCCCCTTCAAGTATTTGGTCAAATGTCCCTTTCTCAGTGACACCTACTCTATTTTGTTAATATTGGCAACCCACACCTCTACCTCCACACTTCCCAATCCCTTTATTTTGCCTCAGTTTCTCCTATAACACATAATCCTCTGACATTTTATATATAAATTATTATATTTGTTATAAGCTCTGAGAAGGTAGGGGTGTTTGATTTATTCACTCCTGTATCATCAAATAATATGTAATATTTAGTACATGCCCAATATTTGAATGAATGAATGAAAAAATTCTTTTTTATCTCAATTTGGGCTTTCCTAGAAGTGGACCCTAACCCAGTGATCCAGGTGCATGTAATTTATTTGGAAGGTGACCCCAGTAAACACTGCTAGGAGAATGGGGAAGCAAGACATGAAGCGAAGGCAGGCTATGAAGAGAGTTTTCAAACCCTCATGCTCAAGCCCACCGGGGGTCCCTGGGAGCCAGTGAAGATTACAAGCCTCAGAGCTGTCGCCCCGAGAGGCTAAAGAGTCTGGATTTTTATCCGACAAGTACTGAGAGGGACATTTATTTTCTGGCCCTGCCTTTCTGCCATGCGCACAGGGCATAACAGACTCCATCCTCCAAAGTCTTCAGTGAAAGAGATCACTGCCAGCAGCAGAAGTCAAGCCAGTTCCCATGGAACTGTGAGGCCCAAAGGCACACGCATGGGACATCAAAAGCATCTGGTATGCTTCCCCGCCAGGAATAAGAGGAAGAACCTCTATGTGCCACATAAGTAAAGTTACGAATAGGGCAACTTGATAATACTATAATGTTCGTGTTGTAACACCCATCTTATCTGTTGGAGGATGAAGATGGGGAGTCGACAGAGGAGATGAGGGCACTTAGTGGCTGTCCTGTGAGACTCAAGAAGGGAACAGCTTCTTTCCAAGAACTGATGAGAAGCCTGAACCAGGACCCAGTAGAAGAAAAGGAACCCCTTGAGTTGCTGTTTGGCTGTTTATAGACAGCGTCCAAGTTGGTCAGTGCCGCTGACAATAGGTACTGCTAAATATTTTGAATATTAACCCTTAGAAGTGGCCTATTCACTAAAACAGACCTGGAATATCAAAGGGTCACCAAAGCACCGAGGAAGCCCTGGGGCAGACATGGGGATCTGGAATGCAATAAGAAGCATCAAAGAGCAGGGAGTAATGGGTTGAGGGGATGAGAGGGCGGGTGGTCTGGGTAAATGCCTAAGATGAGAACAGTTCTCTTTAGATGCTTTTATGTTTTTCCGTAGCATGATGTGTTGATAGATCAGATAGTTTAGGGGGCCTGGGAAAGGGTACATATGTAAGATACCTTATAGGCAGGACAGCCTTACCATGAATTCTCTTTGATCTTTTAATCCACCAGAGTCAGGTGCATTCAGAATCCACAAAGAGAAATCTTCCCTAGTGACTATGATGATGCAAGTTCCATCTACAACAGGTTGCCAAAGATCCCTGCCTATTTCCTATTTAGGAGTTGTGGGTGCCTCAGGGGTCATATTGTACTTTTGTCTGACCCCCCCAAAAGCATCTCTTTGCAATGTAAAGAGAGAGTCAGAATTCTCCCCTTCCCCACCCAATTCTGCCAGAATGTGTTTAGGCCTGATGTTATTTTTCCTCTAAGCCTATCCTCATTTTTCTTAGGTGCTTGGCTGAAAGCATGGGCTAAATTGGATGACTGATAATGACAGTTAATGCTGTGGTAACTGAACATAAAGAAAAGAAGTAAAAAAGAAACAAGTGAGTAATGAGAAACAGATTATTTGAGTCCTGCAATGAGACCTCTAATACAATGGTGGAAGTTAGAGTTGAGGAAGTCCAAGGTGGAAATAATGAACTCCAGGATAAAGCGCTGTCACGAGGCATGCCTTATTGTTCCAGATAAGTTAAAACAGCTTCCAATGGTATAAAACATCACTTTGAATTCTCGTCAAAGCAGGGAAACCATGGTCTCAGGGTGAATGTTCCAATGGCAGCCTGACCAGCGTCACTTCACAACCATGACCACGTCTAAAACTGAAAGATGACTTTAGCCGCTGTTCCCACAAAGTGGTTTCAACACGATGACAGTGTGATGCAGAAAACCTAGAGCTAAAAAACTGAATGTATATTCTCTTTAGAGTAAAAGGAAATGACTACAAGCCTGGTAATAAATGTGGCAGCTTACTAGAAAGGCAGGTTTAAAGAATAAGGAAATTCATGTTAGAGCTTAAATTGAAAACAGGTGCCAAGCCTATTTCATGGATCCATAGAATGTCAGAACTGGAGGAGACCCAGAAGTGACTCATCCAATTCCCACATTTGATGTATCAGGAAACTCAGGTCACAAGAAGTGAAGTGACTTGTTCAATGCCACACACAGTGTCAGATTTATCTCCTAATTTAAAATTTAGTCTTCTTTTCAGACATTTGAATACCTCTGCCAAAAAAATAATAAAAGAAGCCTCTGCTTTTTTAAACAAGATCTATTATAAATTTGAATTCTAAAAAAATGACACCTATCTGACCATTTTCCCTACTACCACATCCTCTAACACCTTACATTTGAACCACATTTTCACCAGTGGTGACACATTTTCCCAGTGTCTTAGGTGGTTCAAAACGCTGGAGCCCTCCCTGAGTGTTTTCTTCACTTGACTCTTTCCGTCTCTCCCTATAGCCAAAGTACCAATATAAGCCTCAACAAATCTACTTTATTGTATCAGTGGTCTTTTACCTATACTTTTTGCTTCCCACATCTTCCTTCCATTATCAACCTTAAACATTGGGAAAATTATCATGTCATTTTCTGATTCCAAAATCTCTAATATTTATTTCATACCCAGAAGGGAAAATCTAATCTCTTCCACTAACAATCTCCATTATGGAATTAAACCCTCCCTTATGCATTAACAAATAGCTGCCATTACTCACCAGTAGGAGACTCTAGCATCTCTCCTCTTTACTTTTTCAGAAATGCACTCCATATACACCTTCTGCACCTGTACACATTCACACCTACCCCAACAGTAATCCTTTTCTATCCATCTTTGTCTGTTTTGTGCTATTCTAACAAAATACCACAGACTAGGAAATTTATAATGAACAGAAATATATCTGCTCATAGTTCTAGAGACTAAAAAGTCAAAGATCAAGGGGCTAGCCACTGGTGAGGGCCTTCTTGTTGCATCATCTCCATGGCAGAAGTGGAAGAGGAAAAAGGGGGAAGAGAGAGAAAGAGAAAGAGGCCAAAGTCATCCTTCCATAAAGAACTCACTCCTGAGATAACCACATTAATCCTTTCATGCAGGTAGAGCCCTTATATCCTAAATCACCTCGTAAAGGTCTCGCCTCCCAACATCACCACATTGGGGATCAAGTTTCCAGCACATGAACTTTAGGGAACACATTCAAACCATATCACTATCCAAATACCACCTATTCTTCAAAGCCTAGGAAAAAAAAAATCAAAAACAAACATTTCTGATTATCGGCTCATGAGTGTTTTCCGTTTCTCTGAATCCCTCAGTATATATTATATTGCTTTAATAGCTTCTTAACTATTCTATATGAATGTCGCACCAGCTTGCACTGCCACAACTTATAACTTAATTGCAACATTTCTTTTGTGTCCTTTTCAACAGCTTCTATACGGAATGCTCAATAAAAGCCTGCCAAATGAATGAATGATGCAATGGAATGCCTGAGGAATTTGGGCTATACATAAAATATTTAAATATATTAATATTAGTCAGTATTCTACTCTTACCTCTTTTATGTAGTGCCAAGAAGGCCATCCTGTAAGAGTGTACTTGCATAAAAATTCATGGAAGTTACTCATCCAGATCCACTACTGCCACCTGTTTTGGAAACTCCCTTTTGTCTCCAAATGGAGCGAAAAGAAGGATGAGATAGTCTCTAAAAACCATGTTTCTGAGCTGATGGCAATTCATTCATTAATTCATTCAGCAGTCCGTCAGTCAATCAGTTGGTCAGTCAAGAAATATTATTTGAGTACGGATTTTACCAGAATATCTTTAGTCTTAAATTTTTATTCCAGTGGGCATTTAATCAAGACTCTGCTTTACAATGACATCCTATTTCTCTTGTAATAATAGCAATAACAATAGTAATAATGCTAACAGTAATTTAAAAACTACTATGTGTTAGACACTGTGCTAAATGCTTTATATGTATTATTTCATTCATTCCTCACAATGACCCCAAGCAGTAGACATTACTATTATCTTCATTTTGCAAATGAGGACATTTATGCCCATCATGGAGTGTCTCTTTATTATATCAGTTTTTTAAAGTGCCCTCTGGTAGCATCTAGCAGCTTAAACTATTGAATACCAAATTAAATAATCTTTTTCCATCCACCGCTACCACCAGATAATCTTCTTTCTCACATATATAACTTCATATTAAAAACAGATATCTTTTTCCTAGGAAATGCTCACTATTGTCTTTCTTATATATTTAATACAGTAGACAGGTTCACACCCTTACACTGTAGAAATTTCATTTCCACTATACCTATACTCTGGAATATTTAGAATATGTTTAACTTTGAAATTTAATGAGCGATGTAGAATTATATTTTTATAAAATTATTTTCTAATAATAAAATTTCATTATAAGTCCTGCTTAAATTTATGCTACAAAAATTATTTATTGTATTATGAACATGTTAATTACCTATACATCCTATAAAAGTGAATGATTAATCAGGGACATTCTACTCTGTACTAGAAAGCACTCAAGGACACCTCTCTCTGTCTCCAGATGGAGTCATTAGGGACTCATGATTGGGTCACTGTAATAGTGAATGAAGCTTTGAGTGTGAAGTGGAAAGAGATTACCCATTTAAAGTTAAACTGGAAATTAAATTCTCACTTATCTGATTTTAGCCACTTTTTTTGTGTACTTTCTTCCTTTCCCAGATGTGAAACTAATTTAGCAGGTTAGGGCCTAAAGGCAATTCTCACAGGTAAGCTGTGTTTCTGAATGCCAAGCAGGAACAAGAGGAAAGACCCACATGGAAGAGTTGAGCCAGCTGCCTGGGCCTGTCTCTAACTTCGATTTTGTGCTAAAGGGTCAAGGAGCTTAAGCATGGTTCTTCTCAGAATGTCACATAGGAGATGATATATCTGGCATCCTTAGTAAGAAGGAATGAATGAGCACCAATAGTGAAGTATGCTTTTGCCTTGGAGTATGTTTTTGCATAAATCATTTAAGAAATTCAATATTGGGATAAGATTAGATAATTAGGGTCCTGGCCCTGTGTTTCAATCCTACCTGGACTGACTAAGTTAGAAGTAACTGACAAATGCTAATAATTTGAATACTTTTTAAAATCAGGGTATTGAAAAGAGTGATGATGTTGCTCTGATTTTCCCTGATGCTGAGAGGTTGCACATTCAATTTGCTATAGTATTACCATTTTGGTGAAGTTCCTTTTAGATTATAGTTCAAAAATTAAAACCATATAATCTTATTCATGAATTCTAAACATTTTATAACTGGCACAACTGTCCTTCTCAATTTCTTTTATTTAGAGTCATTTAACAAGGATATGATCTTCTTTCTCTTGCCTTTTTCACACTTAACACTGAAAGCTTAACCAACTCCATTCAGAACTAAAGAAAGGAACAATGTGGTTTTGTACTTCATAACAGCAATTGCTCTATTTATAAGGAACAGCTTTTCTACGGACTCTTAGGAGAAACATCCATCTCCAGCCCCCATCTCTTCTTGCACTGGCTTTCATAAGATTCATCTCTTCATATTTATTGCCCCACGACAAGGAAGGGAAGGGAAAGCTTTGGTCCCAGTTTTATTTATTTATTTATTTATTTATTTAAATGCGTCCTTGTTTCTAGTGAAAGAAGTAAGTAGGAACTAAGTGGTGGTGAAATAATGTATTCAGGCACATTGCCCAGCCTCTTTCTCCATGCTTTTCATAAAAGGAACCACGTCAAGGAAAAAAGGAAACTTCTGGTCCTAGATCCTCTGAGTGCTGGTTACAAAGAGTCACAAAGGTGGTGATTTAATGCTGGTTTTCCACCCACACAGGGCACAGCCCCACAGCTCCCATCCAAGGAATTAGTGCCAAGCTAATTCATAACCTTAAAAGGGCCAACTGAAGTTTTATAATTTTGTGTCAGTTGAATGAGTTATTTAGCTTCTTCGTTTATCACTCACAGCCAGTCTTGAAATGGTGTTAGCCCTCCTACGGTGTGCACCACAGGAAACTGAGGCAATTAGGGAGATCTTTGTCCTCCAGTAGGGTCTTTCATTCCATACGAATGCAAGGGAAAAAGTTGAATCCATTGTAGTCAATTACAAAACTAAAATGTTCTGTTTCATTATTTAGTTAGTTAATACGTCTCTATGTTGTACAAAGCACCGGTACCTACACTCTGTAGCTCTTAATCATGCTTTCAATTGATTCTGATTCACAGTTGCCCAACCACTTAAATATATGAAATTAATACATTGTCATTGCTAACTATAATTTGGGAGGGAAAAACCATTAATACAAGGGGTTCTTCAGAATAGACACAATAAAATGTAATGAAAATGTTGGGACTCATTATTTGGAGTTAATTACTTGCAAAGATGCTTTTTGTTTAAAACCGAGTTTGCACTGTGTACTTACATGAGGATGGAGTGGTGTAACACGGAAAGTTTACACAACGTTTATTAAATAACAAGAAACGGTGTATATACATAATGTATTTATTTACCTATTCATATAACATTTAAAAAATATATATTTTTTGTTTGCTTTACAATTTTCAACTGATTTTACTTAATTTTTACAACTTGACAATATAATTCTAAAATTTACATTGAAAAACAAAAGGACTAAAAAGGCCATAAACTAAATATTGAAAAAGGAGAACAAAGATGAAAGACTTACATAGATTTCAAGAACTGCTATAGCTACAGTATTCAAGACAGTGTGTTTTTTCTTTACAAAAATATATATTGAGTGAGTCCTATATAACTTCAAATGTAACATTAAAACATTTTTTTGAAGTCCAAATACCTTTTGTATAGTTTTTATAGATATGCCACTGTTGAACACAATTGTCATCAATAATACACTTTCCCTACTGAAACCACTGGTGTAATGACTTAACTTTGAAATACCCCAGCAGAGATAAGGCAACCCAGTGGGGAAGCATATATCATGGTGGTTCAAAGCACTAACAATGGAGTCAGGCTTGTCTTCAGAACCTGCTTTGCCACTTACCAATATTGAAGAATCCTAGGCAAAATACCTGTTTAATCTATAAAAAGAGCTAACATTACTATCCCTTACATTGTTATAAGGGTTAAATTAGATTAGAGTGCTTAGCAGAGTGGCCAGCAAATAGCAAACACTCAATAAATCTTCACTCATTTTATTAATAATAACATACTTCTCAGTCTTCCAAATGGTGATTCAGGTTAGTAAAGAAGGAAATGCTTTTTAAGAGAAAATAGAAAGAAGCAGACAATCTCTTTTGAGGGACTCCCACGGCATATTGATGTTTTTTAAATAAAAATTGTTGCTTGCTTGTATGGTTCCACAAAAGGTGTCATGGTGAAAAAAAGCAAAAGCAGAAGAATGGAATTGTCATCCACAACCAAAACAATTTTCCTTGGGATAACTTAACAAGATAGTAAAGAAAAGTCAGAGAGAGTGAGTAAAGAGACACAGAAGTCTGAAAGTCACATCTGAGAGAGACCCATCACATTTAACAGTGACAAATATTAACTAAGGTGAGAGGAGTCCGAAGAAATAATAAACCTTCCAGCCATGACAGATGACAGTGTTATACCAGAAAACTTGTAAGACAACAAAGGAAGACATAACTGTAAATCACTCACATCAACACGATTCACAATAATTTTTGGAAGTATTCACAAGTGTGGCATATTCTTTTAGCAACTTAGTCCTAAGTATTTTCGAAATACTTGATTTTCACATAATAGCAGGGAAAAGCATAAACTATACAAGAATGCTAATATACTCCTCAAAGAACTGAGAACTATCACGAATATAACTTTGCTGCCTTCAACTTTCCGTCACCAGTTACTATAGACTAAGTGCATATTCACATCTATATTCCAATTACTGAAAAAATAGGAAAGGGTACAGAATTCAAATGTATAAAGAAATAAAAAATATCCAGGTTAGTACAATTGAATGTCAAAACAACTATTTCCCTTAATAAACTTATGATGAGAAAGCATTCAATTGGTTGCATGCTCACTAATTTGATAAATATGTGAGATTAACTAAATCATCCAGTTTCTCACTTGCTTTTTTTGGGTCATAGTCTAGCCATGCAATGGAAAAATGCAACCAAGTCAGAATAAGAGAAGGGTAGTGGGTCCCATGTGGGTGGAACTGGACCTGTTGGATACTAAGCTGAGGTGAAGAGGTAGCTTGGAATATTGAATCCAATAATCCTGAGTTCTAATGTCAGATATTACATAAACTTTTGTGTCTTTGGAAGAGTCAACTTCTCTTTCAGGGCCAACATCTTCTGATATGCAAAGTTGGGAAGTCAAAGTAGATAATTCAGGTTTCCTCCAACCCTACCATTCTGTGATTTCAACTGTTCCTTTTGTTGCCTATGTTATTCCTTTTGCTGCATCTTTCATTACTACCATCATTTCTCTACGAACATGAGGATAGAGAAAAAGGTTTGGTTGGGAAAGGGACATGGGGTGTTTTTATGGTCTGAAAGTTTCTTTTCTTTCCTAATTCATATGTTGAAACTTAATCACCAGTGTGATGGTACTTGGAGGTGGGGCCTTTGGGAAGTGATTAGACCATGAATTCAGAATGTTCATAAATGGGACTAGTAACCTCATAAAAGAGGTCCCAGTGAGCTGCCTCCCCACTTCTACCACACGAAGACACAACTAGTAGGCATCATCTTTGAACCAGAAAGCAGGCCCTCACTAGACACCAAATCTTCTGGAACCTTGATCTTCAACTTAACCTCTAGAACTGTGAGAAATAAATGTCTGATGTTTATAAGCTACTCAGTTTATGGTAGTTTGTTATATAGCACACCAAATGGACTAAGACAGATGTTATAAAAAATAACTCTGGATAAAGGATGTATGCAAAATAAAAGCCAATTTGTTGAATAATCACTGCCTTAGAAGTTGTGGTCGCTCTTTTGTCATCTTAGACGTGTTCAGCACTTATATAAATAACTATTAATGCAGTTGCTTGAAAATGTAATAGATCAATGCATAATCATGTATCTGATGGCTTAATGGTAGCTATAACTAAGGTGATCAAAGTTCCCTAATGTGTAAATTGAAAACATTGGACAGGCTTCATGTATCCTCCAAGATTTATTTCTGCTGAAAGTTACATGTTTCTTTTGCAAAGCCTCACGCCATAAATTAATTACCTTTTCCACTGTCACTAAAGTTTTATCTCACCCTTACAGCCTTTTTCTTGGCTGGAGTGGTTACTGAAATAATTTTATAAATTACTTCTTATTCTTAAATGAAGTAGAAGATGGAGGTATTTGCAGCATGGCTCTAAGTCGCAAATGAGTCAGCATTCTGCTATGATTCATCTTTACTTCTATCTGCTGGCTGAAAACTATCACTTCTTTAGGCTTCTCTATGTTTTCTCAATAAACAAACTCTTGTTTTTCTTTTCAGGGCCACTTTTTTATTAAAAAATAATTTATTATTAATTTATGAAACAATCTACATGTCAAGCAGAAAACAATAAAGCTATAAATTTTTGTTTGTGCTACATATACTGGCCCAATCCATGATGCGTGCTCACTTACAGACTAGTTACTTACAGCTGATGCAAGCCTCACAGATTACAAAATTCATTTCTCATACTTTCTTTACATTTTTTTGACTGCTCACTAAACATCAAGCACTGCACTATGCATTTTATTTTGCGTTTTATTAACTTAATCCTCATAATAACTTTATGAGTTAGGTGTTATTATTAACTCATTTTACAGATGAGAAAACAGGCTTAAAAGGTTGACTAATTAGTTCAAGTTCACTCTTCACTGGTAACAAAGCCAAGACATGACTTCAATTTCAACTCCAAAGCCTTCCTTAAATATAACCTTTAGCAAAATTAGGGATTACTACATGCCATGAACCTTGCGAATCACTTTCAAGTTGCTGATATTGCAAATTTGCATTCACAGATATCAAAAAGCGCAGTTCACTGTTCTTCATGTTGGAAGAGATGATACAGATGTTGATAAATATGTAGCTGGACCCGAAAGCAACAATATGTGAAAAAGTGTTCTGCATACTACAAAACCAAAGGATATTGGTGTCTATTAAGTAAATGCAACAGTTTATTTATCCCCTTGATGAATTATAGACTATAATGTGGCTGAACTTTTCTATTAATCACAAATAATAAACACGCTTTTAAAAATTTTTCGTCATAGTTTCTCATTGTTTTTTTTGACTACCATCAAGATCATCCCACCAAAAAACTGTTTCCTCTTTGGCGTCATCATGCTTGCCCAACTTTTAATACCTTTCATTTGAATTGTGGCTTTGAATAAAGTATCTACTGTGTCATGTCATCTTAATCTTTGACAAAGAATAAAAACCCACAATTATTAATGCTGTAACTTTAACGCAGGCTTCTAATTTTGGTACCTGGTGGTAGCATTTTTTTTGTTTAGAAAAATATTTTTTCTTTTGTAGAAAAGAATAAAAACTGTAAAAGGTATTGAGTTAACATTTCTTAATATATAAAAAACAGTCCCATTTTAACATTCCTCCTCTACCCTTTATTGCTAGCCTTGGAAAGCAAGGTGGGGAGGGGCATATTCAGGTCTTAACCTCCCTAGCATTTGAGGGCAATTAACAGGTGGATAAGAAATTTATTTTTCTTAGTACAGTTATATGTCTGGAATTTATTTAGTGGTTTTAAGTGAGACTAGAAAACAGGATTGCAAATAGGGTGGGAAAAATAAGCCAGAAAAACCAAGATAATTTCCAGTTGAATTATGACCTCAACTGGGTTCTGGAGAATGGAATTTTCATAATTCACAATCTTATATTGGCTACTTCTGGAGACATGGGGCTGAGGGCAATATCCTTTGTAGAATCCCTGTTCTATTTCCTGCGCTGTTTGTCTGTAGCCTGTATTCCTGCTTCACTAATTGATTGTTTTTTATATGCTAGCTTCCTAAAAGGAATTAAGGTGGCTTCCATTACTAAGGAAAGAAATACTTGTACCATGACACTAGCCTAAGAATAATTAAGGCAGTTAAGCAGAAATGTAAATTTTCACCTTCCCAGCTGTCACTGAAAACATGTTTACCCATGTAGTGAAAATAACTAAGAGTAAAAATTTAAACAAACTCTGGAAGAGCAATTGCTAAAAGAAAACAGAGTCAGACCATAGAAAGTCTGATGCAAACAAGAGGAACAGTGACAATACATAGTTGCTACTCCAAACCAACAGAGGAAAGAATTATGCTACAAGAAAAAAGAAAGGATTCCAATAAGAGATAAGTTAACACAACTGGAAATGAATGCTCTCTATGAATAAGCCCTCCCTGAAAATGTTTCTGGATGCAATATTCATTCCTGGCACAGGAAGTAACCAAATGTCACCCAAATGATCTGGAAATTAATGTCACCTCCTAGTATATTCTTTATTTTCAAGGAAACAATATACCCTCAGATTTATTCTGCCTAGAAAATCCACTTCAGAAAATGAGACAAGGGAGTAAAAGGTAAATATGCACAAGCAGCTTCACTGCCTAGGTCTGACTGAGTCAGGGTGGATTGCAGATAGAAAGAGCAAGAAGTGCCACTTTGCACATTTTCTGTCTTTTCTGTCTGCTTGATGCTGCTGCCAGTTAATGTTAGAGGAGCAGGACTCCCGTTTGGAGCTGCTTCCCTTGGACTTTGGTGGGTCCACCCCTCACAAGCACAGCTGGCAGGCACTGTTTGGCATTGGTCTTCATAGAGCAGCCCATCAAACCTGTTTGCAAATTCCACCAGGGGACAGAGTGGCTTTTCAAACTGTCAACTCCCTTGGCTTTGAGCTCTAACACTCCGTCTGCAACATCATTCTCTGCTAAGTGGAAGACATGCAGACAGGATGACATGTCCCAACACAGGTCTGGTGTCCCAGAACTGCTCTGATGGCATGCTATTTCCGCACAATGAGAACACATGGGCCTTTGTGCAGTGTGCATCTGGAAAACTTCCCAGAGCATGCATCTGCCCTCTGATTTACACCTTGCAGAATAAGGCTGACCGGTGGGAAAGCGACCGAATCTATAAGCAGTGGGTGGGCTGTGTTCCCTCCCCCTACCCCTACCTCCTTCTTATTCTGAGAAACAATCGTGGGTGTTCCTATCTCCCCAAAACTCCCTGCCCTGAAAAAGAAAGGGAAAAAGCTGCTTCCTGGCTGAATAAAGCTGAAACACCTGTGTGCCAGAAATACACAGATGTAGACGGGCACAGCATTGGTGCAGATCCATCTGCCCAGCGTGCTTCACTTGGTGGTTAGAGTGGTATCCAATTAGGATGGGAAACCCACACCAGAAGAAAGATTCCTTTGGTCCTCATTATCCTCATTCCCTTACAATTCTTCTCACATTTCTCTCTCTCACTAATGCTTTACCCGAGGATGAATATACAATGCCAAAAACAACCCTTGCTTAAAAAGCCCTGAAAGGCAATTCTATTTCAGGTGGTATCTTCCCTTCATCATTATTCATCCTGCCTTTTTACTTTGGGCTAGAAGGACAAATGGAAAGAAAAACAATACAATAGTCAGTGCAAACTGAACCTTTGTCAGAAAATGTGTGTCTTTTATGTTACAGCTGTGAACTGCTCATGTGAAATGTGTGCTGAGTGTCATTCATTCCAAAAATATTTATTAAATACTAACATGCCTGGTTTTGTGTTAAGTCCTGGAGGTATGGCACCTGGCAAAATGGCCTCACCAGAACTCACTGATGAATGCAGTAAAAAATACCTGCATCGTGTATTGCAAAAACAATGTAACATTTAATATCATTGCCGTTTTTATTCTCCTGCTTTTATCTATAGCATTATTTATTTTTCTCTCATATAGGGCAATTTCCACAGAGAACATATTGAGTCTAAATTGCTCAGTACAGTGTCTATCATGGTGCAGGCAACAAGCAGCTGGTCTGGGAGAATAAGATATTCAGAGTTGGATGCTTTCATAGCCGTTTAAGCTGTGGGTATTACCCAAATGAACTTTCTATACAGCTTTGGAAAATGGACTGGAGTATGGAAGTATCTGGGTGTGGGGAAGAGACAGAAGTTATTCATCAGGATCTCAAATAGATCGATTTTTGGACAACAATTGTCTGTTAGGGTTTTTTTTTTATCCTTTTAATTTTGAGATAATATTAGGCTCATAGGAGTGTTGCTAGATAGTACAGAGAGTTCCTGTAGGCCTTTCACTCTGCTTCTCCTAATATTAACATCATATATAACCACGGTACATTGATCTAAACTAAGAAATTAACATTGATACAATACTATTAACTAAATGACACACTGTATTAAAATTTCAGTAGTTTTTCCACTAATGTCCTCTTTCCATCCTAAGATCTAATCCAGGAGGTCACATGGAATTTAGGTTTTGCTTGGTGTTAATTGAGCTATTTCTCTACTCTCGATGTCCTATTGATATGATATCACCATTTTTGAAAAGAAGTTCTCACCTTCGAATCTGTAAAATGCTAGAAAGGAGATAGGAAAGAAGGTAAAGTGGGAAACAATGGGAAAATTTTCTTTTATTTTTTAATTTTCAATCTACCTGCAGGGAGAACAGCATGACTTAGGAACATGGTTTTTCTGACCCTCCCTATCTTTTTAGCCCTGAGAAAATAAAAGATCAAGTACTCTCTTTAGAAGATAACCTTGTAAATCTCTAACGGCTCAACAGCCATTTAGTCTGATGCAGCCCTGGATTGCTATTTCCATTTCACAGATGGGGAAAATGAAGCCCTGCCCTGCTGAATGATTGTTTAGGATCACAAAGCCCTGACTTACCTATAATAAAACTAAGACTAAGACTTACAAGGGGAATGGGGGAATCCAGCTCAGCCCTGAAGTCTCTCTCAGTGGTTAACCCTTATTATAAGAAATGGCATTTATTTGTCAGGATATAAGAACAATGTTTTTACAAGGAAAAGTTTGGAGCAATAACCGAAAATAAAGTCCCTTAGTACATCTGGGGGAATGGGGAAGCATTCTATATTACTCTAGCAATGAACTCTGGCTACTGCTGAGCTAAACTCTAAGTTGCAATTAGTTTAAGCTGCAAACATCAAGCACCAAAGGAATGCTGGGCTTTCATAGGTGCAATGTTTTCAAGCCAGTGACTTTATACTATGGAGGCATATTCTGAAAAGGCTGGCAGCATTCTAGACCCAGGAACCTGAGCTACAGACATCAAAGGGATTCACTTCTTAATTCTGGACATTTGTAAAGTCCACCAGAAGCAAACATGCTGGAACTTCAACAGCAGGTATTACACTGACTGTAAAAATCATCCATCTTAGTCAAAATTACAAACAGGTCTCCTTGTCTCCCTCCTCCCCACTCCATCCATCCCTTTCCCTCACGGTAAAAGAATCAACATGAAGCAAAATGTGTTCATTCCTCTGTACCAGTAACGATGCTGCCAGGGAGGGGGACTACTCCCTGGATCAAAGAGGCCTCTCTCACAGGGCAGTGTGTGGTGAAGGAACATTACTCCACAGCCCCTCTCATTCCCTTTCCCTCTCTCTTGCTTTTTCTTTCTTTCAACATTAGGCATTCTTTTATAGTTTCAAATTAACATTAAAGTACAATAACAGTGATTCATGGCTGTGATAAACAAAAAAATAGGGATACCTTCACAATAAAACTCTGTAAAATGCACAAACTGACACGTTTTAAATGACTCTTTAGTAACAGGGGAGAAAAAAAGCATATGAGGTAAATCCTTCACTGAGTAACTCACCAGGGAGACTGGTAAAAATAAATTGCACAGCTCTAATTTTCCTAGCAGCTTCCATGCTATTCTTTGAAACTGAGTACGAACCCCTTGGCCTAATCCCAAGAGCCGATCTATAGTAAATAGTGCACACTTAAGCCTAAGTTCCTTTTTAGCACCATTCAGACAGTGACTTCAGCCGCAGAGCTTAGTCATAGCAGACATTTTTGTGGTGAAAGCATTAAACCCACATGCAGCTCTCTTTCTGTGGCCACTGGGGGTCATGCTCCCTTCCCATTAGCTGAATAAATCATAAAGTCGGCTCAGACCACCCAAGGAGTGCGACCAGCAAGCCACAGGCGATGCCTACAGCCGGTTATTTCTTTTCAGAATCTACAGGGGGAAAAAAGCAGAAAAAGAAAAACAAGAAAAAAAAATACACTGCAAAACAGACTGCCTGTAGGAAATCA
Source organism: Homo sapiens (assembly GCF_000001405.40). Lineage (NCBI taxonomy): Eukaryota > Metazoa > Chordata > Mammalia > Primates > Hominidae > Homo > Homo sapiens. The sequence goes on from NC_000004.12 coordinate 144,356,791, forward strand.
TTTGAGTTTTTAAAAATGTGATCTCTTTGAGAGTAACCCAGTGTTTTCTTGTTTACTTATTTATTTTTTAGTTAAAATCAGGGAGCCTGATTTAAGAAGAAAAGTAGCCATTGAAAAAATAAAGTCACATGCATGCCTTTTGTCATATGCTGGAGTTTGCTGACCAAAAAAAGAAAAAAAAAATCTTCTCTGTGGATTTTAAATTAAGGAAGGCCACCCTGTGTGGCCAGGCTCTTCAGGTGGTTCCGATAAGACACAATGCAGATGCAACTGGGGGGCCCTGCATCCGGCTAGCTTACGTAGCCAAACGGGATTTAACGAGGAAGCAAACGTGTTGTCTAATGTTCCCTGTGTCAAATGATTCACTCCGCCCAGGAAAGGGATGGGGTCCTGGAGGAAGATCTGCAAGTCACAAGTTCCCATCAATCAGTAAATAAGATAAGAAATAGGAATTTTAAACATAACTATTAGCAGGCAACTGCTATCACATCCACACACTGCAGCTCATTATGTTAAATAGTCTCTTCGGGGAGTGTAGTGCGGGGGAGAGGAGCAGAAGGGGGCAGAGTGGTGAGAAAGAAGAATTTTTTTTTACATGCATTTTTAAAAACTGTGCTTTATTTTAGATAAGTCTGTAGATGTGCTGTAATTTTAAATAACTGTAGAAGTCTAACAGGCAACTAAAATTGTGACACCCCCTCACAACCCCATAACTATTACCCTACCTCCAAGTAAAGTCTAGCCAGAAAGAAAGTATATTTGAGGTGGGTTCCAGTGATTTCCTCAGGACTCTGGGACAGGTAGCTGTTAGGATCTTGAAGGAATTTGAAGCTGAGTGGTGATCCCTTTTGTGTCCATGAACAGTCTCCCTAGTGTGTATTTGATAAACTTCAGTATGTGATCTTGTAAACTGGTTATTTAGGAAGCACTCAAATTAACACACTATATTTACCCTTTGTTTAACTTCAGAACAATGTAGGCAATTTCTTTACCAGTGTCCACACAAAGCTCTGCCTAAAATCTTTAAAGCCCTCATCTGCAGTGACCCCCTTGCTGCTCAAGAAAGGACAGCCCCTCGGTCTACACTGGGGCATATTACATGGTGATTTTGAGACTCTTGCCCACCAGGGAGGAGGGCCGGTTCACTTATATCAGTTACATTTGTGACTTAATATGGTGAGTTGTAAGGTCACCCTCAATCAAAGCCATCTTGTATTGAAGCAATTTTAACTGTCAACAGCCTATGTCTTAAAAATCTCACGAGAAGACAAGTGAATCCACCTGTTGATAACCTACAGCCCATTATGAATTTGCTAATTAAAATTTCCATTTGCTAGATTACACAACTTTAACTGTGTAATAAAAAGCTGCTTCCAAGGTAAACCAAAAGCATTGTAAACAAAACCCCTCAACCACGAGGTTTCACTCATCCTTGTGATGACTTTCATTTCTGTTTTATTCATGAATATATTTTCCACATCATTGAGAGCATAAAGCATTCTTAAGTAGATGCTTTGAACCATCCTTCCTGAGTCAGAGTGCTTGGAAGAATTAGACCAACTGCTGCATCGTGTCTAGCTGCTTATCTGTGATCCACCCCACTTCTGGAAATAGGGACATGTCCCCTATGGACACAACATAGATAAAATGGCCTGTGCCTGCATTTATGGGGTCTGTGTTGCAGAAGAAAGTAAACAATTCCAAAGAAAATAGTCCAGAAGAAATAGAAATGCTACTAAAAACAGATGAGATTTAAGAAATAAATGCCTTTCTTTATGAATAAGCATCAGTAGCTTGTGAGGTTAGCTCTTAGGCTGTGTGATTTGCAACTTTCCTTTGGTCAGCCTCTGCCAGAATTGATTTTCTTTAGTGTTGTTGAAAGTGTGTGTGCACATACTAAGGGACATGAGTATAAACTATACCATTTGGATGCACACAGATTGGGAATTTTTACTCTTATAGGAAATAAGGTAAAAAAAAAGAAGTCAGATGTTGGAACTTTGAGTTACGAAGATTAAGATAGTAGGATTGAAAGGGATTACTTTACTTTGTAAACAATACTGTTTTAAAAACAACTTACTCCAGCTCAACCTGACTACATTTCCCAAGATAGGATGAGGGGAGCATTACTCTCTCTCTGTTCTCCAATTAGATTCCATTCTCTTCAGTGCTCTCTGCCCAGGTGTCTCCTTCCATTTTTCCTTTGCCATCTCGCTGAAGTTTATCTGTCCTCTCTCAGCAGGGTTGAACTCTGTCTTGAGATAAGCAGCTACTCTAATATTAGTTATAGACGACATGAAGACTCTAGGTTCACCATAAAATCATTCTTTCCTAGACTAAAGCCTAAAATTAATGAGCATTATACATTCTTTTTTTTGAGATGGAGTCTCACTCTGTTGCCCAGGCTGGAGTTCAGTGGCGCGATCTTGACTCATTGCGACCTCTGCCTCCCAGGTTCAGGGTTCAAGTGATTCTCCTGCCTCAGCCTCTGGAGTAGCTGGGATTACAGGCACAGACCACCACGCCTGGCTAATTTTTGTATTTTTAGTAGAGACGGGGTTTCGCCACATTGTCTAGGGTGGTCTAGAACTCCTGACCTCAAGTGATCCACCCCTCTTGGCCTCCCAAAGTGCTGGGATTACATGTGTGAGCCACCGCGCCTTGCCAGCCATACTTTCTTAACTTGAATTACTATCCCTCATCCCATCACTCCCCAAAGCATTTATCAGGTAACTGTTTTTGGTCCACACATAATTTCTCCTTATATTGAGAACCTACTAGGTGCCTGGTACTGTCAGAGGTAGCAGGCATAATATTTAAAACAAAACAAAACAAAACAAAAAAGCAGCGACCTTTGAAGTTTTGAATCCCAGTTCAACACCTACCAGCTGTGTAACCTTGGATGAGATTCTTAACCTTTTAGTGACTCAGTTGTCTTATCTATAAATGAGTAATAATGGTACCTCAATATATATTAGCTATTACTATGTATTAGAGGCAGAAGGATGACAAAGACTGAGGACATGTTCCTTGCTTTTGTGAGGCTTATTGTCTTGTGAGGAAGCTAGCACATAAAGAAATATTATCTACATGGTATGCTAAATTCCAGGGCTGTTGTTGGCTTATATGATGGTATGCAGCAGTCCCAGTAAAGGCTGTGATAACACAGTAGATAGGAAGCTATCCAAACTGGAGCATTCCTGTAAGTGAAACAAAATTTTTGCTTTACTGCAGGTTCAGAACATAAATACACGATATTTCAGCTGGTTCACTGAACTTAGAAAATTATCATGTGTCCCTTAATTATGAGCCGCTTCCATGTGAATGATTAGTGTGCTTTTCTTTCCTCTTTTCTGTTTCCTTCTCAGCACTATAGAGCCATGGCTTCTTAGTATCTTCACATCTCCTAACCACATTTCTGATTCTCTCTGGCTTCTATTTTGGGCCTGGACACTCAAGGTTGGGAAGCAAACAGCCAAGTCCGGTAGGCAGCATCTCAGCAGACTTCTCATCTTCTCATGACTTCCACATTCTTCCTCAGTTGCTCCTCATCCCAGCCCTACAGCCTGTAACCAAACTCCAGGAAACCCCCTGCATAGCATGCCTGGTGAGCGCTCTAAGATGATCATTACTATCTAAACATTTCCTCCTTCCTGAACCCTGGGAATCTTTTTTGTTTGTTTCTTATTTCTTTCTATAAAACCTCAAAAACATGTATAGAATATGGAAGAAACTGTCGCCTTGTGTTCTGTTTCAGAATGACTGGAGAGGAGGGGAAGCCCTACTCTGAGAAGTAGGTGATGTGCATTGATGGTGCAGAAGATGAATCACATGAACCCTACCTCTGAGGAGGATATGATCCATAAGGCAAGACACACACAAACATATCCCATGACAATGTGATGCAAGATACAAAGCATTTATATACACAATACAGAAAAAAAATAGAGGCTGTTAGGCAGGCTACAGATCCAGAAAAATGAAGGGATAAATGAAGGAATGAGATGTGAGAAAATGTTCACAAGTAACAGGGGAGAAATAGGTGGTAAATAGGGAAAATGACCCTAAACCCATGAATAGAGGAAAGGAGGTAGTTGTGGAAGTGAGGCTATAGATGTGTGTCTAGGTAGGGGAAGGTGTGTCATTGAGTAGATTCTACTCAATGGCCTTGCTTGTGTTGGAAACAAAGCCATCTGTGGATTGTGGGGGAGGGAATAGATGATTACAAAGGTTTGGAATATTAACTGAGAGGAATTAGGGAGCTGACCAAAAAGGAGCAGAGAGACGTATAAGTGGCATAAAAACTCTGAAAGAGTTGGGAAGGCAAGAGATTGAAATGATGGCAATCATCGTGGCTGTGTGATTTCCCTCAATAGCACTGAAGTACAAAGGAAAAAAAGAGTAGAAAAGGAAGATTTGAATTCGATCCAGATTTGTGGTTCAAAGATGTCATAGATATTGGTACAAGAGCAATTTATGTGATTGACTGGGAGGTTTAGACCAGCCAAACACTCTTTATTGCTGGTAGGATAAAGTTCAACATCCTTAAACACTGGTGGCCCTATAGCCCACGTGATTTAACCTGCTTCAGCTCTATCAGTCTTCTTTCTTCAGCACAGCTCCTGTGCCCCAGACTCATTTGGGTATTTTCAGTTCATCTGCTCTCCTTGGAAGTGCAAATATCTCATGCCTCAGAGCTTTTGAATATGCTTGTCCTTCTGTGAGAATACCCTTCTTCACATTCTGCTTGGCTGGCTCCTCATTATTTAGCTTCTACATAAATTTGGAAACTATCTCAGAGACAAGCTTCTCAGAGAAAGATTCTTAGGCCCCTGGCGTGGTAAGCTCCCCCTGCACCTACACTCCATTTTCTAATATTCATCACACTTGTAATTACTCGCCCACTACCTTTCTCCCTGAGATATTCCAGGTTCTTTGAGCATGTTTCTCATTTTGACTGCTACATCTTGTGTCTTTCACATACTCTGCTCACAGTAGATGCTCAGTGAACATTTGCTGAGAGAATGAGTAGATAAGTTGATCATCCTGAAAGGCACTGGAAGGATATAAAGCAGGAAATCGGGGCATGAGTCTGGGCAGATGCATATGCCAGAGATTTAGATTTCAGAGTTGGGGAAGCTTTTCACAATGGCATCAGTCAAGATGTGCCAAGAGGAGAGGATTGCTCACGTTGAGTGGTGGTCTTCAGAGCTGCGAGTGTCAAAGAACTGCAGGGCTGCTGTGTTAGATGATTTATTTTTTCAAATGATGATGGAAAACACTCAAGTTATTGGTACAGTTGAGGTTGGAAAGTGGCATAAAATCTTAGGGTCTAATGTCTTTACTTAACAATGGAGAATGGCTGGGCATGGTGGCTTATATCTGTAATATCAGTACTTTGGGAGGCCAAAGCATGTGAATCACTTGAGCCCAAGAGTTTGAGACCAGCGTGGGCAACATGGTGAAATCCTGTCCCTACAGAAAATACAAAAATTAGCCAGGCATGGTGATGCTGCCTGTGGTCCCAGCTACTCAGATGGGGGCTGAGGTGGGAGGATCACTGGAGCCCTGGGAAGCAGAGGTTGCAGTGAGCTGAGATTGCACCACTGTATTCCAGCCTGGGGGACAGAGTGAGACTGTCTCAAAAAAAAAAAAAAAAAAAAAGAGAGAATGATGAAAAAATCAGTAAATAACATACCCAAGAAGAAGTGGGTGGTAAAGCTAGGAGGTGACTTATCATCATTGGGTGTCAGGTCTTAAGATTTCCAGCTCACTGGAGTGGGGCCAGACTCACTGCTAGTCAGCATAGCATTACTGAGATAGTGCTAAACATTTGTTGAAAGCACAGTGCATATAATTTAGAAGCTTTTCAACAACAAGGTCTTAAAGTGGCATTTTCTGATTAACAAATGGTCAATCACATAATTAAACTAGTCAGAAATCTGTATTTCCAAAGCATTCTCATTTATTTTTCTGTTTAGCACTTAATACTATTTATCAAATTTCATATTTAACTTAGCATCTGTCTCTCAGTAGTGGTAAGTTTTATGAAAGAGAAATTTTGATCTGTTTTGTCCACAACTCTATCCTCCGTGCCTAAAAATGCCTTGCACATAGTGAATACTCAGTAAACATCTGTTGAATGAAGGAATTTCATTTAATTAGGAGTTTGTTTTCTTTAGTTGTCAGAGGAGTTCAAGTAGATTTGGTAAATAAGATGTATCTCGATTTTTAAATAATCTCTAAATCTATTTTAGAAATATTCTGTGCCTATGGAAGATGTGGGGTATTTGTTGTTGTTTTTAAAATAAAAGATAGAAAGCAAACCTTTCTGAGATGTGACTGTCAAATCCCAAGCTCTACAATATCTGCATGTGATACTGGACAAATCTCTGTAATATATCTTGGTTATAAATTGTAAGCATAATGAGAGGTACTTCGATCCTTCTCATCAACACACAGATTTAATATCCCCATATGAAATTGAAAGCTAACTCTATAAATCACTGCTGTAAGGTGTTGACTTCTTCAATGGCACTTTCAGTAATTTCCTTTGAATTCAAGCTTAATTTAAAAAAACCCCACAGGTTATGTTGCTAAATACCAAGTTTCTTATTTTCCTGTGAGATTTTTCTTCGCTATATTTCTTAGAAGAGATTGGTAAAAATATCTTTTAAATTAAGAAAACAAACCATTTATTTATGAGTTAAGTAATACATACTTTCAAAACCAATGATTGTCATAAGCGGTGCTCTAGAGTCAAATAGATTTTCAATAACAATTAAAATATTGCATACAAAATTATATGTTTGTGGTACTACCTAGAAACATGGACTGTCTTTCTATTCTGTCAATGTAGAGCAGTGATGAAGGCAAAGAACCTTCCAGTGCCACTCTGATTGATGTGTTCTCCTCCTTGATAGGGCAGCACCCGGGGAGAGGGCAAGGCCACAGCAAGGGGACCTACTGTACAAAAGGCTGCCTGATCTGGGGCCATTGGGAAAAAAATGGCATGATAGATCTTGGATGGTGTACCTAGAACTGCCAGATTGAGCAAACAAAAATACAGAACAACCAGCTAAGTTAGAATTTCAGATAAATGATGAATAATTTCTTTGTGTGTCCCATATAGTGCAAAGGACATGCTTATGTTAAGAAAATTTACTATTTATCTGAAGTTTAAATTTAACTGGGTGTCTCTTATCTAAGCTGGCAGTCCTAAGTGCATTCTAGTTTTCTTGCTATAGCTTTGAGCATTAAGACTTCCACAGGATGTGGACAATAAACCATATGGGTTCCTTGAATAGAGCTCTTTGCTTGTGTCATAAGAGGTGAAAGGGAATAGATCCTGTGAGAGTAGGTGGGCATATGCGTATAGTAAGTCTCACTGCTGGGCCTTTGCTTTTGATTTAGTCAATTAAATGAAGGTTAAAATGAGCCTTTGACAGTGCAAACAGAGAAGGCTTCAAAGATATGCTAGGTAATGATGCAAAGCACCATTAAGGAGCCAGCAAGCTGATTCTGAGGGAGCCAGCTACCTCTCTCCTCTGCCCACTGACTTGTCATGCCTATGTATTAAAGGAAGTGGGGCAAGATTTGAGAGACTCAACTTGTAAGCATATCTCTAACAGTTTACTTTTAATAACATTGTTTGTATTGTGGAAATGAATTGAAAAAGAAATCATCATCAGTGGCAGTTTTAATGCTATTAAATGCCACCAGATAGCTAAACTATGTAAGAAGCTTTGCTTTGAAAGCTCACCAACTGAGTTTCATTTGTAAACCTGGGGGGAGAACCCAAAAATTGTAGGAAACTGATCAGTGAATAATTGAGGCTCAATTATTTTGCACAGAAATTCTTGTAAAAATACTAGCTCTGATTCTGTTTTCTTTGCAGATTCAGAGCAAAATCTGAGTACAAAAATACAGATGTATATTGCTGATTTTTATATTTTTAATATCAAATATCTTCAGTAATGTTGAGAATGGAAAATATGGGCCCTTCTCCCAGCCTTGCCTATAACTAGTTATATATTATTTCACAAGGCATTTAATATTGCTGGGTTTTACATTCCCATCTTTAAAATGCAAATCATAGCATCTGTTATGCCATTCTCATAGAGTTACTATGAGCTAAGTTGTAGTAATAAAGTCAAATGCCTTGAAAAACACCATGAAACGCATCAAAATTCGCTCCTGCTAGTTAATGTTCACTAATGGCACAAGTGATTTTGATGAATTACTAAGGAGCCTGAATCAACTCTTGTAGTAGGTCCAAGTGTTAGAGCAGAAAAAAAAATATTGGCAAAAATACCACTTTGGAAAAAAGCTTTGGTTTTGAGAGTGATGCTTGATAGAATGTGCATAGCTGTTCCTTAGGTGTTCTGTAAGGCACAAAAGAAGTTTAAGACATGGTCCCTGTCCGTATGAAGGTTACAGTTCATTTGGAGAAAAAAAGAAAAGGTAGACTTGACGCTAAATAAAAATGCAGTACAGTTTGATTTAGTGTCCAATGCATGGTGATGACAGTAGATTTCATGATTAAAATAAAGAAATTATTTCATAGAGTTAGTCTTCAGGATGGTTAGAGAGGGGTTTGAACAAATGAAAAGAAAAAAGGTCATTCTAGCCAGGGACATAATGTTGGAAAAGTTTTGACCAGGCTGTGTGTGTGGTCTATTGATAACAGGAAGGAGACTAGTCTGACTGGATCAAGAATTTATTCTGGGAATAGTGCATAAAAGAATAGCATAAAAATAAAATTATACTGCACAAAATAGAAGTCTAAATAGGTAGGCTTATTCAAGAGCATATCAAGTCTGGAACATCAGGCTGAAGAGTTTGGTATCTTGATTTATGAACAAATTATATATATGTAATTTACATATTATAATATATTATGTGATATATTAACATATAATATATACACACATATATATCATGTGTATATATATACAATGTATACATCCTCTATTTTAATATAATATACATGAATATAACACTTGCATTCTCTATATTATCTCAAAATGTCCTCTATTTTGATGACAGAACAACTGACATCTACTCAAAATATGACTTTAAAATACTGCTACTTTAAGAGAGGCCCCCTGAAAGCTAACTTGTGTTTTGAAACTGTAACCACCATCAGCAAAAGCTATTATAGCTAATAGCTCTTTCATTCAATTTTTCAGGGTTCATGGATTCTGCAGTAATAATTTTTCTGATTGCTGTGTTACCTATTATTGGTTTATTTACTGCCTAATTTGAAATTCTCTTGCAGAATATTTTGGTTTCTTCCCCTACTAAGCTGTCTCAGTGTGGTTTACTGTACAGACAACATCCACTGTGGTTTCTGCTGTCATCCCTTCTCCACATATGTCTCACCCAGGGAACCATCTCCGTTTTAACGCTTTTAGATTGGCTGCATTATAGACTTTTAAAATTCACTCCTACTAGTTAATGTTAACTAATGGCAAAAGTGATTTTGAAGAATTAGTAAAGACCCTGAATCAATTCATTTAGCAGGTTCGCATGCTAAAGATTGGCATGAATACTGCTTTGTTTTTGAGAGTGATGCTTGATAGAATGGTGTTTCATTCTATCCACCAGCCTGCTGAAAGAAGACATGGATGTAATTTTATGTGTCATGGTCAATCAGCACACTGTTAGATACAGTGCTGCCAAGGAAAATCAAAGGAAAAAAATTCAGTGATGATTTTTAGCCATGTTGCCAATGAAAATCTTACATTGACCGAGTCTAACTTTCTTTGTTGAGTTTTTGAACATGGCTGTGGAATATGGTCTTAATAAAAAATGACCTATTACACAATTCTCTGTTTTAGTCCATTGGTAATGAGAAATGAATTGGCTGTGATGATGTCAATGGTGACACAACTGAGCAAACCTTCATTAAAAAGGAGATTTTCATGAATACTAGTTGAGAAGCCAAGCTTTTTAAAAAGTTGCTAAGGCCCATGTTCTGAAATGCTTCTTGACCATATAAAGTTAGTTCTGGCATTTTCTGTACTTCTGTGCCCATCAAGATTTGTTCATCCTGCATTACTAAGGTCAAGTCTTCATTGTGAGTTTAGAAGTTGTGTGACAGTTTCTGATCATAATACTACCAAGTAGGAACAAAGAGGATGCCATTAGAAAACATGTGCCATTGTCTCATTTTCATGTATCATGGAAAAGCTTAGTCAGACATTTAAGGAACTCTTCCACAAATGTCCAAATATATATAAAGCTTTTAGAGCTAAGCACATACTACAGGCAATAGGAGTATTTGTTGTCATAATTGTTATTATTATCATTTATCATGAAATGTCTTAGCATTACTTGAGTAAATCTTCCTCAGTTTCTATAGCAGAAACTGCTATATTAGATATTGGGTCTCTAATATCTATTCTACTCCTATTAAAGCAATATAACTGAATATTGATGTTGTCTAGCCTCCTTCATATGTAGGGGAAGACAAGGACATATAAGAGGAAGTTGATGTGCAGAGCTTCCAGGAAAGTTCTTTAATAGTTCTAGCAGCTCTTTTGCTCCTCTGTAGTTCTTGTCTAGAATGTGGATGTGATGACAGTAGCTATAGAGACCACCTTACAAATTGGAGATGACCTTGAGGATGGGTACTAAAGAAGAGGAACATGGAGTGCCAATGATACAGGGGAGCCTCTGAAGCATCCCTGAACTTCCTACCCTCCTTCTCCCCCTCACCTCCTCCCACTGACTTGTTTGACATGAGAGAAAAGCAAACTCCTATATTATTTTAGTTACCCTTAATTTGCATACCAATTGCTATGGACCTGTGGTAATTCCTAAAGGACTCTGTATCCCCAGACTTTTCGCCTATTGGTATGTTTTAGAGTGATCGTTTCCTTTAAAAGTTTCTGGCCTTGCTTAAGGAGATAAGCTACATAAAAGTCAGAACCTGAGTTTATGCCATTTTGCTTCTTTCTTATTTAACAGCACACTATATAACTACAAGGCTTTTAATAAGTTATTTCTGATGCTGTTAACACCATTTGGGGCTTTAAAGATTGAAGTTTCCTAATCAGAGACTTGTTTTCTATCTATCTATCTATCTATCAATCTATCTATCTATCTATCTATCTATCTATCTATCTATCTATCTATCATCTGTCTATGTATCTATGTATCTATCTATAAATATGTATGTATGTTGTATATGTAATATATATCATAAACATGTATATATACACATGTGTACATACACAGGCTCTTTTCTCATGTCTCTAACATTTTAGCTTAATTCTCAACTGTTTTGCTCTAAAGCGCTGCTTAGTAAACAGAAAACATAGCCTTGGAAACAGATATAAAATAAAAACTAATTAGGAAAGAGAATATCAGATTGCCAAGCTTATTTTAAGTGTTCACTTATTTTGAATAGTTAAACTCATCCATTTCCTCTGAACTTAAATCTATGTCTAAACATGAAAAAGACTAGTCATTTTCCACATGCTCTGAAAATAATCTTTGTTCAATTAATATAACTAACAACAGTAGACAGAGGGACACATAGATCCAGATTTTTGCTGACTGGACCACTATACGGAAGACTCTTGTCTGATTGATCACTTCAATCCATTCTCTACAACATACTTAATAATGGTTTTCTCACAAAAACATGACCATACCCCACTTATTGGAAGAGTTGTGAATACCAGTAAAATAATTTTAATAATAGATTATAATATGCATTAGAATTTATTTTAAATTGTATTTAAATTTTTACCAACAAATACATTTACCTTAATAATGTTTCAGGTTTTTCATTTGATTTTGAGTAGGCCCAGAAATAAATACACTTTTCTCATAGAACACCTTTTCCTCAGCAGGTTTGCCAAAGAAGAAAAACAACAAGAATGAAGACAGATACACATTAAAATGTCACTTTTTTCAGAAAATAGTAAGAATGGGCAAATTTATAGAGACAGAAAGTAGAATTGTTGCTTAGGGCAGGGAGCAATGGGAGGATAGGGTTGGGGGTGGTAAAGGGATGGCGTTTTTGTGGGGAGTGATAAGAACAGTCTAAAGTTGATTGGCACAACTCTGTGAATATACTAAAAACCATTGAATTGTATGCTTTAAAAGAGTGAACTTTATAGTATGTAAATTACATCTCAATAAAGCTGTTACAAAAAAAGGGGAAACAAAGTCAATTTTATACCTAAGATCCAGCTTGAAGACTAGTTTTTAAATACAGAACTGCAGAATTAGGTGCAGGTATGACTCAACAATCAAAGGCTACCATAATGGAGGTCATCCCACATGGAGACGTGGCCATATAAACATAGTCATGGAAAAGCAGACTGGAAGCTATGTTTTCTGCAAGAAATTGGCTCCTAGGTAAAGAGAAGGGAGAAAGGGGATCCGTTTCTGCAAGTCCAAATTTTTCCCCCAACTCATTAATCTGATTAGTCTTTCCAACTTTCCTGATGGTCAGGGAGTAGGGGCTTGGGGACAAGAGAGTGGAAATGTAGGGAAGAATCTCATCTCATGGCAACCAGTGAAGTAGGAAACAAACACTCCCTCCATTCCAACCTCACACACAACTCCCTTCCTTATTTCTAAATTATCATTTTCATTTTTACGTGCCTGGTGAAAGTGCTTTCCATCTAAAATTTCTATGGATTTCAGGTCTCTTATTAATTGCCAAAATAATAATGCTTGTTCAACCATCTTAAAATTCTTTTTTAACAAATAATAACTGAAGATAAGCTAAAAACTTTTCCTGAAAAGGTGTGAGTCATTTCAGAAGAAACAGGGAGTGGATTCAGCAAGAGGCTTGACTGAATCAACAAGGAGGAAATCCAATTGCTCTGAAGAATCAACCACATTGAGAGACAAAAATTGATGTCATTGGTGTATCTACTGCTAGAGAAAAACACAGGCAAAGTCATTTTTGCTGGATCAAAGTCATTTTGCTAAATCAGAGGGCTTCCCCTAGATGTTTCTAGGGCTACCCTGGAAACATAAGACAAACTAGGAGAGCAGGGTTGGAGCTAGAGACCAAGCTGACCTCATTGGTTAGGGAATAAATATTTTAATATTGGATTAAAGTTCAAGCATTGTCCAGTTGTTCAAATTCAGTACAAAAGTACCTGTTGTATTTCTCAAATTATTAGATAAGTATATATGCACTTATATTTAAACTTGCTGTCATAAATACATTGACTTGGCCATTCTTGTGTTAAGTTCAGCTTTGAGAAGCAAGCAACTCATACATTTCTATTGCTTTAAAAAAAAACCCATCAAGCTATCCTGTTTTATCTAAATAAGCTATGAAGAGAATCTTAATTTTATAGGCTTTTGGATTAAATCTACCTAACTCCATGCTTTCAACACTTTTGTTAATTCAGTCACAGAGATTTCTAATGGTTTTTGATGTTATCTGGATTGCTATTCCTCAACTACAACTCTCCATTTAAAATCACTTTCCAAAGAGAGATGTACATTTTGGGCATCTGAGTATATTTGTAGAACTAGTAGTTGTGGTAACAAGACTAAGTTTACATGTCTGTCCACATCAGCACCATGTACTCAAGATGGATTTCAGCTGCCAAAAAGGTCACTCCAAACTGCTTGCACAAACCTGTCTTTATGCCCCTGTTTATTATGCTCCCATGTAGTAGATGTCTTAGGCACTGAAACAGTACAGCCATATATCAACAGCTCTCTGGTGGTTCCGAATGTTCTAAACAAGAGCAAGGGTGCACTGAACCTCCCATGTAAACTTTATACAACAGATTCAGCAGAACTGTAATTATTTACAAAATGATGGCATGAGAAATCTCTGGATTTATATCTTACGTTAAAGTAACTTAGATGGTGTCCACATAATTCTTGAATTCGTGGTAGGTTAGCAATTTATTTTGTTTTATTTTGGTTGCACTTGATACAACTCTAAGGCTATTTTCATTAAAATTTGAAAAAGAAAACAACTAGGATTGAACAGGTTTCCGAAATGTACATGCTGATTAAATCTGGTGCATGCATGATCCCATAGAAACTGAAAATATTCTCATATTGGCACGAAGTATTGTGCATTGGGTATATACGGTGAAATCCATCTTTTTTTGCTTTGATGATGAAATGAAATAATTATGAAAAAATATAGCATTTTAGAGAAGTATCTGAAGACCCTGGGCCAACTAAATCAGGTGGAATTTAGAACTTCATGTCCCTTCTTTCAGCTTGTTCCCTGTCCAAAGTAGTGAAATCTAAGCACAAAGCTCCCTTTGAGGTCAAGGGGACTCCCTGTTTGTATTGGCATTACAGGGTAGGCATGAAAAAAAGGAAGAAAACCTCTGAGAATATGGAAAAATCCGGTTTCAATGAAGATTGCAGCCCCAGAGTTAAAGTGATACAATGACATCAAAATATCATATGTACTTATAGTTGAATATATACCAATTTGTAAACTATTCAGTAAAACTATTAAAAGGAATGGCAAAAACCACAATTACTTTTGCACTAACCTACTATATCACTTCAAAACTCATAAAAATTATACCTTGTCTCTTATTCAATACTCATACCCCACTTTAAGTTCTCTTCAAAAACAGAGACCTAGCAACCTTGAGGCCTTGAATAAGGAAAAAAAAAACTACCTCTACTATAGCATATTTACAAAATCAACATGTTAATTATTTTTCCCTTTTCTTTTGCTCCTAAGAAGTTAAAATTTTTGCCCTCCCTCTCCCCCCCAAAAAGGATAATTTCATCACCAGAATCCTTTGCTCACATACCAAAATTACTTACAGTATATTCTATTGAGACATTTCAGTGGGTGTTCAGCCATAAGAGCATGAATAATCTGCTATGAAATGTTATCTTATTACTGTCAACATACTTTTCAAGCTTTAGCTAAATATTGCTCCTAACACCACTGTAGGAAAGAAAAAGATTATTATCATATCTTCTTTTCACAGCAGGAGAACTGAAAGGAGAGCAGTTAGTTAAATGTTTTACTCAAGGCAAAAGAAAGCATTAGAGTCAGAAATAAGGCTGGACTCCAGTGGAATGCCTTGTTCTGCAATCAGGCCCAGCTTATGAACTGCCTACTGATTTAGGAAGATGAAGAGAGTCCAGACAATCACTATTATTCTCCCCATATCATTAACTGGAAGTAAATTAGGTCAGCTCTTGCAGGAAGTATTCATTTTTTCAGACTTAAAAGATGTCATTTGTTTATAGTGTTGAATACTTTATTTATTGCATTGAATACTTCACCTATTACTAGAGACCATTTTTACAAAATTAGAAATTTGTCAAACCTCATTTGGCCTGCTAAAACATCAGTCAATCCTGAAAAATCACAGAACTCAATTTACTTTTAAAAACAGAATTAGCTAAATATAGTTTCTCTTTATGGAAATGACCTATTCCCTTGGGAAAATGTGATTTGATATAAAGTCAAAGTGAGAACTAGAAATTATGACTAGAAATATAGAGTTTGGAGCTTTGAGGTTTGTATTGCCAAAAGCAGATGCATTTTAAAAAGCTTTACAAATGCTCAGCACAGTGGCTCATGCCTGTAATCCCAGCACTTTGGGAGGCTGAGGTGGGTGGATTACCTGAGAGCAGGAGTTTGAGACTAGCCTGACCAACACGGTGAAACCCCGTCTCTACTGAAAATACAAAATTAGCTGGGTGTAGTAGCGCATGCCTGTAATCCCAGCTACTTGGGAGGCTGAGGCAGGAGAATTGCTTTAACCCAGGAGGTGGAGGTTGCAGTGAGCCGATATCACGCCACTGCACTCCAGCCTGGGCAACAAGAGTGAAACTCCATCTCAAAAAAAATAAAAATAAAAAAAATAAGTTTTACAATTTACATTATAGTTCTGTACCTCATTTAAACAATACAAAATGGGAAGAATAACAGTTGGAGCTTAATTGGAAAAACTAGAAAAAAAGGTAATAAAATTGATGTTTATATTCTTTGGAACAATTATCCTCAACATCTTTAAAATTGTCACACTTCATCATTTTTTAGTTGCTTTTGTATAAACTATTGTGACTCATAAACCTTCCCTTGGTATAAACTTATTTTGAAGATTAGAGTGATATATAAAGGTAAGTATACTTTCATGTCTGTTTTAAGTGGAGGTGCTGTTTTAAATGATAATTTTATAATTTGTCTTGAAGTTATTAAGGATCTCCCAAAATCTAGTCCAAACAGGTATTAAAAAATAGGTTGATCTTTACTACTTTGCATAAACTTTATTTCATTGCTTTTAAAAAATAAAGTTCAAAAATAATGGAGAATAAAAATAGTTTTATTTTATATTTATAAAAATAATACAAAGAAAATAGGGCAATTAGAGTTACACTCTTAAAAAGATAAAAATCTGGGGTACATTTTTTAGAAGCAATCATTGCCTTTCAGGTACAAGATATTCATCGAGCTGCACTAGAGATTTCAAAATCTTTTGAACCAACAAAAACCTTAATGGAAACAATCTCAATTTTTTAAAACCAGACTTTGGAAAAAAAGAGAAGCTTTCGTTTGTCCAAAGAGCTGTCAATTATACAAGCTAAGGGGGTTATGGAAAATTCGAAGAATGATGTGAAGTCTTTTTTTTTTTTTTTTTTTTTGAGACAGGGTCTCTCTCTGTCACTAAGCAGGAGTGCAGTGGTGTGATCATAGCTCACTGCAGCCTTGACCTCCCAGGCTCAAGCGATCCTCCCACCTTAGCGCCCCCAGTAGCTGGGACTACAGGTGTGCACCACCATAGTTGGCTAATTATTATTTTATTTTTGTATTTTTAATAGAAACAAGGTTTCACCATGTTGCCCAGGCTGGTCTCGAACTCCTGGGCTCAAATGATCTGCTGGCCTTGGCCTCCCAAAGTACTGGGATTACAGATGTGAGCCATTGCACTTGGCCAAGACATAGTTTTTTAAAAAGTATAACTCTTATCCTTCCTGGATAAAAGGTTTGTATCCAATCTCTTCATCCCTTCTTCCCTCAACTCTTTCTAGCAGATTGTGGGTTGCGGTTCATTGCATTATGGATGGTTAGGAAAGGAAGAAAAGGGAAGGAAAAAGGCTGCAGATTTTTTCTTTTTTAGCATTGATATCTCAAAGCCTAAAGCCATTAAGACTTGTCGCTGCCTCTGAGGCAGGTCAAATATCAGGCTAGGTAGAGTCCCTCAAGGCTAAAGTTTTTGTTGTTTCTCTGAAATTTTCTATTGAGTCAGAGAAAACTGGGGAAGAGATATGAATGGATTTCACAAATTCTTTTTCTGATTCCTTGCTTCCTGTCAGGAGGCAGAGTGACAGCAAGATTGAAAGGTCCAAGAAGCTAGGAATTCAAAACCTCTCAGCAGAGAAGGCCGTGGGACCACTTTGCATAAGCTGAGTCATCTCCCATCACCTTGACAGGAGCAAGAACCATCCACCACCCACTAATTATTTGGTGAGGACTTATCTGCCTCAGCAACCAGCACCTTGACTAGCGATTGCCCTCCTGGGAACGCCTCATGTTTGACTTTCGCTTGTTGATACCTTTGAGACACTCAAAAGCCCACACAATGTTTCCAGGTAACCCTGGGCAACTTAAGTATTGAAATGAATCAGAAAAGCCCTGTATCTATGTGTGAGATGAGGCTAATAAAAAACTTGAATACCTCCCATCGTGTCTGAGGCAGTGGTTACATACAACCTTGCTATAATCAGTTTTTGGATAATTTTAAAGGCATTTAATTCAATTTTTGAGTTTTTGTGTAGGGATGCATTTGATATCAGTTCACTTCAAACTCAATTCGAGGGCACAAACTTGCAATAAAGAAAACCAGCAAAGGCAGGAAGCTGTTTAGGCTCTTTATTTGCTTCCTCTGTTCAATTCTTTATAGAAATTGACTAATGTCCCAAGTAGACTGACAACAATCGCTTCCCTCCCAACTTTCCTGAAAGATTACACATAGGTAAGCTTTCTGGGTCCCAGGACATCACTACCCTACTTGCCATAGAAGTAAATGAAAACTGTTCAAACCACAGTACAAAATTCACTGAATGTCATTCTAATAGGAATTATCCAGTGGTGACTCAATGTTTAAATTCAGATCTGGAATAGCACTGGGCAAATTTGGAAGGGGAAAGGATAAAATTTTAAATCCTGCGATACTAAATGTCCATGTCTGCAGGTGAATCTGAGCAGTCCCTAAGCCTGTGTCTGGCAAGGCTCATTGTGGGCTATTTTAATAGCACATTAGTGAAAGGACCAGTCTTCCAGGCAGTTTTTCATGATGTGAGAATACAGCCCCCTGTGTGTCCTGGATAATCAGACCCAATTGCTCAACTTGGCTGTGTTCTACCCAAAATTATTTGTATATTTTCTTCTGTATGTTATACTGATCAGTTAAAAATGCTTTGATTTGAAATAAACATGTCAGGGAAGGTCTTTCAGTTTAAATAGGGTATTCTCAACTTCATGACCACTGCTGAAAGGATTCCTGCCCATCTCCCTCCTCCTTAACCTCCACCATTTCCCTGTGCCCATGCTCGTCTGTTTAAAACTGGTGATGCTTTGTCATAAACATTATATGATATGGTGGACAACATAGTATCAAACACTATAGAGTTGAAAGGTTACTTTTTAAAAATTGGACCCAAATGATTATAACTTTCCACTGGTAAGTTTAACATTCTGCAATCATGTGTCCACAAGTGCTGTTAACCAGCTCCACTGATGCAAACATTTCTTTGCAAGCATTTACTGAGATATTGTAAATTACTTAACTGCAACAGTGTACTTTCCCTCCCTTAATCTTGATCTGATCCCTGAGGGGCTATTTATTACAGATATATACAACTTGTCATTAGAAGTGATGTTAATGTAATATGACACAAGTAGCACACATTGTTTAAATGTGTTCCAGAAAGTTAGCAAATTTAGTTCAGTGAATACTTACATGATCTTCTGCCTGAAAAGCAGTAAGAAAGAAGTGAGGCAAGGGGGGTACGGGCAAAATATTAAACACTGCTCACTGTAGGTGGCCAATTAATACCCTGTATCCAAGCTGGAACAAATCCTCCCACTATATACATAAAGCATATAATCTCTTATCTGCTTAGGCATTATCAAATATTTTAGCAAATCCTAGTAACTTCAAACACAGGTTTAATGGAATGCAGTGCTAAAACATGCAAAGTCAAGAATCAAGTTTTTAAAGAACATAATCTGTTTTAGAAGGTTTCAAGAGAACTACTTTGCAATGACATTATAATCTTATCCCATGAAGAAAGATGTCTGATTTGGCAAAACAACATTAGACGTGTTAGAGCAAAACGTACAATTTTGCCTTTCCAAAATTAAAGCCATAAGCAGGAAAATCATTTTAATTCTTTAGAAGTTGAAAGAGTTTATAACTATTGGTCTGGTTCTCAACATTTTGTCCCCAGATAATATTAATTTGAGAGGGAATTCTCGTAGATGGCCACATACATTTACAATATGATACAGCTGGGACATGTGCCAATATTAATTCAACATTGTGGTTTGCATCTCATCATCAAGTTAAAAATAACACAATTAATTAAACCACAAACATGGAAAAAAACCTAACATAATCAATACTATAGTTCTGACAAAATTTCAGTTTTTACTTATACATACTTTTACTTTAAAATGGATCAACTTCTCCCCCAAGTTATACTGTCCCTTTTTTTTACGGATAAACTGGGATGTATTTTAAATGTCTTTTCATCTTTTCCATCTTCATCTGGGATTCTGCTCATGCACTCAGGGTGGTTTAGATGAAAGATCAGAAAGTAGGTAAAGTGAGAGAAATCTCCTTTTCAGAGTGAGGCAAACACAGCATGAAGCCAAAGAGAAAACCAAAGAAACAGTCAGTGAAAGACAGACAAAATTGCATGTAGAAAACTGATCTTTCCATATATTTTAAAGCACAAGCTATGTGATAAACTTGACTTACAAGCGTAACATTTTATGCTTTTTATACAAACCAGAATACATACAGCAAGAAGACTGTTCACAGCTAAAAGCAGAGAAATTAAAAAGAAAAATAAAGCAAACCATCCTATTTTTATTAAAAAAAGGAATGATTTGCGTAGTAGGGTTTGCATAGCTTAAGAAATCTAGTGCTTGTGAGTGATGCAAGATAACACTTTCTTGTAATTTTATATAGTAAGCAAAGATTTAGAATATTTACAGACCACCCTGAGTAAGAACGTCACTGGATTCTAGGAGCATGCTCATACCAGAACATTCATCTTAAAAAAAAAAAGTACCCAATGGCCCTCAGGCCATATATGGCTGTAGAGGGAGGTATGCCTTTGACCTTCCAGTGCCTGCAGAATTAGAGCACAAAGTCATTACAGCCTACTGAAGGATTTTCTTTCTTTGATTTGTTATACTGGCTAACTTATCAGATCTGGCCAGCAACTGTACTAAAGCACTTAAGGTTCCTCAAGTTCTAATTTCTGACAATAGGGTTATAAATGTATTTATATTGTTTGGAGTGACAGTCTACTGGTGTCGGAGTTTATGATTCAGTGTAAATCTAAGCTTGTCGATTATTTGCACACTAGCAAACTGCATTGCTTTGGTATTTGCATGCTGCCTGCTTGCTCTTTGGGCAGGCATAGAAAGGAGGTCTGTGTATGATATTTTAGACTGTACATGGCCAGGCTGGTGTAAATTCCTTTTTCTGATTTATGGGTAGGACTTGAAAGGGAATTTCTCCTTATTAAAATTGATATAGGAACATTCCAAGCTTTCAGTCATGAAACATTTTTTTCATTTTTATTCTATACAATGTAATTGTAATGAATTACAGTGTTCCACTATTTATATTCTCAACACATACTTTCACAGAAGTTCTCACGCATTCTGTATTGGCTAACAGATGCTACAATATTCCATCTTAAAGATTCAAGCCTCCTTTGTATTTTTCCTGTTATTCTGGCAGCTAGATTTTTCCCCCATTGGTTATTTCCTTTATGGGAATAAAGGTACTTTGGGATAAGCATTAATCCTTATGCTACCTGATGTAACATGATGCAGCAGTAAACAAAATGAATGACACTGCATTTGTGTAAATGTGTTCTGATTCCGACTTAGGCACAAATTTAATGGTTATTCAGTCAATCAGTTAGCTCTTTCTGAAGTGCTAAGAATATTTTTAAAAATCATTGATATTAATTACTTCCCTATTAAACAACTATTTACTGCAAAAGATGTCAGGCAAATTATGTAGCATTGTTTTCTACAGGCAGGGTCTCAATCTACTTGTGGCACGGGTTTCTAAATGTTTTACTTTTGTTCAATTTGTTTTTAATTCAATAGAAGTCTCTTGGTTTTCTCCACAGACAGTGTTTCTTTTTAAATTCCAGAAATATGTAATATAAACCTTCATCCTAACTATTTCTATTTCTAGAAATCATCATTTTGTGTAAAGGTCTCATTATGATTTAAGTTCTGTAACTATTTTCATTCATTAAGTCTAAGTGATTGCAACAGAGTGCCGGAAAGTCTTAGATTTTTTGGTAATTTATAATATATATATATTCATTTTAGGCATAGGCAAAAATGACTTGCCACCTCAAATTCAGGAGATTGTTATTTTCAAATCATACTGGAGCTGTGGATTCCTTGACCTTGGTCAAAAAAGCAAGTTATATATGATAGACAGAGATAGAGACAGAGATTTAAAATCCAATATGACCTTATTAAAAGATCAATGCACCATACTATTTACTTTGTGCACATTTATCTATTCATTTATTCAAAAAACACTTTTAGTATTCTCTGTCCTAGAGCTACAGAGGTTGATAAAGATCATTTCTTGCCCCTCAAAAGCCCCAGAGCTCTGGTCAGCATCTTGCTGAAAACAACTCAAACACTTAGACATTCTGTCTTTACCCAGTGTGCCTGAGAGCAATATCATCTTAAGTCAAATTCTCTTCCTTTGGATTCTGAAAGGTAAGATCACATGATATCCTTCAAGTGTGTGATTGCCCACCCTCTTTCAGAAGTGACTCATTAATATCTCTTCTTACCCAATTCTGGAAGGGCAGACAAGATAGAAGCAAAGGCAAAGGTAGTTAAGAGGGAAACTGACTGAACTAAATTCTTATTCTTGGTTCTTTGGTGGAGCTCACATGTTTTAGGAATTTGAATCCAGAGGCATACACAAGAGCTCTAAACACATGTAATACTCTCTGGAAGTGTTTGGAAAAGTATTCTTTGAATCTCAGCTAATGGTAAATAAGTCTGTTACTTTCCATTGCAATCCTTTCCTATTGCAGAAGATTTGTTGAACAAAATTTTTTTGCAGGGAACCAGAAAGAGCAAACAAAACAAAAATTTTGAGAATATTCAAGTTTTGAAATTAAAAACAAACTCTTTAGATTGAATAATTCATTCAGATTAAAGTTTCTAAACTCAAAAAATTCATGAACAAATTATAGCTTATTCAAAATCAGAGGCTTTCAACCAATGTTTCAGAGAGCTTAAGTAGGAGGTGGGGCTGAACTGAAGGTGAGGGAGAGGCCAGGAGAGAAAATTCTGTCCCTGGGACAACGTAACTGTACCATTAGCTGTTGTATACATTGAGGTTCATCATAAGACTTCATTTGACAAAGGTTTCTATTCAAAGAAGAAAAGAAATGCCACAAAATATGTATTCTAGACTAACCTGTTACCAGAGGAATTACAGAAATTCAGAATAACTGTTTTAAGCAATAGAATTACTTTTTCCAAATGAAAACTTATGAGACTGCCAGAATTTATTAAAAGATTTTTTGGCATTCATTATGAGAATGTGAATCAATATCCCACAGAAAAAGATTAGCAGTGTAGTAAGAATTTTATAAGGAAACAACTCAAGAGAGAAGTGTGTTAATTAATTAATTCATTATTCTTTTGCCTATAAACATAATACATTTTTATTGTGGAAAAACATGGATATATTGAGAAGTATTTCTAAAGTGATATCAAATTACCTGTAAACCCATTGTTAGCTTTTCTTTAGATGTATGGATGTAGGAACATAATTAATATCACAATCAAATACACTTCTGTGGCCTGTGTATTAATTGAACATTTTCTTGTGCAGTTACTCACGTATTTTTTAAAAATCTTTACTTAAGGAGGAAATAGAAAAGATAGATTGAAGCAAGTTTTCATTGGTCTAAAATTTTAAGAAGAGTATAGCAGAGACTTCAGCTCTTTACACAGTTCTCCATTTCTCCATTCAGGCAATTGCAAGTGGCAACTCTATCTGCCTCACAGTGGTAATTACTTTCCTAGAAGTGTAGCCTCAGTGGTCCCAGGCCTCTGAAAATTTAATCTACTCTAAACTTTGGTGATATTTTCCACATTGTACTACCCTTTGCATCTCTGATTTCTTTTCCCACTGTCTCCTACAGGAACTAGTTATAAAGGACATAAAAGGCAAATTCTACTGTAGGAAGAAAAGCTAATCAGTTGGAAAAGAACTGTCTTAATGAAATGCTAAGCCTAAATCAGAATTCCCAATGTAAACTAAAATAAAATGCCCACAACTTTTGCTAAATTAACGACTCTTGCACTTATTAAGCAAAGGTTACCTAGTCTGTCTATGATCTTTAAAAAGACAAGATTTCCCAAGTGGAGGCCAGAGGCAACAAGTTTGGGGAAGGCTGGCCACAATGCAAAATGTCAAGGTCTGCTAGGATTTTCTCCAAAGATATTTTAGATTAAATGGCATAGAATTGTTAGCTCTATTTAAAGTTCATAGCTAAGTGGGTATTTTACAACTTTGGAATATAAATGATTTGTTCATCACACTACAGAACAAATCTAAAGAATTAAAATAGCTTGATAATAAAGCTAAATTCCAATAGGTTAAATATTTCTCACTTGAGGCCTCTTTTAGCCTTTTCTCTCTCTCTCTTTTTCTCTCTGTAGTAGTTTTTCCCCTAACTAGAAATAAATTTACATGGTTAACTCTTAATTATCACGTTAGTTTAGTGTTAGACTTCATGTCCTCCCTAACTGCTAATTTCTCCCAACACTGGGTTACCTGCCCTCCTATTTGCTGCCAAAGCAGATTTTAAATCCTCCATTAAAACACTGTATATAATTCCATTTTACATGTCTCTCCCAAGCTACACTGTAAATACCTTGAGAACACCATTTCTTCCCGGCATCCAACATCTTGGTCATTGCATAGGTACTCAACTATATTTATTGAGTTGAATAAACAAGTGAACACACTAAATAAATAAATGGAATAAATAAATAGGAAACAAAATAAAATTTTACCTAACTGGGGTTTTGCCATGGTAGTGACAGCATGGCACTTTTGCCTATTCTTTTTGTGCAACAATTTATGATATTAAACCCAACATGACCAGGCAAAAGCCCCTTAGTTTGCCGTGACCATTAAAACACCTGCGGTCAAATGTATCTTTTGGTCTCTGTGTGTTCTTTTAGAGAATTAAGAGCCTTGGCCTAGAACATTTCTTTTGGATAAATGATCATTAAGGGTTAATGACCCAATGTCTTGCTTTAGGCCAAAAAATATTCCTAATCGGTCATTAGTCTCCCCCTCCATGTCCTGAAACTCCGTAATAATTGCTTAATTTAAGCACAGTCTACTATGCACACAGAACACTCCCTATCTCTGTTTTTTAAACATAATGAGCACAGATTTCAGTGAGTTTAATCAGTTGTTTACATATGTTGTTTACATATGAGTTGGTTCTTGGCAATAACATAAGTTATGTCTTTCATTTTTATAAAAATTTAAGCATGGTGTCCTAAGAGGTCAGATCATATTGGTTATTTCCTCAAAGGATCAACATTTTATATCTATATATTTTTACGTTTAAATATTTTATTTTAAATTGAATATTTTAAAAATTACAAACAGATTAAAATTTTATGTAATAATCTGCTATGTTACTCTCTTGTCACCTTTTCTCTCAGCACAAAATTTGATCTGTTTCTTAAAATATACAATAGTAATTATGTAGTGATGGTGTGACTCATACTTCTTTGGGCAATTTGATACCATAAAATTTAAGAAATATCTTGAATCTCTTAAATTAGTAATGGTAAAATATATCATGGATTTTTCCAAAGATTTGCTTTACAAATATTTACTGCAGCACAAAACTTTGTTATATTTCTTCAGTCTGCTTGATAATCCCCTGATTAGACCATCTCATGCTTGGAGGAGCCAAAGAAAAATTGTAGAGCTTGCCAAAGACAAGTATACTGTGTATTGCTTTTAAAATTCTATTTTTTTCAATAGCTTGTATTTTTTTCCTGATAAAATAAATGATTTGGACTAACAAGCCACTCATTGATCTTTGACCTTTTCAACCACATCAAAGCTTCTTAAAAGCCAATTAGTGGAAGTACAGAGAAAAGGTCATTTTATTATAGCACTCAACACTGGAACCACAATATTGTACATAGATTTAAATTATCCCATGGCTTTCATTAGAAAAATAGAAAGATAAATTCTACAATCCTAAAGCAGGTTGATATTTGCTTGTACAAATGATTTTACTTTTCCTTCAGGCTGAATACAGTAATTTTCTTAGCACAGCCAACACACACAGTCACTGGTAAATGCTCTCTTGATTATCTCTTTTGATGTAGGACAGGGACAACACTGATAAATGATGTCTATTGATAATCCCCAAGCCTCATTTTAGACACTGCCTTTAATTGCTTTCTGAAAACAGCTTTTTGTCAGACTATTTCAGAAGAAGTAATACATAAAAGATTAAACATTTACTTTTATTCTCGTTCCCCCTTTTCTTCTCCAATAGTGTTTATTATAAGCAGGATAACAGAGGAAAGGAAGAAAATCAAAGACTTGGAGGAACACAGAATTGAATCTACACCCTTGGAAATTAAAGCAATTATTTTATTAAAATAATTATTTAATATGTTTGTAATTAAATTTCTAAAATTCAGGTATTTCAAGGATCACGTGTTAATTTTTCTGATTTGATTTGAGGCTTCGCAATTTGCAAGGCCCTGGGCTAGGTAAACTCTGGAATATACAATAAAAGAATAGACATGGTTAATGTCATTAGAAAATTATAGTCAGCAGAAGATGTTACAAATCTTCTGGAGTTGTGCTGGAGTATGATGTCTTTCTGACAGTTTAATAAGAAATAGTAGAAATCATTTTGATTTTTGTAGCAGGTGTCTTCCTGTGGTTAGAAAAGCAATTCACCTCAGTTGAAAAATGAGAGTATTGGATTTTTCTCTGAGCAATCATTTTTGTATATGTGGCAAAAAAATAAACAAGTATACCCCAAATACCCTATAAAACCCTAGAACAAAAATCTAAATATATTTTAAAATGAAGCATAATGCTATAATCTAAAAAATATATGGAACTGGTAGAATAAAGTCACTTGTAACATACAAGATCAGGTATTGAAAAATTGTATTGGACTTTGATATTTTGAGCAGGAATTTCCAGTCCTTTCCTGAATGCTTTTTCTTTAAAGTAGAAGCAAACCACGTTCATCAAAACCAGATGCTAATGTTTCTCTGTTCAGTTTCAGTTATCAATATCAAGTTTGAAAGATCAAAACATTTTTGTAAAAAATTGACTATGCTTATGATCAACTCACATTCACCAGGATGACATAAGATAAGGTCCATAAGTACCTTTGAAATGAATAAAACAAGATCATTTAGACCACATTTTTCTCTTGAATTTTTCTAAGCAAAAATTACTTTTTCAAGAAGTTTTACATATATGTGCATCATACAAACTTCCTGATTTAGTCCCTTTGAAGAGCTACTGACACTGCATGGATCAGCCCTTTAAACTCTGGTTGGCTCTGTTGACCACAGCATGTCCATATGATGGAGATGTGCAGTCAGCAGTCAAGAGCACCAATTGCCATTCCCACAGTGCTGACTGGATGGGGCAGAGCAAAAGTTGCAGCCCCCAGTTAGGGCCAATGTGTTGGTAGCAATGGAACCATATTGTATCCTTATAACCTTACAAGAATAATAATGTCCTAGAGTTCCTTTGATGCCCTTCTCCTGAGCATCCAAAAATTCTAACTGTGTACCATGTTCTCCAGCTATATTGAACACTCCACATAAAAATCTTCTTTATTCTCTTAAAGTATCATACCAATGGCAATAATATCTTATACAAATTTTATAGTGTTTATAATGCATTTATAGACTTGATTTAAGGCTTTTAAACTTTACTGCAACTATAGAACTTAAAAGAACAAGTAATTAAATTGAAAAAACAAAACTCAACTCCATGAATTCAGATATGGCATAGAGTTTATCAAAAATACCAACTAGAGGTTAATATTCTAGTGTAACATATGAAAGCAGATAGCATAATTATATGATACATTTACATTAAATGTGAGCATCTACATTAAATGATTGAAACAATATCTAGAATTTTAATTTTAAAGATAATTAAGTGCTATGTCAGGCATTAAATGTGTGGTGATTAACAAAACAATCAGAAGCTTTGCCCTCATAGAGCTTATACGACATAGGCTCATGGTACATACAGCTTATAGACATACATTAAACAAACACATAAGTAAATGAACATATAAACAAACAAACAAAATGATGATATGTGAAATAAAATGAACATGACACATGTATTAGTTCATTCTCACACTGCTATGAAGACATACTCAAGGCTGGGTAATTTATAAAGGAAAGAGGTATAATTGATTCACAGTTCAGCATGGCTGGGGAAGCCCCAGGAAACTTACAATAATGGCAGAAGGGGAAGCAAATCTTTCCTTCTTCACATGGCAGCAGAAAGGAGAAGAATGAGAACTGAGTGAAGGGGGTAGTCCGTTATAAAACCATCAGATCTCATGAGAACTTCCTCACTATTACAAGAATAGCATGGGGGAAACCACCCCCACAATTCAAATCCTCCATGTGAGGATTATAGGAACTACAATTCAAAATGAGATTTGGGTGGGGGCACAGACAAACCATATACTTCCACCCCTGGCCCCTCCCAAATCTCATGTTCTCACATTTCAAAACACAATCATGCCTTTCCAACAGTCCTCCAAAGTCTCAACTCACTCCAGCATTAACCCAAAAGCCAAAGTCCAAGGTTTCATCTGAGACAAAACAAGTCACTTCCACCTAAGTGCCTGCAAAATCAAAAGCAAATTAGTTACTTCCTAGATACAATGGCAGCGGGGGTGTGTGGTGGGGGGGTGTACAGGCATTGGGAAATATGCCTATTCCAAATGGGAGAAATTGGACAAAACAAAGGGGACACAGGCCTCATGCAAGTCTGAAATTCAATAGGGCAGTCATTAACCCTTAAAGTTCCAAAAGATCTCCTTTGACTCCATGTCTTAATCCAGGTCAGGCTGATGCAAGAGGTGGGCTTCCATGACCTTGGGCAGCTCCACTCCTGTGGCTTTCCAGGATACAGCCCCCACCCAGCTGCTTTTATGGGCTAGCATTGAGTGTCTGCAGCTTTTCCAGGTTCATGATGCAAGCTGTCAGTGGATCTACCATTCTGGGGTGTGGAGGATGGTGGCCCTCTTCTCACAGCTCCACTAGGCAGTGCCCCAGTGGGGACTCTGTTTGGGGGCTCCAATCCCACATTTCCCTTCCACACTTCCCTAGCAGAGGTTCTCCATGAGGGCTCTGCCCCATCAGCAGACTTCTGCCTGGACATCCAGGCATTTCCATACATCCTCTGAAATCTAGGCAGAGATTCCCAAACCTCAATTCTTGTCTTCTACGCACTCATAAGTCCAACACCACACGGAAGCTGCCAAGGTTTAGGGCTTGCACCCTCTAAAGCAACAGCCTGAGCTGTATGTTGGCCCCTTTTGGCCATGGCTGGAACTACTAGAACATAGAGCATCAAGTCCTGAGGCTGCACATAGCAGAGGGACCCTGGGCCTGGCCCATGAAACCATTTATCCCCTCTAGGCCTCTGGACTGTGATGGGAGGGGCTGCTGCAAAGGTTTCTGACATCCCTGAAAGCATTTTCCTCATTGTCTTGGCAATTAGCATTTGACACCTTGTTACTTATGCAAATTTCTGCAGCTGGCTTGAATTCTTTCCTAAAAAATGGGTTTTTCTTTTCTATAGCATCATCAGGCTGCAAACTTTCCAAACTTTTATCCTCTGCTCTTCCACTTGAACACTTTGCCACTTAGAAATTTCTTCTGTCAGATACTCTAAATCATGTCTCTCAAACTCAAAAGTCCACAGATCTCTAGGGCAGGGGCAAAATGCCATCAGTCTCTTTACTAAAGCATAGCAAGAATCACCTTTATTCCAGTTCCCAACAAGTTCCTCATCTCCATCTGTGACCACCTCAGCCTGAACTTCATTATACATATAACTATCAGCATTTTTGTCAAAGGCATTCAACAAGTCTCTAGGAATTTCCAAGCTTTCCCACATCTTTCTGTCTTTTGGGCCCCCCTACCTATTCAAACCTCTGCCTGTTACCCAATTCCAAAGTCACTTCCACATATTGGGGTATCTTTACAGCAGCACCCCTTCTCTGTGGTACAAATTACCTGAAACTAGGTAATTTATAAAGGAAGAGGTTTAATTGACTCAGTTCAGCATGGCTTGGGAGGCCTCAGGAAACTTACAATTGTGGCAGAAGGGGATGTAAACATCTCCTTCTTCCCATGGTAGCAGGAAGAAGAATGACAACCAAGTGAAGGGGAACATCCCTTATAAAACCATCAGATCCCATGAGAACGTACTCACTATCATGAGAATAGCATGGGGGAAACTGCCCCCATGATTCAATTACCTCCCACCAGATTCCTTCCATGACACGTGGGGATTATGGGAACTACAATTCAAGATGAGATTTGGGTGGGGACACAGCAAAATCCTATCAACACAGTAGGACTTATTTAGATATGTTGGTCATATATAGTGTGGTTAATTTTATGTGTCAACTTGACTGGGCCACAGGGTGCCCAGATACTGTCGTGTGTCACTTAATGACAGGAATATGTTCTGAGAAATGCATCATTAGGTAATTTCATTCCTGTTCAATAATCATAGAGCATACATACACAAATCTATATGGTATAACCTACTATACACCTAGGCTACATTGTACAGACTATTGGTCCCAGGCTACAAACCTGTACAGTATGTTACTGTACTGAATACTGTAGGCATTTGTAGCATAATGGTAATAATTTCTGTATCTAAAACATCTAAACATAGAAAAAATAATAGGTTGGGCTATGATGTTATGGCAGCTACAATGTCACTAGGCAATAGGAATTTTTCAGCTTCATTATAATCTTACGGGACCACTGCCATCATATGTGCAGTCCACCATTAACCAAAATGTAGTTATGTGGTACATGACTATATTTGGTCAAACATTGGTGTGTCTGTGAGGGTGCTTGTGGATGAGATTAACATCTGAATAACTCAATAGATAAAGCTGATTGCCCTCCCTAATGGGGGTGGGCATCATCCCATCAACTGAAGGCCAAAAGTCTAAGTAACTGGAAACTCCTACTGCTTATCTGCCTTCAAGCTGAGACCTTGTGTTCCCACCTCCCCATCCCCCCACTTTTGGACACAAACTGAAAATATCATCTTTTCCCAGGTCTTCTCAACCTTAAGAACATTCTGACTGGAATGACACTATTGACTCTCCTGGGTTTCCAGCTTGCTGACTGCAGATCTTGAGACTTGTCAGCTTCCATAATTGCACAAGCCAATTCCCTAAAATGTGAGTGTGTGTGTAACGGCTTAGTACATTCATGCTGCTATAACAAAATACCTGACACTGGGTAATTTGTAAATAATAAAGGTTTACTTCTCACAGTTTTAGAGGCTGGAAGTCCAACGTCAAGGTGCTGGAAGGGCCTGGTCTCTGCTTCCAAAATGGCACCTTGAATGCTGCATTTTTCAAAGGAGACAAATGCTGCATTTTTCAAAGGAGACATCACATGGTGGAAGGTAGAAGGCCAAAAATGACCTACCTAGTCCCCTCTAGCCCTTTTATAAGGCATGAATCCCATCCATGAGGGCAGAGCCCTTATGGTCTACATCCAAAAGGCCCTACCTTTTAATATATTGGAGATTAAGTTTGAACTTAATACATTGGAGATTAAGTTGCATTGGAGATTAAGTTTGAACATGAATTTTGGAGGGGACACCATCATTCAAATCATAGCCTATAGCTATAGATATAGCTGCAGATATAGATAGACATACACAGCCTCTTGGTTCTGTTTCTCTGGAGAACCCTAACTAATACAAATGGTATCTCAGGAAGTCTCACTTAATCTGAAACATGGAGGATAAATATAAATTAAAAAAATTAAGAAAAGTGCAAAGCATTTGCAAAATTTCTGAATTGAAAATAGTCCTAAGTGGTTAAAATTTAGTGCAAAAACCATGTTATGAATGTTACTTTATAGCTTCAGTGCAATTATTAAAGTTTTTTAAGTGAGGTAATAATTTATGTCTATATTTGGTATTTTAAAAATATATGTACATTTTACTTGAATTTATATTTTAAAAAATAGGTAACTATGATTAGTGATTGGAGAACAGGTTAAAGGTGTTGGGTGGGTTGAAAGTGAGATAAGACAGGAAGAGGGGTAGAAGTAGGGATGGCGAGGAGTACACAAAATCTAGACAGGATTTGGAGGTAAAATCAGCAGAACTCACTTATGGCTGAGGACAATGAGAATAAAGAGGCAGTGTGAAGGATAATTCCTATGTTTGTGGCTTGGGAAGTAGGGTTGAAACAACTGGATGAAGAGCAGAAGTGTAGAGTAATAACAGTGGTGAAATTTGGGGCATATTTATTTTTAAATGTAGCAATTCAAATGGTGATTTCCAAAATAATTATATATAAGGATTTGAAACTCAAAAGAGAGGTCTTAGGATATTTCTTTGGGAACCATAGGCTTATAAATGGTATTCATTTGCATGGCAATGGCTGAGATCACCTATGGAACAAACATAGACACAGGAGAAAAGAACACCTAGGACTGAGCTCTAGGTAAAAAATTTGAAGTTTGAAAAGATAATAGGGTCACAAAAAATACTGAGAAATGATCAAAAGACAACATCAGGAGAGTGTCACGCCATATAAGTCAAAGAAGAGGTGTA
Organism: Homo sapiens; assembly: GCF_000001405.40. Classification (NCBI taxonomy): domain Eukaryota; kingdom Metazoa; phylum Chordata; class Mammalia; order Primates; family Hominidae; genus Homo; species Homo sapiens. The sequence continues at coordinate 144,388,947 of NC_000004.12, forward strand.
AAGATTGGAGGAGGCAAGAATGTTAAATAAAGTTATAAGAAATGATAAAAGGAGAACATTTAAATTTGACAGAATAGACATAATTGGGGAAGGGAAAAAACCATATTACAAAAGGATTATCATATCTAGTAGAGTAATTTAGTACACTAATAAATAATCTTCTCAAGAGCAATAGGATTATGTCACAACCATCAAAGTAACAGATTCAAAGAAAGTCCGAAAACAGAAGAGAAGAATTCTATACATAATTTCGGAGATTGGCAACTTTTCTAAAATGATATGTCAACTCCATATGGATCATTTCACTGTGAGCATTATTGTGTCAGAAATATATTTTAATTTGTAATTTTTTGTATAGTTTTTACTACATGCAAAGAAAAAATTTGCCAAATTCCTAAAAAGTTTCACTGAAAATCTTATTAAAATAAATCCCTGATTATGTTAGTGTAATTAGGCCTGGAGTTATCTCCCTGCCATATACAGCTAGAAAACTGGAATAAATATAAAAAATAATAGTTCACAGACATTGAGACAAGAGGAGATATAGGAGATATAGTACTGTAACCCTGAGACAAAGAAAACAGATAAGGCATGCCTTATGCTTCTGGCTCCCTTCGTAGAGACACTTTTTATCATGTTGTAAAGAGAGAGATCTCAAGAGAGCGTGGGTGTATCACTGATTTGAAGAGACAAAGATGGGAGTTTAAGGAGCCTGAGGCAACTGGAATTTGAGATGGAGAATATTGCAAAGGAGGGAGAAATCCATGGAAGGGATCAAGAACTCTTCTTAGGGGCCCCTTGAAGGCTTTGGCTGAATAGTAAGCCATACATACAGAGTGTACAACTCAGTCAGTATGAGCAAAGACTTACATTTAGTAATTACATTAAATGTAAATGGTCTAAACACTCCAAATGAAAGTAAAGTTAATAGTTCCCAGACCAGAAGACATTCACGTACAAATAGAAATAGTGAAGAGTCTTTTTTTTTTTTAACAGATGAGAAATTCAGTAGACATACCATAAATAGCATGCTTAGGTAAGAAACCTAAACTAGTTTAGATTATCCCTAAATAAGTTTAAAAACATTACTTGAAAAGATTAAGATGACCTGCAACTAAATAAAATGACTGCTAAAACAAAATCCAAACCTCTTTAAAAGAAGACAACAAATCCATATTCTTATCAATACAACATTGAAAATGTTTAGAATACAATAAAAAGCTTCTAAACATGTGAGGGATAAAAATAAAAAACAAAAAATATGACCCACATTCAGCAGAACAATCAGTCATAATAAACAGATTCAGAAATAATAGAGATAAGGGAGTTAGTAAAGACCTTTAAAATAGAATATCTGAAATAAAAATGTAAATGCAGTGAACTAATAGCAGATTAGACATTTAGAAGAAAATCAGTGAACTTGAACACATAGCAATAGAAGCTACTTAAACTAAAGCAAAAACTAAAACACTGAAGTAAAATTAACAGAGCCTCAGTAATCTGTGAGACAATGTCAGGTAGTTCAATATCCATGTAATGGTAACCTTGGAAAATGGAGCAAAGGAGAAAAAAAGAAAATTTATTTGAATAAAGAGTGGCTGAGGAATTTCTAAGTACAATTTTAAAATACCATAAACTCACAGTTCTAAAAAGCTCAATAAACCATACAGAAGATATGCACTTATAAAAAATAAAGCTACATCTATGCACATCATATCAAATCACTTGAAGCAAGTGATAAAGAGAAAAGCAATAATGAGAAAACAACTACATCATCTAAAAAGGAACAACAGACATCTGAATTATGCAATCCAGAAGATCTTTAAAGTGCTTAAGAACAAAACAAACCAACCAACCTGTCGTTCTTCAAGTAATCTAAAATGCAAGCAAAATTAGGCAAACAAAAGCTATAAAACTTTGTTGCCAGCAGACCTACTCTATAAGTAATGTTGAAGGCAGTATTTCAGGTAAAAGGAAAATGATAACTGGAGGAAATTTGGGTCTACACCAAATAATGAAAACAGACAGAAATGATAAATGTGTGATCAAATGTTAAAGAATTTTGAATGTTTCCTAAATTTCTTTAGTTTATAATTGATGTCAAATACAAAAATAATGGCAGTATTTATGGTGTTTATAACATGGAAAATAAAATGTATGACTAACATAAAACAAAGCTCATGAGAGGAAATGGAAGTATACTGTTCAAGGATTTTATCTTACATATAAGTGGTTACCTTACTTATATGTTAAGTGATATAATATTATTGGAAGGTAAAATGTGAGAAGTTAAAAATGCATATTCTAAACTCCAAAACAAGTACTTAAAAATTAAACCAAAAATAAAAAAAAACAGCTCAGAAGCCAAGAATAAAAATGATGTTATTACTAAAAAATGTGTAATTCCCAAATAGAAGGCAGAAAATGAGAAAGAAATAAAGAATAGCTGCATGAATAAAAAAGAAATAGCAAGATTATAGATTTAAATTAAACCCTATTGATAATAACATTAAATGCAAATGGTCTAAACACTCCAAATGAAAGGCAGAGATTATCAGGCTGAATTTTTTTAAAGCAAGGCATAACTGCATTCTGTCTAGAAAAAGCTGGGCTGGAGCCAAGATGGCCGAATACGAACAGCTCCAGTCTACAGCTCCCAGCGTGAGCGACACAGATGATGGGTGATTTCTGCATTTCTGTCTGAGGTACTGGGTTCATCTCACTAGGGAGTGCCAGACTGTGGGCACAGGACAGTGTGTGCAGTGCACCGTGCACCAGCTGAAGCAGGGCGAGGCATTGCCTCACTCGGGAAGCGCAAGGGATTAGGGAGTTCCCTTTCCTAGTCAAAGAAAGGGGTGACAGACGGCACCTGGAAAATCGGGTCACTCCCACCCCAATACTGCACTTTTCCGAGGGGCTTAAAAAACGGCGCACCAGGAGATTATATCCCACACCTGGCTCGGAGGGTCCTACGTCCACGGAGTCCCACTGATTGCTAGCACAGCAGTCTGAGATCAAACTGCAAGGCTGCAGCGAGGCTAGGGGAGGGGAGCCCGCCATTGGCCAGGCTTGCTTAGGTAAACAAAGCAGGTGGGAAGCTCGAACGGGGTGGAGCCCACCACAGCTCAAGGAGGCCTGCCTGCCTCTGTAGGCTCCACCTCTGGGGGCAGGGCACAGACAAACAAAAAGACAGCAGTAACCTCTGCAGACTTAAATGTCCCTGTCTGACAGCTTTGAAGAGAGCAGTGGTTCTCCCAGTACGCAGCTGGAGATCTGAGAACAGGCAGACTGCCTCCACAAGTGGGTCCCTGACCCCTGACCCCCAAGCAGCCTAACTGGGAGGCACCCCCCAGTAGGGGCAGACTGACACCTCACATGGCTGGGTACTCCTCTGAGACAAAACTTCCAGAGGAACGATCAGACAGCAGCATTTGCAGTTCACGAAAATCCGCTGTTCTGCAGCCACCGCTGCTGGTACCCAGGCAAACAGGGTCTGGAGTGGACCTCTAGCAAACTCCAACAGACCTGCGGCTGAGGGTCCTGTCTGTTAGAAGGAAAACTAACAAACAGCAAGGACATCCACACCAAAAACCCATCTGTACATCACCATCATCAAAGACCAAAAGTAGATAAAACCACAAAGATGGGGAAAAAACAGAGCAGAAAAACTGGAAACTCTAAAAAGCAGAGCACCTCTCCTCCTCCAAAGGAACGCAGCTCCTCACCAGCAATGGAAAAAAGCTGGACGGAGAATAACTTTGACGAGTTGAGAGAAGAAGGCTTCAGACGATAAACTACTCCGAGCTAAAGGACGAAATTCAAACCAAAGGAAAAGAAGTTGAAAACTTTGAAAAAAATTTAGACGAATGTATAACTAGAATAACCAATACAGAGAAGTGCTTAAAGGAGCTGATGTCGCTGAAAGCCAAGGCTCGAGAACTACGTGAAGAATGCAGAAGCCTCAGGAGCTGATGCGATCAACTGGAAGAAAGGGTATCAGTGATGGAAGATGAAGTGAATGAAATGAAGTGAGAAGGGAAGTTTAGAGAAAAAAGAATAAAAAGAAACAAACAAACCTCCAAGAAATATGGGACTATGTGAAAAGACCAAATCTACGTCTGATTGGTGTACCTGAAAGTGACGGGGAGAATGGAACCAAGTTGGAAAACACTCTGCAGGATATTATCCAGGAGAACTTCCCCAATCTAGCAAGGCAGGCCAACATTCAAATTCAGGAAATACAGAGAACGCCACAAAGATACTCCTCGAGAAGAGCAACTCCAAGACACATAATTGTCAGATTCACCGAAGTTGAAATGGAGGAAAAAATGTTAAGGGCAGCCAGAGAGAAAGCTCGGGTTACCCAAAAAGGGAAGCACATCAGACTAACAGTGGATCTCTCAGCAGAAACTCTACAAACCAGAAGAGAGTGGGGGCCAATATTCAACATTCTTAAAGAAAAGAATTTTCAACCCAGAATTTCATATCCAGTCAAACTAAGCTTCATAAGTGAAGGAGAAATAAAATACTTTACAGACAAGCAAATGCTGAGAGATTTTGTCACCACCAGGCCTGCCCTAAAAGAGCTCCTGAAGGAAGCACTAAACATGGAAAGGAATAACCAGTAACAGCCACTGGAAAAACATGCCAAATTGTAAAGAAACTGCATCAAGTAACGAGCAAAATAACGAGCTAACATCATAATGACAGGATCAAATTCACACATAACAATATTAACTTTAAATGTAAATGGACTAAATGCTCCAATTAAAACACACAGACTGGCAAATTGGATAAAGAGTCAAGACCCATCAGTGTGCTTTATTCAGGAAACCCATCTCACGTGCAGAGACACACATAGGCTCAAAATAAAAGGATGGAGGAAGATCTACCAAGCAAATGGAAAACAAAAAAAGGCAGAGGTTGCAATCCTGGTCTCTGATAACACAGACTTTAAACCAACAAAGATCAAAAGAGACAAAGAAGGCCATTATATAATGGTAAAAGGATCAATTCAACAAGAAGAGCTAACTATCCTAAATATATATGCACCCAATACAGGAGCATCCAGATTCACAAAGCAAGTCCTGAATGACCTACAAAGAGACTTAGACTCCCACACAATAATAATGGGAGACTTTAACACCCCACTGTCAACATTAGACAGATCAACGAGACAGAAAGTTAACAAGGATACCCAGGAATTGAACTCAGCTCTGCACCAAGTGGACCTAATAGACATCTACAGAACTCTCCACCCCAAATCAACAGAATATACATTTTTTTCAGCACCACAACGCACCTATTCCAAAATTGACCACATCGTTGGAAGTAAAGCTCTCCTCAGCAAATGTAAAAGATCAGAAATTATAACAAACTGTCTCTCAGACCTCAGTGCAAACAAACTAGAACTCAGGATTAAGAAACTCCCTCAAAACCGCTCAACTACATGGAAACTGAACAACCTGCTCCTGAATGACTACTGGATACATAATGAAATGAAGGCAGAAATAAAGATGTTCTTTGAAACCACTAAGAAAAAGACACAACATACCAGAATATCTGGGACACATTCAAAGCAGTGTGTAGAGAGAAATTTACAGCACCAAATGCCCACGAGAGAAAGCAGGAAAGATCCAAAATGGACACCCTAACATCACAATTAAAAGAACTAGAAAAGCAAGAGCAAACACATTCAAAAGCTAGCAGAAGGCAGGAAATAACTAAAATCAGAGCAGAACTGAAAGAAACAGAGACACAAAAAACCCTTCAAAAAATTAATGAATCCAGGAGCTGGTTTTTTGAAAGGATCAACAAAATTAATAGACCACTAGCAAGACTAATAAAGAAGAAAAGGGAGAAGAATCAAATAGACGCAATAAAAAATGATAAAGGGGATATCACCACCGATCCCACAGAAATACAAACTACCATCAGAAAATACTACAAACACCTCTATGCAAATAAACTAGAAAATCTAGAAGAAATGGATAAATTCCTCAACACATACACCCTCCCAAGACTAAACCAGGAAGAAGTTGACTCTCTGAATAGACCAATAACAGGCTCTGAAATTGTGGCAATAATCAATAGCTTACCAACCAAAAAGAGTCCAGGACCAGATGGATTCACAGCCGAATTCTACCAGAGGTACAAGAAGGAACTGGTACCGTTCCTTCTGAAACTACTCCAATCAATAGAAAAAGAGGGAACCCTCCCTAACTCATTTTATGAGGCCAGCATCATCCTGATACCAAAGCCGGGCAGAGACACAATCAAAAAAGAGAATTTTAGACCAATATCCTTGATGAACATTGATGCAAAAATCCTCAATAAAATACTGGCAAACCGAATCCAGCAGCACATCAAAAAGCTTATCCACCATGATCAAATGGGCTTCATCCCTGGGATGCAAGGCTGGTTCAACATATGCAAATCAATAAATGTAATCCAGGATATAAACAGAACCAAAGACAAAAACCACATGATTATCTCAATAGATGCAGAAAAGGCCTTTGACAAAATTCAAAAACTCTTCACGCTAAAAACTCTCAATAAATTAGGTATTGATTGGATGTATCTCAAAATAATAAGAGCTGTCTATGACAAACCCACAGCCAATATCATACTGAATGGGCAAAAACTGGAAGCATTCCCTTTGAAAACTGGCACAAGACAGGGATGCCCTCTCTCACCACTCCTATTCAACATAGTGTTGGAAGTTCTGGCCAGGACAATTAGGAAGGAGAAGGAAATAAAGGGTATTCTATTAGGAAAAGAGGAAGTCAAATTGTCCCTGTTTGCAGATGACATGATTGTATATCTAGAAAACCCCATTGTCTCAGCCCAAAATCTCCTTAAGCTGATAAGCAACTTCAGCAAAGTCTCAGGATACAAAATCAATGTGCAAAAATCACAAGCATTCTTATACACCAATAACAGACAGAGAGCCAAATCATGAGTGAACTCCCATTCACAATTGCTTCAAAGAGAATAAAATACCTAGGAATCCAACTTACAAGGGATGTGAACGACCTCTTCAAGGAGAACTACAAACCACTGCTCAATGAAATAAAAGAGGATACAAAGAAATAGAAGAACATTCCATGCTCATGGGTAGGAAAAATCAATATCATGAAAATGGCCATACTGCCCAAGGTAATTTATAGATTCAATGCCATCCCCACCAAGCTACCAATGACTTTCTTCACAGAATTGGAAAAAAACTACTTTAAAGTTCGTATGGAAACAAAAAAGAGCCCGCATCACCAAGTCAATCCTAAGCCAAAAGAACAAAGCTGGAGGCATCACACTTCCTGACTTCAAACTATACTACAAGACTACAGTAACCCAAACAGCATGGTACCGGTACCAAAACAGAGATATAGATCAATGGAACAGAACAGAGCCCTCAGAAATAATGCCGCATATCTACAACTATCTGATCTTTGACAAACCTGAGAAAAACAAGCAATGGGGAAAGGATTCCCTATTTCATAAATGGTGCTGGGAAAACTGGCTAGCTATATGTAGAAAGCTGAAACTGGATCCCTTCCTTACACCTTATACAAAAATCAATTCAAGATGGATTAAAGACTTAAACGTTAGCCCTAACACCATAAAAACCCTAGAAGAAAACCTAGGCATTACCATTCAGGACATAGGCATGGGTGAGGACTTCATGTCTAAAACACCAAAAGCAATGGCAACAAAAGCCAAAATTGACAAATGGGATCTAAATAAACTAAAGAGCTTCTGCACAGCAAAAGAAACTACCATCAGAGTGAACAGGCAACCTACAGAATGGGAGAACATTTTCACAACCTACTCATCTGACAAAGGGCTAATATCCAGAATCTACAATGAACTCAAACAAATATACAATAAAAAAACAAACAACCCCATCAAAGAGTGGGCGAAGGACATGAACAGACACTTCTCAAAAGAAGACATTTATGCAGCCAAAAAACACATGAAAAAATGCTCATCATCACTGGCCATCAGAGAAATGCAAATCAAAACCACAATGAGATACCATCTCATGCCAGTTAGAATGGCAATCATTAAAAAGTCAGGAAACAACAGGTGCTGGAGAGGATGTGGAGAAATAGGAACACCTTTACACTGTTGGTGGGACTGTAAACTAGTTCAACCATTGTGGAAGTCATTGTGGCGATTCCTCAGGGATCTAGAACTAGAAATACCGTTTGACCCAGCCATCCCATTACTGGGTATGTGCCCAAAGGACTATAAATCATGTTGCTATAAAGACACATGCACATGTATGTTTATTGTGGTACTATTCACAATAGCAAAGACTTGGAACCAACCCAAATGTCCAACAATGATAGACTGGATTAAGAAAATGTGGCACATATACACCATGGAATACTATGCAGCCATAAAAAATGATGAGTTCATGTCCTTTGTAGGGACATGGATGAAATTGGAAATCATCATTCTCAGTAAACTATCGCAAGAACAAAAAACCAAACACCACATATTCTCACTCATAGGTGGGAACTGAACAATGAGAACACATGGACACAGGAAGGGGAACATCGCACTCTGGGGACTGTTGTGGGGTGGGGGGAGGGTGGAGGGATAGCTTTAAGAGATATACCTATTGCTAAATGATGAGTTAATGGGTGCAGCACACCAGTATGGCACATGTATACATATGTAACTAACCTGCACATTGTGCACATGTACCCCAAAACTTAAAGTATAATAATAAAAAAAGAAAAAAAAAGAAAAAGCACACTATTAAAAAACATAGTAAAATGAGTGAAAAATATTTACCATGCTAACAATAATCTAAAGAAAGTTGTAGTGTCTATTTTAATATCTTGCAAAATTAATTTTAGAACAAGAAATATTACAAGGGATATAATAAGGGTATTTTTGAACCTACGTTGCATGTAGGTTCAAAATACATGAAAAAGTAAAAAGTCCTCTCTGAATAGTTCATAGTATAAGCAGACCTAAAATTAGAAAAAAATTTAGTAGGCATGTATAACACTGTCAACCAATTTGACCTAATTATCACTTATAGACCATTCCTTCCAATATCAGCAGAATACACACCCAATTTTCAATGGCCCATAGAACACTTAGAAACCATGTTAGGTGATACAAGTTTCAATGAATTTAAAAGGATTCTCAGCATATAGAATATGTTCATTAACAACAATAAAATTAAAGCAGAAATCAATAATAAAACATATTTTTAAATTCCCAGATATTTGAAGATAAACACTACAATTCCAAATAACCCATGGGTTAAAGAAGAAATCCCAAAAGATATTAGAAAATATTTTGAACCAAATTAAGATGAAATCACAGCACATTAAAATTTGAAGATTCAAGCTAAAACAATGTGTAGAAAAAAATTTATACTTTAAATGTTTATATTAGGAAATAATAAATACTTAAGATTAATGGTCCTTATAACTTCCACCTTAAGAAATTAGAAAAAGTAGTACAATTAACTCAGGAGGAGGAAGGAAATAATACTGGAAATCAATAAAATAGACAATAAAATAAAATAGAAAAAAATTAATGAAACCAAAATCTGGTTCTCTGGAAAGCTTAATAAAATTAATAAGCTTCTAGTTATATTAATGAAAGTGAGAGAGAGAGAAGACACAAATTACCAATATTAAGAATAAAAAGGGGATATTATTGCAGAACCCATAGAAATTGAAATTGCAACAAAGAATTATTAAAACAAGTATATGCCAAATAATTTTTAAGCTTAGATTAAAAAATAACCATATTTACTGAAATAGACTAATTATAGAACTGACTTAAGAAGAAATAAAAAGCCTCTAGCTATTTAGACTATAATTAAAAATCTCCCCTCAAAGAGAACTAAAAGTTCAGGTGGCTTCACTGGTGAGCTATATTAAATATTTAATGAAGAAGTAATGCCAATATTTTACAAATTATCCTTTAAAGTAGAGGAGGAATGTACATGTCTCAACTCATTTTTATTAAAATTGGCACCAAAACCAAAGACATTACAAGAAAACTGCAGACTAATGTCCCTCATGAGATTAGATGCAGAAACATTGAAGAAAATATCAGCAAATCAAATTCAATAATAAGTAAAAAGACAATACATTGCATCAGAGAGCGGCTTATTTCAGAAATGCAAGGTTGGATGAGTGTATAATCAACCAATGCCATTCATCTCATTGGGAGTTTGAAGGGGAAATGCTTAATGTAGAACAAACATTGAAAAAACATAATACCCAGCCGGGCGGGGTGGCTCACGCCTGTAATCCCAGCACTTTGGGAGGCCGAGGCGGGTGGATCACGAGGTCAGGAGATTGGGACCGTCCTGGCTAACACGGTGAAACCACGTCTCTACTAAAAATACAAAAAAATGTAGTCCCAGGTACTCAAGAGGCTGAGGCGGAAGAATGGCGGGTGAACCCAGGAGGCGGAGCTTGCAGTGAGCCGAGATGGCACCACTGCACTCCAGCCTGGGCGACAGAGCAAGACTCCGTCTCTAAAAAAAAAAAAACCGTAATACCCATTCATAAAAACATTCTCAAAAAATAGCAATAGAAAGAAACTTCTAACCTAATAAAGTGCATCTATAAAATACCTACAATCAATAATATACTTAATGGTGAAAGACTAAATGCTTCTTTTTATTATCAAGAATAAGAAAGGATATCCGCTGCCAGTACTTCTATTCAACGTTGTACTGGAGGTTGTGAAAGCTAGTGCAACAAAGCAACAAAAAAGCAGTAAGAGACATATAGAAATAAAGTTTGCTCCCAGTTTCCTTTCTTCAAAGAAATAATTCACATCAACTGCTTTCTTGTCTTTTTCAATTTTTTTTCTTCCATGTTCCAACTCTTAAGCTAGGAACATTATTCTAGCTGTTGGTTTGTAAAAGAACAAACTCTCTTTCTGCCAGGAATCTATGTCTTCTGGTTAGCTTCAGGTTGGAACTGCTCTCCTCAAATCTACCAAAATCCAACATTAGGCTTCTGGTAAATTGCAAAATGACAACACATTATTTCCATTCCTGAAGATATATTCCTTTGCAAGGTTACTTTACAACTTGTCCATCATTGAAGAGGAGTAGTCTGTATATCCATCCCTTGAATCAGACATCATTACTTGCTTTGGACAATAGAAAGCAGCAGAAGTGATGAGTCAGTTCAAGCCTACGCCTCAAGAGACCTTATTTTCACTATTGTTTTTGGAAGCCTGCCATGCCACGAGAACAAGTCTGAGCTATCCTGCTGGATAGTAAGAGACCATTTAAATGAGAACCAAGATGCCCTAACTTACAGCCATTTCTTAGCTGATCTCAGACACTCAAGTAAGCTCTAGCAACTTGGTCTAGGTGAGAAGATTGTCAGCTGAGTCCAGCCCAAATTGATGACCTGAAATTAAAACAATGGCTGTTGTTTTAAGGCACTAAGTTTTGCATTTATTTGTGACACATCAAATGCTGTACTGATAAAAGTACACAGTGGAATTTGCTCACAGGATTGCTTCTTTATTTTTTGGTCTCTAGTATCATCTCCCCAAAGTTGCATATGTTTTAATTCCCCTTCCCCCTCTCCTTGTTTGCAGGTGAAAATTCTCTCAAAACTTCAATTTTTCTTGCAACTTTTCCCTGCTAGATTAGGGGTGTGTGTGTGTGTGTGTGTGTGTGTGTGTGTGTGTCTGACGGAATTGAACTAAAAAAGGAAGACTTCTGTGAACCTAAAGAAGTAGTACTTGGCTGGGCACGATCCGAGGCAGTCGGATCTCAAGGTCAAGAAATCGAGACCATCCTGGCCAACATGGTGAAACCCCGTCTCTACTAAAAATACAAAAATTAGCTGGGCATGGTGGTGCACACCTGTAGTCCCAGCTACTCAGGAGTCTGAGGCAGGAGAATCGCTTGAACCTGGGAAGCAAGGTCGCAGTGAGCAGAGATTGCACCACTGCACTCTAGCCTGGCTACAGAGCAAGACTGTCTCAAAAAAAAAAAAAAAAAAAAAAAGTAGTACTTAAGTGGAAATAGAAACAGTTCTTTTTAGCTTTATCTTCGGCTTGATTTACACATTTTACTTATTTTTGATACAGTGCCTTGTGGTTGGCAATCCATAAATAAGGGACATAAATGGTTAAATAATTGATATATTTTTCATTTTAATGTATATTTCTAAGGAAAGTAAAATAAAAAATCATTTTTATTTGAATAGTTTGTGTCACTCTGGATTAATTTATACTGGGCCTTACTTGGAATCCATGTCTCCTGCTAGAGGTTGAAAATCCCAGATATTCATGTTGAAACACCTAATCTGTGGTCCTTCATTTATTCATTCAGCAAATGTGTATTCATTATCTACTATTTGGTAAGCCCTATACTAGACTGAGGAAACAAAGATGAAGAAGATAGTGTTCCTATTTGCAGCATCTCAAAACATTGTTTTTAATAAAATTACTAGTGGGGTAAGTGACACCTTTGTTAGTAAAGCACTGAAACTTATAAATTATATTGTTTTAAAGATCTCTGTATTAGAAACTTACTCTTCTTTACTTGTACTTTTATATCTAGTTTTAAGTAGAAAAATAAGGGAGCAAACATTACAGTCCTTGGATCTAATTCTAGATGTACTCATGAAATGTCTCACATGTGATATGCATCTATCATGTATTTTGCCACTGAAATAAAATCGAGAATTGTTGTGGGAAAGAAAGATGAATACGTAAATGAGTGAGTTAATAAGAGTGTTGTAGACAGGATAACAGAATATACGGTAGCATCTAGGTGAAAAGACCATAGAAAAGGCTTTATATAAAAGATCACTCTTGATATGGGAGGCAAGTGGATGTTTGCTATTTGGACAAAATGCTGGGGAAGGAGAGGGTATGGTAGGCACAGGGAGCCTACCATTTTATTACCTAAGGAATAAAATGAAGATAATGAAGGAAAAGGGCTTGGCATGAACATTAGCATGAGATGGGACATGGAGCAGAGGAAATGAGGGGTGGCAGCAAAAAATAGGATGAGAGATTAGAAAAATTGGCTGAGGCCAAATCATAGAGAACTTCTATGCCATGCCATGCTGGCTGAACATTCTCTGTAAATGACAGAGAAATTATTGAATCATTCTGAGAAGGTAAATCGTGAGAATTAGCTTTATATTTTAGAAAGATTTATCTGGAGATATTTTGGAGGATAAATGAAATCCTAGAGTTAAGGGAAGCCCAGTTAAAAAAACAAACAAACAAAAACCCCTCTTACTACAATAGTGTAGTAAAAGAATGCAAGGGCCTAAAGTGATCTCAGTGGCAGGGAAGGAGGGGAATATCTATAGATTCATTAGTACTTGGTCCTATTGGAATGTGGCTGGTGACAGAAAAAGAACAGGCCCAGATGGTGCTCAGCTTTTGGATGTGGGGCATTCACTGAGTGAAGAGTGGTCTCATTAAGCACAATAAGAAACAGGCCAGCAGGTTTCCAGTGAATTCAGAGGACTAAAGAGTTAGCTGACGGCTGTATTTGCTTATCATTGAAACAATGTAGAAGAGGTTTTCTGGGATATCCAAGGAGAATGTTTCACTGGTATCCTGCTTCCCCGGTGCTGTACACTGGCTAGGCAAGTGTTTCATATACACATATGTTAATGCTGAAGAATCCAGCTCAGGTAATAAACTAATGATCTTCTGATTCTTTCAGATGAAAAACTTTTGACATTATGCATCAAAAGAACATAGAGTGTCCCTAAAATACTTGCAAAGGTCTCTTGCATTCTCATTATTCTGTGACTAATTACCCTGTTCTTTTAAGCAAGTTTCTGGAACTCACCTTTATATGAGAATGCTGAACTAGATGTTTTCTACATTTCCTGTCTTGCTGCTTTAAAAATAAAATATTTTCTGTGTTGAGCAGCTAAAAGAGACCTCATTATTGAATAAGTCCTAGACAGCAAATAGGTATAACTATTTGAATAGAATGGGCAACCTATTTTTTCAAAAATATTATAGGAGGGTTTGTCAGTTGGAAGATTCTTCTTTATAGTTATCATGTCCATTCTTCAAGCATTTTGACACTAAGATATCTTTTGTTTTTAGAAACTATTATCTCCAGAGTGACAAATTTTAAATTTCCCAATAAAATAAACTGAGAGCAGAACTCAAATAACCAAGAGTACTATTTGACTGTTCATTTCTTACCTAAAATAAAAATAAAACACATCTCCTTACCCACATCTAATTTGGGGGCTGCCAAAGGACTCAAAAAAACACCACTTTGCTTATCAAAAAACCCAGGGAAAAACCCTGAGGTTAATTTTGAACATTGAACAATGTTGTTCTTGACTTTTTAAAGTTTTCTTCACAGAAGCAATGTGGGTTAAAGGGAAAGTAGTGTAACTGTGATTTATTTTTAAATGTTAATGCTCAAGGGGAATACTTTTGGCTTCGCTGGTTCTACTACCATCAGGATATCATTTTCCTTTCCTTGTTCTTACAGTTGTATATATGAGAAAACCAGGACTTCATTTATGGTTATGCTTCTTCTCCCCACAGGACTTGCCAATATTCTCCATTTAAATTTAAGGCATAAGTGAAATGGGCTGACTTTGGTTTAACTAAAAAGTCACATATTCATGACTATATAAGAAAAATGTTGTATTGATTCTGATAGCCCACAGACTATTCAGTTTTGATTGATACTTTACTCAAATACACGGCATGTTTTAAATTCTCATTATGCATTTTTGTGAATGGGAAGTGAAGAGTTTGTGGCAGTATTAAGTGTAAGGAAAATCTGAATAGCTTTGAATTATCCTTGTTTGGTGTTTTTAGCCTTATTTGGGGTTATTTTCATGAAGATAAGTTAAGTCTGCTATGGAAATAAAACACAAAACACTGAATTTAGTGATGGGTTTGTAAATAACAAAATTCCAAGTCACTTTCATTCTCAAGTGATTGTCTCTCTAGAAGGTAGTTAGGGACCATATATCTGAAGGAGTTTGGCCTTCCAAATATGTTGGCAGTTCTTGGCCTCCACTCAGGTTCTGGCTGGTATGAAATTTGTTTTTCTTCGAAGGCTGCTCCAAGACTTCAGTAAAATGATTTGTATCTGGGTCTGTTTTGCTTCTCATGTGGTATCATACTCCCTTGCACAGACTTTGCCAGGAATAACCTCTTTTGGAAGGAAAGGAAAAAAGAGGGAGGGAAAGAGGGATAAGGGAGAAACAGCATATCAGACTGCCTTTATATTTTGGAATTTTGATAAAGAAAGCAGAACTCACTGTGAAATTCACTGAAACATTCCATTGCCTAGATAATAATAATCAAATATTTTAGTAGAAGGTTGAAAAGATATAGCTTCATGGTTATTAATAGAGGGGTATAATATTAGGCCACAATGTGATTTTCTGCATCAAAAGAAGAGTAGATTAGGCGACACTGATGGAAATACGGTGCCTGAACCAGAGACTGTAGTCTCTCTGGATGCTGCTGCTTTGAAGGATTTCATTTAATCCAGCTACTACCATCTAAAGAGGATGGTGACATATTAAAATGCATCTAGAAACAACCATCCAGTAGCACTAGCTCAGAGGACATGATATTTCAGGAAGACTGAAAACACAGACTAAAGAAAAATTATGTTGCATTTCTGAAAGTGTGCTGGGCTGATCACCTGAGTCAGGATAAGCTGAGGTGCTTTTTAAAATGCAGATTTTTGACTTCACCTGAGAATTCGAGAATCAGAAACTTGAGGGAGAGTTCTGGGGTGATGTGCTTCTTAAAGAAGTTTTCCAAATGAGGTTTATGCACATAAGTGTTTGAGAACCCCTGGAATGGATGAACCTGAGGGCAAGCTGCCAGGGATGGTTGGGCTATTATAAGGTAGATGAGAAGATAAGGCATAGGGTCCAAGGCATTGGTAAGGTAAGGCGTTGGTCCAAGGATGGAATTCAGCTACAGGGAGACAGATTTCAATCTAATAAATCTAAAATCATGAGCACTTTTTCATCACACAGTTTTCTTCTTTAAACTGTCATTTCTTAGCAAAGTACATTTCACTTTATGGGTGCTAAGGAAATGTATGTGGAGGGGATGAATGAATAACTCTAATTAGAGAACCATATATTCTGGTTTGATAGGGCAGTTCTTGATTTACACCTGTTAAGCCAGTGTCCTTTCTAGTTTAGCATTTGTCCTGGATTTCTCTCTCTCTCTCTCTCTCTCTCTCTCTCTCTCCTCTCCCTCTTTCTCTCACTCACTCTTGCTCTCTCTCTTTCTCGCTTTCATAAAGTATTATTGTAAGTATTCATAAAGCATTATAGTGGCATTAAAGTAAGAAAGGGTAGATTTGACCTACTTCTACTTTGTATTTCCAGCTTCCGCCATGGGTTTACTACTATTTGTGAGGTGAATGCAAGTGAACAAAGTTCCTACTTTTAACATGTGGTTAAATCTGAAAGGTGACCAACAGTGACTCTCTCTCTTTTTCCTATCATTCTAGTTGTAACATAATTAATACTTCCCTTTATAGAACACCATATGGAGAGCTCACTGATATGATAAGTACCTTGGAACCCAAAGAGCTAAGGGTAGCGTTTAAGTCTGTTTGCACTGCTATAAAGGAATACCAGAGACTGGGTAATTTACAAAGAAAAGGAAATTAATTGGCTCATGGTTTGGCAGGCTGTACAGGAGGCATGGCCCCAGCATCTGCTTAGCTTCTGGGGAGGCCTCAGGGAGCTTTCCCTCATGGTGGAAGGCAAAGTGGGAGCAGGCAGATCACATAACAAGAGAGAGAAAAAGAGAGAGGTGGCGAGGCCTCGGACTCTTTTAAACAATGAGCCCTTACATGAACTCACAGAACAAGAACTTACTCATTACCACAGGGAGGGCACCAAGCCATTCATGAGGGATCTGCCTCTATGACCCAAACACCTCCCACTAGGCCCACCTCCAACATTGGAGGTTACATTTCAACATGAGATTTGGATGGGACAAGACATCCAAACCATATCAGTAGCTAACTCGATCCAGTCTCAAATGGTAGAGACAGCAGTGAATGCTGCTACTCCTGTTAGCAGCGTGGTATACCAACCTGCATGCCATGACCCATGCTATGGCCTACAAGGTACACCAAGCTGTCAAGCCACCAGTTAGCAAGACCAGAGGACAGTGTGTAAAATTACAAATTAAGTGTAAATAAGTATGTACAGGAAATAAAGGCCAACAGTTCTGCCAAAGAACCTAGAGCAAGTAATTGGAAGGTCCTTGTTACAATTGTTTTGTCAGAACTTTGTACCATGTTAATCAACTATCTAGTTATTTACTGTTTGTTAATTCTATTTTGTTCTGTAATAAGCCCTTATAGCAGCAATATATTGAAAAAAATAAAACTGTGTATGTAGTGAACATTTAAGTTCTGAATTTCTGTTTCATAAAATATTTGTTGACATTTATCATTCACATAGGGGCCATAGTGACATCACTGGCCATATGAAAACCAGAATACACAAATCTTCTGAAAAGCTTTAATGTCTAATTAGGTTGAACTATATCAAATTGCTGTTTTGTAGGTCCAAAGCAAAGAGTTTTAGTACTATCATATAATTTAATCTAATGCTAGTTATTTTTAGATGATAATTGCTTTTGCTTTTGCTTTGCAATTACTATCTTAAAATAACTAGCATTAGGTTGACAAATGGGACCTAGTTAAACTAAAGAGCTTCTGCACAAAGAAACTATCATCAGATTGAACAGACAAACTACAGAATGGGAGAAAATTTTTGCAATCTATCCATCTGACAAAGGGCTAATATCTAGAATCTACAAATAACTTATACAAATTTACAAGAAAAAACCCCATCAAAAAGCAGGCAAAGGACATGAACAGACCCTGCTCAAAAGAAGACATATGGCAAACAAACATATGAAAAAAAAGCTCATCATCACTGGTCATTAGAGAAATGCAAATCAAAACCACAATGAGATGCCATCTCATGCCAGTTAGAGTGGCAATCATTAAAAAAGTCAGGAAAAAATAGATACTGGAGAGGATGTGGAGAAATAGGAACACTTTTACACTGTTGGTGGGAATGTAAATCAGTTCAACCATTGTGGAAGACAGTGTGGTGATTCCTCAAGGATCTAGAACCAGAAATGCCATTTGACCCAGCAATCCCATTACTGGGTATATACCCAAAGGATTATAAATCATTCTACTATAAAGACACATACACATGTATGTTTACTGCAGCACTGTTCACAATAGTAAAGACTTGGAACCAACCCAAATGCCCATCAATGATAGACTGAATAAACAAAATGTGGCACATATACACCATGGGATTCTATGCAGCCATAAAAAAGGATGAGTTCATGTCCTTTGCAGGGACATGGATGAAGCTGGAAACCATCATTCTCAGCAAACTAACACAGGAACAGAAAACCAAACACCTCATGTTCTCATTCATAGGTGGGACTTGAACAATGAGAACACATGGACACAGGGAGGGGCACATCACACACAGGGGCTTGTTGGGAGGTGGGGGCCTAGGGGAGAGATAACATTAGGAGAAATATCTAATGTAGATAACAGGTTGATGGGTGCAGCAAACCACCATGACACGTGTATACCTACGTAACAAACCTGCACGTTCTGCACATGTATCTCAGAACTTAAAGTGTAATAATAAAAAAAACCTGAACTCATAAAAAAGATGATAATTTAACATCAACAATGGCAGAAGATGCATTTGTAAATCATTCTTTGAAGGCAGACTTTTCACTTAATCAAATGACTGTTTTTATAAACTAATTTAATTTACTCTTCATTCTAAGATTATTTTTATGCATTACTAAAAGTTAGTATTGATTTCATTCACAGAACTTTGCAAACATTAAAATGATGTTAATTTTATATTTGTAAATATTAGATGCTTCATCTAGAAAATAAGTTAAATGAATTACAATGAGAAGTATCCAATTCACAAATGGTAAATGCAATGTTAATGTGAATATACATTTTGGAGAAGGAGATTATTGTAGTAAAAACAATATTCTTTGCAAATTAAGAAACCTGTGAAGCAGCAACTGGTTATATCATAAGAATAATTCATAATTGCATCCAAACAAACTGGGATATTCTACAATAGAGGGAGCATCTCTAGTTGCTAAAATTTACAAATACTTTTATATATTCATAGGGTAGTAATACTACAAACATGTTGTGATTAAGCCTATGTTGAATAAAAAATTAGTTTAATATGGTAACATGCACTTTTTTCCTTGCTGTCCATCATCAATCTACCATTAGAATTGTTGAGCCACTAAAGTACTACTTATAAAATTACCTAAATATTCTTAATGTCAGGGAACTTTTTCTGTAAGTAAGCTTTCTAAATTTTGATCACAATTTTCTTAATTAAAATCTTTAATCAAAGAATTCAAAAAATAAATTTTTAAAAAAATTTCAAAATATTCAAGAAAATTATAATAGTTGAAAACAAAATTCACAAACCAAAGACACTGAAATTTATTTCTACAAAACTAAGAAGGTAACTGAACAAATTGAACCATGAGAGCTCAAAATCTCTGCAGGATTTTATTTTGAAGTTTTACAATTGCACTTTGAAATATCTTGAATTGTGAGAAGACTGATCTGATCAAGTTCCTACTTTTAGTTGGATAAATTTATATTTTAAGTTAGACTGGAATGAAATTGAGAAGGCCTACAAGTTTACAGCATTGAAATTAGGTGGAATATTTAAAATAATTATTAATAGAACTTGCATATATTAAAGAAAAATACTCTAAATGGAGGCAAAAACATGGCACCTGTGAAAATATTTATAAGTTTTAATGCAGAAAAATATAGAATTGAGAATTTTCTTTAGTGGAATTTGCTTTAAGCTTACTGAGCACCTCAGCATGTGTGTGTGCGTGTGCATGCATGCACGCACGCATGCCTGTGTGTGTGTGTGCATATGTATATTTCTTAATGATAAATATCTTAATACATAAAGGTCAATTTATTATATCAACAATTTAAAATGTATTCACCATAAAATAAGCTTTGCAGAACAATGAAGGCCATTTTATGAAAAAATGTAAAATATTAAAACAGTATTGAAAATAATACATTCTTCAGAAAAATGCCAGTGACACATTTTTAGGTATACAGCTAAGAAACTAATACAGGAATCTGTACAAAGAATTATATAGATATGTAATTTTTAAATGTTCAGATAATTATTATAATGAAGCCTTTTTAAATGTTGCTTTAATTTACAGGGACCTTGTTTATGTTTTTTTAAAAATATTTTTCCAAATAGTTTTTGAATATAACTATTTTTTGGGTCCACCAATTTACTAAGACTGATTTGTCAGTCAGTAAACCCTGCAACAATTATATAATTTAATGAGTTTCAGTACTTCCATTCTTTTGCTCTCAAATGTATCCCAGTTTTGATGAAGAATTGCATAGTCATCTTACCTTTAATGGTTAGTGAGAGCTGGATTAGACTGTCACAGAAAGTAGTGAGCTTCCTATCCCAAGACATTTTGAAGAACAGGGTAAGCTGAGCCCAACTAACAGATGCTATAGATGGCATGTCCGAATCAAGAACGAGGCTGGAACAGATCACTGGGACTCAGCCTTTCACTTCTTGTCTGCACAATCACTTTTTCAAAGATATTTGCGCAGAGGAGAGAAGCAACGCTTTATTTTTTATTAATAAAGTTTTATTAATTTTATTATTTTTATTATTAGTTTTATTAATTTTAATATTAATTTTATTAATATTAGTTTTACTAATATTAGTTTTATTAATTTTTATTCATCAACTAAGTAAAAGGAAGAAAAGAAGAAGAGAGAGAAGGAAGGGAAGGGAAGGAAGAAGGGAGGAAGGAAGGGAGGAAGGAAGGCAGGAAGGAAAGAGAAGGGAAGAAAGAAGGAAGAAAGGAGAAGGGAAGAAGGAAGGAAGGAAGGATGGAAGGAAGGAAGGAAAAAAGAAGGGAAAGAGAAGGGCGATAGGAAGGGATGATGGGAAGAAGGGAATAATAAGTGAGGGGGGAAAAACAAGAGGCTCTGAGAACTACGACAGCCTCTCCTTGTTGGACATAATGCTAGGGGTTACTTTCTTCTTGAATCATGCTTAATTTTCACTAGTGAGGTCTGTTACAGCCTATCTGTTCATAGGCAATGGTCCTTTTGCCAGGAAATGGGCAGAAACCCTAGCACAATAACCCATCGAATGTACTTAAGACATTTGTTGGTGGGTCAGGAGTAAAGTGGAATTGAGGAAGCACTCACTGTCTAAGGTCACTGCAGCCAAATAAGCATTAGTGGTTAATCTGTAGACAGGCAGGGTGGCTGCATTTGGCAGGTTAAACAGGCAATAACACCATAGAGTGGGGAGGTTTTCTTTAATAGTTGTTACTAAAAGTGCAAACGAGACTATATTATCATCTCACTGGTAGCATGAATACTGCTAGGTGAGAATCATGAACTGTTGAACTGTGAAGTCCTCTTTTGACTCTGCAATGCCACCATAGCTATTATGGTATGATAGTTAAGAGCATAGCATGTGGAGCCAGGTGGACTTTTAATTCAAGCACGGCTCCATAGCTTATGGCTTAGGTGATCCTGAGCAATTTCCTGAACATGTCTAAGCCTGTGTCTTCATTTGCAAAGTGGGGATAATATTTCTTATGGCATTATGCTTTGGGAGGATTAAATAAAATATGACTGACCAGTGCTCAGTGTCTGATAATATTGAGTAAGCACTCATTAAATTGCAGTTCTCATTATTTGATATTAACATTATTATTAATGATATTATTACTGTCATTATGAGCATTATTATTATTACTGTAGGTGGCAGTCTGGTTTTCCCCTCTTCCCTCCAAAACTTCAGTACTACAATTATTGCTTCATTCATTTACTCAACAGATGTTTATTAAGCTCCCATTATTTGCAGGGTTCTGAGATAACTGGGATTGAAAAGTGAATAAGACATGTTG
Organism: Homo sapiens; assembly: GCF_000001405.40. Lineage (NCBI taxonomy): Eukaryota > Metazoa > Chordata > Mammalia > Primates > Hominidae > Homo > Homo sapiens. Next base: position 144,410,964 of record NC_000004.12, read on the forward strand.
CAAGACCTCAAATGCGGGTGGCAAAACTAGACTTTTTGCCTCTTTTGGGATAGCCTTTACTCAGAAGTAATATAACTGAATCTATTGCCTGTACTTTGTTAAAGGACTGAACTCAAGAAAGACTTGTTCCGTGTCACCTGGCCTGTTCACTGAGCAGTAACCCTCTTCCTTTTAGAAATGGTGTGGGCACAGGTGTGTGTATTTTCTCTACATGTATAAGTTAGACCTGACTATGGATTAGGAATGAGTTAGTATTGCTGGAGCTGTCTTAGGTGGTAACAGTATGGCAATGACAGTGTGTGGTTTTAGGTGAATGGGACTTGGGTGCATGTTTTGCTTTGCTGCAGCTGTCTTTCTCACTCTTGAGCTGCTAAGAGGTTCCTGAAAAGGCAGGGCTATTTGTGCCTCCATATATGACTTTGTACGAGTTCTTCCCTTTTCTGTAAACAATCATCTCTGTCTACCAATGCTTCTCTAGGGAGCCTTGCTGATACTCTTGCCTGTGAAGTAGGGTGGACCACATTCTCCTTTGGCCCCACTGTGCTCTCTATAAACTTTGATAATTATATGTGAAATTGTTTTCTCATGTAAAGATACAGACATATATCAGATACAGACTGATACATGTCTTTATATTTCTGCTAAATCATAAGTCCCTTAAGGAGAAAAACTGTTTCTTGTTGATCTTGTACTTTTAGCATACAGCACAGTGTCCAGAACCTCAATGGGAGTCTAGTAAAAACTTGCTAAATAGGTGGGTGAATGAATAAATGAATGAATGAAATGATGTAGTACAGATATATAAGATTAATTATTCTACCCTAAAACTTTTTCTGCATAATCAGTGAAGTCTCCAACAGGGACTACTTCTCATGCTTGTATTTCACACTCTTGATTCTCTTACCACAGCTAAACCCTCAAAGGACTATCCCCTTCATACTCTTACTAACCAAACTCTGAACATTCAAATCAGTGTTTCAGAAAGTAAATACCATCCTCCCTAGTTACTTTTGACAACTGCTGTCAGACATTTTCACTCACCTAAAAATCATATAGATTTGTCATCACTTTCAATTTCCTAAAAAGGCCCAACTGTCTTTCCCCATCACTCCCAAACCTGATGACAATTCTAATTCTCTTTTCCTTCCTCCTACCCTCCAAGTGCATAACCTTTTCCCCTGTCTTGACCCCATCTCTTCTCAGTTACTGATAACCTTTGCCTCAAACTCCTTCCCCATCTTATACTCTTGATTAATCTATCTATCCCTCTCAGAATCTTTCTTAGCTTTGTTCAAGCATGTTGGCTTTTACTTTTTACACAAAGTCATCACTAAATTCTATCTGCTCTTTTAGCCATTATCCCACACATGGCCTTTTGTTATTAATCTCTTATCCCTGTCCTTTTCCCCAGGCTCTTTCAAGCCACATTTACACATGAACAGGTCTGCCATATCTTCACAAAGTTATCATTGGATTCCACATACTTATCCAACTGCCACTCAAGATTCTCCTACTGTTCATCATATCTAAACCCATGTGGTAGTTCCTTGATCTCCTTCCATCTGAGACAATTGAAGTAGTCCTGAGAACTATAACAAGTAAGTTTTTGAGTCAGCTACCAAGGTCAACTAATAATCTCTCTAGAATTCAACCTTTGGTCCTTCCCACTCTTTTCAACATTAGATAGCTGATCCTGACCCCTTTTTCTGTTAAGATATTGTGCTTGTTCACTTTCTGTCTTTACTAAGTCATCGATTTAACAGCATCTTTCTGATTCCATTATATTCAAGCAACATCCATTATCTACACTGTAAGTATTGGAAAAAATATAAAATATATAAAGCACCTAGGGCAATGCCTATCACAAAATAGTTCTTTCAATATCACTTCTCTATCTTGACCCTTTTTCTTTGCCCACAGCAATACTGTGGATTCTTTTACTTCACAGGCGGAAAATGGGTACAGACAGATCAATTAAACTTCCCTCGAAGTTGCAGCTAATCTGTGACTACATCAGAACCAGGAATCAGGTCTCCCTCTCCAGGCACAAACACAGCATTCGTCTATGACCTCTCTGCTTCTGAACTATGCTTTCTATCGTGAAATTTTATTTCCGAAACTCCAAGGAGATTTCCAGATTTAATAATTATGTGAAACACAGATATTATTAACAATAGAGTAAGACTGGCAAATGTGCACCAACTTAAAACAAACTTATGGGTGCTAGGATGAAATGAATTTGAAAAATAGAAAAGAATTGATTACTTACATGCACAAGAATGCTGACCTTACAAAGGAGGAGCCACTGAAAGTACTCCTAAAGTGTTCTGTACCCTGTTACATAATTATATGTTTTATATAATTACATACACATATATAAATACTATATTATTTAAAGTAGCTTTTAATCTTTTTTTTTCTTTGAGATGGAGTCTTGCTCTGTTGTCCAGGCTGGAGAGAAGTGGCCCGATGTCAACTCACTCCAACCTCCGTCTACTGAGTTCAAGTGATTCTTGTGCCTCAGACTCCAGAGGATCTGGGATCACAGGCGTGTGCCACCACGCCTGGCTAATTTTTGTATTTTTAGTAAGATGGGGTTTCACCATATTGGCCAGGCTGATCTCCAACCCTTGACCTCAGATGATCCGCCCACCTCGGCCTCCCAAAGTCCTGGGATTACAGGTGTGAGCCACCATGCCCAGAGTAAAATAGCATCTAATCTTCAAAGTTTAATTTATATAAAAACTTTCAAAGCCATTGTATGAACTGTGAGCTATATGGTAATACCTTGGTTAAGTGGGTGGTCAGCTATGGGTACATGCATCAACCAAAAGAAATGATGACTTTGTGAATCTCAGTACAACATTTTCAGGTAGTTCTGCCAATGATTATCTTGGCAACAATGGGAAATTCCTTAACCTCTATTGAACTGTGGTTGATACATCTATAAAATGATGATAGTGCCGAGGATTAAAAATAGTTTATACAGTGCCTAATGCAATGCTTGGCACATAATGGTGCTATTTTCCTCTTCTTCCTCTCATCCAGCCTCTTTGTGAGATTCTCTGATTACAGTCCATGGAAGTTAGCACTCATATCACAATTATCAAAGCTTTCTTCAGGGAGTCACATTTTTACATTTTCACTTGTTTGTAACAGAAAAAATAAAAAGGAAATATCCTCAATATCTAATGATGAAGAATTGGTTAAACATATTTTGATACATCTATTTAATGAGATGCTGTCCATCTTAAATGTTAGTGTGTATTTGTATACGTCAATATAAAGAGCAATTCATAATATAGTATTAATTGAAATGGCAAGCTCAAAACAATACATGCAAGTCCGATACCATTTAAATAAATCATATGCATATAAAAACATATTATTTACACATAACAGAACACACCATTACTGGATTCCATGTGGCTGGACAATTAAGATGCTTTTAAAAATTTTATTTCTTATTAAAAACAAGCTAAAGAACACAAATGTGATTTACTGAAGAAAAGCTTTAACACCCTCTGAAGATTTTACATGAGAATTTTAACTAACAATCTGAATCTTAGTGTAATGAGATTATGGTTGATTAAAAAATTTAATATATATTACATACTTTTTAAAAAATAAGTATATATTACTTGCTTAATAAAAAATAATAAAAGCTGACAAAAACAAGCAAACCCTATATTCATTGAACCACATCATATACCCTGGTAGGTCAATGTACCACACGTACATTCCCGTATGAGAAGGGACTTACGAAATGCCTGAATGTAAAAATACACCAGTTCTTTTTTTTTCAAATGCATACAGCAAATATCTGCTATCAATGTTAAATAATTTTTCAGTTGTATTTGTGTATCTACAGATTCTAAATGTGACCAATATTTTCAATGACACTTCATGCCGTAATCATTAGAGTCAATGTACAAGTATTATTGTAGTTTGGATTCCTGGAAAAAATGCATACAGATTCAAACAAACTTGTAAAATCTAAACAGAGTCTTTTATTAGTGACCCCTAATGACCCACAATCAAAGCTAAACATCTTGACTAAACAATTATCTTTGGGAATTGAAATGTAAACAGAAAGAAAATTCGCTGTTTACCCTTACTCTGTGTGGCTATTCCTCTCTGGCATTTTCACATCTACATTCATTCTATCAATATTATAAAGTTCTTGTTAAAATTTTAAATCACTTTCTTATTTAGAAAACAAAATGAATATAATTTTATATCTACATACCTAAATAAATTGCCTTCCCTGTATACATACAATCTCTTCAACAAAACCCAGTATAAAACCATGCAGGAAATGGCAGACTTTGTTCTTAGAACCAGGCATATAAAATGCCTTCTGAATATTATTTATTATTTTGCCCTTTCCACTCATATTTCTAAATCAGTTTGTCTCTCTAATATTATCACATGAATAGTTTTGCCAAACTTGGGTACACTCATCTGCATGCAAGTCCTTAGAATGGTTTCCCAAGAACTGTTTTAATATTGGAAGTTCTCGTGCTGATTAAAAATTTTGAAAATAATCTTTAAAATATATGGAGGTATACCACTGAACTGCAAACTTAAAAATGGTTAAGATGGTACATTTTATGTTATGTGTATTTTACCACAATAAAAATAATAAGTTTTAAAAAATAGTCAATAAGCCTATATTGGGAAGTCTTCCCATTAGGGAGAAATATATGGAGGTATATGTATGTGTATTTAGAAAAAGGAAGCTTCACCAAGGATTAATTTCTACCTTTGCATGGACTCTAAGGAATTGAGATTAATACAAAGCCTAAAAAGAAATAGATCTGGTATACTTTATAAATCCCAGGCAGTCAGATCAAAGTTGGTATGAATGCCATTTGTTAAAAGTCAGAACATTGTGTCATATACTTTTACTTTGAATGGACATGATTTGTGGACTTACCTCATTACACTATGAGTAAGGAATAATTTCAGGAAACTCCATTTTAGGAGTCAGATATTTTAGCTGCACAAACCTCCTGCAGAGACAGAACAAAAAAAGTAAAATTCCTTTTGTTTTAGCTTTCTACAATCATAAACCTGTGCAAATGTAGAGATAAATAGCATTGCCAAAGGCAAATATTGCTTCCAACTGATGGTATAGCAGACTATCAACTTGTCCTTGCCTGCCTCATGACTTTTGTTGTTTACTTACCAAAGAAATGTCACTTTTAAAAATGTGTAAATGTCCTTACATGGAACTCATAACAAATGGAGAGAAAAACAGAATAAAGAAGGAAATAGTAAATGATTATAACAAACTCTTTAGTCCCTTACTTGGCCATCTGTCTTCAATTTCAGGCATGTTGTTTTGAGTACCGTCCCATTGTGACCAAATATAATGGGATAGGCAAGTTAATGAACTACAGCAAGTACCATCATAAATGTGATGTATCACCAAGGCAAAGCCACCCAAGATGCAAGGCAGCTACTGTTTTTCTGTGAAGCTACTAGTTTCTTGTACAGTGCTCTGGGGAAAAGAGTAGCCTCATTTATCTCTTTATTTATTGTAAAGTCTCAGACTGCTGCCTCATTCTTTCTCCCTTCCTGACCTTGACCTCCAAAGAAAAATGAAAGAGGCAGAGAAGCCACAGAGAGATGTAGGCAAAAAAGAGAGAGAGAAGATTTGGATTTACCTGAAGGAAAATATGTGTTCATCACTTTCTTCACTAGTCAGGATTCCTGAATAAATTATCAAATCAATTTTGCCAAAGTGGAAACATTTGTTGGCCGACTCAGGCACTAACCAACTGTGTCTTTGCATATTTCTTTCCCAAACTAAACCCTTTCCTCAAAAATACCTGTATGTTTTACATTCTTTAAATTTGTTCAGAGTGTTTATAAGTAGACACTATTGTCTGAAGCAGTGAATTTAGTTTCTTGCTTATGAAAAATATTTAAAATGGTACTAGAAATAAAAGACACAGTGTTAGTAACTAGAGGCTTGAGAGATTGTATTGGAGAAGTCTGAGTCTCTGTCGATCCATTTTTATTCTTGTGTGAAATGGATTGAGTGATTTTGTTTTAAATGGCTAGTTGATAATAAAGCTCATTACTGTAAGAGATTAGAATATCTTCCTGAACTCATTTCATTCTCTGACTTTATCTTTCTCATCTATTCCACTTTATCCAAGTGAAAATTTGTTCTCTATGTATTTCAGCTGATTTAAGACATGAAGCTGCTTTCTCATTCACAGGTGCTAAAAAGCAGCCCGATCTTTCATCTTAGAATTCTCCATTTTCTGTGGGGTTCTTCATACCTAGCATCTATTATTTTGCAGTGTTATGGGCCTAATTTTGAAATTCCCACCTCAGGTAGATACACCCTGTGTACACCCCATTTCTTGAGTGAGAACAAGACTTTGAATATGATGAATTTCACTCCTATAATTTATAGGCTACCTTCTATAGCAAAGGTGAAAAGATTACACTGAGTTAACTAAGGCCCCAAATCAGTTGAACTTCAGTTAATTGACCTAATTAGGTGACCTACTCAGGTGAGCCCTGAAAAGGGGTTGCGTATTAGTCCCTTCTAGCATTGCTATGAGAATGGGTAATTAATGAAGAATAGAGGTTTAATTGGCTCATGGTTCTGCAGGTTGTACAAGAAACATAATGGCTTCTGATTCTAGGAAGCCCCCGGGAAACTTACAGTCATGGTGGAAGGCAAAGGGGGAGCCAGTACCTCACATGGCCGGAGCAGGAGGAAGAGAGAGAGGTGGGAGGTGCTATACACTGTTAAACAACCAGATCTCACGATAACTCACCCACTATCATGAGAACAGCACCAAGGGGATGGTGTTAAGCTATTAATGAGAAGTCCACCCCCATGATCCAATCATCTTCCTCCAGGTCCCACTTCCAACACTGGGGATTATAATTCAACCTGAGATTTGGTGGGGACACAGATCCAAACAATATCAGGCTGCATCCTTCCTGAAAGAAGTGATTCAAAGTACAAAGGTTTCTATTTCTGGCCATAGTAGGAGGAAATTACTATGTTATGGAGAGGGCCATCTGCAAGGAATGATGGGTGCCCACAAAGAACTGAGAGTGACCTCTGGCTGACAGCCTGCAAGAAAACGTGGACATGAGTCCTACAGCTGCAAGGCACTGAGGTCTTCCAATCACTTGAATGAGCTTGGAAGAAAATCCTGAGATTAGACCACACCCCTGGCTGACCCCTTGATTTCAGCCTGATGAGGCCATGAGCAGAGGACCCAGTTGACCTGTGTATAGACTCTTGGCCCACGAAAACTGTGAGATAATGGATTTATATTTGTTTTATGTCACTAAGTTTGGGGTAATTTGTTATGCAGCAATGGAAAACTAAAACACACAGCATATGAATGCACCAGAGGTATTGTAAAGTGTTTGATGATTACTTTCCCAGTCAATCCTCAGACTTATATTCATTGTCCTGAACTGCCACTCTTCAGTACTACTCATAATATAAAACTTATTTGGTTTTTGGAATAATCAAGCTGGACTCTAGATGTGTCCCCTTCCCATTTCATAGATGAGGAAACTAAGGTTCAGAATAGTTGACTAGTGTGAGGATACACTGTAAGTAGAAAAAAATTTTAGATTTGTTTCAGAGATTTTTCCACAATGGTAGAGAAAGTAGATTAAGATTTACTTTTGATTTAACAATAATGGAATTAATCCCTCCCATTTCTGAGTTGGGGTAATATGGCTGATCTTTGTATTTCCTATAACACCAAATGCAGTTCTTTGCAGCTATGCTGGAACCCTTGTTTCTGGAAGTATCATATTGGCAGAGTACCTTGCACCTGATAAGTATTTAATGAATATTTTATGAATTAATGACTGACTTTAATGAGGCTTAATTGGCTGTGTAGATGGGAGAGATGATTAGAAATACAAATATGTCCGCAAAATTATAATGGGGTAGAGGATGGAGGCAGACAATAAAGAAAACAGAATGGCTTTTAAAACCAAATGCTTAAAGGTTTCGAAGGAAATCAAATGTTTCTAAGGAAATATTTGCCACATATATTAATGAAATACTTAAAACACTGTGATATACTCAAACCAAATCAACAAATAAAATAAAATAAAATCATCATTCATGAAATGGAAAACAGCATTAATGAAATAGAATTACAGAACTATGATTTCACCTGAAACTGGAGAAATACCATCATCTATTTCTTCTTGCCTCCCATGTCACTCCCATTGTGACAGCTATCTCAAAAATTAGATCAATGTGCAAAGATATTTTCACCAACCTCAGGTCACAATAACATCTTTTCTAAAGGAAGAGCAACAGTAGCCAAATTGGAAAGAACTAGAATCCCAGACTGCACCTGAAATACTCAGCATTTGCTTTAACAAGGGATGTCCATAACTGAACTCCATACTTTTCTGGAGGTTCCCATTATTTCCTTGTGACAATAAACAGGAAGCTTGAGGTTGTTTGAAGGAAATGTCTTCCAATTCTCAATCCTCAAGGTCTAACCCAATGTTTCCATGGGACATGGAAGTAAAGCATGTATTTTGCCGCTGATGTTTCTCCAGTTGTCAAAATCTCATAAGTGAGCGCATTTGACTTTAACAGCTCATGTGAGTTTCAGGAGTGCCAGTGGGCAGCAGCGGTCAGGACAGAAAAGCTCGTGGAACATTACGAATCATACAATCTCTCAGTGGGAATTTTAGAGGGTTGGTGTATTTCTTAAGTCTGATTTTCTATTGAACAAAGGATATTACAAAATCTGTGCTTCCTGGAGCAGATTTTTCTTTGGCCTCCACAGACATTTTAATGTGAGGGAAAAATGCTGACACTGAATTTGATTTATTTTCAGTTTCAGAAAAACATGACCAACATGAACACCACTGAAGCATAAGTATCATAATTGAAGTGACAAAATAAAGAAAAGGACCAAATGTTCTCTGAAAGAAATTACCCTGGAGTGTTATTTACTCTGATTTCGGACTTCAGTGTAAGTGAGCCCACAAGCTGAAGTCCCAAACTGGAGTGGATAGGTCACCCTTGCCCCCAGGCCTAAAGGTTACTATAAGGGTAGTGATTCTGGGAAAGAGTACCCAATAATGGCTTATACTGTCAAAGCAGCCACACATAAACTGTTTATTAGTTTCTGTTAGTCCTGGTTTTTAGTCTAAAAGTGCTAGAAGCAACAATTATTCTTTAACATCACATATTGCAGATCTACAAGGCAATCGTTTGTCAGGAGCACGCTAATGACCTGAAAGAGTAAATACTAGTTCCAAAGATGTTTAAATTATCACTAGCACATAGCTAACATATAACAAATATCTGGTAAGTCTATTAAAACTGCAAAATACAAGATGCCTGGCCACATTTGAATTTTAGATAAATAACAAACTTTTTTAGGATAAGAAAATATTGTATGGGCATGCTTATATAAAAATATTGTATGGGCATGCTTATATAAAAATTATTCATTGTTTATCTGAAATTCAGTTTTAATTGGGTATTCTGAATTTTCACTTGCAAAATCTGGTAAACCTGTTTTTTTATTTTTATTATTTTTATTTTTTAAGTTCCAGAGTACATGTGCAGGATGTGCAGGTTTGTTACATAGGTAAACGTGTGCCATGGTGGTTTGCTGCACCTATCAACCCATCACCTAGGTGTTAAGCCCGGCATGCATTAGCTATTTTTTCTAATGCTCTCCTCACCCCCACCTTCCCCTGACAGGCCCCAGTGTGTGTTGTTCCCCTCCCGGTATCCATGTGTCCTTGGTGTTCAGCTCCCACTTATAAGTGAGAACATGCAGTGTTTGGTTTTCTGTTCCTGCGTTAGTTTGGCAAACCTATTCCAAAAACAGTAAGATGAAATCACTCTGAACTTCCTAGATGACACATTTTATTCTTAAAGTCATTAATGTGCACGTTACCTGAAAAGAAATGCAGGATGAATAGTTATTTCCTTATCAGTTTCTCTATTGGACTATGCACACTAACCTGGAGAGAAGGTGAGAGTCCAGTAATATGTATCCTAACAAGGGCAACCAGAATAGTTGAGAGGCCTGTGATAGGTTCCTCAAATACCTAACCTTTAGTCACATTTGATCAAACAATTTTTATCAGGTTTTAATTGACAAATAAAAATTGTATATATTCAAGGTGTGCGATGTGATGATTTGAAATATGTAACATTGTGTTTTATACATATATATATATATATTTTAAATTAGTCGACGTGTCCATCATCACACGTAGTTACCCTGGTTTATTTATTTATTTATTTATTTATTTATTTATTTATTTATTTGGTGTATGTGTGGTGAAGACACTTAAGATATACTCTCTTAGCAGATGTCAAGTAAACAATACAGTATTGTTAGCTATAGTCACCATACTGTACATTAGAGCCCCAGAACTTATTCATCTTACAGCTAAAAGTTTGGACCATCTGACCACCATTTTCTCCCATCTTCCAGCCCCTGGTAACAACCATTCTATTCTCTTTTTCTATGAATTAGACTTTTTAAGATTTCACCTATAAATGAGATCATACAGTATTTGTCTCTCTGTGTCTGACTTATTCCACTTAGCATATTACCCTCCATGCTCATTCATGTTGTTGCAATCAGCAGAATTCCACTATTTTTAAGGCTGAACACAAGCATACATACACACATCACATTATCTTTATTCATTCAGTCATTGATGAATGCAGCTTGTTTCCATATCTTGGCTACTGTGAATGGGGCTGCATTGAACATGGGAATGCAGATATCTCTTCAACACTGATTTCATTTCCTTTGGATTCATACCTAGAAGCTGGATTACTGGATCATTTGGTAATCTAAACAAGCTATTTTTAAATAGAGATTGAGGATGTGTTTACGCAATACTTATTATCAAACTTTGTTGTAGGCATCTTGAACACAAAATCAAAGCACAGTCTCTTGGATTGAAAAGCTTAAATTCATGTTGTTAAGGAAACAGTAAAAATACATGGGACACACAATTAGAAAATGATGAAAACCAATTTATTCATCATTCAGACGTGTGCTATACAGACTCATTCATTTGCTCATTTGTCATGAGTGTCATGAGTCAGGTCTTGCTTCAGTGCTGATGAAAAATCAGTCTCTTTTCTTACAGAGTTTCTATTCTAGTTGGGGATAAAGGGATAATAAACAAATGATAACGGATAAAAGTAAACAAATTAATAAGAACATGTCTCATGGTAACAGTTTCTATGATGATTATTAAAAAGGGAGGTAGGTTTGGGGCAAGCAAAGTTGTCTCTATGGAGGTGACATTTCAGCTGTGCAACAAGGAGCCAGCCTATAGGAAGACTGAGGAAAAGCAGCATTCTGATGGAGAGTAGACTTAGTTCAAAGACCCTAAGGCAGAAGTGACAAAGGCAGTAACAACCTTGCTGTGACTGAGGAGCAGAGGAAAGGATCAAGTGACTGGGTCAACAAAGGAGAGAGAAAGGGAAGGCCAGTTAGGCCAGGATTTTCTTCTAAGTGTCATGGAGAGACATTGGAAGGTTTTAAGCAAGAAAAGTTACAGGGTCTGAAATATTTTTTAAAGAAATCATTTTAGCTGCTGCAAAGACACAGAACTGTCTGTACACAATTCCCCAAGTAAGAATGAAAGGAGAAGCAGTGGTGGAGAGACTTTGACCCTAAGCAGGGGAGACAATGGTAACTTGTCTCAAGTAAGAATGGAGAATGAGATGGAGGTTAAGTTTGAGATATATTTTGGAAGCAAAGTTGATAGGACGTGCTGATGCAAAGAAGAGAATTAAGGATACTTCCTAGGTTTAGCTGAAGCATCTAGATGGATGCCAGTGCTATTTACTGAGAAGGAAAATCAGGTGATCAATAGTTATGGTATAGGATTTATTCAGCTTGAGAGGAATTTTACTCAGCTAAATGGATATGTTAAATAGGAGAGAGAGATTAAATCTGGCTGGCCTAGTCCAGCAAAAACCATGGGAGAGAGAGGGCTTGCCCTTAAAAAGTAGATTGAATTCAAATGGAGATGGGAGGAATTTTTTGCATCTCCACAGAGGAAACAAAGTTAGAAAACACGTAAAAATGAGAATAAGCATGAAATATGACTGGAAGTAAAAGAGTAGGGAATTTATGTTGGAAAAAAAGTGAGAGGTAAAATTAGAACTATAAGGGATACTCATTATTTAATCAAAAGAGTTTGAATTCTTTTTCTAAAAAACATGGAGCCATTGCCAATTTTAGGCTTAAAGCTAGGAAAACTTTCAATTCTGTCTTATTCCCTGTTGGATCTCCATTGCTGAATAAAGGGTCTGGCACATAGCAAGTCATCAATTTATTACATAAATGAGTGGAAAATGAATGAATGATTGTATAGCAAAGTTATGTTTTCATAATGAAAGAACAATGGGTGAAGAAACCAGGGAAAGAGCTCCCTATTTCAAACATGTAGGCTGTCAGATTGGAGATAAAACTTTTGAATAACATAGTGGTAAAAAGGTGGAAATAAAAGTGCTTGATAGTATTTCCCATCATGGCAAGATGGCAAAAGTATATAGGAAATACAAGTTTAGTTCCTTCAGAAGGTACTAAAGATTTAAAGTAACACAACAAATTTCTACTCAATGAATTCAAAAGAGAACTTAGTTAATGAGATCAGACAAAACTTGGATAAGATATTTTTTAATATTCTAAAAATCGAGAGACCCCCAATTTTTTCTCAGCTATTCATACATCATACCGTTCAATTTAAATAGTTTGATAATCAAAAGCTTGTGTAGTTTTTTTTTTTGTTTTCTTTTCAGTGAGGCTGCAATGTTTCTGCCAGAACTTGAAATTGATTATTTTCTGGGGCATAATATTGATATCCAATGGGTCAGTGAATTAAGATTTTACTTTTCCTTATAACCTGCTTATCTCCAGATTACCTCCATTTTCTGCAAAAATTTCCATGTGTCATACTTTTGTATTTCTGTATGCAGATACACATACATGTTACAGTTTTTTTGATGGTAGAGATGGTTACATAAAATTGCTTACTGGGGAAGCAACACTAAAAGTCACTGCTCAGCACACAAAGAGGAAAACAAAAGATTAAAAAAAACCCTCCAATAAAGTCAGTAAGCTATGTTGGCACTCACTTGCTGTTGGCCTCAAAGCTCTCAGATTATACACTCCTTTTATTGGATTGTTACTTTAATGGGACTTTTTAAAGGGCATTTTAATAGCCTCCTTGTTTCAGCAGATATACATTGAAAACCATTTGGAATACCTCCCAGTTGTAACATTTTTGATCTTCACATTTCTTAGAATTCTGACAACCTACTAGGTAACAGTTAGTATGATATTATGCTGACACATTCCAGAGCTGGCAGTTGTTAGATTTGCCAGTGCAGTTTGTTGTCCAAATCCCATGGGCCTGAGATTTATTGCCTTTTCCCCTTACCCACCTCTCCCTAGATCCTTCCTTGCCCCCTTTTAACTCTTTGAATACACTATAGATGTGTTTTTTAGGTACATCAGGACTATCCACTATAAAGGCCTAACCTAGTAAGAAACAAGAATTAGCCGCAAAATTTCTTATATTATAAATTTGTGCTATTCTGTGTCATTTGAAGAATCAGAAATAACTCATTCAGGAGAAAGATATTTTTCTTCCAGCTAGAGTCATATCACCCTCAGAACTATCCATGGCCACAGATGGATCATAGGTGATAGCTACAATCTCTGAAAAGGCAAATCTGGCAGAGTGATTCTGCTGTGGTCAGTACTCAGATTTCTTCTTTCCCAGACAAGACCTTCAAGGATGGTGAGAAACAGTGAGGGAGGAAATTAATAAATGATTATAAACACGCTTCAAAAGCTGCCTTTTGTGTGGCTAATGATATTATGACTGGCTAACTCCTCATTATTAACAATCCAACTCAAGACTTATTCCCCTGAGGCCATCCCAGCTGGATCAGGTGCTCTTCCTGTCTTGTAATTGACAGCATATAGATCTGTGGCTGTGGTTACTATTGGACAGTATTCATCTGTTTATGTCTCTGTCTCCCCTTCTAGATGCTTGCCTCTTAAAGTCAGGCCCTATTCCTCTCTATATTTTGCATTCCTAGCTCAGTGCCTGGCTCAATGTTAGTGCTCAATAAATATTTGTTGAATAAATAAAGGAAGGAAGAAAAGCACTGGACCAGGTGCTATGTGAGAATGCCTTGGCCTAACTCGCATGCCAATTTCTACAACCCTTTTTGTTTTTTTTGCTCCTATATGAACACAGAGAAACAGAACACAGGCCAGGCATCTCCAGCATCCAACAGGACATTATTTAATACTGTGGTCTCACCTCTTTTTGTTTCTCTATAAGGAGATTACTTACAATGGAGTTGAAGCCAACCCTATGACAGGGAGTCTTATACTTACCTAGCTCTTGTTATTAATAGGAGCAAAAAGAGCAAAAAGGGTTATAGAAATTGGCATGTGACTCAGGCCAAGGCATTCTAACACTGTCCTTGGTCCAGTGCTTTTCTTCTTTCCTTCATTTATTCAACAGTTATTTATTGAGCACTAATAATGATCCAGGCACTGAGCTAGGAACTCAAAATATAGACAGGAATAGAGCCTGATTTCAAGGAGGCCAGCATCTGGAAGGGGAGACAGAGACATAAACAGATGAATACAGTCCAATACTAAAAGTACAACTGCATATCTATGTGCTGTCAATTATAAGACAGGAAGAGCACCTGATCCAGCTGGGATGACCCTGGGGGAATGAGTCCTGAGTTGAATTGTTAATAATGAGGAGTTAGCCAGGCAACAGAGAGGTGAGCTTGGAGCACAGAAGATTGTGAGGACCACATCACCAAATATATCAAATTGAGAACTCATAGAATGTGTTTGGAACACTTCACATATTGCAGTTTTTCTGTTTTATAAAGTGTGAATTGTAGGCAAAGAGAAATTATGTTGAAGAAATCAGGAAGCAATCAACATAGAGGAACTGGAGTTTATTACAAAGGTCTGTGCTGTCCAACACACTCTACCACTAGCTACAGATAGCTGGTTCAATTTAAATTAAGTAGTATTTTAAAGGATAAAATTTTAGTTCCTGAGGTGCACTAGTCACATCTTATGTGCTCAATAGTCATGTGGGCCGGGTGCTGTGGCTCACGCCTGTAATCTTAGCACTTTGGGAGGCTGAGGCAGGCAATTGCCTGAGCTCAGGGGTTTGAGACCAGCCTGGGCGACACGGTGAAACCACATCTCTACTAAAAATACAAACAATTAGCTGGGCGTGGCAGCGGGCGCCTGTAGTCCGAGCTACTCAGGAGGCTGAGGCAGGAGAATCAGTTGAACCTGGGAGGCAGAGATTGCAGTGAGCCGATATGGCGCCACTGCACTCCAGCCTGGGGGACAGAGTGAGATGCCGTTGCAAAAAAAAAAAAAAAAAAAGTCATGTGAAGTTTAGGGCTACCATGGAGAGTGCAGATTATGGAATATTCCCATCAGCACAGAAAGTTCTACTGGGCAGTCCTGAGCATTTAAGTGTTTTATGTAAGTAAGTCAGAGTTAGGTCTTAGATTTACACTGAGGACTCTGAAGGACAAACTCAAATGGAAAAGACTGGAGAAACTCATTCAGAGGGACTGTTTAATGGGTCATAGAGCTTTCATTCTACTAGAATAAGACAGATTTTTTTAAATAGTAAGTGAAATAAATAGTTTGTCAGAGAGTAATAAGTGTTCTAGACAAAAAGAAAAAAAAAAGGAAGAGAGAAAAGCCTGCTGAATGGCCACAATTATAAATAGGGTGTTCAGGGAAGGTCTCAATGAGAAGAAAGACCTGAAGGAAAAGATTATGATGTAGGCACCTGGGAAAGACTATTACAGGTAATAGGATCAGCAAGAACAGTCTTTCATGAATATCCTGGACTATATGTAAGACACATTTGTATGCAGATAGGTATATATATAGAGAGAGAGATGTGTGTACGTATGTATGATGAGACTTTTTTTTTTTTTGAGATGGCGTTTTGCTCTTGTTGCTCAGGCTGGAGTGCAATGGCACAATCTCGGCTCACCACAACCTCCGCCTCCTGGGTTCAAGCGATTCTCCTGCCTCAGCCTCCCGAGTAGCTGGGATTACAAGCATGTGCCACCACGCCCGGCTAATTTTGTATTTTTAGTACAAATGGGGTTTCTCCATGTTGGTCAGGCTGGTCTCGAACTACTGACCTCAGGTGATCCGCCCACCTTGGCCTCCCAAAGTGCTGGGATTACAGGCATGAGCCACTGCACCCGGCCTCAAGAAACTTTTAATGTGAATTAGCTTATACAATGATGCAATTGTGAGGGCTGGGAATTCCAAAATACATAGGGCAGGCTGGCAAGCTGGCAGGCTGGCAGGCTGGTAACTCAGGCAAGAATTGATGCTGCAGTCCTGAAACAAAATTTCTTCTTCTCTAGGAAACCTCTATTTTTGCTTCTAAGGCCTTGAACTGATTAGATAAGTCCCACCCACATTACTGATAATCTTCTTTAAAGTCAACTGATTGTATATGATAACCACGTCTAAAAAACACCTTCACAGCAAACTCTAGACTAAAGTTTGATTGAATAACTGGGTGCTATAGCCTAGCCAAGTTGACGTAAAAAACTAACCATCATACTCATCTAATCCTTGTTTTTCAGATAACAGAATTTAGATTTATAAGGATTAAAATACTTGCCCAAACATTTTCAGGAAGAAGAATAAGACTCTTAACAGTTACTTTTCCAAGGCTTCTTACATCAATTCTAGTGCTCCTTTTACTGCCCAGTCAGTGTAAACCAGACACAGAAGCCTAAATTAGGACACATATAACTTCTGTTTTGTTATATTGAGCTCTAAATTAAAAGAGGATAGATTCAGACATGGATTTATTTTATAAAGTTTACGATTGAACTTTATTTTTGAATGGAACTGAAAGTCCACTAGGAAGAATTTTTTCCATCCTTGCATTGTTTTTGCTTTGTATATAGTCACATTAAAGATGAGAATTTATCAATAAACGAAAAGAATGAGAATAAAAAATGAGTCCATTAAAATGATTCTTACAGCATAAAAGAAATGCATTTTTTTTCTAAGATTCCTACTTAGAGGAAAAAGTTCAGTTACCATAAATTAATTTAATTACACCTGTAGTTTCTTGAGACTACATGGAAAGTCTCTGCCAATGCCCAAAACTCCACTTTAAAAAGGTAATTTTAAAAGCAAAACAATTAAAAGAAGTAATGTTGAAACAAAATTATACATTTTACTCACCATGTAATTTTGAATAAATTTAATTCAATACAAAACCATTATTAAGTATAAAATTGAAGCCATATATTAGGATTTCTGCTTTACTCTGTGATCACATTTCATGAAATAATGTTATATCGACATTTCAAATAATTTTTCATCACCAGTAATTCCATCATGACTAAAACCGTATTTTTGAGCCATCCAACATGGAAGTGCAGAATACATAATTTCCAATTCTACCTGGCTTGATTGAAATATAGACCGATAAAAATTCAGTGTTTGATGACAGAGCAATTAATTCCAAGCCACAAGAAACAGTTTGCATTTCTTTAGATAATATTTTCATTTAATCTATAGCTGTATATAATAATAATCTCCATAATGTGACCAATTATATATTCCTTATTATTTTAAATTCCAAAATATTTCATACTCAAGAAGAAGCTTTTTCTTATTTAATCAAGAATTAACAGCAATATTTTGGCCATCTATGAAAATGATCGTATGATTTTTCCCTTTTTGATTCTTAATACTTATTTTAAATGTTGAATTACCCTTACATTTTTAAAATAAAAGAAATTATTTTTATTTGTTAATCTTTTTGATGTTCTGAAGGCTACTGTTTACTAATATTTTACTTAGAATTCTTTCAACAATCATTATAAGTTATTCTGGACTTTTTTGTTTGGTTATTTTTCTATCAGTTTTTCATGTTTTCTTATCAACGTTATTTCATTTTGTTTTGCAAATTTATTTGCATAGAGCCAAGCAAAGTCACTTCAAGTTTTCTTTTGTTTGTTTTTTGTTTTCTTCTTTTTGAGACGGAGTCTCGCTCTGTCGCCCAGGCTGGAGTGCAGTGGCACGATCTCGGCTCACTGCAAGCTACACCTCCTGGGTTCACTCCATTCTCCTGCCTCAGCCTCCCGAGTAGCTGAGACTACAGTCGCCTGCCACCACGCCCGGCTAATTTTATGTATTTTTTAGTAGAGACGGAGTTTCACCGTGTTAGCCAGGATGGTCTCGATCTCCTGACCTCGTGATCCGCCCACCTCGGCCTCCCAAAGTGCTGGGGTTACAGGCGTGAGCCACTGCGCCTGGCCAAGTTCTTTACTTCATATATTTGTGTGATTATTTTCTCATTATTGTCTTATTTTGTGTTCTTGCATTTTCTCTTCCTTTTTCTTGATTAGTTTGTTAATAATGGTTTATCTACTTTATGTTTTTTGCCCCCAAAGAATCAGCACTTCATTTATTTATGCTTACATTTTTTTCTGCTTTCTACTCCATTAATTTCTTTCTTATTTTTATTTTTATTCCATTTGTGTCTTTATTTATTCTTATCTTTACTTATCTTTAACATTCTTTTTATGTATTATTTAATTGCATTTTACATTTCTTTTTCTACTATATTGATTTGGGTGCTTTTTATTAGTAATCATTTACTAATGTAAATTTTAAGTTTATAAATTTTACTTTGGACACTCTTTTACTTATATCCAATGTGATTTAATTTGCAATGCTTTCTTTTATTATCTTTATTTTCTAAGATTTTATAATCTGCAATCTTTACCCTTGGATTTCCTCTCTAACCTGACAGGTTCTTCTTAAGGGATATTTATACCATAAGATCCAGCAATCTGTCTTCTGATTATATACCCAAAGGAAATTAAACCACAACCTCATAAAGATATCTGTACTTCTATGTTCAATGCAGTACTATTCACTATAGTGAAAATGTGAAATAACCTAGGTGTCCATCAATGGAAAAGTGGATAAAGAAATTGTAATATCACAATTTATTACAGATATATATAAAATGGAATATTATTTAGCCTTAAAAAAGGAGGAGACCCTGCCATTTGCCACAACATGAATGAATCTAGAGGACATTATGCTAAATGAAATCAACCAAACAAAGAAAGGAAAAGATCCAATGTACAATATGGGGACTATAGTTAATAATAGTGTATTAAATTTAGGATCTTTGCTAAATGAGTAGATTATGGCTACTCTTGCAACTGGGGGAAAATGTGAGATGATGAATGTTAATTTGTTCCACTATAGCAAACATTTCACTGTATATGTATCCTATAACATCATATTGTGTAGCTTAAATATATACAATTTATTTTTAAAAATAATAAAACATAGTTAAGAATTTCCAGACCTTTGCGTTTCTTCCTTTGTCAATATTTTTAGTTTGTTCTATTGAAAGAGAATATTGTCGCTACCATACCTACTTTTGATTTATCATGTATTCAAGTTGACTCTGTGACCTACTCTTTGGTTACTTTTAATCATTTAGTGGGCATTTGAAAAGGGTCATACTCAGTATTGAGGCTGAAAAGACTATATCAACTAGATCTGCTTTGTTGATTTTGTTATTTAATTATCCTCTACATGTACTTTTTTTGTTATTTTGTAATGGAGTGTGAGACATCAATTTAATACTTCAAATATATGCTACTTTTGCTTATTACTTTTTATATTTTCTGTAGTTTTTGCTTTAAAAATATTGCCATGTTATTTGTTATGTATAGTCACAACCATTATATCTTCATTGTGGTTTATGTTCTTTTTCATCATAATGATTTTTCACTGAAATCAACTTTTTAAATTTTGTTATTTAAAATATATATAAATTTGAAATATATATATATAAATTTAATATATATATATAAATTTTTCCAAAATTTATATTTGTCTGGTTCTTTGTCATTCATTTTACTTTAAATCTTAACAGTTTTTAGACATTAGTCTTATAAAGAGCATATCGTTGGGCTTACTTTGATATCCATTGTGAGTCTTTTTAAAAGATAGATGAGCATTATTGATATCACAGATGTGTTTTATCTTTAGTTCTGCCATCATAGGTTAGATAATGTTTATATCTGTATTGCTTTTGAATATATTTTATTATATCTTCACTTCGTTCTGTAGTACATATGTGTTTCTTGACAATTCAGAAGGCTTGCATTTTCTTTCAAGTTGTTACTTTCATAACTAAAACTATAATTCTCCATTTCCATAGTACCTGTGACTTCAAATGCTTAGCAATGATAAAAGTACTATATTTCTACTTTGTTCCCTTTTCTCTTCTCTCACCTTCATCTCTTGAATATATTATGTCTGTATATTTGTATTTGTACTTATTTATATATTCGTTAGATTTTTCTTATTCTTTACCTATACCTTTAAAGTAATTATAGTTCTAATGCTTTAATAATCAATTTTAAACAATCTGTTTTATCCACAACTATAAAACATTGTAATTATACCATTTCACTTTCTTTCTCCCTTCCCCTCCTATTATTACTTATCCTTTTGTACATTTTCAAGATGTATAACATTTAAATCATGGCCAGAAGCATTCCACATATTTGCTTTAATTATAATAAATATATATCTCTTGAGTTAAACTTATACTCTAGTAGCTTTTCCAAGGAAGGCTCATAGGAACTATATTAACTGGCTTCTAATGCCTTCAAACTGCGTTTATGTTTTCTTTTACTTGAACAACAGTGAATGAGTAGAAATTATTGAGTCACATTTTCCTTTCTTTGTACACATTATAGGCATTCTACACTGGGTTCTAGGAATAAAACTTGCCATGGGGAAATCTGAAACAAATTTCCCATTAAAGGTGGCTATAACTTTTTGCCTTGATATTCAGCAAATTTCTAATTTATCTTTGAAGTTCAGTGATAATTGTTACTTAAATATAGTGTGTCTTTTCAATCTGCATTTTAAGTTTTCCTATTATTTTGGAATCATTTTCTTAAGCTACCTCATTAAATAGCTTTTTCTATTAACTTTGCAATTATTTTCTTCAAGGTGACCAATTGTGTGCATGTTATATCTCCTTTGCCTTTTTTTTACCATATCTACAAAGTTTCTTTACTAATTCTTTTAAACTATTTATTTATTTTCATTTTATTTGAATTGAACCTCTCAGTTCTATCCTCCATTCCTCATATCTGTTTAAATAATAAATATTACTCCTAATTCTGCTTCCACTTTGCCATCATTACTGGCAACATTTTTCTGGTAAGTGTTCTTATATGCCATTTGTTTTTAACCAGGTTATTTATTCTATTTTTCTTAATATATTTTTTAGAATATGTGCTGCTTCCTTTCTTTGTTACTTATCTCCATTTGAGGTAGATCTGTATTGGCAAGGAGTCAAAGATGTGTGTAGGCTGGCAAGTATTCTCCTTATGACATAGCGTCTTTGGTGTGAGAGGGCTTCTTCCCAGCCTGCTATGATACTGCTAATGGATATATGTATGCATTCATTTTTCCAGGTCCATAACTCTCTTTTTTATTATTTTATTACTTTTTCTCTCTGTAGTGGATTCTTAGAAATTTCTTTAAACCATCTTTCATTTTATAAATTTTCTCCTTGTTATTCTTAATATACTCTTAACCCATGCATTTTGTATTTTTGTAACAATTATTATCTTTTTCATCTCTAGACTTTTTTTAGTCTTTACTACAGGTTTCTTTTCTTTTTAAAAAATATTGCTTTGTCTTTTTTTGTTTTTGCTTCCTACTTGTATGATTTTGTTTTAAACATGCTTATTTTAGAAAACACTATCAACTTACTGTATTTTCTGAAGCCTTTGAGGATCTAATTCCACAGTTTGATGTATCCTCAAATTCCTGACTATAGTAATGAAATTTCCTTCATATATCTTATAATTTTGGACTGTGAGCTCATTGTCAGTGGAATCAGAATCTCTTTTCGCTTGTGTAAAGCGTATGTCCTTTTAGAGTTATTTTGCATTTGCTTCTTCTAGGCACTTTAGAAACATCTTCGGCCTGGGACTAGTTTTAACGTTAATTCTTTTGCTTTAGGAGCACAAATTATGCAGGTAATGTAATATGAACCTCGGAGCCCACTGTGATGTAAGCCACGGGAATGAATTTTCAGGAGACGTTTTTCTAGCAACAATACAGTCAGAAACAAACAAGTTTCTCATCTTCTTCTGCCAATGGAAAGGAGTTTATAGCTAAGTTTTTCACTTTGAGTATCCGGATTTTACACAGGAAAGCCTGAGTTTCAAGTTTTTGCATTCCCAGGCCCTGGTGTGTCATGTTCTTTTATGTTTGATTTTTATCAAACATGTTTGATATGTTCTTTTATGTTCTTTCATTTTGGTATGAAAAATGATCCTATGTTATTACTCCTTAACCCCTAAAAGAGTTATCTTGCTTATCATTTTGGTTTTCAATTCTCTCTTTGTTTTTGAGAAATAAATTACTTTGATACATATTGACCTAGAAAATATAGCTCAATATAAGTATGTTTTTATGACTGTCTACTGATTGACTAGACATATGCACACACAGAGCCTATATGCACAACGACCCTTTATATGCAAACAATTATAGTAATAGTCACTATTTATCAAGCTGTGTCATTTCATGTATATTATCTCAATTACATTCCAAGTAGGCACTTACCATTCCCATTTTACAGATAAGAAAACAGGGATTCGATGGCTTGAGAAACTGCTTTAAAGTAACACAATTAGCATGGAAACAAAACTTTATCTGAATCAATGGCAGGTGTTCTTCATCATCACACCATGTAGCCTCGATATATGCACAGTCTTAATATATGGATCTCTTCTCTCTGTTTCAAAAACTTTTAGTTTAATAAGATCTTCATAGTTTTTATAAATTATTAAACATTGTATAAGTGTATTTATATTTTGTCAATCAAATGCCACTTCTGTATTTAGAGTCAGGTAGAAAATTCTGATGGAAAATAAGTAAGTTAACTTACTTTTGCAAACTGGATTTTGAAAGAAATAGAAATATAAGCTTCCATTTCTTCTCAGTGCTGGGGAATTATCTGTTCACTAAATAAATTTTGCAAATTATAGATAAATTTTCATATACTGAATTTTAATGATTTTAGTAAAAATGCTGCTTCTTTGATTTTTGTTACTATCATAGATTTTAGGATTTATAGTCACCAATCCAGACTCTTTTATAACTCCTAATGCTCCCAACATTGGTAGCTTTTTGACATTTTAAAAATAAGGCAGCTAAATGCAAATCAAAACCACAATGAGATATCATCTCACCCCAGTTACAATGAGTATTATTAAAAGACAAAAAATAAAAGATGCTGGTGAGGATGCAGAGAAAAGCGCACTCTCATACGCTATTGGTAAGAATATAAATTAGTACAACCACTATGAAAAACAGTATGGAGATTTCTCAAAAAAACTAAAAATAGAGCTACCATATGATCCAACAATCCCACTACTGGGTATCTATCAAAAGGAAAAGAAATCAGCATATCAAAGGAATATGTGCTGTATTAGTCTGACCTCACACTGCTATAAAGAACTACCTGAGAGGTGGCTGGCAAGATGACCAAATAGGAAAAGCTCCAGTCTGCAGCTCCCAACTAGATCAAAGCAGAAGTCAGGTAATTTCTGTATTTCCAACTGAGGTACCTAGCTCATCATATTGGGACTGGTTAGACAGTGGGTGCAGCCCATGGAGGGCAAGCCAAAGCAGGGTGGGGCGTTGCCTCACGTGGGAAGTGCAAGGGGTCAGGGAACTCCTTCCCCTAGCCAAGGGAAGCTCTGAGGGACTGTGCCATGAGGAATGGTACATTCTGGCCCAGATACTAGGCTTTTCCCATGGTCTTTGCAACCTGCAGAACAGGAGATTCCCTCGAGTGGCTACACCACCAGGGCCCTGGGTTTCAAGCACGAAACTGGGAGACTGGGCAGACACTGAGCTAGCTACAGGAGTTTTTTTTAATACCCCAGTGGCGCCTGGAATGCCAGTTAGACAGAACCATTCACTCCCCTAGAAAGAGGGCTGAAGCCAGGGAGCCAAGTGGTCTAGCTCAGCAGATCCCACACTCACAGATCCCAGCAAGCTAAAATCTACTGGCTTGAAATTCTTGCTGCCAGCAGAGCAGTCTGAAGTTGACCTGGGATGCTTGAGCTTGGTAGGGGGAGGGGTGTCTGCCTTTACTGGGGCTGGTATAGATGGTTTTCCCCTCACAGTGTAAACAAAGCCACCTGGAAGTTTGAACTGGGCAGAGCCCACCGCAGCTTGGCAAAGCTGCTGCAGCCAGACTGCCTCTCTAGATTCCTTCTTTCTGGGCAGGGCATCTCTGAAAGAAAGACAGCGGCCCCAGTCAGGGGCTTATAGATAAAACTCCCATCTCCCTGAGACAGAGCACCTGGGGGAAGGGGCAGCAGTGAGTGCCGCTTCAGCAGACTTAAACACTCCTGCTTCTCAGCTCTGAAGAGAGCAGTGGATCTCCCAGCACAGAGTTTGAGCTCTGCTAAGGGACAGACTGCCTCCTCAAGTGGGTCCCTGATCCCCATGCCTCCTGACTGGGAGACACCTCCCAGTAGGGGTCAACAGACACCTCATACAGGAGAGCTCCGACTGGCATCTGGTGGGTGCCCCTCTGGGACAAAGCTTCCAGAGGAAGGTACAAGCAGGAATCTTTGCTGTTCTGCAGTCTCCGCTGGTGATACCCAGGCAAACAGGGTGTGGAGTGGACCTTGAGCAAACTCCAGCTGACCTGCAGCTGAGGGGCCTGACTGTTAGAAGAAAAACTAACAAACAGAAAGGAATAACATCAACATCAACAAAAAGGATGTCCACAGCCAAACCCCATCTGAAGGTCACCAACATCAAAGACCAAAGGTAGGTAAATCCACGAAGATGAGGGAAAATCCAGCACAAAAGGATGAAAATTGCAAAAACCAGAATGCCTCTTCTCCTCCAAAGGATCACAACTCCTCACCAACAAGGGAACAAAACTGGAGAACAAGTTTGACGAATTGACATAGTAGGCTTCAGAAGGTGGGTAATAACAAACTTCTCTGAGCTAAAGGAGCATATTCTAACCCAATGCAAGGAAGCTAAGAACCTTGCAAAAAGGTTAGAGGAATTGCTAACTAGAATAACCAATTTAGAGAAGAACATAAATGACCTGATGGAGCTGAAAAACACAGCACAAGCACTTCATGAAGCATACACAAGAAACAATAGCTGAATCAGTCAAGCAAAAGAAAGGATATCAGAGATTGAAGATCAACTTAATGAAAGAAAGCGTGAAAACAAGATCAGAGGAAAAAGAATAAAAAGGCACAAACAAAGCCTCCAAGAAATATGAGACTATGTGAAAAGACCAAACCTACGTTTGATTGGTGTACCTGAAAGTGACGGGGAAGATGGAACCAAGTTGGAAAACACTCTTCAGGATATTATCCAGAAGAACTTCCCCTACCTAGCAAGACAGGCCAACATTCAAATTCAGGAAATACAGAGAACACCACAAAGATACTCCTCAAGAAAAACAACCCAAAGACACATAATCATCAAATTCACCAAGGTTGAAATGAAGGAAAAAATGTTAAGGGCAGCCAGAGAGAAAGGTCAGGTTACACACAAAGGGAAGCCCAATAGACTAACAGCAGATCTCTCTGCAGAAACCCTACAAGCCAGAAGAGAGTGGGGGCCAATATTCAACATTCTTAAAGAAAATAATTTTCAACCCAGAATTTCATATCCAGCCAAACTAAGCGTCATAAGCAAAGGAGAAATACAATCCTTTACAGACAAGCAAATGCTGAGAGATTTTTTTCACCACCTGGCCTGCCTTACAAGAGCTCCTGAAAGAAGCACTAAATATGGAAAGGAAAAACCGGTACCAGCCACTGCAAAAACATATCAAATTGTAAAAAACATTGAAAGGATGAAGAAACTGCATCAACTAATGAGCAAAATAACCAGCTAGCATCATAATGACAGGATCAAATTCACACATAACAATATTAATGTTAAAAGTAAATGGGCTAAATGCCCCAATTAAAAGACACAGGCTGGCAAATTGGACAGAGTCAAGACCCATCGATGTGCTGTATTCAGGAGACCCATCTCACATGAAAAGACACAGATAGGCTCAAAATAAAGGGATGGAGGGAAATTTACCAAGCAAATGGAAAGTAAAAAAAAAGCAGGGGTTGCAATCCTAGTCTCTGATAAAAGGACTTTAAACAAACAAAGATCAAAAAAGACAAAGAACGGCACACATAATGTTAAAGGAATCAATGCAACAAGAAGAGCTAACTATCCTAAATATATATGCACCCAATACAGGGGCACCCAGATTCATAAAGCAAGTTCTTAGAGACCTACAAAGAAACTTAGACTCCCACACAATAGTTGTGGGAGACTTTAACACCCCCTGTCAATATTAGACAGATCAATGAGACAGAAAATTAACAAAGATATTCAGGACTTGAACTCAGCTCTGGACCAAGGAGACCTAATAGACACCTACAGAACTCTCCACCCCAAATCAACAGAATATACATTTTTCTCAGCACCACATTGCACTTATTCTAAAATTGATCACATAATTGGAAGTAAAACACTCCTCAGCAAATTCAAAAGAATGGAAGTCATAACAAACTGTCTCTCAGACCACAGTGCAACCAAATTAGAACTCAGGATTAAGAAACTCACTCAAAACTGCACAACTACATGGAAACTGAACAACCTGCTGCTAAGTGACTACTGGGTAAATAACAAAATTAAGGCAGAAATAAAGAAGTTCTTTGAAACCAGTGAGAACAAAGACACAACATACCAGAATCTCTGGGACTCAGTTAAAGCAGTGTTTAGAGGGAAATTTATAGCACCAAATGCCCATGGGAGAAACTGGGAAATATCTAAAATCAACACCCTAACATCACAATTAAAAGAACTAGAGAAGCAAGAGCAAACAAATTCGAAAACTAGCAGAAGACAAGAAATAACTAAGATGAGCGCAGAACTGAAGGAGATAGAGACACGAAAAACCCTTCAAAAAATCAATGAATCCAGAAGCTGGTTTTTTGAAAAGATTAACAAAATTGACCACTAGCCAGACTAATAAAGAAGAAAAGAGAGAAGAATCAAATAGACACAATAAAAAAAGATAAAGGGGAGATCACAATTGATCTCACAGAAATACAAACTACCATCAGAGAATACTATAAACACCTCTATGCAAATAAACTAGAAAATCTATAAGAAATTGATAAATTCCTGGACACATACAACCTCCCAATACTAAAGCAGGAAGAAGTCAAATCCTTGCATAGACCAATAACAAGTTCTGAAATTGAGGCAGTAATTAATAGCCTACCAATCAAAAAAGCCAAGGAACAGACGGATTCACAGCCGAATTCTACCACATATAAAAAGAGTTGCTTCTGAAAGTATTCCAAACTGAAATTATTCCTTCTGAAACTATTCCAAACAATGGAAAAAGAAAGACTCATTCCTAACTCATTTTATGAGGCCACCATTATTCTGATACCAAAACCCAGCAGAGACACAACAAAAAAAGAAAATTTCAGGCCAATATCCCTGATGAACGTTGATGTGAAAATCCTCAAAAAACAACAACAAAAAATACTGGCAAACCGAATCCAGCAGCACATCAAAAAGCTTATCCACCACAATCAAGTTGGCTTCATCCTTGGGATGCAAGGCTGGTTCAACATATGCAAATCAATAAACGTAATCTATCACATAAACAGAATCAATGACAAAAACCACATGATTATCTCAATAGATGCAGAAAAGGCCTTCAATAAAATTCAACACCTCTTCATGCTAAAAACTCCCAATAACCTAGGTATTGATGGAACATATCTCAAATTAATAAGAGCTATTTATGACAAACCCATAGCCAATATCACACTGAATGGACAAAAGCTGAAAGTATTCCTTTTGAGAACTGGTACAAGACAAGGATGCCCTCTCTCACCACTCCTATTCAACATAGTACTGGAAGTTCTGGCCAGGGCAATCAGGCAAGAGAAAGAAATAAAGGGTATTCAAATAGGAAGAGAGGAAGTCAAATTGTCACTGTTTGCAGATGACATGATTGTATATTTAGACAACCCCATTGTCTCAGCCCAAAATCTCATTAAGCTGATGAGCAACTTCAGCAAAGTCTCAGGATACAAAATCAATGTGCAAAAATCACAAGCATTCCTATATGCCAATAATAGACAAGCAGAGAGCCAAATCACGAGTGAACTTCCATTCACAATTGCTACAAAGAGAATAAAATACCTTGGAATACAACTTACAAGGGATGTGAAGGAACTCTTCAAGGAGAACTACAAACCACTGCTCAATGAAATAAGAGAGGACACAAACAAATGGAAAGACATTCCATGCTCATGGATAAGAAGAATCAATATCATGAAAATGGCCATACTGGCCAAAGTAATTTATAGATTCTATGCTATCCCCATCAAGCTACCATTGATTTTCTTCACAGAATTATTAAAAACTACTTTAAATTTCATATGAAACCAAAAAAGAGCCCATATATCCAAGACAATTCTAAGCAAAAAAGAACAAAGCTGGAGGTATCATCCTACCTGACGTCAAACTATACTACAAAACAAGTTTGGCTATAGTAACCAAAACAGCATGGTACTGGTACCAAAACAGATATATAGACCAATGGAACAGAACAGAGGCCTCAGAAATAATGCCACACATCTACAACCATCTGATCTTTTGTCTGATCAAACCTGAAAAAAACAATCAATGGGGAAAGGATTCTCTATTTAATAAATGGTGCTGGGAAAACTGGCTAGCCATATGCAGAAAACTGAAACTGGACCCCTTTCTTACACCTTATGTAAAAATTAGCACAAGATGGATTAAACACCTAAATGTAAGACCTAAAACCATAAAAACCCTAGAAGAAAACCTAGGCAATACCATTCAGGACATAGGCATGGGCAAGACTTCATGACTAAAACACCAAAAGCAATGGCAACAAAAGCCAAAATTGACAAATGCAATCTAAGTAAACTAAAGAGCTTCTGCACAGCAAGAGAAACTATCATCAGAGTGAACAGATAACTTACAGAATGGGAGAAAATTTTGCAATCTATCCATCTGAAAAAGGGCTAATATCCAGAATCTACAAGAAACTTAAACAAATTTACAGGAGAAAAACACCCCCCTCCAAAATTGGGCAAAGGATATGAACAGACACTTCTCAAAAGAAGACATTTATGTGGCCAACAAACATATGAAAAAAAGCTCATCATCACTGATCATTAGAAAAATGCAAATCAAAACCACAATGAGATACCATCTCACTCCAGTTAGAATGACAATCATCAAAAAGGAAACAACAGATGCTGGAGTAGATGTGGAGAAATAGGAACGCTTTTACACTGTTTGTGGGAGTGTAAATTAGTTCAGCCATTGTGGAAGACAGTATGGTGATTCCTCAAGGATCTAGAACCAGAAATACCATTTGACCCAGCAATCCCATTACTGGGTATATACCCAAAGGATTATAAATCATTCTACTATAAAACACGTGCACATGTATGTTTATTGCAGCACTATTCACAATAGCAAAGACTTGGAACCAACCCAAATGCCCATCAATGACAGACTGGATAAATAAAATGTGGCACATATACACCATGGAATACTATGCAGCCATAATAAAGAATGAGTTAATGTCCTTTGCAGGGACGTGGATGAAGCTGGAAGCCATCATTCTCAGCATACTAACACAGGAACAGAAAATCGAACACCACATGTTCTCTCTCATAAGTGGGAGTTAAACAATGAGAACACATGGACACAGGGAGGGGAATATCACACACTGGGGACTATCAGGGGGTGGGGGGCTACGGGAGGGATAGCATTAGGAGAAATACCTAATGTCGTTACAGGTTGATGGGTGCAGCAAACCATCATGGCACGTGTATACTTGCATAACAAACCTGCATGTTCTGCACATCTATCCCAGAACTTAAAGTATATATATATCCACCATGGCAAGGTATGCTTGCTTCCCCTTCACTTTCCTCCAGATTATAAGTTTCCTGAGGCCTCTCAGCCATGCTTCCAGTATATCTTGCAGAACTGTGTGTCAATTAAGCCTCTTTTCTTTATGAATTATCCAATCTCAGGTAGTTCTTTCTTTAAATATATATATATAAAGATATATATAAATATAAATATATATTATATATTATATATAAAGATATATATAAATATAAATATATATTATATATTATATATAAAGATATATATAAATATAAATATATAATACACATATAAATATATATAATATATATAAATATACATAATTTATGCATATATTTAAAGAAATATATAAATATATATATTTAAAGTATATATAATATATATGTATATGTATATGTATATAATATATATTTATATTTTTATATATATAATATATATTTATATTTTTTATATATAATATATATATATATTTATATATATATATTTAAAGAAAGAACTACCTGAGATTAGATAATTCATAAAGAAAAGAGGCTTAATTGACACACAGTTCTGCAA
Organism: Homo sapiens; assembly: GCF_000001405.40. Classification (NCBI taxonomy): domain Eukaryota; kingdom Metazoa; phylum Chordata; class Mammalia; order Primates; family Hominidae; genus Homo; species Homo sapiens. The sequence continues at coordinate 144,441,671 of NC_000004.12, forward strand.
GACATACTGGAAGCATGGCTGAGAGGCCTCAGGAAACTTATAATCTGGAGGAAAGTGAAGGGGAAGCAAGCATACCTTACCATGGTGGATCAAGAGAGAGAAAGAGAAGGGGGACGTACTCTACACTGTTAAACAACCAGATCTCATGAGAACTCTATCATGAGACAGTACTGGGGGATAATGCTAAACCATTAGAAACCACTCCCATAATTCATTCAGCTCCCACCAGGTTCCTACCCCAACACTGGGGATTATAATTCAACATGAGATTTAGATGGAGACACAGAACCAACCATATCATTTTGCCCCTGGCCCCTCCCAAATCTCATGTTTTTCTCACATTTCAAAACACTAATGCCTTTCTAATTGTCACCCAAAGTCTTAACTCATTCCAGCATTAACTCCAAAGTCCAAGTTAAAAGTCCCTGAGACAAGGCAAGCTGCTTCCACCTGTGAGTCTGTGAAATCCAAAACAAGTTTGTTACTTCCCAGATACAACAGGGGTACAGGCATTGGGTAAATGCTCCCATTCCAAAAAAGAGATATTGGCCAAAATAAAGGGTCTACAGGCCCCATGCAGTTCCAAAACCCAACAAGGCAGTCATTATATCTTAAAGCTCTAAAATAATCTCCTTTGAATCCATGTCTCACATCCAGGCCACACTGGTGCAAGGGGTAGCCTCCCACTGCCATGGGCAGCTTTTGGGCAGCCATGGGCTCTGGAAGGTATGCCCCTGAAGCTGCTTTCACAGGCTGGTATTGAGTGACTGTGACTTTTCCAGGTACACGGAGCAAGCAGTCTGTGGATCTACCATTCTGAGGTCTGGAGGATGGTGGCTGTCTTTTCACAGCTCCACTAGGCAGTGCACCAGTGGGGACTGTGCAGGCTTCAACTTCACATTTCCCCTCTGCACTGCCCTAGTAGAGGTTCTCCACGAGGGCTCTGCCCCAGCAGCAGACTTCCACATAGACATCCAGGCATTTCCTTACATCCTCTGAAGTCTAGGTGGAGGCTCCCAAACCTCAACTCTTGTCTTCTCTGCACCTGCAGGCCCAATACCATGTGGAAGCCACCAAGGCTTGGGGCTTGCACCGCCTGAAGCAATGGCTCAAGATGTACCTTTGCCCCTTTTAGCTGTGATTGGAGCTAGAGTGGCTGGGATGCAGGATATGCCGAGGCTGCACAGAGCAGGGGGCCTAGGCCTGGTCCATGAAGCCATTTTTCCCTCATAGGCCTCCGGGCCTTGAAGGGAGGGACTGCCACAGTGGTCTCTGAAATGCCTTTGAGGCATTTTCCCCATTGACTTGGCTATTAACATTCAGCTCTTGTTTACTTATGCAAATTTATGCAGTCTTTAATTTTTCACTAGAAAATTGTTTTTTTCTTTTCTACCACATATTCAGGCTGCATATTTTCTAAACTTTTATGCTCTGCTCCCCTTTTAAATATGTTATCTTTGCTATGCAAATGAGACAGGGATTTAGAAGCAGCCAGGCTACATCTTGAACACTTTGCTGCTTAGAAATTTCTTCTACCAGACACCCTAAGTCATGTCTCTCAAGTTCAAAGCTCCACAGATCCCTACAGCAGGGGAACAATGCTGTCAGTCTGTTTGCTAAAGCATAGCAAGAATGACCTTTGCTCCAGCTTCCAGTAAATTCCTCATCTCCATCTGAGAGCACCTCAGCGTAGACTTCCCTGCCCGTATTACTAACAGCATTTTGGTCACAACCATTAAATAAGCCTCTATGAAGTTCTAAGCTTCCCCACATCTTCCTGTCTTCTTCTGAGCCCTCCAAACTGTTCCAATCTCCTAACAGGCACTGTTACCCAGTTCCAAAGCTGCTTCCACATTTTCAGGTATTTTTATAGCAATGCCCCACTCCTGGTATCAATTTTCTTTATTAGTCCATTTTCACAGTGCTATAAAGAACTATCCAAGACTGGGTAATTTATGAAGAAAAGAAATTTAATTGACTCACAGCTCCACAGGCTGTATAGCAAGCATGACTGGGAGGCCTCAGGAAACTTACAATTATGGCAGAAGGCAAAGGTGAAGCAAGCATGTCTTACCATGGTGGAGCAGGAGAGAAAGAGAGAAGGGGGAAGTGCTACACACTTTTAAACAACCAGATCTCATGAGAACTCTATCACCAGACAACACTAGGGGGATGGTGCTAAGCCATTAGAAACTATTTTCATGGTCCAATCACTTTCCCCAAACATTGCGGATTATAATTCAACATGAGATTTGGGTGGGGACACAGAGACAAACTGTATCATCTGCACCTGAATGTTTATCAACAGCACTATTTATAATAACAAAAGATATGGGATCAACTTAAGTGTTCATCAGTGCATACATGAATACATAAAATGTGGTATATATACACAGTGGAACACTATTCAGCCATAAAAAAGAATGAAATCATGTCATTTTCAGGTACACAGATGTAACTGAAGGTCACTATGTTAATTGAAATAAGCCAGACACTGAAAGACAAATACTGCATGATTTTATTCATATGTGGGAGCAAAAACACTTAATCTTACCAACATAGAAAATAGAAAGATAGATATCGGAGATAAAGAAGTGGGGGTAGGGAGGATGAAGAGATTGGCTATGGGTAAAAATACACAGTTACGTGAAAATAAGTAAGTTCTAATGTCTGACAGCAGAGTAGGATGACTGTACTTAGCAAAAATACTGTGTATATTTCAAAGTAACTAGTATAGAGGTCTTGAAATTATACTAACATATAAAATGATAAACAATCAAGGTGATAGATACTCCAAATATTCTCATTTGATCATTACACATTCTATGCAGGTAACAAATACTCAAATGTATCCAATAAATATGTAAAATATTACATATGAATGAAAGAGTAAATAAATAAATAAGCCTCAGTGAAAATACTATGAGTCTATAAACACTGTAAGATCATCTTTGAACCAAAAAGGGAGTCAATATCAGTATCTCATTTTCCTTTCTTCCAGAAGATTCCTCTCCTTGGCTAAATTTATGGTTAAAAATAGATTAATAAAGGAAGTAACTGTCCCATAGGATAAAGACTCAAAGAAAATAGATATATTGGCTTCCAAATAATGTCAAGCTCCTCAGTTTTAACATATTTTTGCAATTTAAATAGTAAAGCAATGAATACTAAACCATAAGATATGACCATTCCGAAGATTCTGGATTCATATGATACAATTACTTTTCCAGGTATTTGAATATTTTACTATCATGCACATTGTGTGTGCTTTTTTGTTAACTTGATTAGAAAATATAATTTTAAATCTTTAAGATTATATCTAATGAGGTTAAACATATTTTTAAATATTCGATAGTATTAGTATTTCTTCTATTGTGAAATAATTGTTTATATTTATTCTTCATATAACTATTTGAGTTCGAGTTGCTTCTCTTTACATATTTTGGATAGTGGTACTTTTAATAATTGGTTTCTAAAGCTTTCCAGTTTGAACATCAATTTATAAGCTTTTAAACACACGAAGACTTCTAGTTTTTAGATATTTAAACATATTAATTTTAAATTTTATAATTTTAAAACATTATTTTAATTCCTTCCCTATCTATTCAGAGAATAAGCAAATATTTGTTTCTAATTTCTTCTACCTTTTATGGCTTAATTTGTTTACATTACTACTGTTATTGATCTGGAGTTGATTTTAATATCCACAGGCAGTAAGATTCTAAATTGATTTCTTTTTTTAAAAATAGATATCAATTTCTCTTAGCATTAATATCTTTGCATAATCTATTCATTCTTAAAGAGTTTGACATGCCTCTTTTAAAAAATAAGTATTAACCACTTATATATATCTTATGGTCTATTCCTGGTTTTTCTCTGTTATTTATTTTATACAACTCTTGAGCCAGTTCTACACAAATTTAATTATTAGTACTTTGTGGTATGTTTACATATCCAATAGACATATTTGCCAACCATTTACCCAAATGCCATGTGTTATCACTCTTCAAAAATATTTCCTTTGAGTTATTTTTAATGGTGTAGTTTATCATCATAATACATATTTTATAGACAAAACAGAATCTTTTCTATATATTGAGTTCTCATTGTGAACGTCGGAAGTTTTATTACATTGTGATACTGTGGTAATCTCTGCACATTTGTACTTAAATAGTATTGTGGTATGTTTCACCTAAAAAATACTTCATGTTTAGTAATGTTTGGAAAGTATTGCCTATTTCACCCCTCTTTAGGAGATTCAAAATGAAAATGAGCATATAAAATGTGGCTTATATATACTGTGGAATACAATGCAGTCATAAAAAAGGATGAGTTCACATCCTTTGCAGGGACATGGATGAAACTGGAAACCATCATTCTCAGCAAAGTAGTACAAGAAGAGAAAACCAAACACCGCATGTTCTCACTCATAAGTGGGAGTTGAACAATGAGAACACATGGACACAGGGAGGGGAATATTACACATTGAAGCCTGTTAGGGGGTGGTGGGCTGGGGGAGGGGTAGCATTAGGAGAAATACCTAATGTAAATGACGAGTTGATGGGTGCACCAAACCAACGTGGCACATGTATACCTATGTAACAAACCTGCATGTTCTGCACATGCACCCCAGAACTTAATGTATAATAATAATAATAATAAAGGGAATGTTAGCAGGAGAGCAAAGATGAGGAAATAGAAAAATGTAGGGGTGTCCTTGGAATCTTGAGAGGATCATGTATGAGTAGAATATAGTAGGAGTAGATAATAAAAATAGTTTTCATTTTCAAAAAAAAAGAAAACGAGCATATAAAAGAGAAATAAAGAAATCATACATACAGAAATCTATGCAATATTGTTTAACTGGGTGTTTTCTAAATTTTTATTTTATTATATGTTTTCTTTATAATGACAAGCATACCTTGGAGATATTGCAGGTTTGGTTCCAGAACACCACAATAACGTTAATATCACAATTACGCGAGTCACACAAATTTTTTGGTTCCCCAGTTTATATAAAAGTTATGTTTACATCATATTGTAGTCTATTAAGTGTGCAATAACATTACTTTTATTTTAAGAAGTACATACCTTAACTAAAAATGCTTTATTGCTAAAACATTCTTGCAATCTTTTGAGCCTTTAGCAAGTTGTAATCTTTTTACTGGTGGAGGGTCTTGCCTTGATGGTGGTGGCTGTGGACTGATCAGGGTGATAGTTGCTAAAGGCTGAGGTAGCTGTGACAGTTTCTTTAAAAAAGACAACAGTGAAGTTTGCCACATCAATTGAGCTTCTTTCACAATATATATTTCTCTGTAGCATGTGATGCTGTTTGGTAGACTTTTATCCAAAGTAGAACGTCTATCAAAATTGGAGCCAGTCAACCATCTCAAACCCTGCTATGCTTTATCAATTAAGTTTATGTAATATTCTAAATTCATTGTTGTCATTTCGGCAGTGTTCCCAGTATCTTCAACAGAAGAAAATTTCACCTCAAAAAACTACTTTATTTGCTCATCCATAAGAAGCAAATTCTCATCCACTAGTTATATCATGAGATGGCAGCAATTCAATCACATCTTCAGGCTCCAATTCTAATCCTAGTTCTCTTGCTATTTCCAGCACATCAGCAGTGACTTCCTCAACTAAATCTTGAACTCCTCAAAGTCATCCACGAGGGTTGGAATCAGATTTTTCAAACTCCTGTTAATGTTGCTATTTTAACCTTCTCCCATGAATCATGAATGTTTTCATGACATCTAGAATGCTAAATCCTTTCCAGAATGTTTTCAATAGATTTTGCCAAGATCCATTAGAGGAATCACTATCTATGACAGTTATATCCCTATGAAATGTATTTCTTAAGTGATAAAAGTTGAAAATCAAAAGTGACTCTTTAAACCACGGGATACAGAATGGGTGTTGTGTTAGCAGGTGTGAAAACCACATTATTCTCCTTGTACATCACATCTTCATCAGAGCTCTTGAGTATCTAAGTGCATTGTCAAAGGGCAGTAATATTTTGAAAGAAATCTTTTTTTTCTGGGGAGTAGTTCTCAAAAATGGGCTTAAAATCTTTAGTAAACCATTATGTAAGCAGATGTGCTGTCATCCAGGCTTTGTTGTTCTACTTACAGATCACAGGCAGAGTAAAGTTAGTGTAATTGTTAAGGGCCCTAGAATTTTCAGAATGGTCAATGAACATTGGCTTCAACTTGGTCACCAGATGCCCTTAACAGGAGAGACTGCCTGTTCTTCGGAGCTTTGAAGCCAGGCATTAGCTTCTCTTCTCTAGCTATGAAAGTCCTAGATGTATCTTCTTTTAGTAGAAGGCTGTTTTGTTTACCTGGAAGATCTGTTGTTTAGAGTAGCCACTTTCATCAGTTTTCTCAGCTAGATAAATTGATAAATCACTGCAGTTTCTATAACAGCACTTGGTGCTTTACCTTGCTTCTATGTTGCAGAGACAGCTTCTTTTCTTCAACTTCATGAACCAACCTCTGCTAGCTTTAGGCTTTTCTTGTGTAGCTTCCATACTTCTGTCAGCCTTTCTAGAATTGAAGAGGGTTAGAGCCTTGCTCTGGATTAGACTTTGCTTTCACTTAAGAATGTTGTGGTTGGTTTGATCTTCTAATTGGACAACTCAAACTTTCTACCTATCAGCAATAAGGCTGTTTTGCTTTCTTATTATTCACATGTTCACTGGAGTAACACTTTTAATTTTCTTCATGAACTTTTTCTTCGCATTCACAACTTGATTGTTTGGTGCAAGAGGCCTAGCTTTTGGCCTGTCTCTACTTTCTACACGTCTTTCTCACTAAGCTTAATCACTTCTAACTTTTTTTTTTTTTTTTTGAGACAGAGTCTCACTCTGTCACCAGGCTAGAGTGCTGTGGCACGATCTCAGCTCACTACAACCTCCAATTCCCTGGTTCAAGCAATTCTCCTGGCTCATCCTTCTGAGTAGCTGATATTACAGGCATGCGCCACCATGCCTGGCCAATTTTTGTATTTTTAGTAGAGATGGAGTTTCAATATGTTGGCCAGGATGGTCTCGATCTCCTGACCTCGTGATCCATCCACTTTGGCCTCCCAAAGTTCTGAGATTACAGGCATGAGCCACTGGGCCTGGCCAATCACTTTTAGCTTTTGATTTAAAGTGAGAGACATGTGAGTCTTTTTTTCACTTAAACAAATAAATTCATCATAGGGTTATTGATTGACCTAAATTCAATGTTGTTGTGTCTCAGGAAGTGGGGAGGTCCTAGGAAAGGACAAGCAATTGGGTCAGTGGAACAGTCAGAACACATACAACATTTATTGATTAAGTGTGCTGTCTTCTATGGGTTTGGTAAATGTCACCCCAAAAGAATTAAAATAGTAACTTCAAAGATCACCAATCACAGATCATTGTAACAGATATAGTAACTATGAAAAAGTTCAAATATTGCAAGAATTACCAAAATGTGACACAGAGACACCAAGAGAGCACTTGCTATTGGAAAAATGGTGCTGATAGACTTGCTCCTATGCAAGATTACCACATAATTACTTCAATTTGTGAAAAATGCAGTGTCTGCGAAGTGCAAAAATGTGAAGCACAATAAAATGAGGTGTGCTGATATTAATAAACCACCAAAATGGCTGTCACGTTCTATATGTTCTAAGCACGATATTCCCCTTTGGCTATGTCCTTTTTTCATCACTCTTGTCTGTAATGTTGATCGGTTCCCACATAAGCAGAGTATTACTACCTAGGAGTGCCCCTAGTTGGCAAAAGATAGAAATGGTTAAAGTCAGGCAGAGACACTGAATTTATGTTATGCCAGGCCCATCAAAGAGGTTTCCATTCCTTCATGCTGCAGGAGTGAATGGGAGTGACTTCAGTCAAGGAAAGAGAGAAGCTGGGCAGTGTTGTCCAAGTCTTCTGAAGAGAAGCAGAATTGTCGTAGTTAGCCTGCAGCCCCGCAGAAAGTGGGTCATTTCACCACCGAGGTGTGGCTCTGGGTAGCACTTCAGAGACACTGCGGTTAGGGAACAGTCCCTTTATTCATCACGGGGAAGATAGTGTTTTTCCTCTGCTGTGATAGATTTGCGCTGGCCCAGCAGCCTTTATGGTTAGGCGTGACTTCCTGAGGGATTTTCTCTGGATTCACAGAAGTTTCCCTGAATCCCAGGGAAAGCCTGACTCACCCACAGTCCTGTCAGGGTGGGGCTGGTATAACTTGGATGCAGCTTCGACTTGGCTGAACTTACATGACAGTAAGTTTCAGCCTGAAATCAGCTGCCTCTAGGAGAAATGGAAGAACATGATGCGGAAGGGGCCCCACGGAGGTGCTGACAGGGCAGTTGAGCCTCCTCTCAGTTTTCTCACTAGTACTCTAGGGTGGCACACTGGGGAGCTCGGAATTTTTTTTTTCTCTTCATAACTTCCTTTTTCTCTACAGCAGCCTCTCCAACAAGGTCATGTCTCCGGATATCCTAATAACTGATACCCTCATAAAACTCATGGTGCCTCAGACAATTGGATCTAAGCCTGGAGCTGACTTCTCAACTTTGATTCTTAGTCCTTAGTTCCCTTACAAAAATACTAAAGCTTCTTTTCAATACCATATCTTGTGTTCTTCATCACTTACGTTTCAAGAACAATCTTGTTCTATTTTAATGCTGCCCCTGGAAGAGGTACATAAATTCTCGCATGCTGTCGCTCATGTGCCGCTACAAACACACATCTGAATTCTCTAAACAAGCAGGATGATGGAGCTGTCTGGTCAATAAGTACCCCAAGGCAGGGAAGGGTCTGTTTGCCATGCCTTAAAGAAAACAGTAGCCAGACTCCAGATAAAGAGACCATATCAGGTTGACCCTGATGTTGGTCAGGAAAGTAAGTTGGTGAGGCAACTTAGAAAGAAGAAAAGGAGACACAAGGAAGGGAAAATTTACCAAGATATTTGAATCCCAGGTCTGAGCCTTACCAGTTGAGTGATTTCAGGTAATCTACTTACTCCAACTCATTTTTAGTTTCCTGCCACACAGGGACGGTAATGGTGCTTGCTTCACAGGAATGTCATAATCATTACGTGAGATAGGGTATCTACAATGCATCTGGCCCATAGTCATGCCAAGGAAATGTTAAGAATCATGTCAACAACAATGGACTTTCAGGGGTCACTGAAACCTTGGAGATTTAGGGTCCATGAGCAGTTTTTGAGAAAGGGGTTCATAAATTTTATTAAGAGTTCTCCAAATTATTAAAAGCTCTTGGAATAATGAAAAGCATTTTGAAAACAGTGAGAGTATCACTGTAGTAAAAGACAGTTTTTCCAGACAAATTGAGCTTTCCCAAGTTACAAAGATAAACATTTCCAAACTGTCATTCTTGATTGGAATGTACTCACTGCATTTTTTCGATGATTTAAATATTACTTTTCCTTCCTTAAAATTCAGGTTCCCTAAATACCTGTGTGGACCACTCTGGTGACACTTGCCTAGTTTCCTCCTTATAAACTTCTTCAGCCACAACCCAGCTGCTGGAAAGGCCTCAGATCTTATATCTTTCTTCAATGCCCAACACAATCCTTTGCCCATGGTTACTAATCAGCCAATGTATATCGCTGATAGTGATTTTTATCTATCACCATGTATGTAATTAGCTATTATGTATCACTGATGATTTTTGTCAAGGTATATTTCTATGTAGAGTATAATGAACTTCTGTGTAAGTCTACATAATGGACTATACCCTCTGCATAGCACAGCATCTACCATATCATAAGAGTTCATTAATGAAGGGTGATGAAGATAAAAAGAAATTGGGTACTGTGGGAAAGTTATATACCAACAAATGGCTATATTAGGCAGGTAAGACTACGAGGAAGTATTGTATTTTTTAAAAAAGTCACCATATGGAAACTATAGCCAACTCCCTCAGTATTTATTTCACATAAATATTAGTTTTCAAACATTTATGACTAGTATACCAAAAAAAGTCACTGGAACAATATATTTTCATCAGGAGACCGAGGTTTAAGTTTAAAGGATCAGCCACCCTTACATTCTGCTTGAGAACGAAGTCCAAGCCATAGTTTCATTAGTTTTCCTCTTATGGTCCTAGTAGAAGCACATCACACATCGTTGAGTTGTATATTTATAGAAGTTTCTCAGCACCACCCACGATAAACAGAATAAGAGAAGGAAGAATCTTAAAATTGAAAGGAACACAGCCAACACGGCAAGTAAATTATCTTTTGTGGTGATAGGGTTGGGAGAGAAAGGGGATATGTTTGTGCAAAGCAACCACAAAGTGCCATCAGAGCTATTGATGGATAAGCTGTTTCTGAAACCTCTGCTTTTTAAAGAAATCATATCAGCAGCACCAAGCAACCCATTTGGTACAGATCTGTCTTCCAACTGTTTTATGCAAAATGCTGATAAGCACAACTTAACTTGAGAGAGAAACTATATACATTTTTCATTTAAACACAGAGCAAATGGAAACCACAGGACATATACAGCTATGGGAGCAGGAGACAAATATGCTTAAGGGAGGTCAAGCAAAGCTGCTGGCTGGGTGGGACAAAATCCTAGCCAGGGCACAGAGTCAAATCAGAAATTGGCCACTGTGAGTGGAGGTGAATCCCTGCTGGAACATCAAACTGTTGCTGTTTTTCTCTTTCAAAAAAGATTTCTGCTTAAATTTTGTTAAAAATTCTAAAACAAATTTTATAGTACATTGATTAACAGCTTCTTTGCTGGCCAATTTTTTTTGTTTTTTTTTTAATGAAGATCCAAAATAGAATTAGAAAAATGAATTAACTGATGTGAATTATATTGTGTCTTCAGAGCAGAGGTGCATTTCCCAAGTTATGTTGGACAGAATGTTAATTCCATAGGATAGGCCTATGGAACAGGTGATATGCCAAATAAGTGGTTCTGAGGTCCAAGTTCTCATTCTCTTTGCTAATAACAAAGCTTGTACATCCAGACACAAACAAAACACAAGCTCAAAGCAAGAATTTATCTAACATGTTTTAATAAATGTCCCAGGGCATGTCCTAGGATTGGTCACAGTCAGTTTTGTGTCCTACTTTTACTTTTTTTCTCAGAGTATATTCAAGAGAACACTTGTTCCACCAAAATTACACAAATGCATACATACATGTTCATGTACAGACATAATACATGAGGAATGTATGTGGGAAAATAATCTAAAGAAATTCTGTCCTGATTTATCTTTAAAATAATCTAAAGAAATTCTGTCCTGATTTATCTTTAAAATAATCTAAAGAAATTCTGTCCTGATTTGTATTTAAAAATCCCAATGCATGTTAGTTAATCAAAGGCTCTAACTTGCCCTACAGTAGGAAAAAAACCTATTGAACCTGGCAGTTCCATAATTTATCTCATCATTAAATTCTTTTCCTTTTTAATAGGTAATATTTAATAACCCATGGGACATAAATCTCACTTCAGAATCTACCAGTATAGAAAAATATTTAGTAACATAAATTAAATTTAAAAGTATGAAAAAAAGTTCAAAAAACCCAACATAATAAAAACCTAAAGCCACAAAACAGTATGCACACTACGATCCTATTTTTATAATTACATATTTGTTGGCCCTGTTTTGCCATAACACAGATTTTTGTCAGAAAAAAAAATGTTATGGATACATTGTTTAAACTCTTAACACTGTTTTATTTGGCATGGGGTGGGGGGAAAGTACGAAGGGTATAACCCATTTTCTAAAGTTTCCAACCATTTAGTATCTATTAGGGTCATAACTGGAGCCAAACACCTTCAGTGAGTGACGGCCTGTCTTACTATGCTGGGTGTTGAATGTTGAATATTGAATGTCATGTGAAGTGCCTCAGGCTTCTATTTCTAGGCCTAATTGGGGCACCTGAAAAATATCCACTGAACTGAGTTTTGAATTGCCGGCATAATTAGTATAGTATATTGCAAGGAGACTCAAATATAATGCAAAGTATTTCCATGCTTTTTCTCCAAATGCCAACTTTAGGCAGTTGACCAAATAAGATTTAATCTTATTTGAAAGTCCCCTTGTTTTTTTTCCTCGAGTGAGCAAAAGCACTGGGTCTCTCTTTCAGCAAATGGGCAAAGAAGAGTTGAGCAGTAAGCCCTCACACCCCAGCCAGGAGCACAGAGACAAGAAGGAGCCAAGAAAAGTGCATGACCCTTTATTCCCTAGAAACCTCTCACTTTAAGGAAACCAGAGTTTACAAGAAGTTTGCTACAGCAGAGAAAAAGCTGAGGGGACTAATGAAGAAGGCAGAAATATAGCTTCGCCTTGAAGGAGATCATAATCCAATGCTTAGGACAGAATAATTGTAAGGAACAGGATTCACACAGTGAATCTGTGGCTCTAAGTCCTGAGCAACCAGGAACTAAGGACTCTAACTAGTGCTACAGATGATTAGAGATTAGAGAACTGGAGAATAGATGATTAGAGAACTGGAGAATAATGTACCACCCAGGAGAATGATCTGGAAAAACAATGTAAATAAATCTACCAAGGAGTGTGTGTGCATGCCTGTGTTAAGCACAGGTCTATTGAAGGAGTTATAAAACTGGCCCATGCCCTCAGGGAGAGGCTTGCTTTCTGGCTGGCTAGATGACATACCTAGGGAAAATGTGAAAAAAAAATAAATAAAAACAGTATATAATTTAGTTCTAAATGATGGCATAGAGCCTGGCACAGAGCCTGGAAAATAGGCACTTAATACATGTTTATTGAACTTAATTAGATCTATAAGCTGTCAGAAGGCTAGACAGGAGACCTTGGCAAAATCATACAGAAAATGAGAGTCATTATTTATTTTTAATAAACAATGACAGAAACAATGGCATAGGCGGTAAAATAAACTTTGGGGACAAGTTGAGGAGAGGACAATTAAAAAAGTTTTAACTATAAAAATCAACAGTTAAAAATGGTTTTAATGTTCCTTTCCTATTAAATTTAAGTTCTAAGAAGGTAAATGACAATCAGGACAGGTGTCCAAGGACCACAGTTTCTGGTAAGAAAGATTAAGAAGAGATGAGACTTGAAAGAGGCAAACTAACAATGGGTCTATTTTTAGATGTATCCTACTGCCATTATGACAATATTACTTTGGAATAATTTCCAGGTTTTGATGATTGACTCATTGTAAAAGGCTGAGGAAAGACCATATTCAAGGCTCAGTAAACACAATTCAGTTATTCTCAAAAGCTAGTTGAATAATCAACCACCATAAAGAATATATTATGGTGATCTTAACATATTCATCCCAATTCTTATAATAAAAAGGCATGTTAAGAATTTCATTACTTGGTATGCTTTAAACTATTAACTCTAGTGCAATGAAAATGTGTATGTGCATGCAAATATATGTTTGGAAACTTGAGATTCTTATCTGATATATGGATTCCAGCAAAATAAACAAGGATTAAATTAGGCTTGAATAGTAATAATCTGAACAGGTAAAAATATACCCATCACACTGGTATAATGATATAACGGTGAGGGGGGAAAAAAGGACATGGAGGAAGCTTTTTCGTTAGTAGGTACACATTTTTCCAAGTAATCTGTGTCCAAATAGGAGGTGAGCCTTCTCAAAATGAATTCTAATTTTCCAGGTGTTCACATAGCAAACCCCTAATGAACCTGACCCTAGGATGGCTCTGGTTGCATGGCCAGAGTCTTGTATTCATTGGCCTATTGCTTAAATATTAATCTTCTATTCAGCTTTCTTGGTTGTCCATGGCAAAGGGTGCATTCCATGCACATCAAAGATAGGTAGAAGACATCATTCCTTAACATGTAATTCACATGTCTCCCTTCATCATAGGTGAAGTCACAAAATTTCCAGACCACATAACAAAACTCATTTGTATCATTGCTTATAAAATTGTTAAATACTTTAATTATGTATTTCTGCAATCTTAGGCATTGTTTGTTCTTTCACACATCTGTCCTCTGTGCTTGTTTGGAGAAGTAGACCCTGAAGAGTATGGCCTCATGCATTTTGGTTAGTGCCAGGGCAATGTCAAAAATATATATGGTCATCGGTTTTTGTTGAAGATTATTGTTCAGAGTGAAGATCAGAAGAACATTCTGAACCAGGCTTTGCATGAGTTGAGTTACCAATATGTCATGTAGTGCTAAAAACTCAAAGAAAACTTTGCAGGTTAGAGGGGTAGAGGAAAAAAAGTTACTTGTATTTTATATCACATACTTTAATTATATTAAGAAACTGCTCACCTTCTCTTTCAACCTGGGAATTTTAGGAGACAGGAATAATAAAGGACCTTCTAACACCAGGATGATTTCTATGCATTAAGTTTCATCATTCATTTAATTTCATAAAGGCATTTTTATTCCTGAAATTATTGCTCTAGATAAGAAAATCTCTTATCTGAAATAAGACCCACAGAACATATTTTGGCAGTGTCCCTTTACTAAAGAGTGGTATTCAGTATCAGGACTTGTTTTTCTCCCAAAGACAGATACCACCAATGTTACACTGCATTCGCAATGGAAATCATCACTTGGGCACTGAATCCAGCCACAGAGGATTTGGCAAAACAGCTGTAACCTCTTCTCTCTCCTCACCAGTAGGAACCCCACCACAGTTTTCCATCCGTTGGTGACCTCCATCCCAGATTACCTCAATGCCCTTTGCTCAGGGATATGGTTAAAGACCTCCCAGAAGCTCCAGCTGTTGGTACAGAATGTATCAGTTGTCTAGTTATTAACAGTCATAGGCTGACATGACTGCAGTGTCTCTGAATCCCCAGGGCTCATGTGGCTGGTGGTCCCCAGCTCTTTCATCAGCCTGAGTCACTGACTTTTTCAAGAGGTTATATTGAGCCCATTCATAGTTTGCAACTTTTGAACCTCCATGTAAGTTAATCACTTCTAGGCAAGGCGGTGGATTAGATATAAGTAAAAGGCAGAAAACACTCTTGAGAAGGGATAGATGTAAAAGTAAGTTTTGGTGAGTTCCCTCAGCTTTGCACAATGAATTAGGCAGACACTAGCAGTAAGGAAAGTATTATTCCACAACGTTGCCACGGAATGCACATGCTTGCCAGCTGGAGGCTAGAGACTCTGTAACAAGATGGTCCCCCCATTCAGGTCCTACCATCACAACAACAAGATTTGGAGGAAAATGAGCATGAGGCAGCAATTTTCAGCAGAGAACATACAACTTGATTCTGCTTCTTCTAGCCTTCAGTGAAACTCAAGGTTATCACCTACTAACCCAGGTCTCTTGACTGTGGGAACCTGATCAGCTATTACAAGGCAAAATATCATTGTCAAATGTTTCACTTCCAAAAATTTGCTTTTGTAACATGCTAGCTTGGAAATCAGAATGACTCTTCAGTGTACCAATGACATGGAAAGCTCTGAAATACTTAGTGGTTATCTGGGTTCATGTTAGTCCAGTATTTTTGGTTTGAGATAGTCAAGAAGTGTTTAAAACTGGGCAACAGAAAACAGTTTGAAAACATTAATTAAGAATAATTAAAATAACATTATGGATACACTATATGATGGTTTATTATAATAGTTAACTCAGGCACATGTTATAGTGATGACTTCTGTTCACTCAGAGAAATCAGTTATGATTGCTGACAGCAAAATGGAGCTGAGTTCAAAGAAGACAGTTCATACGCAAACAGGGCAATCAGCATCCAGCTCTGTGACAAAAGATGCTGAAGAGTAGGTAGAATGACCTATCCAGGTATTAAGGTGAAATCATCCATTGTCCAAAGAGGAAGAAACTCATAATTAAGCATTTTAAGTTAATGGCCACTCATAAGTTGAGAAAGTTAAATGTCATGGAAAAATGGAGTTAGCTCAATTTGTATAACTAATTCCCAGAATTAATGTTTTTTGCTACTGAGTGTATTAAAGTAACTCTGTAGAAAGTTATTGTTCATTGTTCAGTCATTCCCATGAGTTTTACAAAAGAGGAACTATGACAAATCAGCATAGTCAGTAGAAATATTATATAAGGAAATACATTTTAAAATATTTTGACACAGATGCTACCTATATGTTACAAATAGGTGTGTGGTTTTATTAAGCAGGCAATTTTTTCTCAGTAAGGATCATAATTATCTCCCTCTAAATAGCTGGAATTTCAGCTGGATTCCTTACTACGTCCTCCTCACAGCACCACTTACCTTCATTCTGATCCCCACAAGGGTCTCAGCCAGTTACCAGCTGCAGGGCTCTGTGACTGTCTGGGTTTAACTGCTTGTTGAGTGATCCTACCAATGGCTTCACCATCCCAAGGACTCTGCCCCATGGGAGCTGCACATTGCCTTACCCTATACCAGGATCAATTTTCCCACATACTCCTTTGCATTTGAAGACCCTTTGGACTCGGCTCCCTAAGAACATTACTTTGGCTTTTGTAGTCCCTAAGGGTCACTATCTTTCAGCGTAAATCAAGGATTTGGGTCATAAGAGTCCAGGTTGCCTGAGACTCCTAAAAGCCAGTCTGGGGACAAGTATCAGTCTGTGTTGTGGTTTTGTAACCATCTGCAGCAAAAATTAGGAGGGAGACAAATGTCAAGATAATGGATTTTTTTTTCATAAAGTTAAATGTAAACTCTATAAAAGCTATTCATAGATTAATCTTACATACTTCTTACCCTTCTACTTTTTGGTGTTCTTTTTTCTCAAAAAATGATGGCAATTGATTGCAGGTTTTCCTAAATGTTCTTACTTTGCTAAAAATAAAGATTAAAACTATGTGTTATTATTTTTTCATCCTTCCTGCTTCTTTCCTCTTGCCCTTCCTTCTTCTTTTCTTTTTTATTTGTTTGTTTGTTTGTTTGTTTTTATTTTACTGATCCTTGGTGGAAAACATGGTGTCGTGAACTCTCACTGGTCCCCAGGCTATCCTGCCAGGCTGTGAATGCTCTTCTTCTACTGATCCTTTGGTTCCTATTAGACTGATCCTTTGGTTCCTATTAAACCTCTTCAAACTCTATTTTCCATGAAGGGATACTAGTAAGACTATCAGGAAGGAAGGAAAGAAGGGATAAAGGGAGGAATGAAGGCAGGGAAGGAGGGAGGAGGGGAGGAAGGGAGGGAGGAAGGAAGGAAGAACGGAAAAGAGGAAGGAAGGGAGGGAGGAAGGAAGGAAGAACGGAAAAGAGGAAGGAAGGGAGGGAGGGAGGAAGGGAAGAAGGGAAGGAGGGAGGAAGGGGGAGGGGAGGGAGGGGAAGAGATTCTGTCACTCTGGTCTTCTTTGTTTTCCACTCAAAATGTTTTCTCACTCAAGCTTAACTTTGTCACAATTCAGCATTGACTGAGAGTCATTTTCCCCTTCATATCCTATAAATTTGGGTTTAACACATACCATCTGAGTAAATTCAGTGGATCCAGAGAGAGTGTGGCCCACTTTTACTCTAGTGAACTCTAGAGTGACTAGATCACTCCTGTGACAGCTTCTTTTTGACATAATGTATCAGAATGTGGAAATGTGCGTAGGCTTGAAAAGCCCCTGAGCACTCCTGGGACTAATCTGGCCTCTTTCAAGATGCTAAAGCAGGAGACAAGTGAGAAGGAGGCTAAGATCCTATAATTCCAGCCCTGCACTCTCTGGCAGAGTGATTTAAATATCATTAATTTAAATGAGACCCCTAATTATAAATGTCATTTTACAATTTGGGCTCTCATTTTCTTTACCCACGACAATGGAAGATTAAAACCTACCAGCCAAGGTTGTTGTAATATGAAGAAGCAAGGCCATTTGAGTCCCCACAGGACCACTGCTAGACCAGAGTGGCCCCACTCTGATGTTTTCAGTCCACCTCAGACTGGGCTCCAGAGTTAAAGTGCAGCAAAATACAAGATTGTTAATTTTGAAATACAAGGGGCCAGCAATTAATAGTTCAATTATCCATTAAAATTTCAGCTGCAGACTAGAAAGAGAAATACTTTGTTTCTATAAGTAATATTTATCTCAAGACACCCAAAGACCAATTTTTGTTTTCATTAATATCAGAAATAAGGTAAAGATATTCATTACTGCCACCATTAGGATTCTTTGCAGGTTTTAGTCAATAGATTAAGATACTAAACATAACTAAGATAATTAATGACTGAAAAGGGAAGTAGAAATCATCTTAATTTCTCATGTAATTGTCTAAAAGAAGACAATATAAGCAAACGGTAAGCAACTATAACTAATAAAAGAATTATAGCAAGGAGAGGTGAACATTAAGAAAAATATACAAAATCGGTAAATAAATAACCAGTTAGAAAATACAATGCCGAATATTTCATTTAAAAAATATATAATTACTAGAAAACCGCCCCCCCAATGTAAAATACATTAAATTGTTAAAGTGATTATTAGACAACGAATAGCAAGGGGATGGAAGTGGGCATCAGTGGCTGGTGTCTATTCACTGGAGAATCAACAGGGACAGGCCAGGGTGAGGAAGCAAAGGGCAAAGGCAGAGACGTGGGGAGGGGCAGGAGTCTAGTTAAAGTGGAAGTTTAAATTGAAACCAGGGGATAAACTGGTTATTTAGAGTCTTAAAATCTAAGCAGAGGCATTTAAACCTGATACAGAAAAAAAAAAAATAGACACAAGAATTAACAAAGGAAAAGCAATGCTGATGCAGAAGATTAATTTCTTCAATTAATTTGCTGTTATTCTATGGTGAAAATTAGATACTTCTCACAAACTCCTTCGGGCTGTGTCTGCGGATTAAGATTACTTTCTTCCACAAATATTTGTTAAGAATCCACCACACACACTGAGCATACAGTGGTAAACCAGACACATTCCCTGTCATCTTAAAGTGAAAAGTGCACCACATCTCAGAAAAGTCAGAGACAGATTTTATTCTATGTAGCAATGTTATATTGCAAAGGTCACATTACAAAATCAATGGAGCAAAAGAAATGGCAAAGATTTGGTACCATTGATTGATTAGTTAACTGAAGAGTTAATAATAAAATTAGACTTATCACAAAATCTTTCACTAAAATTTTTCATTTGTACTAAAGAATTAACTATACATGAAACCATAAATAAAGGAAATAAGGAAACAGATTAATAGTGATCTTATCTCTGAATGCAGAAGGTCTTTCAATGGGATAAAGTCAATGGAAGAAATGCAGAGAGCAGGAACAGAGTCAAATACACAGAATTTTAAAATAATTTTCTCTAAGTTTAAAATTAGAAAGAGTAAAGAGGAAGAAACCTAAGCAAATAATTAAACTAAAAACTGATACTAATGCTTAACAAATTAGAAAACAAGTGGAAATAATATTTGCAACAAACATTTGTGTTGTAATATTAAGCAGGCCCTGATTTGATAAATCCAAAGGAAATGATCTGACATACAACCATAATTACACATTCAAAGAGAAGCATTGGATTGGTAATTAATTTTAATTTTAACATACCCTTTCTACAGTAACCAAATATAATAACACTAATGCTTCCTTATTTTAAAGATGAGTTGTGTTTAGCAAAGATTTTTAAAGCAGCTCAATTAAATTCGTTATCATTCTGAAACCGTTTGGTGCAGCTTTCAATTTCTTTGTGGATCTTATAGTGCTACTTTGTTTCACCCAATTCTCCCTTAAATTAGACAAGGTTTCTGAGTTGTCTGACTCAGGAACACCAGAGCTTTGTCATACATCAAATCCTCTTTTTGTTTTTTCTACTCTAATTGGAAATGCTAACTCTTTTATCAAAAAAGTATTTTGTATGTATTCTTTCTCTTACCTAATTAGGTAAAAGATTACTTTTGTCCAACTCTTTCCCTGGAAGTACAAAGAAATCTGTAGAGAGATTAAGTGGAACATCTCCATGTCAGCAGTATGGACTTCTAAAGCTGCTTTTTCCAGTCTCAAAATGTGTCTCAATTTGCCCATCTCTTTTCATTTTCCTGCCTCAACCCAATTATGCTGTATTTCCTGAATGTTAAGAAACACTTTACTTTTTACATTTTAATATTTCTAAAATGGGATTTTTAAGTGAATTCTCCAGTTTCCTTATTACGTTTTACTCATCTTAATTGAAATAAGCAGTTCTCTTAATAAAGACAATGGCTTAAATATTCTATATGGAATTGTAAAATATAAGGCATCATTTAATTAAAAAAACTATTTTCTCAAAGGTCCAATGTCTCCCTTATGGAAAAAATGAAAACAATATTCAAAAAAATCTTAGTAAGATATTATGAAATTTCTTTCATTTTCGAATGATGTATACTACAAAATTTCTTCCCTGGAATTCTTATAAAAGCAATGCGGAAGATCTGGAGAAACAGTTAAGTACTTAGAAGTTGGGAGAAACATTCTTTTGCAAGGAGACACCTGCTTTGTTGAAAACAACTGTGCTGCTGTTCAGCTGAATGCATTTAGGGGGCAAAACTGTGTCGGTTCTGATTACTCAGTGCCTGTGCTGCACCTGTTATTAAAAGCTTTGTACATCACCCGTTGTGTGTTGGTAGATGTTAACAACTGGCTCTCTGGTTAAAAAAAAAAATGAGCGTGAGAGAAGAATTGTTGTGTATCTTTCCAACAGAGTTGGAAAGAGATGCACACAGGTTCTCCCTAGCAGGCTCCTGAATTGAATTCCTGGAAAGGAGCTGGCACCCAGACTTCATAAAGGAGAATTATGGTAGGGGAGCAAGAGCAGAAATTGAGTGGGCAAGGATAATTGAGTCAGAGGTTAAACAAATTTTATAAGAAAAAAATTGTCAAGTTCTGGTTTATTAGGTTGTTTATAGGGAGTGGGGATTGGGAGCAATGTAAACACCCTAATCTATTTTTTCTATGAAATCTTAGGAAAATTTTCCATTGCTCATTAATGCTTTGGTATGCATTGTGGGGAGTGGCAAGGAGGGGAGCGTGAATTACAAAATGCTGAGTCCTGTTTCAAGATTGGTGCAGGACGAAAACTGAGGCTGATTGTGGGATAGCGAACTTGCATGTCAAAAGTAATTTAAGAGAGCAAAAAATGGAAGATAGAGTGGATAGATGTTTCCTATTAAAGAAGAAGCAGAAAATTTTGTTTGTTTTGTTTTTGTCTTGCTAGAAAGTTCGAATTAGCCATAGAGGGTATTAGAGAAAAGGAAAGAAAAGGCAGAGAAAGGGATAGTGTAAAATGCATGAGTTTCCATTGGGTCTGGGGACTGTATGGTCAGCCAACACTGTTAAGCCATAATTAGCCAAGTTTTCTATCCGCTTTTGATGCAGAAACAGATTCAATTTTGATATAGTCTAATACAGCCATCTAACCAAAATTGGGGCCTTGATTTTTAAGTATTTAAGAATCTCTTCTGGATAGAGCTTCATAAATTATTTGTATCTTCTCATATTTTCCCCATATTTTTATCTGAGAAACTTTCAAAGAAGAGTCAAATTACATTCCACGATACAAGATACACACAAATATGATTTACTTATCGCCATTTTATATAAATTGGGAAAATGGAGGCAAAGAAATTGAATGGATTTGTCCAGAAGTATCTCCTTTGTCCAGACATAGGCCTGGAAAGAGAGCCACATCTTCAGACTTCTGATTCTGTGCTCTTTCTTTGAGATAGTATCTATTTGGCTCTGCAACAAGCTCTTGAATGCACAGAGGCCATCAGACAGGCAAAATGGTTATGGTTATATTTTGCACATCACTTGAGAGGCACTTTCTGCACTGGGCCTCTTCTGACCAGAGGAGAGAAGTGGGGAGGAGGACTGGATGCGGCTGTTCCCTGTGTGGTCCAGAGGCCTTTACTACAGGAAGTGGGCCCTTCCAACCACAGTTGTACCAGGAATCCTTCTTTCCCCTTATAGTAAAGCCCTGTTTATAAATATACATGCACCCATACACAAACATATACATCCCTTAAATGTCCAGAGCAGTTCTGTGTCCACAGAGATAAATACAGAGAGAAGAATGACAGAGACAGATGGATACAGAAATATTTTTAATTTTTAAAGAAAACATTTGCCCACTTTAGGGAGAGACAGTCAGTTCTAAGGGAAAGGAAACCTGTACTTAGGCTAAACTTCCTCAGGATTAATTATTACTGTATTTGAAATCCCAATGACTTGACCCATCATTAGTGGATAAGTGTAGGCCAGGGAATAAATATCCACTCTGTCCACAATAAGACAGGTATCCGCATCAAGTTCAAAGGCCACTGGACTTTACCACACACGCATTTAGGCCATCTTTAGAGTTGTGATGATGACGAAAGGGTGGATGTACTCTGAAAGCCCAAGGAGGCAGCCAGCACAACCTCAGGCTAATTAGCAGAAACCACAGGTATAACCAGCTGCTGGGCCATTCACGTAACCAATCCTCAAGCCAGATGCCGCTTTTGGAAAAACATACCTCAGTGCTCCTCATTGAAATTCCATCTCTAGGCTTATAAAGAGTGTACTGTGTGAGCAACACAGGCATGGCTTGGGGCACTTGGGGCCATTCTGTGAGATATAGTGAGAAGCCCTGCTCTGCTTTCCAAATGGCTGCTCATTGTAAACAGCCTGTTCAGTGGGCCTGAGAACACAGCACAGACCCCGCTGGCGGAGGTTTATGCACGCCGGTGATTCCAGCCACACTCTGTTCTGACTTGTGGAGGAAAAAGATCAGACGGGTATAAAATCTCATATGAAGTAAATGAACGAAGAAGTGTTTTATCAATAAAATTTCATTTACACCTCACTTGCATATCGCTCAAATGACAAAAGCACGCGAACACCTCACATCTTCTTTAGAACATATGTCTTCATTCTATTAATAAATAGAGTACAGACCTCAAACACTTGTGTACTTAAAAAGTGTTATTTGAAGGTGGTGGCATTTGTTGATTTGAATTCATGCACTTGGCTTACAAAGGGTTCTCTTTACTCCATCTTATTTAATGTGACTTCAAATCAACAACCAATCTTTTTCATGAAGGAAACATTTAATAATTTAAATGGATTTTATAACAATTTGATACCATACCCAACGCATGTTGGTGCTTGGCATTTTTAATATTTGCAAGATCATGATTCAATCTTTTGGTACACTTCCTGTTATTTCATACATATTCTGTAGAAGCATCTACTCTGGAGAATAACATTTGGCAACAAAACTAAAAGATCAGATCACAAAAGAGCAATTATAAATACTCTTATGCAGCTCAGAACAACAAAAAAGTGTAGAGCATATGTAAATTGGCATAATGTCTTTCCAGAGCTGGAGAAAGAAGCCTATTAAAAGACAAAAACCCTGAAAAGCAGAAAAAGGAAAAAAGGCAGAAGGGCTAATAATAGAACTTTATAATTTGTAAAAGATAGCCAGGGGATGGTGGCATCCCGCAAATACTTTCAATTTGCCAGGTTACACTACCTATTTTTCTTACCCCTTAATATATGTAGTAAGTTTTCATCTATCCACATTCCTCATTTTCTATATGATTTTTCAAATTCTTTCCTCTCTCTGTCATGATTTCCTGTTTTCCCAGTCAAAACTGTCGGAAGTTTGTGATAAAGAAATATACGAAGACCTCTTTACAATAAATTATTGATAACATGTCCTAATGTTCTGGCGGGAAGAATATTTTCAGGGTTACTACACTAAATTTGAGTTCATCAAGCAGCCTTTGTTCCTTCTATTTCTATTGCCCACTTTGTCCCTCTCATTGCTAGTAACAATATACCTTGATGCTACCAGAATTGGGAAGCTGCGTGTGGAATAGTGCTCAAATCAGGAATCATATCATAAAACAGAGACTGCACACATTACAAAGAATGAGAAGCAAGGTCGAAACAAGAAGATAGACTAAAATGAAATGTGTTGATATTAAATATACACAGAGAAGAGACTGTAAGGAAATGTCACAAAGAAGACAAGTAAAAGAAAGGAAATTTTGATACAGGTTTCAGGCCAATTCCAAGGTCCTTTACTTAACCTTCAAAAAGCTTTAAATAATTCTCTCAGTTAATAAGTGTGGAAATCCACATCCCAGAGACATCTAATTCTTTATTTCTAAATAGGTTAGAAAAAACTACATTTGCATTTTTGTAATGTAAGCAGTTTCTAGAAAGAGTAAAATGCTAATTTAAAAATTATTGTTTCAAATAATATGGCTTACTTCTGGTCTTTTCAAGATAATGTAAATCGATTTTTTTTCTATTTCTTCTTGCAAAGCAAATTATAAGCCCTGAAAAATGTCACCAAAGACAAACAGAAGAGAATTCTGAAAGACGGCAAGAAGATGAGCTTGTTTAGTACCACTGGACTGAAGACTCAATGCAGCAAAAAGGAATCTTATATCTCCCACCAAAACCATGGAAAAGAAGGCCACCCAGACAAATATTTCCAACACTTGTCCCAGTAACAGAAGGTGACTCAAGTAGGCTTACCACTCTCTTGGATGGAATAAGACTACCTTTGACAATATCAGGTGATCTCAACACCAACAGCAAGAGGATTGGTTAGAAGCCCTTTACCAACAATTAGCAGCCAGGAGAAGCACTCTACTCCCCTCCAGGCCTGAGACTCCTGTCTCCCACCTAGAGACACTAAGGCAGAAGAGAAAAATTCTGCCAGAGGGACCAAGCTACAGAAAGATGCCTAGTCCAGGAAGAGTCTTAATCCCTGGGGCCCAAGCCTCTCCTCTCCCACTCAGAGGCATAAGAAGGAGGACCCTACCACACCTTCACTCACTGAGAGACACTTGAAGTCTAGGCCTGAAAATGTCTTCTTCTTCCTCAAGAAATAAGCAAGCAGGGAACAGTAACAGCCTCAGTGGAACCAAATAAGCCAATCAGACCAAAATAACATTGCAAAGACTGAAAAGTAAACTTTCAGTGGAATCAAAGCCCACAAAAATATGTCAAGACTCACCTGCTAACCCTAAGCAGGGTAACTGCTTGCTAAAATAAAATATTTAAATGGGTCCCAGAGACTCCTAACAGAATAGATAAAAATGAACAGGATAGAATGAAAAATAATCTCATATTAGTAACCAAGAAAATCATAACTTCAATAAGAAAAATAATCAACTGACATCAACATTGAGATGAGTCATATATAGGAATTACTTGACAAAAATTTTTAAGAAACCACCATAAAAATGCTTCAACAATCAATTATGAATTCTCTTAAAACAAACAAAAAAATATAAAAATCTCAGCAGAGAAAGAAAAGTTATTAAAAAAACATAATCAAATAGAAACTGTAGGATGGAAAAACTACAATAGAAACTAAAAACTCACTGGATTGATTAAATAGTAGGGTGAAGATAACAGAGGATAGAATCTGTAAACTCCAGGACAAAACAATATAATTCACCCAATCTGAACAGCAGAGAGAAAATAGACTGAAGAAAAATTTCCAGAGCCTTAAAAACATAGGAATAATAACAAGAATCCTAAATTTCTATCGTTGGAGCTGCAGATGGAAAAAAGAGGAAAAGAGTGGGACTGAAAAAGTATTGAGTAAAAATTAACTATTGAGAAACTTGCAAATTTACCAAAAGATACAAATTTACAGAATGAAGAAATGAATTAATTCCCCAAAAAATAAATCCAAATAAATCCATGCCAAGACTCATTATAGTCAAATTTCTGAAAACTAAAGAGAAAGAAAAAATCTTGGAAACAGCCAGAGAAATAACACATTACCTATAGGGAATCACCAATTAAAATAATAGCAGATTTTTTTCATCTGAAACTGTGTAGTCCAGAAAGAAGTGGCACAATATTTTTCAAGTAGTGAAAGAAAAAATTTGTCAACTTCAAAAACTATATCCAGTGAAACTACCTTTTAGGAATAAAAGAGAAACAGGGACCTTCTTAGGCAAAGGAAAACAACCATTAAAGATTGACTACAGGAATTTCTTCAGGGAGAAAGAAAATGATAAAAGAAAAAGTCTTCAGACAATCAGAAAAAAAAAATGGGAAGAGCAGAAGTCTGTATATATGTACAATAAACTGTCCCTTTCCTCATGAATTTCATAAGTCATAGTTGATGTTTTAACTAAAAATTATGCTGAGGTGGGTGGATCACTTGAGCCCAGGAGTTCAAGACCAGCCTAGACAACATGGTGAGACCCTGTCTCTACAAAAAATAAAACATTAGCCAGGTTCGATGGCACACATCTGTAGTCTGAAGTGTGCTGAAGGGAAGGAGGCTGAAGTGGGAGGATCACTTGAGCCTAAGAGGTTAAGGCTACAGTGAGCCTTGATTATGCCAGTGAACTCTAGCCTGGATGACAGAGAAAGACCCTGTCTCAAGAAAAATTATTATACCATGTCATACTTAAGACAATGATATTTTTAAAGTTGGGAAAGTAGAGACCTAAATAAAAGTTCAGTTGCCACACTTCGCTGGAAGTAGTAAAATGTTGATAGCAGTAGACTGAAAAGTCACATGTTACATGTGTATCTTTTAATACCTAGACCAATCACTATGAAACTAAGAAAACACATATGCCATAAAGCATAAATAAATCAAGATGAAAATTGTTCAAGTAACTCACAGAAAGGCAAGAAATAAGAAACAGAGGAACAAACACCAGAAGAAAAACAAGCAAACAAATAATTGTCTGACTTAAGTGCTAACCTATTAATAATCACCTTAAATGTAAATGGTCTAAATATGCCAATCAAAGGACAGATATTGGCATAATGGATTAAATAAAATGATTCAACTATTTGCTGCCTAAAAAACTCACTTCAAATTCAACAACATAGGTTGGAAGTGAAAGAATGAAAAAAATATGCCATGAAAACATTATTTTTTAAAAAAGAAAGCTTTGGCTATATTTTAAAGTAGACATCAGAGCAAAGGAAATTACTGGACACAAAGAGAGATATTACATAATTATAAAAGGATCAGTCTACCAGGAAAATATAAGGATCCCAAATATGTGCACATCAAAGCCTCAAATGCATGAAGCAAAAACTGATAGAGCTCAATTCTAAAATGTACATTTTTTAATCACATTTAATGTTTCTGAAAAGTGTATGTTTACAATAGAGATATAATTTAATGCAAAAAAAGTTGTTAAGTTTAAAAAGCCATTAT
This sequence comes from Homo sapiens, assembly GCF_000001405.40. NCBI lineage: Eukaryota > Metazoa > Chordata > Mammalia > Primates > Hominidae > Homo > Homo sapiens. The sequence goes on from NC_000004.12 coordinate 144,468,742, forward strand.
TAAATCAATGTTTCGCTTTATATTTCAATAGTGTCTTAGATATGAGGAAATGTGACGATGGCTTTCTGAGTGTTTCAAAAGTGTGAGTCGTACTGCATGGTAGACAAAAGAAAGAATTCAATATAATTGGCTGATTCAGAGACTCTTAGAGTACCTACTCATTTCATAAGCTAAATTTCTAAATCAAAACAGATACAAATATATCAAGTAAATAAAAGTTGGTTTATTATTAAGGCAAAGAGTATAATATCTTAAAATACTGTCAAGTCAACTTATAAAACAAACTTTTGTTTCTTACACTGGTCAGAATTTTCATCTAACAGCTTAATTTTACTGTTTAACTGCACATTTCATTAACCAAACACTGTGAAGTTGCTCAGTTTAGAGACTTGAATTTCTTTTTGTTTTTGTTTTAGTGAATGAGCAGCAGAAAGAAACAAAATTTGGCTGATGTCTGCTGATGCTGTGTGCATTCGGTGGACATTTACTACCAGAAATCAGTTCTGGAATTCTCCAAGTGTCTTGAGCAATGGTTATGTCTTCTACTGTTGCTTTAATTTTTCTTCTCTAATTGCCCTTGATCTTGAGCTTCTGGAGTTGTCAGATATCCGGTGTAGTTTGTTGTCTGTACGGGGGGGGGCATTGTCAAGTGCAGCTAAGTATTTTAGCAAGAATTTGCACATGAGACGATGAGGTTGAAATATAATGTTGTTTTGTCTATTTTAAAACTTAAACAGAATCTGTATGTAGTCTTCCATGACTTGCTTATTTCTCCCTTAATAATGTTTCTAAAATTCATATATGTTGCTCATTCATTTTTATTGCTGTGAAGAGTTAGTTGCTATTTTCACAACTTATTTTATCATTCTGTTCTTAATGGGTATTTGAATTGTTCTCAGGATTTGTTATTATAAACAATATTTCTTGTATTAGTCTGTTTTCATGCTGCTGATAAAGACATGCGTGAGACTGGGAAAAAAAAGGAGGTTTAATTGGACTTACAGTTCCACATGGCTGGGGAGGCCTCAGAATCATGGTAGGAGGTGAAAGGTACTTCTTACACGGTGGCAGCAAGAGAAAATGAGAAAGATGCAAAACCAGAAACCCCTGATAAAACCATCAGATCTCATAAGACTTATTCACTACCATGAGAACAGTATGGGGGAAACCGCCCTCATGATTTAAATCATCTCCCACCTGGTCCCTCCCACAATACATGGGAATTATAGGAGTACAATTCAAGATGAGATTTGGTTGGGGACACAGCCAAACCATATCACTGCTATAAGCATTTTCTAAAATTTGTGTTTTAGTAAAAAACAGAAGCGTTTATCTAGATTATTTTCATAGACATTGATTGCTAAGTTGTGGGTATGTATCTATAAATGTGACTAGGCAATACTGAATTGTTTCTCAAGCAGATGTATAGTTTCAAATGCTTAACAGCGTAGTATGAGCATTCTCAGTGTTTTATGTCCTCACAAATACATAGTATTTTTCAACCATTCAATTTTCACTGATCAAGATGTCTATAAAATAGTTCTTGTCTTTCTTCCATTCCTTTCTTTTCCTCTTTATTTTAAATGTAATGACTTTGTGGCTTGTTTGTATTGTCCCATAAACTCATTTTCATACAGGTTTGTTTACTCAAGTAACATCTATCTTTTTATTGTGAGCTAATCTTCAGTAGAGGCTGATTTTTTTTTTCAGGTGGAAGTCCTGTGCATCAGGATTGTGGAAGTATTATTAGAGAGTAGTTTTGTGTTTGTGTCTGCTGGAACTCCATTGCTCCCAGATCAGTTTTTACACAAAGATTTGGGCAAGATGTCTTGCATGTTCATAGTATCTGCTCCCGTATTTACTATTCTGGCATTGAATTCCTTATTTATTTCTGGTATCTGGAGATTTCTCTTTCTTTCTTTTGTGTTTTTCCTACTATGTCTGTTGTTGTTGTTGTTGTTGTTCTGTTTTATTCTATTAAATGTTTATAAAGCGTTCTTGGAATGACAGGGAGAGTCCATGCCAGCTCAGTCTGTCATATTATCAGAAATTCTGGTCTGATTTTTTTTGTATTTCTAAGCCATATAGGAATAAATTCTCAAGTAAAGTAATTTCAAGTTATAAATTTTTAAATAAAATTTGACCATAGGAAGAAAATGGACTTGAGTATTACAGTTCCTATGACTATCATTGTTATTGCCAATCAATTATTTGGCATTCTGGTTTTGAAACAAGTCTCATAAATTTTTTCTAAAGAAGAAGATCAGCTCTGAGAGTGCACATAACATCAAAGCTTGCCAGTCTTGGGGCTAGATGCTGGATTTTGATAAAATTTCCTAATGTTATAAATGCTACCTTATGTAGCTTGGAGACACAGCCTGACTATAGGAAATTTTCTCTAGTAATCAGAACTCAGTTGGCTGCATCTATATGTGTGATTAGCATCTACAGGCCATAGTACATGCCCAGGCTCACAATACTTAATTAACATTGTACATTATCAGCCTATGTTTTCAAAAATTAATTTTCAACCATGTGAAAATTTAATAAATTATTTTTACATTTAATTGCCTTATGTATAAGATATGCTATTAATTATATTAATTGCTTTGAATTTAGAATTGTTATTAGGTGAATTCCAAAATTATTTCTGCCTTTTAAGAAACTTCATACTTCGTAATTCTTAGTGATTTAAGTCATCTTTCTCCCATTAAAAAGAGATAAGGAGATTATATAGAACATATTTCTTAGGGTCATAATATCTCTAAAATTTATTCAACAAATTTAATTTAGAAGAAAAAACTAGAGTAGATAAAATATGATTCCAAATGTTTTATTTTCATGCATTTTATGTTTTCTCTATTATTTGTTTTTGGTAGGTAGTCAAGCCTAAATTCCCCCAATTCATCATTACAAATCTATAAAAGACATTCTCTTGCAAGGTCCAGAAATGAATTAAATTTCCTATTTGTGATAATCTTTGGGGGCTGAAAATGAGGAATTTCTATTAAAGACTTACACAATTGAGAAAATAGAATAAGTAATGGAAGCTGTTTTAAGTGAACAGGAACCAAGTCTTATCAACCTGTAAAGCTAAATGTACCAGTCATTCTTAAATATGCTCTAGTCATAACCAAATCCCTACATTTAAATTTTCAGGGAAAGGGAAAATGAAACTAATCTATACACATATTCTACTATGTTACATGGCTCAACATTGTGCATTTATTCTGATTACCTAGTAGTTGCTACTCCATATCTTCATTTCAGACATTTATTGGGTACCCATTACATGAGATACACTATCTGAGAACAGCATAAAGTTGACCAAGATAAAGTCTCTATTCTTAAGAGGAAATCTAGTTGAAACATAGATTCGACTAACTAAATGTTGCTTAATAAAACTTGCTTTAAATATGAGACAAAGATATGTTCAAAGTAAAACATAGAGAAAATACTATGCAAAGAATAATAAAAAGAAAGCTGATTTGCTCTCTTACTATTAAATAAATCTACTTCATAGAGGGGTATATTAAAATTGAGAAAAGGATATTGAGGTCAATTTATTAAGAAGACATAACAATCAAATATGTATGCAGCTAATAACAAAGCTTCAAAATACACAAAGAAAAAGTATGTTAGAACTGAATGGCTAAATAAATCTACAATTATAGTTAGAGATTTCAATACTTCTTACAGTAATTAATAAAACAAAGAGTTAAATACCATTAAGATATAGAGAACTTAACAATACCCTTAAGCAATTTGATCTGGTTAATATTTACAAAACACTTCAACCAAAATCTATGTACAATATACATTTTTCAAATGCAAATGGAATATTTGCCAAGATAAAACATATTATCAGCCACAAAACAAACCAAATGAAATTACATAAAGTGTGTCTTCTGATGTCAGTAGAAGTAAATCAGAAATCAATAACTTAAAAATCTGATTTCCAAATCAAAAATAAGTAATTAAAAAATGTGAAAATCTCCAAATTCTGAATCGCTTATTCAGAATTTAAGCAATATATGTTGAAACAACTCTTGATTAAAGAAAAAATAACAAAAATATTTAGACTATAAGTTTAATTGAACGTGAATGAAAGCACATTGGGATGAAATTAAAACCATATTTACAGGGAAATCTACAGAATTAATGCCTACATTAGAAAAGAAGGAATCCTAAGTTGCCATCTTAATAAACTAGAAAAAGAAGGACCAACTAAAAATCAAATGAGTGGAAGGAAGAAAACAACAAAGATAGCAGAAATCAATGAATTAGAAAACAGACAAACAATAGAAAAAATTAATAGAACCAAAACCAGGATTTTTGAGATGATCCATAAAACTGATAAACAGACTGCTCAGGAAAAACACAGAGAAGATAAAAATTATCAAGATCAAGATCAAGAGATGGAGCAGCTCTCTAGGTTCTACAGAAGTTAAAAAGAATAGTATAATTTATTGATAATAATTTTAGCAATGTAAAAACATGAACAAAAGAAATTGAATTTTTTTTTAAGTCACCCTCAAAGAAAACTCAAGCCACAGATGGCTTCACTGGACAATTCTGCCAAATAATTAAGAAAACAATAATGAAAATTCTACACAAACTCTTTCAAAAAAAAAAAAAAAGAAGTAGATACACTCTCCAACTCATTGTGTGAGGCCAGCATACCTTGACACCAAAACCAGATAAACATATCATGAAAAAATAAAACGGAAGGCCAATAATCCTCATAGATATAGATGCAAAACTGTTTAACAAAATATTGGCAAAAAAAAATCCACCAGTATGTAAAAATAATATATCATGACTAAGTGGTGTTTAACCCAGAAATTCAAAGATAGTTCAACATTTTAAAATCAATCAATATTTACTATATAGATAGACAAACAGAAAGTATATAATCATCTCAACAGGTACAGGAAAACTATTTGACAAAATTCAGCATCCATTCATGATAAAAATGCTCAGCAAACTAGGGAATATAAAGGAACTCCCTTAACCCAATAAAGGGCATCGGCAAAAAAAACACTACAGCTAATATCTTACATATTAATAGAAATTTGATGTTTCCCCCTAAGATTGAGAACAAGGCAAAGATTTCTACTTTTACAAATTATATTCAACATTGTACAGTGAAGCGAAAGAAAGAAATAAAAGATATACAGATCAGAAAGGAAGAGAGAAAACTGTCTTTAATTGCCAGTGACATAACTGTTTATGTAGAAAATCCTAGGAAATTCAGAAAAAAATGCTTCAGGAATTTATAGAAGAGTTTAGCCTGATGGCAGGATAAAAGATCAATATGTAAAAAAATCTTAACATGTTAAACATACATATCTGCATTTTGCCCCAGCAGTATGTTAGCTATTTATCTGAGGAGGATAAAAACACATTACCATAAAAACCATATGTAAATGTTTATAGCAATGCACAATTGGAAGCTAAAATTTAAAAAATTTAAAAAATACAAAGTACCTAGTGATAAACTTAACGAACATGTGCAAGACCCATACACTGAAAACTATAAAGCTTTGCTCAGAGAAGGATACCTAAGTAAATGAGGAGATAAATCACTTTAATAGATCAGAAGATTCAATATTGAGATGTCATCTTTTCTCATATTAATATATAAATTTTATACCACCCCAATTAAAATCCCACCTGTTCTATTTCTAAAAATAAATAACTTGAATCTAAAATCTATATGAAAATGCAAACACTCTTCTAGTAAAAGAACAATTTTGAAACAGTAGAAGAAAGTTGAGTCACTCATACTACCTGATTTCAAGATTTACTATAAAGCTGGACCAATCAAGATGGTGTGATATTGACATAAGAATAGACCTATAGATCAAAATAACAGAGCAGAGAGCTTAGAAGCAGACCTACTTGTAAATGACAAATTGATATTTGACAATAATATTAAAGTAATTTGGTGAGGAGAGAAAAGTCTTTTTAGAAAATAGTGTTGAATACCTAAATATTTATATCCAAAAAAAACCTCAATTCATTGCCTCATGCTCTTTATAAAAATTAGCTATTAGTTAGTATAGACCTAAACACAAAGGTTAAAATTAAAAATTGTATAGGAGAAAACTTAGGAGAAAATTCACATCAACTTGAGTTTGGTAAAGTTTTCCTAGATTGGCACATAAAGCACAAATCACAAAAGAAAACACTTATAAATTGGACTTTATCAAAATTTTAAACTTCTGCTCTTTAAAAGCCACTCTAAAGAAAATGAAGATAAGCAACAATCTGGGAGAAAATATTTGGGAAACTCATATTTGACATAGGGCTTATACCCAAATTTATAAAGAGCTCTTATAATTCAACAATAAGACACAAACTTGATTTAAAAATGAGCAAAAGAACTGAATGAAGAGCTCACAAAAAGAAACATACAAATGACCAGGAAAAGATGATCAATATTATTAGCCATCAGAAAAATAAAGTGTTTTAAATGAGATTTCACTATACACCCTAGAGAATGGCTAAAAGGAAAAAAACTGATGATATAAGAGTTGATGACACTATGGAAAAACTGGATTCCTTTTGCTAATGGTAGTGCAAAATGGTACAGCAACTCTGGAAAACAGTTTAGTAGTTAAAAGTATCTTTACCATATGACCTAACATTTCCACTCTTTGGTATTTACTCAAAAGAAATAAAAACCTGTGTTCACCCAAAGGCCTACTTGCCAGTGTTTATAGCAGCTTTATACATATTAGCTACAAATGGAAATAATTGAAATATCTATCTACTGGTAAATAGCTAAGCAAAGTATAGTATAGCTATAACTGAATAGTACAATTTAGTAACAAAAATTAATGAACTACGTAACTACATTATGCTAAGTAAAAAAGGCAGATACAAAACAAACATATCTTAGGTGGTGGTTACCTGACTGTAAACATTTGTCAAAACTCTTCTAACTCTATATACTTTTTAAAAGTATATTTTTATTGTATGTAAATTATACCTTTAAAAATGTCTAACTTAAAATAAGTCGGTGGAATTGAGGAGAGAAGAGGTAACAGAGGTAACAAATTTAAGGAATAGGTGGTCCAGAGATCCAATAATTTGACAATATTTTTTACAAAGAGAACAGAGAAAATCAAGAAGTAGAAATCATCAAAGAAATAATTCAGGAAAATTTCCCAGAATTGAAAGACATCAAATTCTCAATTTAAACAGTTCGTTGCATGCCTAGTAAATGGATAAAAATAGACCTATCAAAGCACTTTTAGAACACCAAAGACAAAAGGAAATATCCCATCAACTTCTGTGCTGAAGTTTGGGGCAGGGGCGATGGAACAGGTCACATAACAAAAGATCAAAACTTAGGAAGACCCAACATTTTTCTCTCTTTTTGTAAAAAATAAGTTTTATTGTTTATATTTAAGGTATACAATGTGATGTATGAGACACATATAGATAGTAAAAAGGTTACTATAGTAAATTAACATATCATTCATCTCACATCATTCCCCATTTTTTTGTTTTTGTAGCAAGAACAGCTAAAATATACTCATTTACCATAAATCCCATATACAGTATAATTTTATTACCTAGACTCCTCAAGTTGTTCATTAGATCTCTAGACTTGTTTATTCTACATATCTGCTATTTTATATTCTCTGACCTACATCTTCCCATTCTTCATCACCCTTTGTAACTACTATTTGTTCTCTATCTCTGTATATGTAATTTTTAAAGTTTTCAAGTTCCACATACATGTAATATCATACAACATTTTTCTTTGTTATCTATTGATAGATTATCTTTTAGGATAAAGTAATATTCCATTGTACATATATATCACAGTTCCTTTATCCATCTATCAGTGAGCACTTAAGATGTTTTAATATCTTGGCTATTGTGAATAATGATGCAATTAACATGAGAGTGAAGATATCTTTATGAGGTGGTGATTCTATTTCTTTTGGGCATTTACACAGCAGAGAAATTATTGGGTCATATAGTAGTTCTATTTTCAGTTTCTATAGAAACTTTCATACTATTTTTCATAATAGCTGCACCAATCTACATTTCCACCCGTGTGTACAAGGGTTCCCATTTCTTCACACTCATAACATTTGTTATCTTTTGACTTTTTGATAATAGTCATTCTAACAAGTGTGAGTTAGCATTTCATGGTGGTTTTGATTTGCATTTCCCTGAAGATTAATCATGTTGAGCCCCTTTTCATGTACCCATTGGCCATTTTTATATCTTCTTTGGACAAAGGTCTATTTAGGTATTTTGCCCATTTTGTAATTGAATAATTTGTTTTTCCACTATTGAGTTGTATAAATTCTTTATTAATTTTGAATATTAACTTATCAGATATATGATTTGCTGATATTTTTCCCAATTTATAGTCTGCTGTTTCACTTTGTTGACTGTTTCCTTTGTTGTGCCAAGCTTTTTAGTTTGATGTAATCTCATTTACTTATTTTGCTTTTGTGGCCTCAGTTTTTGGTGTGATGTCCAAAACATCATTGCCAAGGCCAATGTTCAAGAGTTTTCCTCTGTGTTATCTTCTAGGAGTTTTATAGTTTCTGCTTTTACATTGAGGTCTTTTAACCATTTAGGGTCATTTTTGTGTATGGTGTAAGGGTACAATTTCATGGGTTTTTGCATGTAGAAATCCAGTTTTTCCAGCATCTTTTATTGAACAGATTATCCTCTTCCCCTTGTGTCCTCTTGGTGCCCTTGTCAAAAATTAGCTTACCATATATGTTTGGATTTACTTCTTGGTGCTCTATTCTGCTCCACTGGTCTGTGTGTTTGTTTTTATGTCACTACCATACTGTTTTGATTACCATACAGCTTTGTAATATAATTTTTAAAAAGGAAGTGTGATGCCCCCAACTTTGTTTTTCTTTCTCAGAATTATTTTTGCTATTTGGGGTGTTTTATGGTTCCATACAAATTTTAAGATTGTTAATTCTATTCCTGTGAAGAATGTCATCGGAATTTTGATAGGGATTATATTGCTTTGGGTGGCATGGACATTTTAAAAATATTAATTCTTCTGATCTATGAGCACAGGATGTCTTTTCATTTATATTTCTTTCATCAATGTTTTATAGTTTTCAGAGTACAGATCTTTCAACTCCTTGGTTAAATTTACTCCTGGATATTTTAATTTATTTTTGTTGCCATTATAAACGGAATTGTTTTCTTGGTTTCTTTTTCAGCTAAATTGTTACTTGTGTATAAAAATGCTCCTGACAGTTTCCTGGTGGAGTCTTTAGGTTTGTTTTTTTTTCCTAAACATGAGATCACATGATCTGCAAACAAAAATAATTTTATTTCTTCCTTTCCCATTTGGATGCCCTTTATTTCCTTCTCTTGTTTAATTGTTCTGGCTAGGACTTCCAGTACTATGTTGAATAACAGTGGTGAAAGTGGGCACCCTTGTCTTGTTCTAGATCTCAGAGGAAGGGCTTTCAGTTTTTTACCCATTCAGTATGACATTAGTTGTGGTTTGGTTGTATATGGCCTTAATTCTATGGAGGTGTGTTCCTTCTATACCCAGTTTCTTCAGTGACTTTATTATGAAGAGGTGTTGAATGTTTTTTCAGCATCTATATAAATGACCATAAGATTTTTGTCTATTCTATTGATGTGATGGGTCACATTTATTGACCTGTATATGTTGAGCCATCCTTGCATCCCTAGGATAAATCCCTCTAATCATGTTAAATAATCTTTTTAATGTGTTTTTGAATTTTGTTTGCTGGTATTTCATTAATATTTTTTGCATCTATGTTCATCAGGGATATTGGTCTGTAGTTTTCTTTTTTGTGTCTTTGTCTGGCTTTGGTATCAGGGTCACAGTGGTTTTACAGACTGAGCTTGGAAGTGTTTTCTCCTCCTTAATCTTTTTGAATAGTTTGAGGAGGATTGGTATTAATTCTTTTTTAAATATTTGGACAAATTTAGCAGTGAAGCCATCAGGTCCTGAGCTTTTCTTTGATGGAAGACTTTTAATTACTGCTTCTATCTCTTGTTTATTATTGTTCTATTTAATTTTTGGATTTATTCATAGTTTAATTTTGGTAGGTTTATGTGTCTAGGAATTTAACCAGTTTTCCAGACTTCGCAACTTACTGGCATATAGTTTATCGTAATAGTCTCTAATGGTTCTTTGAATTTCTTTTCATCCATTTTAATGTCTATTAGAACTGATAAATCTGGCAAAGTTGCAGGATACAAAATCATATATAAAAATCGGTACATTTCTATATGCCAACATCAAATAATCTGAAACAAAAACCCAAAAAACTAATCTCATTAATAATAGCTACAAATAACATAAAATGCCTAGGTATAAACATAATTAAAGAAGTGAAAGATATCTATAATAAAAACTATAAGACATTGAGGAAATACATTGAATAAGACACACAAAAAAACTAAAAGGGATTCCATGTTCATGGATTGGAAGTATCAATATTGTTAAACTGTTCATACTAATCAGAGCATTCTACATATTCAATGCAATCCCTATCCAAATACCAATTACACTCTTCACAGAAATAAAAAGGAACTAAAATTTGTATGAAACCACAAAAGATTCTGAATAGCTAAAGCAATCTTGAGCAAAAAGAATAAAGCTCAAAGCATCACACTACATGACTTCAAATTATACTACAAATCTCTAGTAACCAAAACAGCATAGTACTGGCATAGAAACAGACACATAGACCAATGGAACAGAATAGAGAATCCAGAAATAAATCCATGCACTTACAGTCAATTCATTTTCTACAAAGGCACCAAAAACACACACTTCGGAAAGGACAGTCTCTTAAATGAATTGTGCTGGGAAAACAAGTTATCCATATGCAGATGAATGAAACTAGGCCTCTATTTCTCACCACATACAAAAATCAAGTTAAAATAACAAAACACTTACATTTAAGACCAGAAACTATGAAACTACTAGAATAAATTGTTGGGGAAGTTATTATGACTTATATACAGTGGAAATAAATTATTCCAATCTATGGGTTCAGGTAAAGATTTCTTGATTAAGACCTCAAAAACACAAGCAACCATAGCAAAAGTGGACAAATGAGACCATATTGAACTAAAAAGCTTATGTACAGCAAAGAAAACAATCAACAAAGTGAAGAGAAAAGCCACAGAATGGGCAAAAATATTTCCAAACTACCCATCTGACAAGGGATTAATACCCAGAACATATAAGGAGTTCAAACAACTTGATAGGGAAAAAAACCCAAATAATTCAATTAAAAATGGGCAAAAGATCTGAATAGATATTTCTCAAAAGAACACATACAAATGACCAATAGGTAAATGAAAAAATGTTTAACATCACTGTTTATCAGAGAAATGCAAATCAAAACTACAATGACATATAATCTCACTCTAATTAAAATGGCTTTTATCAAAAAGGCAGGCAATAATGGATGTTGGCAAGGATGTGGAAAAAGAGGAACCCTCATACACTGTTAGTGAGAATGTAAGTTAATACAGCCACATTGAGAACAGTGTGGAAGTTCCTCAAAAAACTAAAAATAGAACTACTATGTAATCTCTCAAACCCACTACTGGGTATCTGTCCAAAGAAACAGAAATCAGTATATCAAAGAGATATCTGTACTCTCATGTTTATTGCAGCACAATTTACAATAGCTAAGATATGAAATCAACCTAAGTGTCCATCAATGAATGAATGGATAAAAAAAAAAGTGGTACAGATATACAATGGAATATTATTCAGCCATAAAAAAGAATGACATCCTGTCATTTGCAGCAACATAGATGGAACTAGAGGACATTATATTAAGTGAAATAAGCCAGGCATAGAAAGACAAATATCACATCTTCTCACTCAGATGTGAGGGCTAAAAGACATAAAACTCATGGAGATAGAGAGTAGAGTGACAGTTACCAGAGGCTGGGAAGGGTAGTGAGGAGGGAGGAATAAAGAAGGGATGGTCAATACATGCAAAAATGCAGTTAGAAGGAATAAGATCTAGTGTATCTAATGTACAGTAGCACAATAGGGTGACTATAGTTAACAGTGCCTTATTATATATATCAAATAACTAAAAGGGTGGAATTAGAATGTTCTTAACACAAAGAAATGATAAATGCTTGAAGTGATGGATATCTCGATTACCCTGATTTGATCATTACATATTATATGCTTGTATCAACATATCACATGTAACCCATGAATATGTACAACTATTATGTATTCATAATCATTAAAAATGAAAGAAATGCTACCAATTTTTGTGTTGATTTTGTACTCTGCAGCTTTACTGAATTATTTTCTTAGTTCTAACAGTTTTTAATAAAATGTTTTGGGTATTTTACATATAGAATCCTGTCATCTGAAAATAGTGATAATTTTTACTTCTTCCTTTCCAATTTGGATGTGTTTTATTTTTCTTGTCTGATAGCTCTTGCTAGTGTTTTCAGCACTATGTTGAACAGAACATAGTTGAATAGAATAGAAGTAGTAAAAGTAAACATTCTTGCCTTATACCAAATTTTAGCGGGAAAGCTTTCAGTTTTTCCCTCTTGATTATGTTAGTGCAGGATTTTTTATAATTGGCCTTTACAATGTTGAGAAACGTTCTTTCTATACCTAAACTATTGAGAGTTTTTGGTAAGGAAAGATGTTGGACTTGGTTGAATGCTTTTCCCATGCCAATTGAGATGATTATGGGTTTTTTATCTCTCATTCTGTTTATGTGATGTATTATGTTGACTGATTTATATATGTTAAATTAGCCTTGCATGCCAGGGATAAATTTAACTTGGTCATGATGTATACTCTTTTTTCATGTATTGTTAGATTCAGTTTGCTAATACATTATTGAGAATTTTTGCATCAATGTTCATAAGATAAATTGGCCTGTAGTTTTCTTTTCTTGTGATGCCTTTGTCTGGCTTAGGTATCAAGGTGATGCTAATCTCAACATTTTTCAAGGCAACATGAGAAGCAAGAAGTCAAAGGAGCAATGTTATTTTGTAATTTTAATTGCCAACTTTAATTATGAGGTACATGAAAGAAAATTTCAGACATATAATATTTCAGACTTCTTCTCGTGTACCTTTTATTAGAAATCTATCAAATGAGGTGTCCCACCACAAGGAGAGTGTGAAAAGGAAAGAAGATATGAAATGCAGGAAGAAGGGCATGGAACTTAAGAGAAAGTGAAGGAAAATTTCCAGACTGGTGTGAAGAAACTCTGTATGAGAGCCATTTTGGAGTAAGCCAGCAACTCTGATTAGAGTGGGCCAAAAGAGGAAGCTGATAGAATTATAGTGGTTTGAATATATTGAGAGGAACGTTAAAAATTGGGAAGAATTTGAGGAAGCATCAATGATAAGTATAAAGAAAACCAAGCAGATGAAAAAACATGATCATTATTAGCTTCGCTTCAAAACGTTTTGCAAGGAAAAAAAAGAAGAGGAAGTAGTCATAGTATACAACATTGCTCACATATGAAAATATTTACATGGTCCTAAAAATGTAAACCTGAAATATTGACCTAACTCAAATGTCTAACTCTATTTAAAGGATGGGAATGTGTAAGAATTGTGGTGAAAAGCAGAGGTAGTGTAAAAGAGCTAAATCTTCATTTTCCATGGTGGGAATGCTTCAAAATGAAAATTAAGAAATAGTAGTCTACACATGCTTTTAAATAAAAAAGTCAAGAAGATGGCCGAATAAGAACAGTTCCGGTCTGCAGCTCCCAGCATGATCGAGGCAGAAGATGGGTGATTTCTGCATTTCCAACTAAGGTACTTGGTTCGTCTCACTGGGATTGGTTGGACAGTGGGTGCAGCCCATGGAGGGCGAGCCGAAGCAGGGAGGGGCATCGCCTCTTCTGGGAAGCACAAGGGGTTGGGGGATTTCCCTTTCTTAGCCAAGGGAAGCCATGACAGACTGTACCTGGAAAAACGGGACACTGCTGCCCAAATACTGGGCTTTTTCCAAGGTCTTAGCAACCGGCAGACAAGGAGATTCTCTCCTGTGCCTGGCTTGGTGGGTCCCACACCCATGAAGCCTTGCTCACTGCTAGCACAGCAGTCTGAGATCGAACTGCGAGGCAGCAGCCTGGCTGGGGGAAGGGTGTCCACCATTGCTGAGGCTTGAGTAGGTAAAAAAAGTGGCTGAGAAGCTCAAACTGGGTGGAGCCCACCGCAGCTCAACAAGGCCTGACTCCATCTCTGTGGTAAGGGCATAGCTGAACAAAAGGCAGCACGCAACTTCTGCAGACTTAAACGTCCCTGTCTGACAGCTCTGAAGAGAGCAGTAGTTCTCCCAGCACAGCATTTGAGCTCTGAGAATGGACAGACTGCCTCCTCAAGTGGGTCCCTGACCCCTGTGTAGCTTAACTGGGAGACACCTCCCAGTAGGGACAGACTGACACCTCATATAGGTGGCTGCCCCTCTGGGATGAAGCTTCCAGAGGAAGGATCAGGCAGCAATATTTGCTGTTCTGCAATATTTGCTGTTTTGCAGTCTCCACTGGTGATACCCAGGCAAACAGGGTCTGGAGTGGACCTCCAGCAAACTCGAACACACCTGCAGCTGAGGGACCTGACTGTTAGAAGAAAAACCAACAAACAGAAAGGAATAGCATCAAAATCAACAAGAAGGTGATCTACAACAAAACCCCATTTGTAGGTCACCAACATCAAAGACCAAACATAGATAAAACCACAAAGATGGGGAGAAACAAGAGCAGAAAAGCTGAAAATTCTAAAAATCAGAGCACCTCTTCTCCTCCAAAGGATTTCAGCTCCTCACTAGCAACGGAACAAAGCTGGATGGAGAATGACTTTGATGAGTTGATAGGAGTAGGCTTCAGAAGGTTGGTAATCACAAACTTCTCCGAGCTAAAGGAGGATGTTCGAACCCATCGCAAGGAAGCTAAAACACTTGAAAAAAGATTAGACGAATGGCTAACTAGAATAAGCAGTGTAGAGAAGACCTTAAATGACCTGATGGAGCTGAGAACCATGGCAGAAGAACTTCGTGATGCATGCACAAGCTTCAACAGCTGATTCAATCAATTGGAAGAAAGGGTATAAGCAATTGAAGATCAAATTAATGAAATAAAGTGAGAAGACAAGATTAGAGAAAAAAGAGTAAAAAGAAACAAACAAAGCCCAGGAAATACAGGATTATGTGAAAAGACCAAATCTATGTTTGATTGGTGTACCTGAAAGTGATGGGGAGAATGGAACCAAGTTGGAAAACACTCTTCAGGATATTATCCAGGGGAAATTCCCTAACCTAGCAAGGCAGGCCAACATTCAAATTCAGGAAATACAGAGAACACCACAAAGATACTCCTTGAGAAAAGCAACCCCGAGACACATAATTGTCAGATTCACCAAGATTGAAATGAAGGAAAAAGTGTTAAGGGTAACCAGAGAGAAAGGTCAGTTATCCACAAAGGGAAGTCCTTCAGACTAACAGCGGATCTCTCCAAGGAAAACCTACAAGCCAGAAGAGAGTGGAGGCCAATATTCAACATTCTTAAAGAAAAGAATTTTCAACCCAGAATTTCATATCCAGCCAAACTAAGTAAGCTTCATAAGTGAAGGAGAAATAAAATCCTTTACAGACATGCAAATGCTGAGAGATTTTGTCACCACCAGGCCTGCCTTACAAGAGCTCCTGAAGGAAGCACTAAACATGGAAAGGAATAACCAGTACCAGCCAATGCAAAAACATGCCAAATTTTAGAGACCATCATTGCTAAAAACAAACTGTATTAATTTATGGGCAAAATAACCAGCAAACATCATAATGACAGGATCAAATTCACACATAACAATATTAACCTTAAATGTAAATGGGCTAAATGCCCCAATTAAAAGACACAGACTGGCAAATTTGATAAAGAGTCAAGACCAATCAGAGTGCTGTATTCAGGAGACCCATCTCACGTGCAAAGATTCACATAGGCTCAAAATAAAGGGATGGAGGAAGATCTACCAAGCAAATGAAAAGCAAAAAAAAGCAGGGATTGCAATCCTAGTTTCTGATAAAACAGACTTTAAAGCAACAAAGATCAAAAGAGACAATGAAGGCCATTACACAATGGTAAAGGGATCAATTCAACAAGAAGAGCTATCTATCCTAAATATATATGCACCCAATACAGGAGCACCCAGATTCATAAAGCAAAGTCCTTAGACTCCCACACAATAATAATGGGAGACTTTAACACCACACTGTCAATATTAGACAGATCAATGGAACAGAAGGTTAACAAAGATATCCAGGACATGAACTCAGCTCTGCAAGAAGCAGACCTAATAGACATCTACGGAACTCTCCACCCCAAATCAGCAGAATATACATTCTTCTTAGCACCACATCGCACTTATTCCAAAATTGACCACATAGTTGGAAGTAAAGCACTCCTCAGAAAATGTAAAAGAACAGAAATTATAACAAACTGTCTCTCATACCACAATGCAATCAAATTAGGACTCAGGATTAAGAAACTCACTCAAAACCGCACAACTACATGGAAACTGAACAACTTGCTCCTGAATGACTACTGGGTGAATAACGAAATGAAGGCAGAAATAAAAATGTTCTTTGAAACCAATGAGAACAAAGACACAATGTACCAGAACCTCTGGGACACATTTAAAGCAGTGTGTAGAGGGAAATTTAGAGCACTAAATGCCCACAAGAGAAAGCAGGAAAGATCTAAAATTGACACCCTAACATCACAATTAAAAGAACTAGAGAAGCAAGAGCAAACAGATTGAAAAGCTAGCAGAAGGCAAGAAATAACTAAGATCAGAGCAGAAATGAAAGAGATAGAGACACAACAAACGCTTCAAAAAAATCAATGAATCTAGGAACTGGTTTCTTGAAAAGATCAACCAAATTGATAGACTGCTAGCAAGACTAATAAGAAAAGAGAGGAGAATGAAATAGACACATTAAAATTGATAAAGGAGTTATCACCACCGATCCCACAGAAATACAAACTACCATCAGAGAATACTATAAACACCTCTATGCAAATAAACTAGAAAATCTAGAAGAAATGGTTAAATTCCTGGACACATACACCCTCCCAAGACTAAACCAGGAAGAAGTTGAATCTCTGAATAGACCAATAACAGGCTCTGAAATTGAGGCAATAATTAATTGTCTACCAACGAAAAGAAGTCCAGGACCAGACAGATTCACAGCCGAATTCTACCAGAGGTACAAAGAGGAGCTGGTACCATTCCTTCTGAAACTATTCCAATCATTAGAAAAAGATGGAATCCTCCCTAACTCATTTTATGAGGCCAACATCATCCGGATACCAAAGCCTGGCAAGGACACAACAAAAAAAGAGAATTTTAGACCAATATCCCTGATGAACATCAATGTGAAAATCCTCAATAAAATACTGGCAAACCAAATCCAGCAGCACATCAAAAAGCTTATCCACCACGATCAAGTCGGCTTCATCCCTGGGATGCAAGGCTGGTTCAACATATGCAAATCAATAAATGTAATCCATCACATAAACAGAACCAATGGCAAAAACCACATGATTACCTCAATAGAAGCAGAAAAGGCCTTTGACAAAATTCAACAGCCCTTCATGCTAAAAATTCAATAAACTAGGTATTGATGGGACATATCTCAAAATAGTAGAGCTATTTATGACAAACCCACTGCCAATATCATACTGAATGGGCAACAACTGGAAGCCGTGCCTTTGAAAACTGGCAAAAGACAAAGATGCCCTCTCTCACCATTCCTATTCAACATGGTGTTGGAAGTTCTGGCCAGGGCAATCAGGCAAGAGAAAGAAATAAAGGGCATTCAATTAGGAAATGAGGAAGTCAAATTGTCCCTGTTTGCAGAGGACATGATTGTATGTTTAGAAAACCCCATCATCTCAGCCCAAAATTTCCTTAAACTGATAAGCAACTTCAGCAAAATCTCAGGATACAAAATCAATGTGCAAAAATCACAAGCATTCCTATACACCAATTACAGACAAACAGAGAGCCAAATCATGAGGGAACTCCCATTCACAATTGCTACAAAGAGAATAAAATACCTAGGAATCCAACTTACAAGGGATGTGAATGATCTCCTCAAGGAGAGCTATAAACTACCGAGCAACTAAATAAAAGAGGACACAAACAAATGGAAGAATATTCCCATGCTCATGGATAGGAAGTATCTTGAGAATGGCCATACTGCCCAAAGTAATTTATAGATTCAATGCCATCCCCATCAAGCTACCAATGACTTTCTTCACAGAATTGGAAAAAACTACTTTCAAGTTCATATGGAACCACAATAGAGCCTGCATTTGCCATCCTAAGCCAAAAGAACAAAGCTGGAGGCATCACGCTACCTGACTTCAAACTATACTACAAGGCTACAGTAACCAAAACAGCATGGTACTGGTACCAAAACAGAGATATAGACCAATGGGACAGAGCAGAGGCCTCAGAAATAACACCACACATCGACAACCATCTGACCTTTGACAAACCTGACAAAAACAAGAAATGGGGAAAGGATTCCCTATTTAATAAATGGTGCTGGGAAAACTGACTAGCCATATGTAGAAAGCTGAAACTGGATCCCTTCCTTACACCTTAAACAAAAATTAATTCAAGATGGATTAAATACTTAAATGTTAGACCTAAAACCATAAAAACTCTAGAAGAAAACTTAGGCAACACCATTCAGGAAATAGGCATGGGCAAGGACTTCATGACTAAAACACCAAAAGCAGTGGCAACAAAAGCCAAAATAGACTTGGGATCTAATGAAACTAAAGATCTTCTGCATGGCAAAAGAAACTACCATCAGAGTGAACAGGCAGCCTACAGAATGGGAAAAAGTTTTTGCAATACCCATCTGACAGAGGGCTAATATCCAGAATCTACAAAGAACTCAAACAAATTTACAAGAAAAAATCAAACAACCCCATCAACAAGTGGGCAAAGGATATGAACAGACACTTCTCAAAAGAAGACATATATGCAGCCAACAGACACATGAAAAAATGCTCATCATCACTGGTCATCAGAGAAATGTAAATCAAAACCACAATGAGATATCATCTCACACCAGTTAGAATGGTGATCATTAAAAAGTCAGGAAACAACAGATGCTGAAGAGGAAGTAGAGAAATAGGAACACTTTTACACTGTTGGTGGGAGTGTAAATTAGTTCAATCATTGTGGAAGACAGTGTGGCGATTCCTCAAGGATCTAGAACTAGAATTACCATTTGACCCAGCAATCTCATTATTGGGTATATACTCAAAGGATTATAAATCATGCTACTATAAAGGCACATGCACACGTATGTTTATTGTGGCACTATTCGCAATAGCAAAGATTGGAACCAACCCAAATGTCCATCAATGATAGACTAGATTAAGAAAATGTGGCACATATACACCATGGAATACTATGCGGCCATAAAAAAGGATGAGTTCATGTCCTTTGCAGGGACATGTATGAAGCTGGAAACCATCATTCTCAGCAAACTATCACAAGGACAGAAAAGCAAACACCACATGTTCTCACTCATAGGTGGGAATTGAACAATGAGATCACTTGGACACAAAGCAGGGAACATCACACTCTGTAGAAGGGTGGGGGGCTGGGGGTGGGATAGCATTAGGAGAAATACCTAATGTAAATGATGAGTTGATGGGTGCAGCAAACCACCACGGCACATGTATACCTATGTATCAGATCTGCACGTTGTGCACATGTACCCTAGAACTTAAAGTATAATAAAAATAAATAAATAAAATTATAAAGCAAAAAAAGTAAAATAAAATAAAATAAAATTGGAAAAAAATGAAAAATAAAAAGGTTGAAAGGGGTTGCCATTGGAGGGGGAAAATGATGAGGCAAAATGGAGGGATTATTGCACTTTTTCACAGAACGGCAGGATTATTTAAACCATGTGCTTGTATACATCTAATAGAAACAAAAAATTAATTTTTAAAGTCTGAAATCTAACTGATAAAACAGTCATTCAAAGGAAGTGTACCACCTGAGGCATCTGTGGGCATGGAGTTGAGGGCTACTAGACCCCTCAGTTACAACTGACTTCGGTGTATCATCTACACTCTTCATCTTATGGCGCCTCCCTAATTTATTAGTGTAGCTCTTACACAACACTTACTATGTGTCAGGCACTTCATTAGTAATTCAGTTAAGCCTCACACCGACTCTATGAGGTAGGCACTATTGTTATCTCCAGTTTATGAATGAGGAAGCTGAGGCAGAATGGACTTAGGTAGCCTCCTGTTGTCGGCCAGGTAATAAGTAGGTACTGACATTCCCACTCATACAGAACAGCTCTCTGTGTTGCTCAGCAGAGAGGGTTAGGGACTTTACCCCAACGAAGATTCACAAAATGAAGGAGTCCCGTAAACCAGGAAGAAGGTTAGTTACGGAGCAGCCAAAACCAAAACATGCCCATTACAATTAATATGGTGAGAGCTATATGAAAATCATTGCATTTAGTTTTCAGCAAATCTCTGTCAAAAACTAATAACACATCAATGTGCACTGGTGAATATCTTTGTTTTTATTAATTATTTTCCAAGTGAAATAAAACAAAAAGAAGCAGTAATCCCACCAGATATCTGATTGTTCCTCAGGTAAGAAAGTAGTTTTAGAGACATTGACTTGTTAAAAATAGGTGCTAATTAATGCTTCAGAAAGGTGTGTTCTATTCATTCTTGAATATATTATGAAGGAATTATCTGAGTGATTAGGGAATTGGACAAGAATTAGGACCTGCAACTCAGGGTAAGCTCTAAATCATTCTAATGACAGGGATTTTCTTTTTAATTTACCTTTCATTTTCTTTTTTTTTTCTTGTTTACTTTAGGTAATTAAAAATAAAGAGAATTTAAATGTTAAAATATTTAGACAGATCATAAGATATCTTTAAATTTGAGTGAAATTTCTCTTCTCAGTCAAGTATGTCTTGTTTTTAAAAATATGTATCATCTAGAAATATCCATAACTCAGTATGCATTTTTCTACATTTACTCAGTGATGCAATACATTTTTTACCAAAATAAAATTATTCTATTCATATCAAGCTGCAATGTACTTTTTTCTTCTAAAATACATAATGAACACCTTTCCAGATCAGGATACTTTATTGTTTTAAATAACTACATGGTATTCCATGATATAAATATGTGAGTGTTCATTCATCACTTCATTGCTAATAAACATATAGATTATCTCCATTTTATCTATTAGCAACATTGCGTAATGATCATCTTTGTACAAATATATTTATAGATGCATATTTTTAATTCTGTAAGATAATGATCTATAATTGGTCTTTCAAAATAAAAATTAGATCATATTATTTTTTGCTTCAAACCTTCAAGTGTCTTCCCAGTCCCTTAGAATAAGATCCAAACTCCTTTTCATGGCCTCAAGGTACCACACCACCTGCCCTTGCCAGCTCATCCAAGCCTACTCTGGCCACTCTCCCTCTTCTTCTCTGTGATCCAGCCTTGTTGGCCTTTTCCACGCATACAACAAGCTTGCCCTTTTTAGAGCTTTGCACTTGCTGCTCCTGCTGCCTGGAATCTGCTGTAAGGCTAGCTCCCTCTCAGCAGTAAGCTCTCATCATAAAATGCATCTCCTCAGAGATGCCCACCCCACATACAATAGCTTCACCTACCCTTAGTGCTTCCATCACATGCTCTCTCTCAAAAAGGATGTCACATTCTTAAGCTTTGCTATGCCTAGCATGGCTCATCCTTAATTGCTCAGCTTATGAATCTTAGAGCCTTGAGCTTGACTTTGAGGCAAGAAGATCCATTGATGGGACATGTCAGCTACATGCAAGGAGCAATGAGACCATCGGCTCCAGTCCATCCAAAACAAGAAGCTTGGCATGTCCCCAGATGGTGTGACATTTCAGTCTCCCTTCCAAGGTACTTCAAAGAGACCCACCAAAATGCCTGAGAGTGAATTTTCTTGTGATCTTGGTAGATGGATACCACTCTAGATTTTATTTTATTTAAAAAAATTTAAAAATGGATTCTTTCTTCTATAAACATAAAAGAGAACTTGAGGAGAGCATGGCTAATATTTTGTATATTATCAGACTAAGTACAGAAATTCAGAGGAAGCCAGCACCACACCGTTTTGTCCCTCCAATTTTGATGTTCTAGATGTATATGTATTAGATTTATGCACAGCAATATTAAAATTTTTAAATAGGTCTGAAATTATTATGTCCAAGTTGAGGATTAAATAACTGATTAGACAAGAATAATGCTGCTTTCATTGTTAGCATTAGTGAGAAATGGCCCATAGAGTTAACCTATACACTGGTACTAAATATTATAGATTACGGTAATAAATATTAGATATAGACATTTTCTTTTCAGTTGGAGAAATAACCCAGAGGAAAGTATATTTTTCTGCCTAGTATTCTCTGCATGAGGCTTTGGCAGAACCCTAAACAATGTATGACATTCAATACTCCTAACACTAATTTGGTCAAAGTAAATAACATTCAAGAAGTTGTCAGGTTGTCCTGAATACCAGAGACATTTCTACTTGCAATGGTAGGAAGAGAAATAAATGCATTTGATGTAGCAGCTGAATCAGGATGCTAGATCAGGAGAAATATATCTTCATTATGGATGGTACATAGTTTCTGCTATCAACTAAATAAAAAATGCTCTTAAAATGTTGAACATGGAGAAATTTGCTTCCTAAAATCAAGATAGGTTTGCTTTTATAAACTAGTGATAATAATGCAAGAAAAGAAGTCTAATCAACCACATGTTTAAAGTATTTCCTCCATTATGGCACATTTAAAGAAAGCAATTTTTGTGATTGGATGATATATTGCAAAACATATTAAGGATAGGAAAACAATGCACACTTTCACCTTTGAGATACTGAGTTATGTAGTTCCATAATTACTGACTTACAAGCACCAGTAGGATTAGACACACCTAACTCATTTAAGCCAAGAGGCAGCCACAGCAACCATTTTCCATGAAGCAAGAAACAAGCTACACGTTATTGCCCAGCCCATTTAAAGTATCTGATGATGAAGTAGCCAAAAAGCTATATACAAATTCAAAAATATAGTTGCAATATTTCATGATAGAAACAGTTTTTTGTTGCTGTTATTGTTGTTGTTGTTGTTTGTTTTTTGTTTTTTTTGAGACAAGTTCTTGCTCTGTCGCCCAGGCTGGAATGCAGTGGTATGATCTCAGCTCACTGCAACCTCTGCACCTCAGGCTCAAGTGATTCTCCTGCCTCAACCTCCCAAGTAACTGGGATTACAGGTGCCTGCCACCACGCCTGGCTAATTTTTGTATTTTTAGTAGAGATGAGGTTTCACCATGTTGGCCAGGCTGTACTTGAGCTCCTGACCTCAAGTGATCCAAAAGCCTCAGCCTCCCAAAGTGGGATTATAGGCGTGAGCCATGGTGCCTGACCTTAATTTTTCATTTAATAAGAGTTCTTATGAATAAAAAAGAGAAAAAGATAAATGACCCAATAGAAAAAGAGACTAAAGAAAAGGACAAGAAATTCACCAAAAAGGAAGAGTAAATCACCAATAAGTATGTTTAAAATATGCAACCCTAGTAAACGGAAACAACAAGATAAGATTTTTTCCTATTCCCATAATATAAGCAACTTTTAAAAAAGATAATGCTAAGTTTTATTGCCACTCTTGATCACCTTGGCAGAAAGCAATTTGGCAATTTTTAGCAAAAGTTGGAATATTTTTTATTCATTTCCAGCTATTCTGTGTGGACCCTGTGCTAGGCATGGGACAAAAAATGTTGAAAAAAGCTCAGCACATAGACTCCACCAAAGGCAGGAGTACAAAAGGGAAAGGGGGCTGCTACGGTAAATCATACTCATTTTTTCTTAAATGGGTAAGAGTTAGCAAGTTGATTGGAGGTAGTGAGGGATAGGGAAGGTTTCTACAAAGTTAATCACTAAAAGCTGCCAAGGCCGTTTAACGGAACTAACGTAATTACTAACCAACTCCCAGTGCAACTGAGGTAATACAAACAAATTTTTTAGGATGCTGGAAGGCTAAACTAAAAGTGGTCCCCAAAGGATTTTATAAACATGGGGTCAGGGCACAAGCTGCAAACTAGAAGGGCACATTCTCGGGACCCTCCAGTTATGGCTGATACTTGCAAAACATGAAAGAAATAATGTCTCTGCTCTCCCTGCCCCCACATTCCAGGTCCTGTTCACATTACCCCCTTAGTGTGTGATTTACAGTGCTGCTTTTAAAATGTAGATTTTTTCAAGCTTTTATTGTTAGCATTTAAGTCATTAGAATTGTAGCTCCTCCATATATTTACAGAAATTAACCACATATTCCAAGTGTCAGTCCACACAGCACTCAACTGCAGGTTCTAAGCTTTAAGCTTTTGTTCATTTAACACTAATTTGCAGAAATTGGGTTTTCAGACTAATGTACAGTCAGTTCTTTTTTAGATTTATTATCCATTCTTAGAATATTTTTCTTTCATACCTGCCTTCTTTCTTTTTGTATTTGATTTGAATACTATCGATTGCAATTGTGGGATATATGCATGTGTGTGTTTAATGCGCATTAAGAAATTGTAAATCAAAGAATTATAAAGAGAATGTGAGTGTATACAACTCTTTTCTTAGAGCATAGCTCTGATGGATGCTAAAAAAGATTTTTACTAAATGAAAGAAAAATACCAATATAACAAATTAGATAGGCTGTTGTAATTGGCAGATGTTGGGTTTTCAATGGAGAAAAAAGACAGTACATTTTAGGCCTACTTTTCTTCCTTGGGTCTAATTGAAAATTTGGTTCATTGTAAGAACTCACGTGGTAGGCAAGAGCATCTATCCCAGTTCTTCTTTTAACTGTCAAAATAGAGTTTCCATCAGTTGCTGCCTAAGGGAGCTATGACCTGGATGGAAAATGCCACAAACGATTAAAGCAAACTTTAGTTTTTTGGCTGCCCCAGCATCTTCCCCTTTTTCTCCTGCTGAGGAGTTGGTTCACTGTGGTCTTGTTTGGAATATTCCATGAAGAATACTGACAATGTATGGGATTCGTCATGGTATGAACAATTTTCATGGATGGAAATACAAAGGCCAGTGTTAAATGAGAGCCTTTATAGAGGCTTTGAACAGTAATAAATTCCGATGAACAGTCCCCCACCCCTGGGGACCATCTTAATCTTTTTCAGGCACACACTAGATACCTTACAGAAGAAGCAGCAGTCCTCCAAGGGACAGAAGGAAAGAACAAAACCAACGGCCTTTCATTCAGGCTGAGAGACAAAATTCACTTCAATTTCACAAAACTGTCTTTGGACATGAACCAAATAAAAAATTCTTTTCATAGTTGGCCCAATGACATGCCACCTGAAATTACCAAGCTTGCTTTTCATGTTGTCTTTGTGTGCATGAGGGCAAGCTAGAGCAATAAACTGCTGGATATTATGATTTATTTTATAGTGTAACCCAAAGCAACATGATCTCTGGTGTATAATAGAAGATAATATGACTCTTTGAAGCAGAGAGAAGAAAAGGGAGAATAAGCCCTGGTGGCATTAAAATTGAGGGCAAGTAATTTGTCGCCGTAAGGGTTTCAAGTATTATAGTCCATGAAGGCCTTAACTCTGCTTGGAATGTGGTAAGGTGGCCAGGCCTGTTGTGAAATACTTCTCTGGTAGAAGCTCTGAGCTGACAAGTTGTACAAAGAAGAGTTGCAAATTAGAAGCTTATTTCTTGTCAACATGTCAGGGGTGGTCCTTAGTCTAATAATCTGAGGGAGACAGGGCCTTGGAAGAAGCAACAGCAGAAGAGGTGGGCTTCTAATTCAGAGGAGAAAATGGGCTTAAATAACCAAATCTGGATTTTAGCTCAAATTTGCCACAGCCTCCTAAAGTTAATGGGCAGGGGCCTTTGAAGGAGGCAAGGAACTGAATAGAATGAGCTAGAGCTTTGAAGTCAGACAGACCCTCGTTTGAACTCTTTCTTTATTACCTACTAACTGTAGGACCTGAGCCTCTCTGAGTCTCAGCCTCTTCTCTGTTAGACGGGTATAATAATAAATACTTCTCAGCATTGTTTTAAAGATTAAGTGAAGTAATACGTAACTTTCAGCATTGTTATAAGGATTAAATGGGATAACACAGAGGCAGATCAGTGCAGTGCCTAACCCATCCTGACTCCTTCTTTACCTATTCCCCTTGCAAAAGAACACTGCAAAGTCAGATGGTTCTACCACTTTTTCTTGTAAAGCAATTTTCTCTTACTAAGCATTAATCTTCTATAATTTCTGGGTTATATATTGACAACTCAATCATGTATTTTGCACTTTTTCTACATCATTGTCATATATGGGAGTATCTTGTGGTTTTTTTGTTAATTTCAATAACAAGTCCTCCTCTAGGAAAATCACAATGACTCAATCATGATTTCTACTTAAAAATGTACGTCCTGAATCAGTGCAAAGTGGTCAAAACATGAACTAAAGGAGATATAAGGAAGAATTAGCATTAAGCACACTGTTTGCAACTAAAATACACAACTATGGTTTAAGGAATTATTTCCTAGTAGTAAAATTATTTATGCAGACATAAGTTCTTTTTGATCAAGGATGGCAGTGAATGTCTCTCCAAGCAAGTTTTATTGGTCACGTCAGACTAAAAGGAGCTATAGCTTGTTTAATAGTGATCTCCTTGTTTTGTTTCATCGCTACCAAACAATGTATAACACTGAAATTAGACACATCTAATCCCCACATTTCACAGAAGAATAAATTGATTCCCTGGAAGATGTGAGACCTGCACAGTGTCTGGGGCACAACACAAACCTGGGTCTCTTCTCACAACCTTGGGCTCTTTTTTTTTTTTTTGAGTTGCTATTTCAGATTCCCTCAAACAGACTCCTCTGCTATCATTACAAGCTAGAGACACCTAACCATTTCCTGAAGTTTTGAAAATGTCCCAGTGCTTTCTGATATGGTTTCCACAGAAGCCATGTTTCCATGTTTGATGACACTGGAAAAAATGCTTTATGCAAATGTGAAGCCAGCAAATGGTTATTGTGGAATAGCCATCCAACGTTCAATCCCAGGAGGTATAAATAAGCACAGAAAAATGACCACTCTTTCAAATGATCATCCAGCCCTTTTGAGGTTTCCCTCATCACCAGCCATAAATATCACTTGCTCTTCCACTCATTTCTGGCCTAGTAATGCACGCCACCAAGAATTAGGAATTTCTCATTTCTAAAGCTGATTTGGCCACCCAAATCAGCTTGTGGGGCCTTGGACAAGTCATTTAGTAACTTTCTCAATCTTAATCAAAGAGTAAAATCTTCAATTGCACTGTGAAGATGACCTCATTTACATTCACACTTACTAAGGATTCTCATTTTCTAAGCCGATTTTTTTTTAAAGTGGCACTATCATGTCACATAGATCAAAAAGCTAGCA
Source organism: Homo sapiens (assembly GCF_000001405.40). Classification (NCBI taxonomy): domain Eukaryota; kingdom Metazoa; phylum Chordata; class Mammalia; order Primates; family Hominidae; genus Homo; species Homo sapiens. The sequence goes on from NC_000004.12 coordinate 144,496,286, forward strand.
ATGTAATCATATCATCCAAACATAGCAAGATTGGAATGCAGGAAAGAAAATAGAACAAACTCTTAAAAACATTGCAACTGAAAATAGAAACTTAGTAATGAGTATTCTTACAAATTATGCTATTAAAAGCAAGGCTCTAATAAGCACTACTTGTCCATAGAACTTTATCACTTCTCCATTAAAACAAAGTTCTGGCATGAAGCTTCTTTAGGAAGCTCCAGGAACATAGCCTTCATTCTCAGGCTAAGTTAGGAATAGTTTCTCTATAATCTCACAATCCCTTGATTATGCCAATGTCACTTCACTTATCACATTGAATTATAATGATTTGTTCTTATCTCTGTAGCTTCCAGGAGACTTGAACTGTTAAGGCAGGAATCATTTCTTATTCATCATGCTAAATCCACTGCCTGGCACAAAATAGGTATCAAATACATAGCTTCTTGATATACAAAAATATGGGCTAGATGGTTGTTTATGGAGGAAGCTATCCAATTCTATTCTCATAGCCAGTGGAGAAATGAAATAGCTTTTCTAAGAGAGTTTTATTTTCTCAGCTTATAAAAAGAGACCAATAAGGAACTGGAGTTTTATGAACAATATTTCAGCATCTTCCAGCTATCTTCATCTTAGATGAAGTGCTCTACGTATGGCTATATTCTGTTGACACACAGACACACACACACACACACACACAATCACCAGAAGACATCCAAAAAGAATAAATATTAAAATTCTTATAGGGTTATAGGTGTGTGGCAATCAGGGAAATATTAATTTAACCCTCTTCAATAAGAACTACAGATTTTAGTCCAGGGAACATAGTTTCTAAAAAACAGTGGGAGACAAGTTAATATATCCAAATGAAGAGATCAGCTGGCACACAGAAAATCCCCACTGCTGGGAGAATTTAACTCTGTAGATTGTGGCGAGGTCAAAAGGCCCTTGTTCCTTCTTGGAAAGATGCTATTTCTCCCGTACATTATTTTCTGTGTGTGGGAATTGCTTGCTGTAGAAATTTGAGTATTGATAACCTAAAGACACTGAAGAAAACATTCATTCACAACTGTTTGTTATAAATGTTTATCTTTGGCTGGTAGATAAATCCAAGATAATATGGCAAGTTTGCTTTTTGAGGGACAAAAAAAAAAAATCCAAACATAGTAAAGGCAAAAATGTAGGAAATAAACACAGGAGATATACTATTTCTTGCTGTTGACTTAGACAATATTATTTGGAAAATTGTAGTATACCTTTTGTTGTAGAACATAACACTAGTTTGTTACTCACTAACATCTCACTCTCAATTCTTTCTCCTTTGCAAGTCGGGGAAGAGAACTAATCTTTGCCACAGTTTCCAGCAAGGCTGGGTCACCGTCAGCATCACTATCTGCCCTCAACCACCACTGAAGCCTAGGTGCTACTTGGGACCCCCTGTCAGCAACCCAGGAGCTCCTCCCATGGGAGGGGTGACATTTCACAAAACAGAGAGTGTAGGTGTAGGGATGGAGAAACCAAAGAAGGTGAGGAAGATGGGGGAAAGATGCCAGAATATTGTCCACAGGACCCCCTCCTTGTGTGGGTCCCAATCTTTAGGAACTTGTCCTTTCTGAAATTCGGGAAGAAGTCCACATTAACTAGAACTTTAATCTCTGTCCTTTTCTATTACAATTCCTTTAGGAATTTGTCCTGACAATGTAGAATTAAAAAAATTGCATATACCCAAATAATCTGCTATACTAGTCTTTGGGAGACTGAATGAACAGAACAACGGAAAACTTGGTTCCTGCGGGACTCTCTGCATGCTGAGCACATGATACTATGAAGTTTGGGGGTGCACTGTAATCTCTGCCTAGCCAAGAGGTGTGGGGAGAAAGTCCAAAAACTAGAGGAGCATTCTGAAGTGGACAAGCAAGAAAACAATGAGTCCAAACCTTTCTACTAACCCTGCATGTTAGAGAATGTGTACCAAAGAAATAAGGCAAAAGGCCCAACTCTCAGAAGGTGCAGGAGAGGGAAGAGGAATGGAACATAAACAGAAGCCCAGACAATGCCACAGCAGTGTCACAAACTGAGGCTACAGCCTGAAAACCACGAAGGAGTCTTCACATGCAAACAGGACCTAAAGCCCAGCACATCATCTACCAATTGTTTCCACCCATCCAACACCCACGGAGGGGCAGGGGGTGGTGACACAGAACACTGGGCATCTGTCGCCATGTGATCTGTTTAATGTAAAATTCAGCACATCACATAGATTTTCCTTTATTCCCAAATATCATTTATTTTTAACTTTTTAGGAAAAATATTGTGCTTATTCCTCTATGCAATAAATTGTGCTTGTAGCATGTTTCCATGCATACTGAGATTTTGAAGCTCAATAACTCTCCAGATACAATTTGACTGGAAATTAATCATCCCAAATATAATGATCTCAACATCAAGAAAAATGTGAAATTTGTAAATAGTAGAATTTATAATGATTTTTCTTTCTTTAACTAAATTATCCATAAGCCTTGACCAAATAAGTGAGAAAAAATTCTTAGCTCCTCCTCGGTCTCCAGGTTGAGGCTAAGTTATGAGTAGCTGGCAATCAAGTCATTCAAAAAATAATAATATTCACTTTTATATGTGCTTGGAATACCAACTGAGCTTCTTGTAAAAACTTCAGCTGTTAGTAGAAGACCTGAAACAGGTTTTTCTCGTTTAAGAGGCTGTAATTTTCAAGTTCGTTTCTCAATATGTGGAATTTATGAAAAACAAGCCATTGGGTATTATTTTTGCCATGCAAATAAGGATGGTTCACGGGAATGTTTAAATTTTCTTCCCCAACCACTACTTTAAAAAGTACCCTGGTTGAAGAGTTCAGTTTCCTGTGCACTTTTCGCATTGACATGGAAGGTGCCCTATAAGAATTCACTCCAATTTTTTCCATCCTGTGTCTCTCTGTCGTATAACCTGAAGCTACTACATTGCATGGCATGCTTCAGGTCTTTACTCACAATTTACTAAACAAAACCCAGATTCCATGTAAGACTGATTTTTCTCCCCTGCTTGTTTACTACAATACTAGAAAAGAGGAAATTAGGTCAAAATTAAAACTGACAATGGTTTGGGAGTACTGTTAGATTTAGTATCCTTACCCTCTAGCACAGACAGACCTTGTTTTATTGAGCTCCTCTTTATGGTGCACCATGGATACCGCATTTCTCACGGATTGAAGGTTTGTGGCAACCTGCACAGAGCAAGGGAAAATCAGCACTATTTTTCCAAAAATATCCTAACTTTGTCTGTGTGCCACATTTTGGTAATTCTCACAATATTTCAAACTTTTCATCATTATTATATTTGTCATGGTGATCTGTGATCAGTGATCTTTGATGTTACTATTGTAATTGCTTTATGGTGCCATAAACCGCACCCATATAAAAGGAGAACTTAATCAATAAATGTTGTGTGTATTGTGACTGCTCCACCAGCCAGCCATTCCCCATTTCTCTTCTTCTTCTCCAGCTTCTTTATTCCCTCAGACATGACAATATTGAATTTAGGCCAATAAATAACCCTACAATGGCCTCTAAGTGTCTAAGTGAAAGGAAGAGTTACACATCTCTCACTTTAAATCAAAAGCTAGAAATGAATCAGCTTAGTGAGGAAGACATGTAGAAAGCAGAGATAGCCCCAAAAAGAGGCCTTTTGCACCAAATGTTAGCCAAGTTGTGAATGCAAAAGAAAAGTTCTTAAATGAAATTGAAAGTGCTATTCTGGTGAACACATGATTGATAAGAAAGCAAAACAGCCTTGTTGCTTTGGTGGCCCAGAAAGGCCACTAAAACCAGCCACAACATTCCCTTAAGTCAAAGCCTTATCCAGAGTAAGGCCCAACTCTCTACAATTCTGTGTAGGCTAGGAGAGATGAGGAAGCTTTGGAAGAAAAGTTTGAAGCTAGCAGAGGTTGGTTCATGACGTTTAAGGAAAGAAGCCATCTCCATGACATAAGAGTGCAAGGTGTAGTACCAAGTGCTAATGCAGAAGCTGCAGCAAGTTGTCCAGAAGATTTAGTTAAGATAACTGATTAAGGTGGCTATACTAAACAGCAGACTTTTTAATGCAGACAAAACAGCCATTTATTGGAAAAAAATGTCATCTGGGACTTTCATAGCTAGAGAGGAGAAGTCAAAATCTGGCTTCAAAGCTCAAAGACAGGCTGAATCTCTTGTTAGGGGCTAATGAAGCTGGCGACTTTAAGTTGAAACCACTGCTCACTGACTATTCTTTAAATCCTAGGGCCTTGGCCAGGTGCAGTGGCTCACGCCTGTAATCCCAGGAATTTGAGAGGCAGAAGGGGGCGGATCACCTGAGGGTGGGAGTTCGAGGCCAGCCTGACCAATATGGAGAAATCCCGTCTCTACTAAAAACACAAAACTTGGCCGAGCACAGTGGCTCACGCCTGTAATCCCAGCGCTTTGGGAGGCCGAAGCAGGCGGATCATAAATTCAGGAGATTGAGTCCATCCTGGCTAACATGGTGAAATCCTGTCTCTACTAAAAATAAAAAAATTAGCCAGGCGTGGTTGTGGGCGCCTGTAGTCCCAGCTACTCGGGAGGCTAAGGCAGGAGAATGGCGTGAACCTGGGAGGTGGAGCTTGCAGTGAGCCAAGATCAGGTCACTGCACTCCAGCTTGGGCAACAGAGCAAGACTCCATCTCAAAATAAATAAATAAAATAAATGAATAAATAAATAAATAAATAAATTAGCTGGGGGTGGTGGCGCATGCCTATAATCCCAGCTACTCAGGAGGCTGAGGCGGGAGATTCCCTTGGACCCGGGAGGCGGAGGTTGCATGAGCCAAGATCCCACCATTGCACTCCAGCCTGGGAAACAAGAGTGAAACACTGTCTCAAAAAAACAAAAAACAAACAAAAAAAAAACCTAGGGCCATGAATAATTATGCTAAATCTACTCTCCCTGTGCTCTAGAAATGGAAAAACAAAATCTGGATGAAAACTTATCTGTTTACAGCATGGTTTATAAAATATTTGAAGCCCACTATTGAAACCTACTTCTCAGAAAAAATTTTTTTTTCAAAACAATATTACTCATTGACAATGCACATAGTTACCCAAGAGCTGTGATGGAAATACATAAGTGAATGAATGTTGTTTTCATGCCTGCTAACAAAACATCCATTGTAGCCCATGGATTGAGTCATTTTGATTTTCAAGTCTTATTATTTAAGAAATACATTTAATAAGGCATTAGCTGCCACATATAGTGATTCCTCTGATGGATCTGAGCAAAGCGAATTGAAACCTTATAGAAAAGATTCACCAAATGCCAGTAAAAACATCTGTGATTCATGGGAGGAGGTCAAAATATCAACATTAACAAGAATTTGGAAGAAGTTGATTCTGCCCTTCCATGGATGACTTTGAAGAGTTAAGACTTCAGGGGAGGAAGTCACCACAGCTGTGATAAAAATAGCAAGAGAACTACAATTAGAAGTGGAGCCTGAAGATATGACTGAGTTGTTACAATCTCATGATAAAACTTTAACAGACAAGGAGCTGGCTCTTATGAACGTGCAAATAAAGTGGTTTTTTGAGATGGAATATGCTCCTGGTGAAGAAGCTGTGAACGTTGTTGAAATGACAAACAAGTATTTAAAATATTACATCAACTTAGTTGCTAAAGCAATAGCAGGGTTTGAGAGGATTGACTCCAATTTGGAAAAAAAGTTCGACTGTGAGTAAAACAGAGAAATCTTTTGTGAAAGGAAGAGTCAATCTATGTGCAAACTTCAGTGTGGTCTTATTTTAAGAAATCGCCACAGCCACCCTGGCCTTCAGCAGCTACCACCCTAATCAGTCAACAGCCATCAATATCAAGGCAAGACCTTCCACCAGCAAAAAGATCATGACTCTCTGAAGGCTCAGATCATCATCGGCATTTTTTAGCAATAAAGTATTTTTAAAGTAAGGCATGTATATATATTTTTTAGACAAAAGGCTATTGCACACTTAATAGACTACAGAATAGTATAAACATAACTTTGATATGTACTGAGGAACCAAAAATTCATATGACTTGCTTTATTGCAATACTCACTTTATTGTGGTGATCTGGTACTGAACTTGCAGTATCTCCAAGGTATGACTGCCTCTTTATAATTATAAAAGGAAGGCTATGCTTAAGCAAAGAAATAGGATTCAAGATTCAAAGATTTTTTTATATGTAAGATGTATTCATTAGTTTTTTGAGAATTATAATTTAAAATGTTTTATTGAAATATGTTAATTACTTTTAAATGCTAGATTTAGATTCTGTATTTGTAGTCTCATACACTATTCATACAGGATTTTTGCATTTGTTTCTTTTCCAATAAAATAATTGAAAAAATATTACCTAAGTGATTAATCCTTGTTGGAATGCAGCTGAAAGCTTAATGTGAAATTGGATGTCTCAACTGACATGCTTAATTAAGAATGGAGAACATGAATTCTTCTCTATTATACTTACTGTCAGCAATAAAATGAAAATCAGGAAAATATATCTTGAGATTTCAAAAGCAGATGCATACCCCAGATTCCCCAACCTCAGAAAAGCAGTAGGCCTACAGTCATGGGAGCCAAAGGTCCCCTTGGCTTCAGCATGGCATCTGCCTTTTTTTCCACTTCTGCTCTGCCTGTTGCTGGAAAGCCCACTCTTTACTCTGAAACACACCAAAGTGCCAATGTTTGGGCACCTTCTTTCACTTTTCCCTGTTTCCAAGTTCATATAACTGAATCTAGCTTTCTCATGGATTGTATTCAAGTATTTAAAAATGGTAGAATTCACTGTGTTAGTTGTATTTTCCCTTGTTCTGCATTTTCTGTCAAGAGCAGAGGTTCTCAATCTACAGTTCTCATGCCAAATGATCCTGACTTTTTTTGTAAAGGTCTTAAGCTAAGAACTTCTTTTATATTTTTAAAGGGTTGGAAAGGAAGAGGAGGCAGAAAAGGAAGAAAGACAGGAAGAAGGAGAAAAATAAGAAGGGGAAGAGAAAGGGGAGGAAGCAGAGGAAGAAGAAGAGGCTGCCACAGTGTCAGGGCAGAGACAGTAAGTGGCCTGGAAATCCTAAATTATTTTTACAGAAAGATTTTGCAGACCCCTGGTTTAGAGAGATGGCTGCCCTCACTCACAGAATGTGATTTCTTTTTAGATCAGTTAGGACAGGGACATAAGGAAAGTTCAAGAAGAAAAATGTGACCAAATTGCTCCTTGTCCAAAGGAACTCTTGATTAAAGCCTTTCCTAAATATTTTCCTGAGTGGCAAACACTGTTCATTGCCTTCTCAACAGATATTCTCTCTCAGTTTTGATCTAGTTGAGAGAGCCATATGCTTCAGGGGAGGCTGGGGCCCTCCGCATCTTCAGGAAGGTAAGTTTGAATAGATCCAGTCAAGGCAATTCTATCTCCTTGCCAGTGATTGATTTGGGACTTGGGACAAGTTGCAAATCTGGCCAATAAAATGTTAACAGGAAGTCTGCCATGAGATGCCTGAAAATAGTTCACTCTCTTTTAAAAGGGAAGCCAAGGAAAGAACATGCCTTCTTTTCCCCCTTTTTCAACAAGGCACCTTTAAATCTTGTTGGGTGAAAACACACTGCCTAGGATTGCCACAGCCATCCTGTAACCCAAAGGCTGGAAATGGCAGAACAGAAAGTCAACCCAAAAAAGAAAAAAATAATAAACCTTCAACCAATGTGCTTGGGAATTTAGTTTGTAAGACATAAAATGCCTGTATTGTTAAACCTACTTTTAATTGTTTCTTTCCTCTTTTAACCCTAAAGCATTCTGATATACCTAGTAAAGGCAACAGCTTGTAGGAAAATCTTCTTGGCTATTTCTACTGTTTCACAATAGAAAGTAAAAATTATGAAATGCTGGCCTTGTCTTAATGCAATGGAACAACCAATTTATTAATCCATCCCTTCAGACACACCACCTTTTAATCTAGGGTAAACACATTTATGGATGCAACTTTTATGAATAATTTTTTCTTTTTTTCTTTTGAGATGGAGTCTTGCTTTGTCACCCAGGCTGGAGTGCAGTGGCACCATCTCGGCTCACTGCAACCCCTGCCTCCTGGGTTCAAGTGATTCTCCTGCCTCAGCCTCCTGAGTAGCTGGGATTACAGGCATGAGCCACATGGCCCAGCTAATTGTTAATATTTTTGGTAGAGACGGGGTTTCACCATGTTGGCCAGGCAGGTCTTGAACTCCTGACCTCAAGTGATCCACCCTCCTTGGCCTCCCAAAGTGCTGGGATTACAGGCTTCAGCCACCCTGCCCAGCTGATAATTCTTGACTTAGAAGTACTGTCATCAAGAAAGGACTGAATCTTTCTAACCATTAGTAAATAAATGGTTTAAGTTGTGTTCAGAAGAGAAATTAGATATTGACATAATGTATCAAGTAGGACACCATGAGTTTCTAAAATGAATTTTGGATAGATGCATCTTTTCACTCACAGATATCTTTGAATAATATAATGGACAAATTGCAATGAATGTCAAATTATTGAGTGCAATTAATTTTAAGAGTCAAGCAGGATTGGCAAAAGGACAGAGCAACTCTTAAAACCCATGAAGCTCACATCTCCTCCCCATGCTACCACCTCTCACACTCTCCCCACCCATGCAGACACATTACATACTCCTCTCATCCGGCATGCTGTTGGCCATGTGTGCTACCACACTTGCAAGAAGTTACAATAGTTTATTCTAAATGTCTCGGCTTTTACAGCCTAAACTGAGGCCGTTAGTGGCACTTGGAAATTATTTTTGTGGTTTACTTTTATAGATAACACATTTCCCACCCCTACCCCCTTTCTGCTGGCTCCTTAAGAAATTTGGTTGAGGGAAACCACACAGAATTCTGAAATCTGTAGGCCAGGTGCCCACATCACAGTGACTTGGATCCCCACGCTGGTGGCTTTTGGCAAGACATCAAAGTCTGTTCTTTCTCCTATTATCATTCCTAACAGGAAATTTGACTCCAGTGCATATATATAATATTTTCAGTAGCCTTAACTCATAACCCATTAATTACTTTTGGTTTTATTTATTGTGCTTCTGGTATTTCTCTTAAATTTAAAACTCTCCAAGAGTCTTTTAATTTTAATATTATACCATTATTTATGGGAAATTGTAGCGGGGTACTGGTAGTAGTAAGAAGGAAAAAAAATTGATGAAAAATTCTTGTTACTGTTCTCTTCCCAGATCACTTAGTTCACCAACTTCCTTTATTTTATGTCATATGCTGTTGTCTTGATGTCAGCCCAGGATCTTTCCTTGGTTCTATCTCAGCACAGACACAGGCAAGTTACTTTATTCACTTGCTCCCGTGTTCACTATTCCACATGTATGTATTCATAAGACACTATGAGCCAGAATTTTACAAAGGCCCTGGGGGATTCAGTGATGAACAAGACAGACACAATCCATGTCACTATGGAGCTCACATTCTCATAGAGAGGATAGATCCAAAACAAGAAAAAAAATATGACAATGCGTGGTGTCATAAAGGAAACCAAGGAGGAGCCATGAGAAAAAATAGGCCATTTTTTCCCTTGGAGAGGATATCTGGGGAAGGCCTCTTTGAGGAGGTGAGTTGTGAAGGGACAAGAAAGAGACAGCCATATGGACACTGGAGTTAAGACTATCAGTCACAGTAGCGACTCTGGTTTTCTCAAGTTCATATTGTTGTACTGTAAGAGCAGAGGCATTCTAACTTTCCAGCAGCTTCCAAGTGGAAGAGTTTTTATTGCCTTGGTGGCTTTCCTTAACAATTGAACAGAACCACAAGGGAGAAAGACCTTTTTTTCAGGGAAGCTGGGGTAGGTAGAGTTGGCCTCTGACCTAAGATTTTGTCCAGTGACTTTTCTGTTGGAACGGAATGTCTAAGAAAACCCAAGGAAGAAGTGAAGTCTCTAAGAAATGTCAGGCAGAAATCACCCGGGGGCAAAATCCACCTGAAAATGTTGATTAGCCTCTCCCTTTCCCTCTTTCATCCACATCCTTATCTCTATATACTCACATGGTAGAAGGTCAGATTGTTTTCCTTAAGAAGAATTTTCTCATGTAAAATATTAATGCAATCTGAATTGCATAATTTTACCATATTCTATTATCTGAAATTAGTTATAATAATTCAATGCTTTCACCCCATACCACATAAATACAAAGCATTTTTTCTTAGTGGGTGGAATGGTGAACCCCAAAATGATATGTTCATGTCCTCACCCACAAAAACTGTAAATGTGATGTTATTTGGAAAGGGAGTCTTTGCAGATGTTACTAAGTTAAGGATCACAAGAGCATACTGATTTAGGGTGGGCCCTAAATCCAATGACAAGTCCTTCTAAGAGAAGAGCAGGGGAAACAGGCACAGCTATAGTCACAGAGGGGAGAAAGGCATGTGACGATGCAGGCAGAGATTAAATAAGGCTGCCACAAGCCAAGGAACTCCAGGAGCCTCCAGAAGTTAGAAGAAGCAAGAAAAGATTCTCCTCTAGAGCCTTTCAAGGGAGCACCATGTTAATAACACCTTGATTCAGATTTCTAGCCTTGAGATTTGTGGGAGAAAATATTTCCATGTTTGAAACCATCAAATTTGTGGTAATTTGTTGTAGCAACTGAAGGAAACAAATACACCATCTGAAGCTGAGCTTTTGAAGGTTGGAAAATTATACTTGCCTTTATTTCAGTTTATTTTTCTTCAGTGAAAAAAGCAATCAACAGGAATGAAATGGCTTAACAAGAGCACATTGCAGGTTGCACAAAGGCATCACTGGCAGTTCTACCACTGCTCCATCAAAGACTGTGTTCCCAGACCCTGCAATTTCCCATCCTGTGAACCACAGCACAGGGTAATGGAAGAAAAGCTGGACTACGAATCATAAGCTGAGGTACTGTTGTTCCTGTTTATAGACTCTCAGTCTTGATTTTTCTATCTTGCCTTTGTGTACTTCACAGTGGAGGGATCTTAATATGATCAAAATAGAATAATAAAATAACAGCTGTGAAAACAAGCTACAGGTAATAGTGTTCCATGAAAATATGTTCATATTATTATAGAAGAGAGGAATAAAAAGAAGTTAAATATGAAGTCACATCCCATATAGACATCACTAAACCTGAATAATGAACAGGAATTCCTTACTCCTGATGTCACTGGGTGACGTCCACATAGCCCACAACGTTCAAGGCTCTGATGAGCTCACTCTGATGAGCTTCCAAGAGTCCAAGTCCTCCACTGTTCTTTCTTCCTCACAGAAAATTGACATGAAAAGTACAGGTCAGGCTTGGCTACCTTCTGAGGGATCAAATATGCACAGAAGTGATAGCCTCATCATAGTGCCAAACTCAGAATTAAACACCATTCTTGGCCATTAGGTCCATACACTAGTGTTTTTCTGGGATTCTCTGGAAGACACCAGAATATCCTGGTACCATTCAGTCCTACCTTATGGGCCAAGCCTGAGGATGTTTCAAAAGAAACCCAGAGCAGCCAAGGTGGTGGTTTTGTGGAAGGTCTTAGAAGCCTCACTGCCAAAGCGAAACCAGCTGAGTAAACTTCACAAGCAGACCCACACCACTCAGTAAGGTGTCCCACTAAGATATTAGCCTTGACAAGAGAGCCCTGGTGCCATGGAAACAGGGTAAACACAGAGTTTGTCTTCCAGGCTTTGTGGAAGATGCTACAATCCTCATCCTGCCTCCAGACCCAGAATGTACAGAAAAGTAGACTGAGGAAGAAAACATAAAAGAAAAGAGAACATAGGCTAAGACTGACCTAAGTTTAGAAATAAATGCTTTAACATTGACCTGAAAATTTGTTAGGGAAGAGTTGATTTCCCTTCTCCTTGCTGCCTATCAAAATTAAATTAAAAATAAAAAAAGTTTTCCCTTCTTCTCCTTGCTGCCTATCAAAATTAAATGAAAAAAAAGTTTTGCATTCATGATTTATGTGAGCTATCATGCTAGCTACATGGCTTAATTATGGCCAAGTATAGTCAAGTGGACAGAACACGGAACTTACACAGGTCTGGATTCAAGCAGCCAACATGGTCACTTGAATGGACCAGTTAAGAAGCCTATGTGTCTACCTAAGTCTGTTTTCTCACTTGTAAAATATAGGTGCCTAGTTAGAGAGGATAAGGAAACCATTCTTAAAACCATATTTAGAGGAATCTCAAAATATCAAAAGAACAATAATTTAATATACTGAAATATATTAATAAGTTACCAGGTTTTAACAACTTTGAAGTCCATCTCAACCCAGCAATGCAAACCCCTGTATTGGAAGCACATTCCTATGGAAGCTTGTACATACTACATATTACTGTGCTCTCATACACACTAGAAATGTGTCCATTATTATGGAAAAGTTTTGCATGGTAATAGCTTAAAGTAGGACTTTCTTAATTTTAAAGTATAAAGATACAGTGGAAATCGGTAACATTGACTCAGCAAAACAAGCCAACGAAAAAATACAAAACACAGAGAATGAGAATCTGAAAGACTCTAACAACAATAATTCTTCTTAGGCCAATATGAAAATATTAGGTTGTAAAAGAAATAGGAAAGAATAAAATCAAAATAACATTAAATATGGACAATTCCAAGTGAAGAATAAAGTATATAAAAATCAAGGAATAAATCCATGTATACACACTGGGCTTTATGGCTTTTTACTATTATACAGAAGTCTTTTTTTTTTCTTTTATGTTAGGTTAATTTTAACTATATTTTAGTTTTTATCGTTGTATGGTCAGCGGGGGTAATCCTTGCCCACACAGAAACAGTGCCAGAGCGTAGGGCCCACATATTTACAAAGGAGGTCCTGAGATCATTGAAAGAAGTAGTCATTGTCCTTAGCACAAGAACAAGGAGAAGCCAGGGAGGCCCTACCTTCCCTCTCCAGGGTGCTGTGAGCTACTTGTGTTCTCTGATGAGCCTGCAGTAGAAAAAGGATGACGACAGAGATGAGGCGCGGGGAGGCACTGGGAGACGCAATCAATGTGAGCAAAGCAAGCATCCCACTTTGGGCTTCTCCTAAAGCAATTCTCCTACTGAGGGAAAAACTTTTCAGGGACCCAGGGATGGGATGGGATTGGGGGTGGGGAGTGGGGGTCACCTGCCTCCCCCTATAGTGGTCATTTTCATAAGTCAGCAGGGGGTAGAGGCAGGAGGCAAATCCAGCACATCGTCAAAATAACCAAGTGTTCTGTGCCAAAAGGAAATGTGGGCTAAGAACTATAATGAGAGGGTAAGCAAAGAGCCACTGGCTCCAAGCAGTGAGATGTGTCAGCGAGAGAGAACAGCAGTCCTGCTGGCCCGAGTTCAGGCCAGATCCTTAATCTGTAAATCACTGTGAAGCCCAATACGTCAAAAAAAAATGTGGCCACCCCTGGAGTAAAGGCAAAAGGCAACAGAGTAACCTCCTGTGGATAACCCCTGTGAAAATGCAAAAACACCCCAGCATCCAAGAGAGGGGAAGGGTGGCTTGCCAGAACCTAATTACATTTAATCAAGATGGCAAAAAATGATGAGCACGTGTCCCATAATCCCAAATGAAAAACACACGCATATGCGCGCGCGCACACACACACACACCACTCTTAAGAATGCTTGACTGTATATTCTCTCATCTCCCTTTATAAGCCTACTCTAAAATTTCTGGCACGGGCCTGAAAGTCATTAGTAATTTAGCTGAAACGTAAAATTTTACTGCGGCGCATTGGTAGCTATTATGAGGTATAAATCTGTGTGGCTCTGGCAGGTTGAATTCCCTCCTACTACCCTTCATCGTGCTACAGAAAGCATTTAACCGTGCTGGGGGGGGTACAGGACTCACATTTTGGAATTAAATTAGAGACATGAGAATACTAAAATACCCTTTCTTTTCTTGATCTGCACTAATCATTTTGAACTGCTTTCTTGGGCTAAGTCCCACTAAAGAAAATGTCATCTTCTTCAGGAAATCTGGATTCAGCAAACTGCCCTGCAAAAGCCATAGAGTACAAAATCATCAAGTTTAACAAAATCTGTGTTTGCTTTGCCCACACTTATTCTATAGACCCAAGCCCATCATTTTCAGTTGTCATTGGAGAACAAAAGTATCTCACTCATAAATTCCAAATGTTTCCCTATAAGTGAAGCAAAAGAGAAACTACATACAGTATTTTTATATTAATTGTACTACATTCAAAAACATAATACATTGGTTATTTTGTTTCACAATTTTCAACAAGGTCCTTTATGGTCATTAGGTCTTGAATGCAAACATATTTTCATACCCAATGTATTATGTTTTTGAACATAGTACAATTAGCACATGAGATTTGAACCTTTATTATTGGAGTGACTTAGTAGAAAGCATATGGAAAGTGGAATTATGCCTAAATCCTATGCCCTTAGACAGAGATAGAGAATCGGAGAACTTGTTCTATCATTGAATTTCTTGTCTTCACAGCAGACATTAGCCATGGGTTACAGGGGCAGTACAGGCTTCAGGTAAACCTGGATCCAGTACCTCTGTTTGATTAAATCAGGACACATGCTTAGACTCCTCAATAAAGTCTGCAGGCAACCATGACCAATTTATTATAGCACATGAGACAAAAAACTCACTTGCCTTCTCTGGCCTAAATTGTAAGCACTATGAGAGAAGGACCACAATTATTCCTTTTTTTGTTCTGGCACCTGTCTCAGTATCTGGCACATAGCTGGCCTCAGTAAAAATTTTTTGAATGGTACTGAACTGTGTGACCTTGCCATTAATTCAAAAAGTATCCTAAACTAAATAATTTTTTGCCTTATTTTATTTTCCTAGAAAATGATATCTTGTTAATTGCCAGTTACCTTGTTATTACCAAAAGAAATTAAATATAAAATTAAATGTAAGCAAAACCATTAAATGTTTATTTACAAATAATATGATGTGCAGCATTACTTAAAGCAAAATAAATAAGCATGTTTGCTACTCCCTGGTTGCTTAGATTCTGGAATGGGGTAGCTTGAAATACAGATGAATATGGTTTGTGGAATTCCCTCTAGTCATGGTGCCTTCCAAAGAGAAGGCCCACTTGCATTTATCAACTTTATCCAGTTTTATGGTATTGTGAAAATTTTCCTTGCATGCTTAAGGAAATAGAGCACTTTCACACTGTGTTGAGAATATTATTGGGGATGTAGGTCAGTACTTTACATCTTTCCTAATGAGATTGTTTTTAGTAATTAGTAGCAGAAAATTGCACCCAATGTGTTTAAACTAGAAGGGAGGATTCACTGACTCATAATTTAAAATACCACAGGGAAGATGGGCTACAAGTGAACCTTCATCAAGCTACTCAATTACATATTCAACATCTTTTTTCTTCCTAAGACTGACTTAACTCATGGTCCCAAAATGGCTGCAACAAAACCCAGAATAACATATTTCCTCACTATTTTTTTCAGCAACAATATCAATGTTTCAACATTCCCAGGAAAAGAAATGAGATTTAATCTGCTTGCATGGCTTGAATTAGATGGCTTAAACTACATGCCTAAATCTGAACTAATTAATATAATCTGTGCATATAATGCACTGATTAGGTTAGCCTAGGTCATGTGCTCCACCTTAGACATAGAGGTAGAATTATTTTTCTCAGAATCACACAGATCTCCGAAGCGAAATCAGAAGGGTAAAGGAAATGATGCGGAAACATCCACCAACAAACATCTATTATAACAATATCTCTTTCTCAAGACCTGTGGCAGAAACTCTTGTGTGATCTAAGAACCAAGAATTGTCAGTCTTCTGAGCACCTGCTATGTTTTATCCCACAGACATAAACTATGTATAATGCAAATATCCTTTAATTCAACAGCCCAGCAGTATAAATAAAGTATTGGAGGGAACACATGATTCTTACTACTTTTATAGCCTCTACATTTATTCCTTCAATACTTCATTCTCCTGCAATCTTATCCCACCGTCAGATATTTCTGGGAAGTCCCATAGATGTCTCAAATGTATTGCGAAAAGAACGCACAGTTTCTGGATACCCTGTCACCCATCAGGGCTCATCTCTAGGGCATTAGCCATGCCCATGGGACATCTGCCATCTTTGCTGGGATCCCACATACACTTCACCACTTCCCCATTCCTGCTATAGAATTCCATCCTTCCTTGAATGATGCATCCAACTATAAAAGATGCATCCTGATTATAAAAAAAATTAACACTATTCAGTCCTCATAATTTCTCTTATGTAAAGAGTCCTTCATTGAACTGCTCTGATTCCTACAGTGACATAAAGTAGTCTGTGGGCTCAGTTAAAACTAAATGCCATCATGTGCTTCTACTATTCTTATAACATCCCCTTCATGACAACGCTGGGTGCCCATCAAAAATCCTCCTCTTCAAAGTCATTGATGTTTCCTGTCAACAGTGATTGTTATCACCCTCCTTAGAGGGAGAAGACCTTTGATATTTATACACTGGGAAGACAGGGTGTAAATAATTAAAATGTAATGTGAGTCCTGGCAAAGGCTCAAGATAACAGTGGTATGAAAGCATGGAAAGAACAGTGTTCTAGGGGCAGGGGGTGGTTGCTCATGCCTATAATCCCAGCACTTTGGGAGGCTGAGGCAGGCAGATCACTTGAGGTCAGGAGTTCAAGATCAGTCTGGCCAACATAGTGAAACCCCATCTCTACTAAAAATACAAAAATTAGCCAGGCATCGTGGTGCATGCCTGTAATCCCAACTACTCGGGAGGCTGAGACAAGAGAATCACTTGAACTTGAACCTGGAAGGTGGAGGTTGCAGCGAGTTGAGATCACGTCACTGCACTCCAGCCAGGGCAGCAGAGTGAGACTGTCTCAAAAAACATAAAATATTAAAAAAAAACAACAACAGTGTTTTTTTTTGTCTGAAAGGTAGGGCACAATGAAAAGAAAAACTGAGTAAGAACACAAGCAGGACATGAAAAGTGCAGAGTCTGCTCAAGGGAGGGAGAAAGACCACCTGTGCTCATCATCAGTAGTGAGGAATGCAGGAGGACCAGTGAGTGGCAAAGAACATCTGGGAGCTTTGACAGTGTTTGGAGGAGAGTTGTATCAAGTTAAATGCTTTAGCAGCTCTGGGCAAAAAGCCTGCTGAGTATTCTGAGGTAGCCATAAGGCAATTCTTTCTAGAGAACTGTTATCCAAAACCAATGGTATGAGATTTCTACATAACATGGGCTCTACATTGATGGCACCATTGTGCATCAATGACAAATGTGCTGCCATTTCAAGATTTAGTGTTTCCACTATCAACCTTGAAGCCACTCCTCTTAAGGCAGTTGGTAAAGTTTTTGAGTACAGAGGAAAAAGAGAGGAAAAATACGGAAGGCATGCATTAACTACATCTTTAAAGAAAGAGAATTAAGTATTTGAAGTAAAAGAATTTGCTTGAAAAAAAGTTAAAGCTCTTTTAAGTGTTAAACAAAAAGATTTAAAGATGAAAAACAAGATGAAACAATATGTCTTGGAAAATAAGGGCTTAATTATCATAAGTTAATTGTGTATTACAGAGAAATAAATCTAATTGTAAACCATCAGAGAGAACAAGGAGGGAAGGGCATTATAGAAGTAAAAAGAATTTTTTGAAATTAGTGTCTAATAAAGCCATTTAGACTCTCCCTGATGCATAAAATTTCTTTCTCTGTCAACTGAAATGAACCTGACTTATTTCACTGTCAAACTAGCCTCTTCCTATTATCTTATATTTGTTGTCTTTCAGGCCTGAACAGCTGAATGTTAAACCCTATTTCTGAAGAATTGGCATGTCTGCTTTGTAACATGCACAGTGACAAGTTAACTGGGGTAGGGCAAGAGGCTGAAGGACCTACTGCAAGTTAAAACCTAAAATAAACAGAATAGAGTCACTAGTGGATACTTTAAAAAGGAATTTATGGCCAATTTCCTCATTTCCCCTAGGATTTTGCTTGTGAAAATAAATTTGATATTTTCAGCATTAGAAAAATATATTGTTTGAAAAGAAAACAGGCCAAAGTTTCACATGTGTAATCTACCATTCCGGCAAGACACCAAAAGTGTAAGAGCATCAGTAGACCCTTCCACAAGGGTACTGACTCTGAAGTCGCCAGTCTGCAGAGCCACCCACAACCGAACATACGGTGACGCTGCTCTGGACATGCCAGGCCTACTTGCTGGCATCAAACTACTTATTTTTTGAGACACCTTCTCTCTTAAGCAGTAGAAAAATGTAACAGCAATTTACATTATGCTAATAGTCTTTCCCTTATTGTTAGGAGTTTATTTCTCCCCAATATTTTTTCCCTTCTGAGGAATAGAAATGATGATGCTAAAGAAGATAAGTAAATGGTGTCATAAAATATATCCCATTTATTTAATAGTTTTCTACCCTATAAAATGTTGCAGACTTTAAAATTTCGTATAAGTCATATATTTAGTATTTCTCATATGCTTTAAAAGCCCATTCAACTCTCCCCAGCTGTTGAGGACAGGAAGTAAAGAAAATAAGTTTTTCCTGCTAATCCTCCTAAGAGGAATTTAGGGAGCCAGCAGAGCCATTTTGGAATTTTGCTGAGAAACAAGGATTAGCATTCCTGTGTGCCTGGCTAAGTGGCATCACCAGATTGTTTGATTAGAAGAGTGCTGCCTACTTATTTTAGATGGGATCCAAATACCAGAAGCTTGATGTTATATTGTTCACTTCAAAACTTGTCTCTGAGAAGTATCTAATACTAGTTGACCATCCATTTCTCTTCTATCTATTCCTAAATCCATTGAAAAAGGATTTGAGATTTAGAGTGCCATTACCCCATTAAAGGTATTTATCTGGGGCTTTCAACCTTTAAAAGCAGACTCTTATTTTCTGGGACTTATTTAATACAACAGTAAGAAGATTAAACTAGAAAATGTAAAATCCCTCAGAAGTTGAAGAAATTCTGAGTTGGAGAAAATACTTGTCAAAGTTACTCAGTTTCTTAAGGACAGTAAGCAAACTGGTCAAGGACCGAGGCAATTGTCTATTCAACTTCATGTTTCCTGCATCTAGCATAGTATGCGGCACATGATAGATGTTCTAGAAATGCTATATGAACAAATGAACGCATTATTGGCACTTTTTGAAGGATGCATGGATTAAAACATTTATCTATTGGAAAATAAGTATGCATTGTGAGCATTTCATTGTTAATCCACAAGTTGCTAAAGTTAGAAGTCCTTTCCTACCTGCCATTCACTCATTGATCAACTTATTCATGAAAACTTATTGAACAATATTCTACACCATGGTTTATAAGTGCTAGAAAATACTTTCCCACATTAAAAATTATCATATCTAGTATACATGGATTTTGAAAACCTGGTTGGAAAATTATAGCCAACTTTAGTTGTTTTGACTATTAATTCATCCTAGAGGTTTTAGTAGGTATAAAGTCGATATAATAATTAAGTGAATAATATCAGCCTTTAAACCCCCCAAAAATTTTCTTTCCAGATTTACTGGCTCTCCACTTATTTTGCTGCACTTGTTTCCATTTTCCTTTTGAACCATCAGTGATCAATAAATGTTGATGCTACATCTACTTTTGTTAAGAGCACCTGAAACTTGTCTACTTCAGGATGGAAACTGTTAGAAAAATATCTTCTCAATTTACAGTGTAGCTCAACCCTCGAGGTTGAAGTTGTTTTTGTTTGTTTGTTTTCAGTTCAATCCATAGTGCTTTGGGGAATCACAGTTCCTCTGAAAAACATTAGGATTGCACATTGGATTTGCACAACATAACAGTGCTCTAAAACACCCCAGCACATGCCACACACAAAGGAGTCCTAGACAGAGCCTCGATTCTCTAAACGTCCTCCTACCCGACTCTGTTATGACTGACCTGTTAGAGATTCAACAGATTATTCCTTGTAGTGTTTTCTTGCCCTTCTTTCACTTCATGACACTTTTGCTCTGCACTTTTCTGTAGCGTTATCAGGGTAAAAGAAAAGGTGTGGGTGCTATTTGGTAGAGTTTTTGAGCAGAGAGAGCCTACTGAAGATTCCAATCCTCTGCTGAGAATATCCTTGTTTTCCTTTTTTTTTTCTTTTTTCCTGAAATACTTAGATCATTGCATCAGCCCTTTGTTTTGCTTGTGTTGACAAGCTGAAAGTGCAGTGTGATCACCCCAGCTGAAAGTCCCTGGTACTTTCTTGAACCATCTTCCAACAGAAAAAATGGGTGGTCTTTACTCTGGATTAGTAACAGCAGTGGTTAATTTGCCACCCTGAGCCATTAGGTTCAGCTGTACCGACTATTTCACAAACTTTCCAAGAAATCCTACAAACCAAATGGAGCTCATTGCAATTAGTTACTACTCCTTCTCCATCAGTAATAGTCAAGAAGACAGAGTATTTTCCACTACGAAGCAGGTATTTTGGAAAGTGCTACATACACTTGTTTGCACAGGATTGACATTTATACAATCATAACCAACACTTTATGTGGTACTTAGGATTTCTTTAAAGTACCTTTTTCCAAGTGCTGACCTGGCTTAACCCTACTTAACTTGTAAAAGACGAAGAGATTATAGGAGAAGGTATATGGCCATGGGCCACTGACGGATTAGATTTTTTTCTTGGTTAGGTTTCCCTAGGGCCTTTGAAGTGTGGATTCAGTGCAATCTTCCTTAATGTTCCCTCTTAGGGATCTTGTTTTGTTACAGTAGCTGATCTTTTGGGTTAGGTAAGTGGAGAAATAATGTGTTGTACTTATTTTGCTTATACATCATATGCAAGGTGGGGAGAGGTGTCTTTCCTATGTTCTGGTTACCTCTTCTCTGCAATTATGTAAAGTTACCAGAGTCTGCCTTTTAATTATAAAACCCAGTGTTGCTGAAGAGATGGGGAAACGGGCTCTCTCAAACATTGTTTCCTAGTGGGAACTGTAAAAATATACATACTCTTTAACTTGGCAATTCCAGTTCTATAAGTTAATCCTAAAGAAATAATAAGAATGTGTGCAAAAATTTGATCACTAGCATAGTCATTGCAGCCTTTTTTTTGTGGTATAGAAAGCTTGACAACACACAAAGGTAAAACAAAATATGGTCTTATGCCTATAGAATAGAAAAGACAGTGGCTGTGGAAGTGTATATGTGTGTATGTGTGTGTGTGTGTGTGTGTGTGTGTATACATATATATATATAGTAGAAGGGTCTATAATATTGACTTTGACAGTTTTTTCTCAATATTAGGTGAATTTAAAAAGTAGTCCCGTTTTATACCGCGTGATCTCATCTTCTTATATAAAAACGGTTAAAATCTCCATAAATGTATGGTATTCACACAATTAAAGAAGCATAGTTTCCAAAATATGGACAGTTTTTAGGTGTGGAATTATGGGTGATATTTATTTCATTCCTTTTTTTCTTATTTTCTAACATTTTCTACTATATTTTACTTGCCTAATAGTAAAAAAAAATAAAGTTTACTTTCTGGGAGAAGTCATTTTCTTTTGTTTATGAAATAGTCATTTGAAACTCAGAAAACCATAGATGAGTAAAAGCAGCCTGCACATATAGAAGAGACAAGTCATGGAAAGAATTCTAGACTTGCTTTCAGGTCTAAAATCCAGGCTTGGCTCTGCTACACAATCTCCCTCTGCAAGGTTCAGCAAGTCCTTTTACTACTTTGGATCTCAGTTTCCCCACCTTTAAGTGAGGGCACCATTGTTACCCTGTATACTCCAAAGGATTATTAGGGGTACAGGTAAGATAATATATGTGGAAAACTTTGGAGATGTTAAATGCGTTTCGTCAATAGAAGACCTAGGAATCAGCAGGCAACTCAAACAGCAAGTCACAGGCTAATCCAATTAGCTGAGCCCTATCCTAACCTTATCCATTCTTTACCTGCTTTCAGCTCTCTTCTGTACTAACAAGGAATTTTGCCTGTCAGTTTGAGGATGCAGCATGCTTCTCTGTTTCCATCCATGAATTCAGCACTAGCAGATGTGCAGGGAGCCAAAACGCCAGCTCTGTGTTTTCCTACGTTCATTTCCAGTAACCCAGTTAGCCTGCTGCTAGCTGCACACCTGCAGGGTGTCTTGCCTCAGGCAATCCCACTGCACTTTGAAGCCCTTACTTGTCGATGTTAAATATGCCATGGTATACACAGTGTGCTATGTTTTCATTTTTCCACAAGAATGTCACAATATCCACATGAAGGGGAGGTCTTACTTCACAAATCCACAGTATTCCAAGTTGTCACTCTAGAAAATTACCTCCCACAGCCTCTACTTGGGAGAGTTTCTTTATCTTTGGATTTTCCTCTGCTTATCTAGCTCCTGTCCCCAGACTGATAAAAAATGGGAGCCTTGTACCGAGTTTGTTATGTCTGAAGATTTAGTTGCCCAAGCTGTGCGGGCCCACATTGTTAGTTTTTGAGTCACGTTTCTTAGCTTGTGAAAAGCCTGTGAAAAGAGCTTGGACTTCCACGAGGAAAACCAGTTTTCCTAGGGAGCTCCAGAGGAGAATACCCTTGTCTGATTACCCGAAAATAACCGTTCCTTCTTATTAGTAAATGCAAAGCCAAGTTACCAAGGGGGCATCTGCCTTACTGGAGCCTTCCACACCTCCTGCTTTCTAAATTAAGAATGACGAGGACAACATCTAAGACTTTTCACTTTATATTTGAATAAATACTTTACATTTTCAAAAATATTCTAAAAGCACCTTTATAAAGTGCCTGGGCCCCAGTCTTTTCCCATATGGGTACAGTGACTTCAATAAAAGAGGCTCCTTTCCATGCCAAATGCCAGGTATATACCAGGTTAAATAAGAATATGGGATCTTGCCGGCAAGAGGAATAAAAGTGGTTTAAAGATAATAAATGTATGTTCTTAGCCCTTCTGATGACACTAGGCAAAGAGTTTGGCTAACATTGATTCTGATAACCAGAGAGCTCTTTGTTCCCAGCTGCCCATCCTGGTGCCCAATTGCATAACATTTTAAATCATTTCAACCATGGTAAATGACGGCCGAAAGAACAGCTTCAGCCCAGAAGAGACAAAGGGACAGTGTTGGAGAAAGTAAAGCAGTGGTATTCTTGCTTCACTTTAAAATTAATAGAGTTGGTTATAGTTTCTAAGTACACTTGGAATTCCAGCTGCCAGAGAATGGGTTTGAACACTGAAAGTCCTCTTTAATTCTTGGGCCCAGGACAGGTAGTGGTGTTCCCCAGCAAGCAGGCACAGGTAGTGGCCCTGTAAAGCGGCAAAGAGAGCCTGCCAGGAGGCTTCAACACTGTCCTCAGGGAGCAGCCTCCACAGAGAGGTCCGGCTTTGATCTCTTCTGAGACTGCTATGAGTATGCCAGCCATGCGGTAGGTGTCCATGAGTTCATTTTACAGAGATCATCAAAGTAGCTTTCAGATGGTAAAGACGAACAACCTGGCCTCTATTTGAACAGCTAGCAGCTCTTCAAACTGTCTAATTCTCAAGCTTATTAAACAGAGAGGGAGCTAAGAAATAGAGAACATGGCAAGTTCCGGGAAGAAGTGCAGAGAAAGGAGATCTGGACTGTGGGTGCTTTTGCCGCTGACCAGTGTCACCCAAACATCAGTTTTCCTACCTTTAAAGTAAACCATTTCTAAGTGTTAAACCGTTGCAGTCTGCAATTTGAGTGAACCATGATTTGGCCAATGAGGTATATTAAGCTTTAAAAGAACGATGTGTCAAGTAGAGATTTGTCAAAAATAGGGAGAAAGAACACCCCCTGGAGAAGAATTTAAATAAAATAACACAAGTAAATGGTTAAATTTAAATGATTCATGGGCCCAATACAGGTAGTGGTGTTCCCCAGCAAGCAGGAACAGGTAGTGGCAGTGTAAAGCAGCAAAGACAGCCAGCCAGGAGGCTTCAACACTGTCCTCAGGGAGCAGCCTCCACGGAGCAGAGGCTTTTAAATCTAATTTAAATCCACAAGAAAAGAGCTCATCAAAAGATAATTTAGTAAGTACCCAGTCATAATCTTTATAATCTTGTTCTTCTGACTTATGATATCAATGATGTGTTTTTATATTATTTTTCATTAGTAACACAAAATAATTGGAAAATAACTGAAGACAGTTCTTGATATTTCTCCTACCCTGACCCCCCCTAAATTTTCATATGAAAATCTTATGGTCTTTCATTAAGACACTAAAACAATTAAGATAATAATGAGGTAGGAATTGCTAAAAAGACTGATTCTATAATGGATTAATAATTACCTTTGAGGAACAAAAGTAATGATATGTCCTCTGTGTTGAGGGTAATGTCTGAAGACTAAACATCAGTACGTGTCATTAGCCAGTAATCAGTCTTTAAGTGGAAGATAAAATGCATAATCAAACAATGTACAAGAATAAAATGAACTATACTAGCACTTCACAGAACAAGAAATACAAATAATCAACAAACATATGAAAAAGTGCTCACCCGTTGCCAGAGAAACACAGTTTAAAACAATGAGACATCATTTCTCTCTTATTAAACTAGGGAAAAAAAGAAAATCAAAAGATTGATAGCATCTAGTGCTGGCCAGGGTATAAGAAATTGTCACTTTCATATATTATTGGTAGGAGTGTAAATTGGAATAACCTTTTTTCAGGAGAAGAATGAAATTATAGATGCTATAAATTTTAAATGCATGAATCCTAAGGAATAGATAAGAATCTCAGTAACTATCTGAGATATTTTGCTGAATCACAAAAACTCAAATCTCAGTCAATTCAAGGTTCTTCTCTTCTGGAATATTTCTAAGGCTGATGTCCTGTTAAGATGTTGGTGGGGGATGGTGGGAGAGGCATGATCCTGGAAGTAGACATCGGTCCACGTGGCATTCTCCAAGAAAGCTATCGGCTCAAGTCAGCCTCAGCTGTAATCCTAGGCAGGTCCCTGATGAGATGCCCCTTGCTTCTG
Organism: Homo sapiens; assembly: GCF_000001405.40. Taxonomy (NCBI): domain Eukaryota; kingdom Metazoa; phylum Chordata; class Mammalia; order Primates; family Hominidae; genus Homo; species Homo sapiens. The sequence continues at coordinate 144,521,298 of NC_000004.12, forward strand.
GTGGCATGGTTCCTTGCAACATCCTCTGCTCCCTTCATCCCATGCTTGAGGGCCTGGGAATAATTTCACTGCTTCTCTGCCAAGTTGGGACCTTGGAATCTTAGCCGGATTGTCTCTGGGTAGATTTGTGTCTGTATGACACACAGCATTTCTTCTCTAGGACCCTACCACCTACCCAGGGCTTCCTCTCTGAGATTACAACCTGGGAAACCATAGGGTATGGCCAGCTACTAGGACCTTACAAATGCCTCCACTGTCCTCACTTCCCCTCCACCTCTCCTCCTTTTCCACCACACCAGGGAAACTTTTTCTAACCTAAAACAGAAGTTCTGCAGTCTTTCATGATATGTCTCCCACATACCCTGTCCTTGCCTGGTGTTTTCTTCATTCCTCTGAGGGTTTTAGCTTTTGAAATCCAAAGCCCTAAAGACTTTATATTTTTTTCTCTCTGATTTTAGAATTAGAACATTCCTCCTCAGTGACAATACATGCAGAAGACCTTAGCTGCTTAAAATGTGGCAGAGGCAGGAGGAAGAGAGAAAACACATTGGTAATATTTCCCAAATATCAAACTTATCACCCAGCCATCCACTACTAGAAATCTCTTTGCAGAAATAATCACGTAAATGTGTGAATAGATAGGTACAGAGATGATTACTGTAGCATTGTTTGTAATGATGAAAAATTAGAGATAGCTTACAGGTCCACCTAGAAAGGGTATAGTTAAATAAGTCACAATAAATCTTAAAAAGAATGTGCATATCTTTCTATACTAACTTGGAATGACCCTATGAATATTGTGAAGTGAAAAGAACAAACTGCAGAATGATCATAAACGTGATATGATTTCATTTGTTTGAAAAACAGTACCCTATTTCTGTATGTATTTGTTAGAATGAGCACAGAAAAAGACAGCAAATATTAGTGGTAATAATTTCAGAGAAGTGAAATTAGAATGAGGAATAACTCTTTCTTTTTTACCTTACAACTTTGAAAATATTTGATTTGATTTGATTTAGCAAGCACCTTTAAAACTACCTTTAAAGATTTTTTTAAAGGTTAAAAAAAGATACACTGTAGCACATGTTAATTAACCCTAGATAGGACTTTTCTATTTTCAAAGCACATATAATCTTTTGAAGAATTAGGAGGTAACACACAAAAGGAAGACCTTCCATTTACTGGGTTTACAGTTTAGTCTCAAAAATTAATCACTTAAGACCTGACGATGATTATAAGAATTATTTTATAAAACTCTAACTGGAAAGTAGATTCCTGCTGTGAAATACAAGAGATCAAAATTTAAACATAATCATAGCAATTTAAACACCTTATCACTCCCTGCCAGGCTCTATGACTCAAATAAATGTAGGAGATCTTATTTCTAACAAATGACAAAGTATAAATATGACCCAAGCTAATATATGTGCTAATTGTTCTTTGCTATAATCTCCAATTCACATCTTCCATTATCTGCAAAATTAACTTCTTTGTCTTGAGTCAAATCTGGGAATAGCATCTGCTGCTATTATACCATTTCAGTATAAAAGGAATCTAATTATTCTGAAACCCAGACCCAAACTGAACACACTTGGCCTGACCGGAGGTGTTACAATGACATAGCAGAGGATAAAATTATGAGCTCAGTGGAAATGCTTGGCACAGCATTATAGTATGACTGCTTAATGAACGATGTTGATATTACAGTTCCTGAACTGAGTCTCATATACTGTACTTATAGATAATGTAAAAAGAAGACCACACAAGATAGTATTTTTGCTTCATATATAAAGACAATGACTGACACTATCAAATAAGAAAATAGCAATAGTTTTGAACCACCTTCAAATGAACCTTCTCATTCCTGTAAGTACATGTCAATGTAAAAAGTTTAGATCACCTCAACAGAAAGGATTTTTCAAACATTTCTAATGATTGTTTATTCAACCAACATTTGTTGAATGAATACTATGTACCAGGAACAACTAGCATTTATTTAGCACTTACTATGTCTAAGGCACTGTTCTTATTTCATAAATTATCTAATTTAATCCTCATACCAACCATAAGAAGTTGGCATATTGTTTTTCAGATTTTACATAGGAGGGAACTGAGGAGATGAGCAACTCACCCAAGCTCACACACATGGTCATTGAGATTTGAACCCAAGTGGTCTGGCTTCAGAACACTGCTTTTAACTCTACAAATTCAGCTAGAAAGATAGCACATTCTTGTATAAAGTGTAAGGAAGGGATCCAGTTTCAGCTTTCTACATATGGCTAGCCAGTTTTCCCAGCACCATTTATTAAATAGGGAATCGTTTCCCCATTTCTTGTTTTTCTCAGGTTTGTCAAAGATCAGATGGTTGTAGATATGCGGCATTATTTCTGAGGGCTCTGTTCTGTTCCATTGGTCTCTATCTCTGTTTTGGTACCATTACCATGCTGTTTTGGTTACGGTAGCCTTGTAGTATAGTTTGAAGTCAGGTAGCGTGATGCGTCCAGCTTTGTTCTTTTGGCTTAGGATTGACATGGCAATGTGGGCTCTTTTTTGGTGCCATATGAACTTTAAAGTCGTTTTTTCCAATTCTGTGAAGAAAGTCATTGGTAGCTTGATGGGGATGGCATTGAATCTATAAATTACCTTGGGCAGTATGGCCATTTTCACAATATTGATTCTTCCTACCCATGAGCATGAACTGTTCTTCCATTTGTTTGTATCCTCTTTTATTTAATTGAGCAGCGGTTTGTAGGTCTCCTTGAAGAGGTCCTTCACATCCCTTGTAGGTTGGATTCCTAGGTATTTTATTCTCTTTGAAGCAGTTGTGAATGGGAGTTCACTCATGATTTGGCTGTTTGTCTGTTATTGGTGTATATGAATGCTTGTGATTTTTGCACATTGATTTTGTATCCTGAAACTTTGCTGAAGTTGCCTATCAGCTTAAGGAGATTTTGGGCTGAGACAATGGCGTTTTCTAGATATACAGTCATGTCATCTGCAAACAGGGACAATTTGACTTCCTCTTTTCCTAATTGAATACCCTTTATTTCCTTCTCCTGACTGATTGCCCTGGCCAGAACTTCCAACACTATGTTGATTAGGAGTGGTGAGAGAGGGCATCCCTGTCTTGTGCCAGTTTTCCAAGGGAATGCTTCCAGTTTTTGTCCATTCAGTATGATATTGGCTGTGGGTTTGTCATAGATAGCTCTTATTATTTTGAGATACGTCCCATCAATACCTAATTTATTGAGAGTTTTTAGCGTGAAGCGTTGTTGAATTTTGTCAAAGGCCTTTTCTGCATCTATTGAAATAATCATGTGGTTTTTGTCATTGGTTCTGTTTATATTCTGGATTACGTTTATTGATTTGTGTATGTTGAACCAGCCTTGCATCCCAGGAATGAAGCCCACTAGATCATGGTGGATAAGCTTTTTGATGTGCTGCTGGATTCGGTTTGCCAGTATTTTATTTAGGATTTTTGCATCGATGTTCATCAGGGATATTGGTCTAAAATTCTCTTTTTCTGTTGTGTCTCTGCCAGGCTTTGGTATCAGGATGATGCTGGCCTCATCAAATGAGTTAGGGAGAATTCCCTCTTTTTCTATTGATTGGCATAGTTTCAGAAGGAATAGTACCAGCTCCTCCTTTTACCTCTTATAAAATTCAGCTGTGAATCCATCTGGTCCTGGACTTTTTTTGGTTGGTAAGCTATTAATTATTGCCTCAATTTCAGAGCCTGTTATTGGTCTATTCAGAGAGTCAACTTCTTCCTGGTTTAGTCTTGGGAGGATGTATGTGTCCAGGAATTTATCTATTTCTTCTAGATTTTCTAGTTTATTTGTGTAGAGGTGTTTATAGTATTCTCTGATGGGAGTTTGTATTTCTGTGGGATCGGTGGTGATATCCCCTTTATCATTTTTTATTGCATCTATTTGATTCTTCTCTCTTTTCTTCTTTATTAGTCTTGCTAGCGGTCTATCAATTTTGTTGATCTTCTCAAAAAACCAGCTCCTGGATTCATTGATTTTTTGAAGGGTTTTTTGTGTCTCTATTTACTTCAGTTCTGCTCTTATCTTAGTTATTTCTTGCCTTCTGATAGCTTTTGAATGTGTTTGTTCTTGGTTCTCTAGTTCTTTTAATTGTGATGTTAGGGTGTCAATTTTAGATCTTTCCTGCTTTCTCTTGAGGGCATTTAGTGCTATAAATTTCCCTCTACACACTGCTTCGAATGTGTGCCAGAGATTCTGATATGTTATGTCTTTGTTCTCGTTGGTTTCAAAGAACATCTTTATTTATGCCTTCATTTCGTTATGTACCCAGTAGTCATTCAGGAGCAGGTTGTTCAGTTTCCATGTAGTTGAGCGGTTTTGAGTGAGTTTCTTAATTCTGAGTTCTAGTTTGATTGCACTGTGGTCTGAGAGACAGTTCATTATAATTTCTGTTCTTTTACATATGCTGAGGAGTGCTTTACTTCCAACTATGTGGTCAATTTTGGAATAAGTGTGGTGTGGTGCTGAGAAGAATGTATATTCTGTTGATTTGGGGTGGAGAGTTCTGTAGATGTCTATTAGGTCTGCTTGGTGCAGAGCTGAGTTCAATTCCTGGATATCCTTGTTAACTTTCTGTCTTGTTGATCTGTCTAATGCCGACAGTCGGGTGTTAAAGTCTCCCATTATTATTGTGTGGGAGTCTAAGTCTCTTTGTAGGTCTCTAAGGACTTGCTTTATGAATCTGGGTGCTCCTGTATTGGGTGCATATATATTTAGGATAGTTAGCTCTTCTTGTTGAATTGATCCCTTTACCATTATGTAATGGCCTTCTTTGTCTCTTTTGATCTTTGTTGGTTTAAAGTCTGTTTTATCCAAGACTAGGATTGCAACCCCTGCCTTTTTTTTGTTTTCCATTTGCTTGGTAGATCTTCCTCTATCCCTCTATTTTGAGCCTATGTGTGTATCTGCACATCAGATGAGTTTCCTGAATACAGCACACTGATGGGTCTTGACTCTTTATCCAATTTGCCAGTCTGTGTCTTTTAATTGGAGCATTTAGCCCATTTACATTTAAGGTTAATATTGTTATGTGTGAATTTGATCTTGTCATTATGATGTTAGCTGGTTATTTTGCTTGTTAGTTGATGCAGTTTCTTCCTAGCCTCTCATGCCGTGGTTTTCAGCTCCATCAGGTCCTTTAAGGACTTCGCTGCATTTGTTATTCTAGTTAGCCATTTGTCTAATTTTTTTTCAAGGTTTTTAACTTCTTTGCCATGGGTTCGAACTTTCTCCTTTAGCTCAGAGTAGTTTGATCGTCTGAAGCCTTCTTCTCTCAACTCATCAAAGTCATTCTCCATCCATCTTTGTTCTGTTGCTGGTGAGGAGCTGCATTCCTTTGGAGGAGGAGAGGTGCTCTGATTTTTAGAGTTTCCAGTAGCTGAAACTGGATCCCTTCCTTACACTTTATACAAAAATTAATTCAAGATGGATTAAAGACTTAAATGTTAGACCTGAAGCCATAAAAACCCTAGAAGAAGAGTTAGGCAATACTGTTCAGTACATACGTATGGGCAAGGACTTCATGTCTAAAACACCAAAAGCAATGGCAGCAAAAGCGAAAATTGACAAATGGGATCTAATTAAACTAAAGAGCTTCTGCACAGCAAAAGAAACTACCATCAGAGTGCACAGGCGACCTACAGAATGGGAAAAAGTTTTGGCAATCTACCCATCTGAAAAAGGGCTAATATCCAGAATCTACAACGAACTCAAATTTACAAGAAAAAAACAAACAACCCCATCAACAAGTGGGCGAAGAATATGAACAGGCACTTCTCAAAAGAGACATTTATGCAGCCAACAGACACATGAAAACATGCTCATCATCACTGGTCATCAGAGAAATGCAAATTAAAACCACGATGAGATACTATCTCACACCAGTTAGAATGGTGATCATTAAAAAGTCAGGAAACAACAGGTGCTGAAGAGGATGTGGAGAAATAGGAACACCTTTACACTGTTGGTGGGACTGTAAACTAGTTCAACCATTGTGGAAGTCAGTGTGGCGTTTCCTCAGGGATCTAGAACTAGAAATGCCATTTGACCCAGCCATCCCATTACTGGGTATATACCCAAAGGATTATAAATCATGCTGCTATAAAGACACATGCACACGTATGTTTACTGCGTCACTATTCACAATAGCAAAGACTTGGAACCAACCCAAATGTCCAAAAATGATAGACTGGATTAAGAAAATGTGGCACATATTCACCATGGAATACTATGCAGCCATAAAAAAGGATGAGTTCATGTCCTTTGTAGGGACATGGATGAAGCTGGAAGCCATCATTCTCAGCAAACTACCACAAGGACAAAAAACCAAACACCGCATGTTCTCACTCATAGGTGGGAATTGAACAATGAGAACACATGGACACAGGAAAGGGAACATCACACACCGGGGCCTGTTGTGGGGGTGGGAGAGCAGGGAGGGATAGCATTAGGAGATATACCTAATGTTAAATAATGAGTTAATGGGTGCAGCACACCAACATGGCACATCTATACATATGTAACTAACCTGCACGTTGTGCACATGTACCCTAAAACTTAAAGTATAATAAAAAAAAGTATAGTTTATGAAAACTGAAAAAAACAAAAGACTGAGAAGGGAAGAGATTATAAAGGGGAAGCAAATATAATACAAAGCTTAGGAGCACCATGCTTTGCAGATAATCACACATCAGAACTAAGCTAGCTATGTGTCCCTGAATAATTACTTTCCTAATCAGTTTCCTAATCAGTAATAAAGAGAAATTATACCAATGCCAGTGTACCGTTTATGGATTCTATAAAATGAAGTGTGAAATGTGAAAAAAAAAAGAAAGATAACACATTCTAGTGGAAGAAACATAAATTTTAATAATAATAATTGAAATGCAATGTAAGGCTATGGGATCATAAATGTAGAAATTAATAGAGAGAAACCACAGGTGTCAGGGTTGAGTTTATAAATATTATGGGAATGTGTACAGGGGAGAGCTGCATAGTAATTTCTCTGCTGTTTGGAACCCATATTAGATATATATGACTAAATGGAATGCCTTCTTCATCAATCTAAATTACAGATGTATAAACTGAAGAATTCTAATCTCCCAAACTGGGTGTTTCATAGAGTACTTAATATCTAATTTTAGGAGACTAAGGTACCAACTTAATTTCTTACTTTTGTAAGAATCACTTTGTAATCCTGAGGGAAAAATATTGCGGCATTTAATTTGATGGAATCAAACTCTACATTGGAACAGCATATTTACCTTTAACCCTAATATATGAGGGCCTGAAAGATTGACCCATTGACCTTTGAAACTCTGCCCTTCCCTCTTTAGAAATCCTGCCAATACATGGAATTTTCACTTTCCTCTACTCTAAACACACACACTCATTTTGCATAGATGTTGATGCGTCATTGGCAAAATTCACTTGTTGTGCTATTTCTATTTATTAGCCTTATATCCAACCTTGTCCCAAAATAGTCAGGCATAAGATGCCACATATGTCCTCTAGCACTTCAGGAATTAAGAGCATATGCTCAATAAAAATGGAATTCCCATGACTTCAGACTGTTATCCAGGAAAGATGTCCATTGTAATGTGGCTATGAGTTCTTTCTCAGTGTCAGCTTTTGTTCGAAGCTTGATTAAATATATCAATATAAAACTCAGTTGTACAACTCAGAGCTTTTAAAGGCTCAGTATATTAACTCATTCAAAAATCTCTAGAGAACAATGACCCTGCAAAAAGTCAAGTCACAGAGACAGGTGAAAGAATAAGCATTTCTATTGAAGTTAAAAAAAAAACAATGAGTTTTCATTATGGGCCCGGTACTGGGAACACAGAGATGAATGTGGCATAGGCCCTGCCCACATTTATCACAAAACCAAAGTTTGGAGGAGGTCAATTGGCCTGCTTTATGTTAATCAGTTTTTAGCATATTTTTTTAAGTACCTCCTTAATTCAAAAGCAACTAAGGCAATCCATGCTTGTAATCCCAGGGTCTCAGGAGGCTGAGGCAGGAGGATCGCTTAAGACCCGCCTGAACAACCTAGTGAGACCCTGTCTCTACAGAAAAAAATTTAAAAATCAATAAGATAAAAATTTTTTTTTTAAAAAAAAGAAGGAAAATCTTTGTCAAATAAAGACATCAACAGCATCTGACCCAAGACCAAGGGCCAGATTCCTTCCCGCAGAATCCCCAGGGATCTTTTTCATACTATTAGATGAGATGAAACATATTTAGCCAATATGTGGGTTTCAGCCAACGTTTCATAAAAAGACGAGTCCATTAAATGTAACATCAAATTAGTCACTTATAGGTAATAGAATAATCATCCACAAAACAATGACACTTTTAGGGAACAACCATTGGCTAAAAAAAAAAAGAAGAAGAAGAAGAAAGAAAGAAAATTTAAAGGTCATTTCATTTCGACTGAAAAGCTGAATTGTAAAAATTATAGTTGGCAAAGTGATATCTACTCAATCAAAATAAAACATAAAATGATCCTTACTAGGCCAAAAGCAGCTGTCCAATCATAATAAACAAAATTCCTCAGCTGATGTCTTTTTCTGGACCCATGTTTTCTTCGCCTTTTATTTTTTCCTCAAAAAATTAAATGGAAAGACCCAGGGATAGGGGTAAAGAAAGAACGACATTTGGGCCCGGTTCTTATGCATGTGTTGGATTATCTGAGACACACAGATAAAACTGGATGTAAGCCTTAAAATACAGCAGAGTGTCAATTTCAAAATAAATAACGATAATGGTATTTTCAAGATCAGGTCTTTATTCATGCTCTGTGCCAAAGCATTTAAATACCCTGTGCTACTCATAACATAATGTGGGTGGTAAAAGAAAAAAAGCCAGCCCTCCTTCGACATGTTATTCCTAAAGAGTCTATTCGTGTCAGTGCTGCTAAGATACAATTAATTTATATAACCCCAATATCCCAATGCTTAAATACAAGCACATGAAGCAAAACATTCCCTTATTTTGAAAAGAGAAGAATGAATATAAACTCTGCTTCATACAATTGCCCACAGCTATTTTAGATAAATAATGCAATAATTTTAATTAACAAATTATTCTAGTAAACCTTTTTATCAGACACTTAGCTCTTTTTGTAAGTCTGAAGTTTGAGCCCACACATGCTTTTTTCCCATGGGACTTAACAATTGCAGTGCTGGCAGTTTTGTACAATTTGAGATGATCCAGGCCTGGCCCTCCTTAATTCAGTCTAGATGGTGACGCTTATCATATAGCTAAATGATTAGTTTCAGGTATATTTGTTAGGCCGCACATGTCATCTGTGTTGCTGTACTCTGCTTTGGAGATAATTTTTTATTGAAAATTTACCTTTGAGCCATTAAAATCTAGTTAGCTGAAAACATCAAAAACTTGCACTTTTTATCGAATGTAGTTGATATATAAGGCTCATCTATTTCTTTTGAAGAACTCTAAATAACAATGAATCAAGTTATTTATTTTCAATAGCTCTTTTCCAAGTGGAAAATAAACTCTGTTAGAATAAAATTTTCAAAACAATTCAACATCTAACTCTTCAGACAAATGGCACATTTGAAGTTCGGTTTGGAACATTTTTCAAACCAAAGTATATTTTAGTTACACCTGTAAATAACAGGAAAAAACTCTAGTCTTGGCTTAGAACTGGATTGCATTTTAAATTTTAGAGTTGCCTTAATAATTTGAGTTTATTGATTAAAAACTGAACCTTATCAACAATGTATAAGAGACTCTTTAAGAAAAAAGGTTTTCTCAGAAAACAGGTATTTGTCATTTGTTTCTGAAAGAAGGCTTATGAATTTAAAAACACACATGACTATGTGTGTGTGTCTATACTTGACAGTGAGAGAGAGAGAACACCCACAAGTGTCCAAAACCTATACTTAAATATCACCAATTACAGAGGCATTCCCTACACTTAACATTCATGCTTAACCTTGGTGTACACATTCAGGTGGGGCCAACAGAGTATTTGTGGAAAACAAGGCAGTACTGCTGGGAACTGCTTCCCCCTGTGACAGGGTGGTCATGCTACTTAGGTGGACCGCATCCAAGAGAAATCAGATAGGGACAGTATGTGAGATGGCATCATAAAGAAGTCAGAACTGTAATTTCCTTAAGGCTCCAACCTGTGGGGGTGAGAGAGGAGAAAGATAGCTCTAATTCTACAAGTCACTAAGAAGAGTAAAAGGTTTTATTTCTTGTAAATGTTTGTTTTATTCTGAAATCCATCCTTCTTTCTTGTTTCTGATAAAGTGCATCTTGCCACTGACACCAACTTAAGCAGAAGCACTTAGGTAGCACAGTATATACAAAGGAGAAGTCAGTGTTCACAGCAGTGTGAGAGGTTGCCACATGTCTTGATTAGTTGCCATGTGTCTTGATTAAAACAGAAAGAATGGAAAAGCTACTAGTGAAGGCTCCAAGCAGCAGGATTATTTTCTTTCTTATATCCCACCCACTAACCCGGTATGTGTGTGGAGGTGTGAGAGTGGCGATAGTGCATACACTGAGCTGTCTGGTGGAAGAATGCTAAACACTCCTTCTCCATGAAATCCCAGGGGAATGCTATGGTTTGGATCTAGTTTTGATATTTGTCCTTTCCAAATCGCACATTGAAATTTGATCTCCAGTGTTGGAGGTGGGGCCTGGTGGGAGGTGTTTGGGTCATGGGGTGGATCCTTCATCAGTGGCTTGGTGCCCTCCTGGAGGGAATGAGTGAGTTCTTGCTCTGTGAGTTCCCTTGAGAACTGATTGTTGAAAAGACTCTAACACCTCCCTCCTCTGATTCTCTTGCTTCTCTCTTGCCATGTGATCTCCACACTCTGGTTCCCTTTCCTCTTCTGCCATGAGTAGAAGGAGTCTGCAGCCTTCATCAGAAGCAGATGCTGATACCATACTTCTTGTACAGCCTGCAGGACCATGAGCCAAGTAAACCTCTTTTCTTCATAAATTACCCAGCCTCAAGTATCTCTTGTAGCAATGCAAATGGAGTAAGACAGGGAATCAATCCTAAAGACCAAGAGTTGGGCAAATGAAACGCCATGGTATGGTAGGCGTACTCATGGAGAAGGCAGGAGTACTCAGGTTTTAGTTTTTACCAGTTAATAGGTGTATTAATGTACACAAGTGAATTTGTGGCATTTAGCCACTATTTCCTCTTCCCTACCATAGAGATGATGATGCCTACTTCATGGGGGTCATTGTAGGAACTGAGTGGCATAGTGGCACTTAGTAGGCATTCAGTGGATGTTGCCTCTGCTCTCCTATTTACTAAACAAAAATTATTAAGAAATCTAAAAATGGGGACAGGTGAAGGGACTCGTGCCTATAATCCCAGAACTTTGGGAGGCCAAGGTGGGCAGATTGCTTGAGCTCAGGAGTTCGAGACCAGCCTGGGCAACATAGCGAAACCCCATCTCTAGAAAAACTACACAACTTAGCCAGGTGTGGTGACACACGCCTGTAGTCCCAGTCACTCAGGTGGCTGAGGCAGGATTGCTTGAGCCAGGGAGGTTGAGGCTACGGTGAGTTGAGATTGCACCACTGTGCTGCAGCCTCGGTGACAGAGTCAGATCCTGTCTCAAATTCAAATAAATAAAAGAAATAAATAAAAGAAATCTAAAAATGATCACCTCCTAGCATAATACAACTTTACTAAAGAACTTCTCAGGTACTTTTCATAGAAAATGTATCACTTCCATAAACTATTGTTTTAACATCATAAGAATTTAGTTCATTCTCACTTTACAAAGTTTAGTGGCTTCATGTGGATATGTTTGTTCATCCCCACATTTGTTCTATAAAGACAGGAGCAATGTCCCTGCTGTCCTATTTGCAACCCAGCTCCAAGCTTGGCACATAACACAGGCTTTTGTGAAGTATTACAGTGAATAAAATGAATGAAATGAATGTATAACCTACATCCACTCCCAACAAGGGGAAAGGCCAAAAGCAAGGCCTTCAAAATTCTGTGTACCCCTATTCCCTACTCTTCTTATTTCAAAACAAAAGACTGAGACAAATGTAAGCCAACATGAAGAAAGGAAAGCTCATCTCTGCCACATTTCTGGAAAGCGCTGTTCCCGGTGCTCACCTATTGTCTCGCAGGCAGGTACCTGTGTAGCCATGAATCCTCTACTTTTCCACTTTATCTTAAAAATAAAGGTATATGCTAGGCATAGTGGCTCATGCCTGTAATCTTAGCACTTCGAGAGGACAAGGGAGACAGATTACTTGAGGTCAGGAGTTCAAGACCTGCCTGGCCAACATGGTGAAACCCCATCTCTACTAAAAAAAAAAAACAAATGCAAAAATTAGCGGGGCGTGGTGGCACATGGCTGTAGTCCCAGCTCCTCAAGAGGCTGAGACATGAGAGTTGCCTGAACCCAAGAGGCAGAAGTTGCAGTGAGCTGAGATTGCACCACTGTACACCAGCATGTCTGACAGAGCGAGACTCTGTCTCCAAAAAAATAAGCAAATAAATAAAGGTATAGTGGAAAGAGTACCAGAGCTAGAAATTTGAAGATCCAGATATTCGTTCTAGTTTTATCCACCACATGAACAGTTGGATAAATCATGTTAACTCTGTGAGTCTTATTTTATCTCATTTGTGAAATAGGAATAATTATTTCCTGCATTAAATGCATACCTTATGAGTTCACTGTGAGAGAGGATGGGAAAAGATATACAAAAAAAACCTGAAACACTGCACAGTTCTGTACAAAGGTAGCAAAACTGTCATAATTAACATCTGCTTAGAAGTGAGGACAATGGGGGCTGCTGCTGCAAAGGCAGACATGAGCATGCCTAGTCTAGGTCATAATCCCAATAGAGTTGTTCTAAGAAGAAAGGTCATTTTGATACAGGAGGTAGAAAGTCATTATTTAGACAGATAGAGGGCAAAAGAGTCCTCAGCAGAGCTTCTTTTCTAACAAAAAGCAGCCCCCAAATCATCTCTTTTCTAGCAAAGACCAGCCTGAAAATTTGAGCTGCAAATGTAAATAAGGAAGTTAGAAGCTTGCACGGGGGAATGCTGGCAGCTGAGCCAACAGGAAAGGGCTACCTGGGGGCCAGGTGTGACCAACATGGAGGCTCCATCCTCCCTTTTTTTTGTTACCACAAGGGTGTACAATAAGAAAGAAATGGGCACCATGGCACAGCTCAGGCAGAGACCCCGCCTGCATAATAAAAGATTAGGGTAGGGGATACCACAGATCACACCCTATGCAAATAGCACACCTGGCCTAACCAGTCTTTCATGCCCTATGTAGATCAGACACCATCTCCTCACCAGCTCATCTATAAAACCCCCTGCATTTCACCATGGATTCGGCAACCCATTTTTCCATGACCCTTCTGTGCAGCAGAGAGCTATTCCCTTTCGCCTGTTAAGTGTCCACTCTCAACCTCACTCTTTGTGTGTTTGTGTCCTTGTTCTCCGCAGCTGTGAGACAACAAACGTCGAGTGTTACTCCAGGAAACGAGGTCATTTCAATGTGAAGACGAAAAGCTGTGTGTGTGTGGGTGTGTGTGCACGTGTGCCTGTGCATGTGTGTGTGTGTGTGTGTGTGTGTGTGTGTGTACTGGGGGAATGGGAAAGGGAGGCACCATGGTTAATCGGGCACTTACTATGTGCTAGAACCTGCCAATGTGAACATGCTCTTCAGCAGTGAGCCCCATTTATTTGCTGTCTCTGTTCCCTGCCTGCAATTCCTCTTCAGTAAAACCTCAGGCTCAAATCATCAGAAGAAACCAGTCAGAATTAAGAAAAAGTTCTAAGCCAGATTAGCATATTATAGTTGGATATGAAAAAAAATAGTTCTAATTTCCTTGACAATTCTTGATGTTACTTTAAAAACAGATGTTTTTTAAGGTATTTTAAAATATCTGCCCCCCGACTATATTGTTTGGATTGTTGTTTTATACTTTCTATGAAGAAAAGGTGTGCTAAGGGAAATTTTAAGCCCAACACCTATCTCAAGAGACAAGAAATCCTAACCCCTTTGTACAAAACTACCAGTCTCGTTCTATTGATTTATTCTTCAATAGCACAACTTAGTGGCATGTTGAGCCTGCTAACATGGATTCACAAGTGCTAATTTTGTGCTTATCTTGCCAATTCCTCTTTCATCAACACTGGTAGTGTGAGAATTTACACCATAGAAACTGGCAAGTTAACAAATCAGGGGGATTTTTCCTCCTAAAAGCCAGTTGTTAAATATTTACCAGCACACCAACTTTCATGATTCTCCTGTCAAGTTGTTTAATTTCTCTATGTCTGACATTCCTTCTTTCACAATCACATTTCCAAGTCTCCTTTTCCTAATTACTTTACAATTTCTATTTTCTAAATGGTTGATTCAAAATATTGGTCTATAAAACAGATTGAATCATTTTTGCTTTCCATAAATCTTCTTTGGTCTTTCTTCTTACTTCTCCTCCTGCATTTGAAATTTTTCCTCAACTATCATAATAGCTAGCCTCCTGTTCTTATACACTATCTCCATCCAGCCTCTCCTTCCTGAGTCTTTCCCTTAAAACTGGCACAGTAAAACTAAACACCCAAAATAGAATCACATTTTAAATCCTTTTGGTTTTCATACATATAACCAGCACTTAAAAATTATTTGGGAATTACAAGTAAATGAAAGGATGTGCTTTTATCTGCTTTATATTTTACATGCATCCACATTTTGTCATCTTTGTCATCTAGGAATTCTTAGAGGGAAGAGACTGTCTTGTGGATTGGCTAAAACACAGTAATAAACCTTATTAGTCATTCCCATTCAAGCCCTCCTCATTAACAATGATAGACCTATTTGGGAAATTGATATCCGTTGAAATCTCCTCATTATAAGTGTGACTGGACATTTTCCCCAATTGGCAAACTTGATTCAGCTTCATAACTCCCTAGCTATTACTTAGATTAGTTACATAGACTCCATGAGCCTCAGTTGTCTGTAAAATTGGAAGAATAAAAGTAATGTCCATTTCACAGAACTATTGGGAAGGTTAGTGATAACAGTCATACAGCTGCTGGTACAGTACCATAATCATTATTATTATTCATCTGGAAAATGTTGTTACACAGAAGCTATGTCATTTTGCAGACTACTGAAGAATATCATCACTTTCTTGATAAATTTTTCTGTTTCTTTATCATTAAAACATACTTTGAAATGATCAAAAATTGATTTGATTGTATTACACAATTATACACGTGAATTTTTAAAAACATTTTTCAAAATGTGATTTTAAAAAGGCAAGACAAAGCTTACTCCCCAAATAGTGTTGAATATGCCTTCAGGCTTTTAAAAATGCAGATAGTTATAAAAATGAAATCATATTATACATACTCTTTTGTAACCCACTTTTTCCACTCATCATACCATGAACTTCCATTTCATCAACAAATGCAATTGTGCAGCAAAATGTTAACATCCACAATGTGTTCTGATTTATGGCTGTCACATCCTCCATCAGAGAGAAAGTCCAAACATGCAGCTTTTAGGAAAATGTCTGGGATCCCTTCCCCAGGTGCCTGATGGAGAAAGTCATTGGCCAGACAGTGCTACCACTTCTGAAAAGCTAAGTGGAAAGTGATTAGTGTTGGATATTTGTCAGATCTTAATAAGGCAGGGGGCAAGGGGCACAGGGCAGAAGGGAGTGAGATGAACTAATAGGATATAGCCCGTTGGCTCTAACACAGAGTCACAATTTCCTTAAAAGGCTCTTAGAGAAAAGAATCAAATGTGGGGATTTGGTTCCACCTTCCCCACCCCCTGCACTCCCATAATGGGGAGGAACACATTTCATAGCTCTGCCCTAAGTGTAATGGCCATCTCCAGCAGATTAACAGCACAAGGGCTATTTTTGTTGCCATTTGGCCTGTTCATCATCTTTTTTTTTTTCCAGGTTTCTGAAAGGATGGAGGAAATCTGCAGGTGATTACATTTTTAGGGTAAGCCTCAGGGCTGGTGCTAATTTAGGGCAGAAACTAAGCAGCACAAAGCAGCAAGAAATGTAGCTCAGCTCTATTCACCCAATTCTCAAAACCATTTTTCCTTACAGTTTGTTTCAAGACATAAAAGAAACAATTTGAAATGTTCAATGCGGTTGAGAAGAAGTAGGTAAAATTTTTCCTAATTTGAAAATTAATGTTAGAATGATCAGATGTTTCAAAACTGCTGTGTTTGAGTCTGTGTGTGGGAGTTTTAATGAATTTGGTCTTTTATGCAACCAATTGCTGCTAGCAGCAAAACATGAGTTATATGAAGGAATTTATTTTTTAATCAGCACATCAAAAGATAGAAAGCTATTATTACTCAGAAAAGGAAAGGAAATGGGGCAACTGGCTTATTTTGTAGTTGTTTTTCACATCCTTTTGGATGCAAGCACAAAATTGCCAATGGTGTCTCTTAGCAAAATTGAGTTGAGGCACTTAGTTGGAAAAACCAGCCATAATATTACTCTTTCTTAAATTCCCCCAAATCACTCATTGGCACCATCTTGGACAACTGCCTTGACTTCCAAACCATGTCTTTGCTCACTCGTTCCCTTCTGCTATTTGGCTCGAGAGCACTCACGAAAGAAAGCAGAGAAAATACTTGTTACTCTGAGCATGATTCACTTCCATTGCAGAGTCCCATTTTTGAATTGCTGGTGCTCCTTCTGTGTGGGCATCCCTCCCTGCTTTGCAGCACTGGGATCTACAGCAGAATAACTGCTTTAGGACCAAAGGCGTTTCTATTCTTTCTTGAGAGTTACCATTTCCTCCCATCAAGAGTGGTTAATGAAAAAACCTCGGATTGGTTGTATTTGTTGTGCTTCAACATTAAGCTGCTATTTAAAGGGTTTAAAATTAGGTTGGTTTCTGTTGCAACCTTTCCTGTAGCCAGTTAATCACAGGATTCTTTGCCACACTGAGGCCAGAATGGGGATGGCACATGCAACAAGTAAGGAAACCACTAATTACAGGCCAGGGAGCTAATGTGCTTACACAACATGAATTGTTTAAAACACTTTGAACATTGTTTTATTTGTTGTTAACCATCCTTTACTCAAGAATTGTTTCTCTAGGACACAGCACTGGGCCTCCCATATTTCTTAATGAGTAAATGGATTCCTAGTTTTCTCTGGAAAGACTGACCAAAGTAATAACAGGCTTTTGCCTGGACAAATCAAAACCGAAGTTTGGGTTGGGGAAGCTCTATACTCATTGCTGTACTTAAAATGTAGGGCTTTCTGTTGTTCTTCCTGGCTGGGCTACTGTGACCCACTGATGATATTACAATTCAGAAGAAACTCAATAAGCATTTTAAAAATTAATGAAACCTGTCAAAATGATATTTTACCGAAAAATTTGCCAATTGCATTTGCATAAAGTACAGTCAGATTTAAATTCCAACTATAAATGTGCAACTTGACTTTCATTAACTCCATATGTAGAGCGAATAGAAAAAATTGATTAATTTTTACCTCAACTTCAGGTCTACTAATCTCTACCCCTTACACATACTCCACCACCATCACCATCAGCACCATCACCACCATCACCTGCCTCCACTCAGATCTAGCTTACTTTCCTGATTATCTTCCCTACCTGCCAGCTCCTCTCAACTCACATTGCCCTGTGATTGTATCAGTAAGAAATTCTTTTTGTTTTAGAATCTTAAAATGCACATAAAATATTTAGTGTCATTCATAGGACTGAGCATCAAGAACTCAAGAGTTCTGACTTGCTTCTCTATTCTGGCTTGCTGTATACCTTTAGGCATGCCACTAAATCTCTGTGTCTCAGTTTGCATCCCTATAAAGTAAAGGTAATTTACCTGACCTATTTCATAGCGGTATTTTGTTGAATAGCTAATTAGTGATTATAAAGTACATTGAAAACACAGTGTACTGGATAAATACTCATAAATAATAATGACGTTACAGAATTGGAAGGCTGCATTAAACCACTTTTATGTATAAAGAAATTAAAACGAACGCAGTGAGGTTTTTCAAATCATATCCAATGTTAAAGATGATAGAAAGCAAATTCTTGCTTACCTCCTTAACATTTTCATCATCATACCTCACTGACAACCAAAGGAGTAAGAAGCCTAATGTGCCTAAAGTGTAGCAACAAGACCAAGTGAGAGCAGTAGTGATATTAATCATTGATCTTCTGTTTTATTTTTATGTTTTATGGTTGAAGAAAAAAAGTCAATAAAGATATCAAGCCAATCAAGAACTTTCTATGGCTGTGGCAAAGCTGTCACAAAACCTGAAGCTAATTCACATACTTAGTACACCAAGAATATTTTAATACTGCGTGAACACTGACATTAAGTTCTGTTCCATTGAATTGTAGGTTTCACCATGTCCCATAAAATAAGAGCTTAAGGCTTGGCATGGTGGCTCATACCTGTAATCCCAGCACTTTGGGAGGCCGAAGTGGGCAGATGACTTGAGGTCAGGAGTTCGAGACCAGCCTGGCCAACATGGTGAGACCCCCATCTCTACAAAAAATACAAAGATTAGCTGGGAGTGGTGGCATGTGCCTGTAATCTCAGCTAATCTCTGAGGCAGGAGAATTGCTTGAACCTGGGAGGCAGAAGTTGCAGTGAGCCAAGATAGCACCACTACACTCTGGCCTCAGAGACAGAGAAAGACTCCATGTCAAAAAATAAAAAACAAAAATAAGAGCTTAACCCCACTTCTGTTCCCTCAAACAGTATCCAGTGCTATAGTCACTTCAATATTTTTGAAGGAGGTTTACCCTCGAAAAATGAATAGAGCCAGTCATACCTAATCCATTCATTCACCAACTCTGCTGATGATTGCCAGAAAATATTGTCATAACCACTCTGATGCATGACCCACTGTCTGGTGTGAGGACTATATTAATGACAGATATGATCTTAATTCTATGGCAAGATGCAAAGAGAAAAAGAAAAAAATTTTAAAAGAGCGAGACATTTCCAAATTATGCAAAGTTTAAGCAAAGATACAAAATTACTCTGACTCATAAAAACATGAGATTTAAGCAGAATTAGATGTTCTTATAAGGCAAAAAATGTGGATACATTTAAAACAAAAATTAGGACCAATGGACTGGAAAATTAAAGACTATAAGCCAATTGTAATACTATTAGGTTGGCTCAAAAGTAATTGTGGGTTTTGCCATTGCTTTTAATGGCAAAACTGCAAGTACATTTGCACCAACTTAAGAACATAAATATATTAATAAATGTTATGCTATATAATTTAAATATATTATAGAATTTCATTCTCACAACTTTTTGAGAAATTTATCCATTCATTTAAACATATTTATTTAATCTTCTGGTTTCCAGTAGAAGACAGTAGATGACAAGAATCACTATTTCTGCTATAGCAAATTTAAAACACCAGGTACACTGTGAAAAGATGTATTTTAAAAGACCTTGGAAAATCAATGAATCAAAGAGAATTTAACAAGCCATAAAGGGAAGAACCTTTCTGAGAGGAGCAGTATGTGCTTGACCATTTTCTTCTGAATTGGAAAGATTTGCCAATTCTAGACATGGGCATCAGACTGAGCTTGGCCCTCACAGAGGTGCTTCACTGGGAAAATAAGAAATCAGCAAAGCTTTTCCTGATCATATGTAAACTTACACAGTTAATTTTCTCCACAGTATGCTTGCTGAGTTTTGAAACTAGGAAACTTCTGTAATGCAAACTAAAATATCCTCTAGTACCATCGTACTTAAGAGAAAGTCCCATTTGAGGATGGGATTTGCTTCAAACACAGGGCTGGACTCCTCCTCAAGACATTTGCCAAAGTTGGAAGCAGTGGAAGCAGGAGGCCGAAGACCAAAGTCCCAAACCTCTGAAGGGCAGACTGAATCTCAGTCTCTCAAGGCTAAGATGATGGAAACTTTGAATAAAAAGACCTGGAAGAACATGCCTAAGAAACAGAAGTGAACTGATTCAAAGTAAGTCATATATATCCAGTTCTGACTCACCTTAATGAATTTGGAAATGAAAAGACCAGCCCCTAACACTATCTTTCTAACATGGAACCCTCCTGGAAGATGATATTATCTGTCACCTCTAAAGATTCTTGTGTATAATATTTGACATACAATTTAAAATTTCTAGATTTGTGGAGAGACTGGAAAATGTGGCTGATAATCAAGGAAATAAAACATAATGGCAGGAGATCTTAGATGATTCAGATTAAAATTAGGATATAAGGGCTTTGAAATAATCAGTTCTAATATATCAAAGAAATTAAAGGAAAATAGATGAAAAGATGGAGAATTTCAACAGGACATTGGAATTTATTATAAAGAACAAAAATGACAATCTATAACTACAAATTTAATATCTGAAAATAAGAACTTGAATAATGGCAGACTGACCTACAAAAGACAGCATAATTGAACTAAAAGACAGATAAATAGAAAATATCCAAATTGAAACACAAAGAAAAAAATTTTTTTTAATAGAGCTGAGTATAAGAAGAAATGTTGTATCCAATGTAAATGTTGAATTTACATGTAATTGGAATCCTAGAAGGAGATAAAAATGGAAAAGGAGAAAATGAGGCAGAAGCAATACCTGAAAAGATAATACCCAAGATGTAAAGCTGATTAAAAAGAAAAAAATCAACCTGCAGATTCAAGAGGCCTAAGAAGTCCCAAGCAGGAGAAATACAAAGAAAACTATACCTGGGCACATCATGGTCTAACAGCTGAAAACCAACAATAAGAAAATATTAAAAAACAGCCAGGGCCAAGCATGGTGGCTCATGCCTCTAATCCCAACACTTTGGGAGGCCGAGGTGGGTGGATCACTTGAGGTCAGGAGTTCGAGACCAGCCTGATCAACATGGTGAAACCCCATTTCTACTAAAAATACAAAATTAGCCCAGTGTGCTGGCAGGCACCTGTAATCCCAGCTACTTGGGAGGCTGAGGCAGGAGAATTGCTTGAACCCAGGAAGCGGAGGTTGCAGTGAGCCGAGATTGTGCCATTGCACTCCAGCCTGGGCAACAACAGCGAAACTCCGTCCCCAAAAAAAAAAAACAGCCGGAAGAAAAACAACAACAACACACACAACCTTTAAGGGAACAACAACGACATTGACAACTGACTTTGCAATGCAAACTAGAGAATCCAGAAGAAAAAAGAGTAACATCTTGTGTAGGGAGACCCCCTGAAACTATTGCTATGGAATAAAAGATGAAATGCTCCTGATTATTGTAAATACAAAATTGCATGCAGGATTGTGTAAAGACAATGCCAGGTTGGACTGCCAGAATGAGCCAACAGCGCATGATGTGCTTCCTCCTGCAGAGAGCCTGTGAACGGACATGCAGTCAGGGAGGTTTCACATCACCAAGATTCCTATCCCAGTAAAGCAGACTTTTGTAGCTCTGGGAATGGAATGCGACCCTTGTGGAGAGCCTATAAACAGACGCATGGAGGGGGGCACCTGTCCATATGGCCATAAGATAGGGCTATAAAAGCCCTCATCTTAGCACGGCTCTTCTAGGCCTCTTTAGGGTTAAGGCTTACTCCCTTCTGATAATTTCTGGTCTAACTGGTTGTCTAGCTTCACGTCCTGTTTCTATGGATTGTTTGTAACCAGCTTTTGCTGCAACTGTTACTGCTGATTAATATCTTGCTAATCATAGGTTATGGAAAGACTGTGTTTCTGTTTTAAGGCTCTGTTAGAAATTACTGATGCACACACTATATTGTAAATTCTTACCTCTGTATACTGTACTTCTGCATACAGATGTTATGTTAAAGAATTACTTCATCCCCATATGACCATCTCACCTCATAATCAAATGACCCTAAATCCCTCACTAACTTACCCCTGCCCTCACTAAACTTAATAATAAATGCTGGTATATCCAGTGCATTGTTGACATCACGGGACCAGAAGGCGGTGACCCCCCTGGTCCCAGCTTTCACTATCTTGTGTGTGTCTATTATTTCTCAACATACTGATCTGCCTGGGAACAAAGAGAGAGAGAGGCCCATTGCATTGCAGGCTGCTGGCCAGATCCTGCAATAATCTTGAAGCTCCTGGAAAAAAAATTTCAGCTATCCCAAGGCATTGACATACAATTTAAAAGGCAATGCAGGGCATCATTTGGTGAGGCAGCTCATAAGAGACAGCCAAACTGGCTTTTATGCAGATTCATGCTCAAAATAATTAGCCCACTCCTTCAATAACTCATTAATCCATGAATGGATTCATCCATTCATGAATCAGAGCCCTCTTGACCCAATCACCTTCCAAAGATCCCACCTCTCAACACCGATGCACTGGGACCAAGTTTCCAGCACACTTTGGGGATGCATTCAAAACACAGTACATATGATAGAAGTAAAATATGTGACAATAATTACACAAAGGGCAAGAGGGAAATAAATGGAGTTCAAGTATGGTAGTAGTCTTGCATTATTTAGGATGCGATTAAGTTACTAATTTTAGATAGACTGTATTAAATCAAAAATGCATAGTGTAATATTTATGATAGCCACTGAAAAATTAATAAAATAATCTGTAACAAATAGGCCAATAAAGAAATAAAAATGGGGTAAGGAAAAATTTTTATTAATCTAAAAGTAGAGAAGAAAGGAGGAATAAAGGAATAAAGAAAAGATGGGGCAAACAAAAAAAATAGTTAAATAGATATCTGAATTCTACTGTGTTATTAATCACATTAACTGAACAACAAACTGAAAAATCTAGGAAGAATACAAAAACTACTAGTCTGTGTAAAAGGAATAAGTCTCAATTATATGCTATTAACAGAAGGGACGATTTTACTCTAAGGATACAAAAAGAAAAGTTTGCAGATAAAAGAATGAAAACATATTCTTTTATTTTTTTGAGATGGAGTCTCATTCTGTCACCCAGGCTGGAGTGCAGTGGTGCAATCTCAGCTCACTGCAACCTCCACCTCCCAGGTATAAACAATTCCCCTGCCTCAGCCTCTGAGTAGCTGGGATGTAATACCTGTAGGTACCTGTCACCACATCTAGCCAATTTTTGTGTTTTTAGTAGAGACGGAGTTTCGCCATCTTGGCCAGGCTGGTCTTGAACTCCTGACCTCAGGTGATCTGCCTGCCTCTCCCTCCCAAAGTGCTGGGATTACAGGCGTGAGCCACCATGCCTGGCCAAATGAAAACATATTCTATTAAAAAATTAGCACAAAGAAAGTTAGTGTAGCTGTGTTACTATATGACATAGTAGACATTAAGGCAAGATGTATTATGACAAAAAGTCAAGCATTTCATGTTGATTAAATGGTCAACTGAACAGAAAATTGTAGTGACCCTAAACTTGTATATACAAAAGAACGTAACTTCAAAATATATAAAGCAAAAGTTGACAGTGTTAAAGAGGGATCAAACATATATATATTTAGCAACTGATGAAGTGCTGAGAATAGAATGTTGGACAGGGAAACAAGGCCTAGCACTGAAGGAGTCTACTGTGTAACGTAATAATGTATTAACAGGTAAACATTTCCTATCACATTTGAATAAAAGTACTGTTCTAAACACTATCATCATTCTAATTTTAAACAGAAGTTGAAGAAGTCTAATTGAGACATAATGTCACTTGACTAACAATTGGCAAAGTCAGGATAAGAAGTAAGATCTTTCTGACTTAAGATGAGTTTTAATCATTATATCAACATTCAAATTCCAGAGACAATTCTCTTTTCAATTGGGAATGTATGTAGAATGGTCAGCATTTGATTTATTTAAATAAGGGCTTTAAAAAAGTAACTACTATCTGTTGTCACCATGATTTTGGTATAAAAAATATGAAGGATATAATTTCAGGTGAAAATATAGCAATCCTTCGCCCCAAAATGATATTTGTCAACATTTTACAGACATGTATAAATAAATAAATAATTTCTCTCCTTACTTTATCACAGACCAGTGAAAAGTTTATCACAGATCAACACTAATTCATTTTCTGGCTTTAGGGAACTGACCTCATGAACTATTAAAGGGTAAAATGCAATCAAAATTACATCATAATACCTCAGCTAATGATAATGTAGCCAGATATAACATAAGGCAACTTAAAAACACAAAGAAATACAGATTGAGGCCTGCTACCTAATGGAAAGAAAGACAAACAATTTCCAAGCATTTATTCATTATTCAACATATCGAGTTCCTACTTGGTTAGGAGAACAACTTTTAATAAGACTGACCTTGTCTCTGCCTTCATGGAGCTTATTAGGTTTCGTAGTCTACAATCTTCAGGGTCTACTATCTAGAGGAAATCAGGTAAACTATTGGAACAGGATTTTGCCATTTATATTACTCTGGCCACTTGAGCAATTTCTTGCACTCTCAAAAGAACTGAGCCATGGATGTCACCAAAATAATCATGCTAGTTGAGCCATGGATTCCAACACCATGCAAAGCAAAAGTCTCTATATATTTGATATATTTTCTATGGGTATATGTGTGCATGTGTGTGTATGTCATTTGCTCCTGTTTCAACTGTCATCTCCCTTCTCTAACTTGCCATTCCAGCCTTTCTGATTGATTCAAATGTCAACTTTATCAAATAGTAAATTCCTATATAGACTTGAGTTTACTCTTAAACTCCCTTATTTGAGTTGTGTCAACACCAAATTGCACTAATTCCCATAACTATATAAAACATTTTAAAATTACTTAGTGTAAGTTCTCTCTTAGTGATATTCTTTTCTAAATTTCCTTTGAAATACACATGTATTCATTATTCTGTTGGGTTTCTTGCTGGAGTTGCCATTAGTTTTAAAAAATAATTCATAAAGTCTTAGCAAGGTTCTTCCTGAAAATTTTTGTTACAGGTACAGAAGGTTATTTTTTATTAACTTTTTGCAGACATTTTATTATGTTTTTAAAGATACTAATATAATATTAAGCTGAAATTCCATTAAGATAATTCTTCCTTGGACCAGGCTGAAGCAGTTCAAATACAGACACCCAGTGACTAAG